>NC_000007.14:110006779-110631779 GCF_000001405.40 Homo sapiens | reverse complement strand
ATATATTAAATTTAAAAAGTGAGACTGGCATAGTAATGAAAGTTTAGATACATAAAAGAGGTAAACAAATTATGATATACAGTCAGGAGAATGATGCTTAAATATTGCGATCTAGCAAGTTATGATCTGAAGGGACCATATATATAAATGAGATTGTCATAGCTTCAAATAATTCATTGTTTAAATCTAAAATCAAATAATGCGGTACTTTTAGTGTCTCTAGCCTCTGAACTTCGTTGTTAAAGTGAAGCTCTAATTATAAATCCTACTATGCCTTTGGGTAGTTAATCCAGTAGTGACACTGTTTATTCATTACATACACTATGATGTTTTATTGCATAGTATATTCTGAAAAATTAATTTTGCTAGTAGAAGAAAACCAGGTTTCAAAATAGTAGGCCAACTTTAGGTCTTTTGAAGTGGGGTGTTGTTATTTTAGATTTTCATCAAGTTCGTCTCCTATATAGATAAACTGAAAGCCCCAAAACCAAGTCCTCTACATTCTAAATATATGAAACATTTATGACCCATAAACATTTAAACAGTTGTTCAAGAGTCGAATATTTCCATTGTCACCCTCTCTCCTTACTTTAGTTTTGGAGATAAAATAGCTGGTTGTGTAGGAATTGGTCAAATTTATTTGTTCCAGGTATCATGTAAGTAGAGTCTTGTTGCTATACCTTCCTTTAAATGCATCCTTATCTCCTCTGAATATCAGAAAGGTGAGGAAAAATGAGAAGAAGGGAAGGAGGGAGAGAGAGAAGAATGAAATTGACTTTGTGTGAGGAAGGGAGGGAGAGAGAGAGAGGAATGAGATTGACTCTGTGTGCACCCCTGTCCCAAACCTTTCATAGCCTATTCTTGCTGGCATCACTGACGATTTTGTCTGCAGCTGCTGCCTCAATTGAGCCCATGCTTATTGAGGCAGGACAGCGAGGTAGCAGGTGGAGTTGGTAGTTTTTCTTCTTTCTATAGAACCAGTATCCAAGCAATTGTGGTAGGCCCTGGGCATGTGAATGTTCACTGAAAGGCAGCCTGCATTACTCATGACCTGTCTGTGGTCCAGTCCACATAACTGAGTCTTAACCTCAGTTTCCCTGCCTAGCCCTCTTCAACTTTGCGGGCCTGCCACACTGCATGGGCTTGTGAACCCTCTCCCCTGGACAGAATGGGAAAGAGCTCTTCTGATGAAGGACATCCAGCTGCCCTAACCCAACACCCATTGTGCTACATGCTGGAGAAATAGTGATAAAAGGTGCCATTCCTGTCTCACGAAGGTTAGAGACCAGTAAGGAAGACAGACATTAAACTAACACCAAGCCAATTAATTGCCATATGCTAATTAGTATCAGTAGAGAAGCTATGGGAGACTGGATTGGGCCTGTGTCTTAATTTATAATGGTAGCTGAGCAATGATATCGAGAAAGTTTTTAATACAGTTCTCTCAGAAATGAAAGGCACAGCACACCACACAGGGCCACATGCCTGGGTGTCACACTCGGGGGCTGGAAGCAGATAGAGAAACTAGGATAGTGCCTTTATGATCGTAGTGGTGGGAAGCAACTAGGTAGAGACATCCCTACTTTCCGCCCCACTCCTTGGTATAAATTTTCTGTATTAGTCCATTCTCGCACTGCTATAAAGTAATACCTGAGACTGGGTAATGTATAAAGAAAAGAGGCTTAATTAGCTCACCAATCCAGAGGCTGTACAGGAAGTATAATGCTGGCATCTGAGGAGGCCTCAGGAAACTTACAATTATGGTGGAAGGTGAAGAGGGAGCCAGCACTTCACATGGCTGAAGAAGGAGAAGAAGAGAGAGCTGGGGAGATGCCACACACTTTTAAAAAAGCACATCTCGTGAGAACTCTATCATGAGAACAGCAAGGGGGAAATTCACCCCCATGATCTAATCACCTCCCACCAGGCCCCTCCTCCAACAGTGGAGGTTACAATTCCACATGAGATTTGGGCAGGAACATAAATCCAAACTGTATCAGGTACTAAGGGGAAACAGGTCATGGTGAATGGTTGGGGGAATTGTAACATGCTTTTTGTGAACCCATGAAAGTTAGCTTTCAGTGAAGATGTGAACAACTCAGGTTGTTAGTCTGGTCCTGTGATGCAGCATACTCGTGGAAAGATTAGGAATAAGGGATGTCAAATAGTCAATACAGAATCCAAAAACATGGTTAATACAGAAGCCAGAGGAGAGGGACATGACTTGGATTGTGTAGCTGATGTGGTAGGGTCATAAAGAAGGGGCCTGATGAAAGTGATGTGAACTTGCTGAAGTCCTCTCTCTGGCTTCCAGCTGCATCTGGCATACATTGTCAACCCCTTGGGTGACTCTTGAAGCCCCCTACAATCTTTCCTCCTCTGGCGCATCCCTTCCTGGCCAGTCCTCTCCCAGTTTCTCTGAGTCACTGAGCTGTTTCCTATCTCAGGGCTGTTGCACATGCTGCTCCCTCAGCAGAGAAAATTCTGGGGGCAGGGAGGTCAGACAGGGAAACGTCTGAGAAAGTGACTTCAGCTGAGAACCAAAGGATGAGGAAGGAAGGATTCCCAAAGCCAAAGTGGAAGGGACAAGAAAGATCGTTCCTGTGAGAGGAGGGAAAGAACAGAGCACACTGAAGGAGCCCAGACATGGTCGTGTGACTAGGGCATCTCCTGGAAGAACAACGCAAAATGAGGCTATGGAGAGAACTTTTTACTCTATGGACCACACTGGCCCCATAGAATGTTAGTCTTTCTTCTAAAAGCAATGGGGAGGTGCCTACTCCACCAGCTTAATGTTCAGCCGTTCTTGAGGTTTCAGCTGGAGTGTTATTTTCAAAAGGAGCTCTGCTCTCTCTCTCTCCAATTTACATTCACTTCCCCTACCTTTATAATCTCTGGCCTTGACCTCCCGAGGACTTAGCCCAGGTTGTAATTATGTATTACTTTGTCTAGGGCTATGCTGTCCAGTCTGGTTGCCACTAGCCACTTGAGCACTTGAAGTGTGGCTGGTCTGAATTGAAATGTGCAGTAACTGTAAAATATAAATTCAAAGACATAGTGCAAAAAATGTATAAAACATCTCATTAATGATTTTGAGTATCGAATGCATGTAGAAATAATGCCATTTTGGATCTAAAGGGTTAAACAAAATATATCATTAAATTAATTTGACCTATCTCTTTTTGTTTTTTAAATGTAGTTACTAAAAAAATATAAAATTACATATGCAACTTGAATTTATATTTCATATTACATTTCTCTTGTACCATGCTGGTCTAGACTGTAAGCCCATGTGAAGGGAAGAGCTGGTTAACTCTGCTCACAATAGAATCACCACACACATAAGGAGCACCCTTAATATTTGCTCAATAAATGACTGTGAGAACTTGAGTGGAGTTGTGAAGGTCCCCTGGGAGTTAACCACGTGAGGGTGTGTGTTTGTTTTACGTGGGGAGAGAACCTGGGCCAGCAGCACCTTTCTAACAGAGAAAACAGAAAAGCAAATGTGTGGAGGCATGGACTAGAATGGAGGTTTTAGGGAACTGACATTTTAGCAGAGTAAACATGGGCAGGATCACCACGGAGATGTGTGTGCCATAATAAGGTATTTGAACTTTGCTGAACGCAAGGGGAACCAGACTCAATGAAGAATTTTAAGCAGGGAAGCAACTTGATCAGATTTATGTGAAAGAACTAACAAAAGGCAGGCAGAAGCTGAGCTGAAGGCAGGGATGCCACTTTGGAGGCATTTTTGTAATCCAGGCAAGAAGGAATGAGGTCATGAGCAAAGGAGAATTGGGTACCGAGGAAGAACAGTGGACTAACTCCAACTTTCTGGAAGGTAGACTCCAAAACAAGGGAGTCCAAAGGTGGAGGTTGGAGGTGATTTTCAGCTTCTGGGTTGGGTAGCAGGATGTATGGGGCATCTGTTAATAATTGAAAAGTACTGAGGAGGCAACCAAAGTCACTCTATTTCAAAATGCACATCTATTCGTGTTGCCATTCTCCATCCCTCTCTCACCTCCATCCCCATCTTGAAAGGCTCGAACAGCTTCCCCTTGCTCTTAGAACGAAGATTAAAATCTTACAGAACCAGTGTGGTCCAACCCTGGAAGCTCTCTCCATATTCTCATTTAACATTGTTCTTCCCAGGAGATGCCATAGTCACACTGGTGGCATCTGGACTCCCTCAAAGTGCTCTGTTCTCTCCTTCCTCTCACAAGAGTGATCTTTCTTTTCCCTCCCACTTAGCTTTGGGAATTCTTCCTCATCTTTTGGTTCTCAGCTGAAATCCCTTCTCAGGGATGCTTTCCTTGTCTGGCCACTCTGCCCAGGTGCTTTTGTTCAGTGCTCCCTCACTATCCCATTTTGTTTTGTTTTGTTGTTTTTCTTCAGAGCCCTTCTGACATTTATGTGACTATTTTGATTCATCTATCTTGCTCCTGCTAGACCCTCAGCATCCTGCGGGTCTGTTTTCTTCACCCTCACGTCCTCTTGCTCCTGCTAGACCCTCAGCATCCTGCGGGTCTGTTTTCTTCACCCTCACGTCCTCTTGGCACATTGCTCGTCATCAGTACATACTTGTTGAAAGAAGCAAGCAGTTGAATAAATGAGCCTGGAACTTGGGAGGCAAGTTGCAGCTGTTAAGTTCAAATTCACATTTGGATAGCATCTTCCTGGGCCAAACCTGTGTGTGGTACCCCATGTTCCCTTGCATCATGAGCTTGCATGATTACCTGCACTTCCAAAACATCCCTGTCGCTGGGGAGGAGAATCAAGACTCACTTCCCTTCCCTGAAACCTGACCCAACTCCAGATACCTCCTCTTTCTTTCTAGCTTGATTTTCTAAGGAGCCGGCTTAGTTTTGCACATATCACATGTTTTGACCAAGAGAAACAGGTGATATGGCAGATTTAGTGAAGGATGAAATAGAGTATTTTAGCATCTTAAGGATCTAAATTTTGAATTGTTTTTTACTCTTCATTTTCACATAATTTTACAAACTGATATGTCAGTGGATTCAAGAATTATTGCAGAATCCAGCCACCCAGAAAGTTTGCATTAGAAAAATCAGCGTTAGAAATGCTAAGATGTAGAAATACAGTGAAAGCAGAGTCTACTTTTTATCATGAATAATTTATGCAATTCTTCTATTAACTATTCAATGAAATAGGACGCCTCAAGCTGACTGTTTGCCTGAGTATGTTATATTCTTTTCAAGCTCTTTGATGTTTAATTTGGTTTACTTTCTCTTTAAATACTAAACAGCTGGTTTTGAAAGCTGAATTTAACACTCAACAACCAGAAAGAAGAGGTGACTGCTGTTTGCTATGCATGGGATATCTACACTCAATGATAAATCTTGGTTTAAACTTTAATGTGACACTTCATAAATAAATAGGGAAAACAGCATAATTATCCCAAACACGTGTTACTTGCCTGAGCAGTAGTTTAATGCATGCAACCTGGCTACAATCTGTACGAAGAATATCTTTAAAATTTTAATGTGGCGCCCCATGGATGGAAAATAACCATTATGAAGTTGTTAAGATGGTAGTTTTCCCTTGTTGGTTGGAAAATAATTCTAATTAGGACAACAGTAATCTCGAATACACATTACATTCAAAAAGGAAAAACTGAAGATCCTATATTCCTTTAGCTTACCTAAAAGTAGTGTCCCTCACTTAAGATAGGCAAGAATGAACTTGTAAATCACTCAACTCAATCTAACATAAGCACCAACAAAGAAAAAAAAGCCTATTACTATATCAAAAAATTTGTTCAGCATGATCATAAGCAATATGACAAGATGGTAAGATTTTTTTTTTTTTTGCACTGCCTCAATCATCTTTATTCTACAGAATAGCTCTTGTTTTGTCTATCCAGACCTCTCTCTGTTCTGACAACAGAAACTGTTTTCCTAGCTACTGGTGGTGGGAAGGGTCTACATAAATTTTTAGTCCTTGTTCTTGTGACTGATCTATGTGATGGGCAGGTCATCCAACCCAGGACAATCCAATTCCTATGTGGGGACTTTTCAAATTCAAGATGTGAAAAGAGAGCCTTTTTTCTTCTCTGGTCATATGTCCTAGGGGTATGAACCCAGATAAACCCAGAATGATGTCTTTTGCTACATGGAGAATATGATCTGAGGAAAGGAAGCTGATGAAAAAATGCAAGAGGTCGAGCGTTCAGATAAAAGGGTTTGAGTCCTTGGTTTCAGCCTCAGAGGTCAGGTCCACTTCTGCCTTTTCAGCAGATGGGTTATATGAGCCAATAAATTTCCCATTGTCTACTTTAGTTCATTCACTTGGGGATTCAGTCACTTGAAACAGGAATAGACATGATAGATGCATCCCGTTAATGAGGCAACAACTCAATAAAATAATGAAGTGGCTACCACTTTCAGGTATCCTTAAATCCAAAAAGACAACATGTCTTTCACTATCATTCTGCTTCTCTCAAATCAACTTACTTTCCTTAAAAAAAAGAAACTTCCACAAAACTTCAATGAAGTAATCAAGTAACTGCTGCCATTCCTAATGATTAATATTTTAATTTAAAAGCCAGCATTTTATTCAACCTAATCTCTAAAAAGGACCTCCCTAGTAGGCAATCAGGGCTGTCAAATATAAATATGACACTGTTGATGTAAAGTGGAATTTACATCTGAATATTCTGCTGTTGAGTTGCCAGAAGCATTTGTCATGATATTTTTCAAATCCTATCACCCTAAAGCAGCAGTGTCATCTGTCTTTGCTTGTAGCCATTTCCATGCAGCAACATTAAGAACAAACTTAATTGACAGTCACTAGGAACCCAAGGGCAGCACACATGATCAATTATCTAAATATGCTGGCGGTTATCAAAGAGAATGGGGTTCATGAATCTCATATAACAAGGTTTTTATGTAAAAAAAAGTTCGTTCTTTGGTGGCATGGAGCTATCGCCTGAACCTGATTTATTTTTATTTAAAATATATATTAAATGAAAGTTCAATAAGCTTTTCCCAGTTTGAAGTCTTGAGAACTTTATGGGTGCAAACTAATCCTAAAGAGGATTACCAATATTAAGAGTGATAGGTAGTTCTTATCTGTCAGCTCTTTTATATATTACTCTTTTGATAGAAGATTCTTGAAGGCCCAGTCCTTCTCACTGGGTCTGTCAGTGCACTGTCACAATTACATTTTGGGAGAGAGAAGGGATTCTATTATGGAGATTGGCTTCTAGAATTCTTTTCCCGAATTCAAAAATTATTGGATATCAAGTCTTTGTTTTAAGAAGTCATTTGTATTAGAGATAATTAATTTGGTTTGTCATTGTAGGTCATTTTGAAAAAAAAAAAGACTGATAAGTTGTTCAGAAGAGCCTGTGTTTCACATGAAGAATTTTGAACATTCAGGAGCATTTTCTGGTGGAGAAAGTAGGGTTTGGGTTTTGGAATCAGACAGACTTGGGTTTGAATCCCAAGTCTGCCATTTACCAACTGTGTAACCCTATGCACATTTCTTATCTTTTCAATTTCCCCATTTGTAAACCAAGTGATGATATTACATCCCTCATAGGATTGTTCTGAGAATTAAATGAGACAATGTTTGAATGGGATTTGCAAAGAACTGAACACAGAGTGAATATTTAATACTTTGTGTTTCTTTAAGAATCTTTGGATTAAAAAACTATGTTTAGATGGATATACTGATGAGAATTGGTTCTTATGGTTTGAAGTTAGAAGTCCTTTTGTATCTACGGATTCTATTGAGTGTGACAACAGTTAAGCAAGGTTTAATTTGTATATATCAGCAAAGTCCCTTTCATCATTATTATTCTTTAGTGAGGTCCCAGAGGTGGTGACAAATTATTTTGAATTTCTGACAGTCTGACAAAGCATTGCATGGTACAAAGTGTACATCTTTATTCTATTATTGGAAAGTATTATTTTATTTTAAATATTTCTGTGTTTTTGTACTTACGTTTTCATGAATTGATTTTTATTACCTACTATATGCTAGACCATGTGGTATGTAATATCGCAGGGACCTTGTCCCCAAAGAATTTGCATACAATCTGGGAACATTGTTGAGTGAGGCACACATGTAACTACAACAGAAGTCAGTAAGAGACAGTGATGCAAATGCTGCAGAGGCGTAAGAGCAGAAGAGATTTACCTTCAGCTGTGTGGGTGAAAGGATGAGTCATTGTTCTGGAGCAGTAGTCCTCAATCCTGGCTGAACATTAGAATCACCTTGAGAGGTTTAAATCAAAAACCAAAATTTAAAAACTCAAAACACAACAAAACAAACAAAAAATAGTGTCTTTGCCCTTCCCCAGATCAATTAAATCAGAAACTCTATGGATCCCAGGCATAGATAATTTTTAAAAATCTCCCAGGTGATCGTAATATCTAGCTAATTTTGAGAGCTACTGCCATAGATGTATAAGCAATAGCTTAGCTGATGGAAACAAGGGTTGGTGGAAATCCCCAATGGAAATATTAATGTCCACAAAACCAGGAACATGAGATGGAGTGCAGCATTATTAGAGGAATGGTGAATGGCCTGGACTGTCTGGAGTATAAGGAATATTCATGCTTTAAGGTTGTGTTAGGACCAGAGTATAAAGGAAATGTATATTCAGTATAAAATCATTTTAACTGTTGTTTATAAGACAACAAAGAATCATAGTGACATTATCAGATTTGCACTTTAGGGAGATAATGTGAGGTCAATCTGACTATGATATCTGTCATCCTGTTGATCATTCTGATTGAGTTGGGATCCATTCACATCTTCTTCCTCATAGAAGCATGGCTGTATTTAGGCATCCAAGTGTCTCTTACACAGCCTGGGGAAAATATGACTCTACCTGTCTTCTCCTGGGATGGATTCTCATTAGTTTAAGTAAACCACTGCATAGCCTTTACCTGAAAACTCTTTAGAATTCATAGGCAGTCTTGCAAGCAAAATTGGCCCAGTCAGATGGAAGGGAAGTATTTATAACCCAATGGGAACATGATTTCTTCCTCCGGCTGGAACTAGGAGTGTTGTCCTAATTGTCACTTTAAGCATCATGTGACCATAAAGAGACCTAGACTTAGGCTGAAACAGCAGAGCACAGGGGTTGAAGTAACCCAAGCCATAGTTGACGGCATTGGTCTGTTGATTAGAAACTCCTCCTTCCTTCTTCTCTCTTAGCTTCCATACTGCCTCTGGACTTGCAGTTAGGCAAGATAACAATTTCCTATGGTTTGAGTCCATTTTGGATACAGTTTCTGTTCCTAACAGCCAGAATCACCCTTATGGATCCAAGGGAGTTTGGGTAGAAAGGGAGTTGTAATAGGTTAAAATTTTAAAATTGACTAGGAGAGTAAAAGTATTATTAATAGAAATAAAAATGTTAGGAAGAGAAGCAAATATTGATTCTTGTCATGTGTTTGAGGGGCCACTGGGAAGTAGACACAAATGTTCAGCTTTTTAACATGCTGCTCTGAGGATTAGAAGACAGACTAAGACTAAAGATATGTATTCAAAAGTCACCTGTATACATATGGTCTGGAATTTTACAAAGTAAATGAGAGTCCCAAGATAGAGATTGGTAGCTTGACCTCACCTACCTGAGCCTACAAAATCAATTCACGTTTACATTTATGTCTTTGTTACAGAGACTTATCTCTTCCTCTTAAATGGGGATCACTATGGGAGTGTTTTCTGGGAGTCTCTGAAGGAGGAATTCCACAGAATGTCAAATGTTCTGATCCTAGAGGCTCAGAGACTGGAGTGGCCCTAGTTCCACAGGTGAGAGCCAGTTTTATGTCAAACTTCTGCTATTCTTTGTCCTCCAGACCTTAATGCATTTCTTCTTTTGTATGGAATTTCACAAAGGGGCTAGACATTCTTTCAGCTTCTAGGCTGAACTACACAAAGATTTTCTCAAAACTGGGTTCTTCCATTGTGTGAAATTGTGTCCTATGTGTGAAATTCCATCCTAGTGACCCACATTCAGTCCAGGACTCTAGATCGACCAAAGAACCAAATTTTTTCTTCCAGTTTCCTCATCTCTCTCCTCCCTCTGCCTCATCAAAAAGAAAAAATCCCCTTTTCTTTCCAGTGATGAAACCAATATCCATTCTCATCTGTTACTGCACATGGATTCAGGGTGCTATGTATAAGTGAGGAGGAAGAAAGAGTCCAATATTAATAGCTTATTGTTCCAAGGTAGCCAGCCTCACAGGTGATCCCCAGTGATCCTGGCTTCCTGTAGCTCCCCCATCCCCAGTTGTATCAAGGTTGATCTGTGTGACCAATGGCATATGGTGAAAGTGGCGGGATGCCAGTTCTAAGATTACATTATAAAAAAATGTGCCTTCCATCTTAGGTGCTAAAGGTTGAGATGAGTGGAGAGTAAAGATATGGAAGTAATACACGCAATCTGTCTTTTGAATAGTTTGTTAGTTGTAGTTTGGAGGAGAGAATTAAGTTTGGGGAAAATATATAATAGGGTGGAATAAAAGATATATATAATTAATATTTTTATTATATTATTGAATATTATATTATTGAAATGTTATATTATTTATGTTGTGTTGAGATCAAACTACACATGACATTTTATTTGGCTTTTGAAAGCAGAAACAAAGTAGTCCTACCCCAAAACACACATAGGTATAAATTATGTATGTTACATGGGTGTGAATGTTTGTATGTATTAGTGAGGTCCAAATCAACAAGACTTTAAGATATTAAGTATAGTATTTTCAATACATCTTTCAATTTTCACTATAACTAAGCCTTCATTACATTCTCACTGTTTTTAAGGAATAAAATAGGAAATATTATTGCAAAAATATTTAGATCATTAATTTGGGAGAAGTGCTGCTCAAGTATTTTGTAGAATATCCTCCAAACTGGGAATGTATGATGTTTTTCCCATGATTAGACTGGGGTTGCAGGTTTGGGGGAGAAAGACCACATGAGTAAAGTACCATTCTCATCACCCCCTACCAACGGTATATGCTATTAACAAGACATAACTGATGATATTAACTTTAAGCATTCATTTTTAAGGGATTTCTATTTGTTCAAACCTCGGGGCTATGTACTCAGATACTCATTTACTCATGGGGATACCAGAGCCTAGAAACTGGGACAATTTAGCTGGAGCTTCACCCACAGTAAGGGCTGTCTGGAAGGTGCTTAGCCATGCAGGGAGGGAGAAGCCATCTGACTAATTGCGTGACCGCAGAGAAGATGCTGCTGCTGTGGTGAGCTTGCCGCCCTGCCTTGAGGCAGAGCAAGGGAGAAAGCAATGCCCTGGCTTCTCCCCTCTCCCACACTCCAGTCATTCTCCAGTGTCTCCCACTGGCTGAGCCTACCTGGAAGCCAGTGAACAAGGGAGTGGGGGCAATGCAGTGTCCCTGCTTGGCAGGGCAGAGCTGGGGAATGACAGAGTGTAAGTATGAGCCTCAAGCAGGCAAGTGATGGATACTGCATGGAAAGGGATGTGGGTGTGCCGGAAAATGAGAATGAGCAATTGATGAGGGAGCCAGAGGGAAAGACCCATTTTTGCCGGAGTGAGAGTGCAGCTGATAAAGACCCACAGAGGACAACCTCTTTACTGATGAATGAGGGCTGATTCGGGAACAAAGAGAGCAAAATTGATTATAGCTATAGCTGTTACTAAATTTTAAGTAGTTTGCTTGTCTTGCAGAATCTAAAACTCAAATATTTAGACTTTGAAGGAGACTGTAAAGTCTATAATTGTAATTTATGTATGAAGAAGTGTGTGGAAGTTATAATATGGAAAGTATTAATGAACTGAATCAAGATTTGCAAATATTCAAAAGAAAATGGCTTTAGGAAGTGACCTCTGATTTCCGGTTCTGTGACCCGGCTTTGAGTGTGAGCTCACTTTCAAGAGAAGTTCCACAACCAAACCTGAAACTTTTGTTTCTGTACTTGGAAAATAGAGATTATATAACCTTCATATAGCTCACTGGCATTGAGAAATTACAGGCGCACTTCAAACAACAAGTAACATAAGACCAAACTCACTGCTAATGCCAGACCTCAGACTATGGACCATAATACTAGCTCTAAAACTATTATATAACCTTAAATATGAAATCAAATTCATCTCTATAAATAAGTACCAACTTCATTCACCTTGAATTCATCTAACCTATCTTCGGCTGCTAGTACCTAGGGGAAAATGTGCCTTTTTCTTTAGGTATTATATTTTAATTTGATTTTAAGTCATGAGACATATGACTTCAATTATCTAAATATAGAAGATATGCACATCAATGACCCTTTTTCTGACCATATATTTTTACGTGATAATTGAGTGAATCTGGCTGATACATGATTCTAATAAAATGCTGCTTGCAATTCATTGTGTTTTTTACATGTATAAAGAGGTAAATTGCTCATATAATTATAATCTCAGATCCCATGAAAGAGTGGTACCTTGCCCAAAAAATGCCAAACACTCTGCAGCCAATTCTACACAATTATCCTTTAAAAATATAGATGGGACCTGTCACACCTTAAATAATTGTTACCCTTCCTTACCTGAGACATGAAAGACTCAGTTAAACATTTCTGAGAAAAATAATGAGAGTTAAGAAATGCACATAGATTAGAAGGGAATGGAAATATACCTGGAAAAAGGAACGAGGCTATGCTTTGTAAGTAAAAGGGCAAAGAACTTCAAATCCTTCTATTTGGCTCAAGGCTGTTTTGAATATGTTTCTAGGGAACATTATTATATAATTTCTAACTCTGAATTGCCTTAACATCCTACAGTAACAATTGAAATTTAAAAATAGTTATTTTCTTAATAGCTGGTACCAGAATTCTCTTAGGAGGAAATTGTCTTTACTAGAAAAATTCCTCAATCTATGCCTGTGGTAGGAGAAAGGTCCACAGACCTTGGCATGTGTGAGTCTCGAGGCTTCTGAGGGAGAATTATTCTACCTAGAAAAGAAGTTTTTGGAGCTGCCAGAACCGTGCAAGGAGAAAGTATGAGGTACAGATAGACGACAAAGGCTTTATGGTCTGTAAAGTAATTGCTGTGATTGACCTTCAATTCTCCAATAAGAGCTACAAAACTCATGACCTATAGATCTATGTCTTTAGTGGAAACCAGTGATGGGACTTTAATGTCTCAAGAGATGTTGTTATAGACAGAAACACTACATCCACTTGCCAGGGTCCAGAAGCCGGGGGAGCCCATGAGCATGGATTTTGTGAGAGAATTTACAAAAGTCTTGATGAGTGCTCTGAATTTGTATCAGCCAGAGAACTGTTGAAAGAGCAGGGGTCTTCAGCTAAACTGACTTGGCTCAGGGTAGTAGGGAGGACCATGGAGGCCACTTGGGTTTCACTGCTTATTTGTCATAACTGTCTTGGCCACTCCTTCTATACACTTCTCCTGGGAGAAAGACAAGAGAAATGAAATAAATAAAAGTGCAGTTTATGTTTGAATCGAAATGAGCTAAGGTGGCAAGGACTAATGTTGGCAGTTGAGGACAGAAAATCACTAATATGAGTCAAAGGTTGGTGGGGTAACTGGCTCTCTTCAGAATTCAAGTGTGCCAAACTGAATTCTCTGCTTCTCAGGCCTTTTACATTTGTCCACATGCCTCTTTTCCACCAGAAATCACTGATTTGCTCGTTGATCATCTAGGGTTTTTGAAATTAATAATAATCATGTCAACAGAAATAGTATATTTTGTATGGATGGCTCTTTGCAATTTGCAGATCATTTTAAAATCATCTCAGTTGATCCCTCTAGTAACCTGGAGGGTACATGGGACTCAACTATTATTGTCATTCACAAATAAAGAAAGTAAATTCCAGAGAGCTCTCTGTTACAATTAGTAAAAGGTGAACTTACCTTTATTTAAATAGCTTTATTGAGGTATAATTGACATATAATAAACTGTACATATGTAGAGTCTACAATTTGATGAATTTTGACACATGTGTAAATCAGTGAAACAATTACCTTGAGAAGGGTAGTGAACATATCCATTACTCCCCAAAGTTTCCTTGTTCCCCTTCATAATACCCCCCACCGGACCCTCCTATACAACCCCAACACCCATCTCCATGTAACCACTGATTACCTCCTGTACCACCCCTTCACCCATGTCCAGGTAACTACTGATCTGATTTCTGTCATTGTATATTAGTTCACATTTCCCAAAATTTTCCATAAAAAGAAGAAGAAAAATAGAACAGACAAGTTACTGGTGATGAGATTCAATCAGTAATGAAAAGCCTCCTTACAGTTGATGGCTTCATTGCTGAATTCTACTAAACATTTAAGAAACTAGTACCAGTACTTTGCAAACTTTACCAGAAAATTAAAAAGGAGAGAATTCTTCCAAACTCATATGAGGCTAGCAATACCCTGCTATCAAAACTAGAGAAGAGAACACACACACAAAAGAAAACAACAGGTTAATATCCCTGATGAACACAAAAATTCTCAACAGAATACTAGCAAATCAAATCCACTAGTACATTAAAAATGTCCTTCATGGCCAGGCCCAGTGGCTCATGCCTGTAATCTCAGCACTTTAGGAGGCCAAGGCAGGCAGATCACGTGAGGTCATGAGCTCGAGACCAGCCTGGCCAACATGGTGAAACCGCATCTCTATGAAAAATAAAGGAATGAGCCAGGTGTGGTGGCACATACCTGCATTCCCAGCTACTGGGGAGGCTGAGGCAGGAGAATCACTTGAACCCTGGAAGCAGAGGTTGCAGTGAGCTGAGATAGCACCACTGAACTCCACTCTGGGCAACAGAGCGAAACTCCGTCTCAAAAAAAAAAAAATAAATAAATAAAATAAGATAAGTCGTTCACCGTGCTTAAGTAGGATTTGGCCCAGGGATACAAGGATAGTTCAACATAAGCAAATCAAAAAATGGGATAAATCATATCAACAGAATGAAGGACAAAATCTATGTGATCATCCCAATAGATGCAGGAAAAACATTTGATAAAATTTAACTTCCCTTCATGATAAAAGCTCTCAACAAAGTAAGTACAGAAAGAACATACCTCAACACAATAAAGTAAGTATCATACTGAATGGCAAAAAGGTGAGTTTTACCTTTAAGAACTGAAACAAGACAAGGCAATCATTCTCACTGCTCTTACTCAACATAGTACTGGAAGTCCTAGCCAGAGCAATTAGGCAAAAGAAAGAAAGGACATCTAATTTGGAAAGGAGGAAGTCAAATTGTCCCACTTTTTAGATAACATAATCAGATATAGAGAAAACCCTAAAAGCTCTATCAAAAAAGTCTTAGAATTGATAAATTCAGTAAAGTTGTGGGATGCAAAATCAACATACAAAAATCAGTAGCATTTCTAGGCACCAATAATGAACTCACTGAAAAAGAAATCAAGAAAGCAATCCCATTTACAATTGCTACAAAAAAATCCTGGGAATAAATTTACCAAGGAGGTAAAAGATTTCTATGAGAAAAATGACAAAACAGTGATGAAAGAAATTGAAGAGGTCACAAACAAATGGAAATACACCTAATGTTCATGAATTGGAGAATTTAATATTGTGAAAATGCCTGTACTACCAAAAGTGATCTATAGATTCAGTGCAATTCCTATCAAAATACAATTCTTCACAAAAAAAGGATAAAAAATCCTAAAATTCATATGCAATAACAAAAGACCCTGAATATCCAAGGTAATCCAGAGCAAAAAGGACAAAGCTATAGACATCACACTATCTGACTTCAAAATATATTACAAAGCTATAGAACCAAAACAACATGGTACTGGCATAAAAACAGACACATAGACCAATGGTACAGAGTACAGAACCCAGAAATAAATTTACCTATTTATAGGGAACTGATATTTAACAAAGACACCCAAGAGTACTCACTGGGGAAAAGACAGTCTCTTCAATAAATGGTGCTGGGAAAACTGGATATACATACACAAAAGAATGAAACTAGACCTCTTTCTCTCACCATATACAAAAATCAACTCAGAGTGAATTAGACTAAAATGGAAGACTTGAAACTATAAAACTGCCAGAAGAACACGTGGGAGAAAGTCTTCAGGATATTGTTCTGGGTAAAATATTTTATGGATAAAATATCAAAAGCACAGGCACCAAAAGCAAAACTAAACAAACAGGATTACATCAAACTAAAAACTTCTGCACAGGAAAGGGAACAATCAACAGAATGAAAAGACAGCCAGTAGAATAAGAGAAAATATTTGCAAACTATTCATCCAACAAGGGATTAATATCCCGAGTATACAGGGAACTCAAACAACAACAAAACAACAACAACAACATCAAATCAAATAATCCAGTTTTTAAAAAATGGGCAAATGAGGTGAATATACATTTTGCAAAAGAAGACATAGGCATGGCCAACAGGTTCTTGAAAAAGTGCTTGCCATCACTAATCATCAGGGAAATAAATGCAAATCGAAACCACAATGAGATATCATAGCATCCAGGTAGACTGCCTATTATCAAAAAGACAAAAAATAACAAATCCTGCTCAGCATGCAGAAAAAGGGGAACTCTTTTACACTGTTAGTGGAAATTTAAATTAGTATAGCCATTACGGAAAACAGTATGGAGTTTCCTCAAAACACAAAAAATAGAATTATCACATGACCTCTCAAGCCCCCTACTAGGTTTATATCCAAAGGAGATAAAATAGGTATGTCAAAGAGGTATCTGCACTCCCATGTTTATTGCGGCACTATTCACAATAGCTAGGATATGGAATTCAACTAAGTGTTCATCAATGGATAAAGAAAATATGGTATATATACACAATATAATACTGTTCTGCTATAAAAAGATGAGATTCTGTCATTTGCAGGAACATGAATGAGCTTAGAGGTTTTTTTTTCTTTCTTTCTTTTTTTTTTTTTTTTTGAGAGTTTCGCTCTGTCGCCCAGGCTGGAGTGCAGTGGTGCAATCTTGGCTCACTGCAACCTCTGCCTCTCGGGTTCAAGCGATTCTCCTGCCTCAGCCTCCCCAGTTGCTGGGATTACAGGCACCAGCCACCACACCCAGCTAATTTTTGTATTTTTTTGTTTTTTTTTTTAGTAGAGATGGGGTTTCACTGTGTTGGTCAGGCTGGTCTCGAACTCCTGACCTCATGATCTGCCTGCCTCAGCCTCCAAAAATGCTGAGATTACAAGCCTGAGCCACTGTGCCTGGCCGAGCATTTTATGTTGAGTGAAATAAGCCAGGCACATAAAGTATTGAGTGTTCTCACTCATAAGCGCAAGCTACCAATGTTGTTCTCAGAGAAGTAGAGAGTAGAAGAGTGTTTACTAAAGGCTGGGAATCATAGAGTGGAGGAGGGGATAGTGAGAGGTTGATTAATGGATACAAAATTACAGCTAGATAGAATAGTATTTTATAGAACTGTAGGGTGACTATAATTAACAACAATTTATTACATATTTTCAAATAGCTAGAAGATTTTGAATGTTCCCAACACAAAATATGGTAAACGTTTGCAGTGATGAATATGCTAATTACCCTGATTTGATTATTACACATTGTATACATGTATCAAAAATCACACTGTACCCCATAAATATGTACAATTATCATGTCAATTAAAAATCATAATAAAAACCAACTGTTGAGTTGTATCCCATTGTGTATATGTATATATATATATATACACCATAGTTTGTTTATTCATGCACTTGTTGATAGACATTTGTGTTGTTAACAGGTTTTGGCTCTTACAAGTAAATCTGCCATGAACATTCATGTATAAGTCTTTGTAAAGACTTATGCTTTCTTTTCTCTTAGGTAAATACCTAGGAGGGGAATAGCTATGGTAGGTGTATGGTTAAATTTTAGGACACTATAGACTGTTTTCTAACGTGGCTATTCCATGACACACTCTCACCAGCAGTGTATGAGACAGCCAATTTCTCTGCATTCTTACTAAAACTTCTTATGGTCAATCTTTTTACTTTTAGCCACTCTAGTGTATGTACAATTGTATCTTATTGTGGTTCTAACTTACATTTCTCTAATGAACAACGATGTTGAGCATTTTTTTCATGTGTTTCTCCACCATCCATATACCTTCTTTGTTGAAATACCTGTTGAAATCCTTTGCCTATATGTAAACTAGGATTTTCCCCATGTTATTATTGAGTTGCCAGAGTTCATCATATATTCTATATACGAGTTCTTTGATGGAGATGTTTTGAAAATATTTTTTCCAGTTGGTGGCTTGCATTTTACTTTCTCAACAATGATTTTTAAGACACAGAAGTTTTTATTTTTAAGCCCAATTTATCGATTTATTTCTTTATGGATTATGCTTTTCATATTGTATCTAAGAAAGCTCTGCCTAAAGTAGCAATATTTTTTCTTTGTTTTCTTCTGGAAGTTTATAGTTTTAGGTATTGCATTTTGGTCTATTGTCTATTTTTTAGTTAATTTTTATATGGCGTGAGGTATGGACTGATGTACATTTTTTTTTGGTATATGAATTTCCATTCGTTCCAGCACCGTTTCTTGAAAAAACGATCCTTTCTCCACTAAATTGCCTTTGCACTACCCAGCTGGTTTAACAGCTTTCAGGCCCAGAGTGGGAAATAAAAGCTTAAAAATCTGTGATTTGAGATTCTTGGGTAGAAGGATTTAGGGCTTTTACATGACTTCCCCATTTCTAATAAGAAGTGCCATGACTCAAAGAGTCTCCTTACTCTAAGACTAAGAATCTCCCATCAACGTTTAGTATAGTCATCAACTTTAGGGCATAGTTTCCAAAGCACTTGTGAGTAACTGTGCTAATTAACATGTCCATTTCCTCTTAAGAACATGCCAAACTTTCATCTGTCAGTCAGGCAGATCCAGGAGGTATTATGCCCTCAGCTGAGGAAGCCCTATTATTATATATGAAAAGGATTCATTGAGAGCATCACTGTCAGAGAAGTCAAAGGAGAGTATATAAATGGGAGAATGTAATGTGTGATCTGATCCAAAGCAATTAATATAATTTTCTGTTTAAGTTAAAATTGCTGATATGACAGTGGGGCAGGGTGTGATTCATGAGGAGTTGATTTAGACCCTAAGAGAAAAAAGGAAATTAATCTAGAAAAGAATAAGATTTAAAAACATTTTATGGTACATGTCGTTATCATTGTTAATTATTATTAATATAACGTTAATTATAATGTTGGTAATATAGTCATTATTAATATGCTGAGGAGACTAAGATCCATTATATATCAACTTTTGATTTGAAAGGAGGTTATTGGCTGAGACCTTGGTTATCAGTCATTTATTATTTCCCATTTGGAATAGAAGAATAGGTCATTTTTGTTTAACCTATATAGTCAGAAAAACTTTGTTTCAGTGCTTCTATGGTGAACATGAAGTAATGTGTTCTCAGTGTTTTATGACAGTGTTGTTTCTCTGTCTCTAGGAGGAGAAAGACTTTCTCTTTTTAAAACCGGAAATATATCCTGCCTGAAATAATTTGGAGAACTCCTCGTTGTGAAGTCTACAGGGACATCAAAAAAACACAGCTATCTGTTCCCCAGCTATATCTTCTTCTTTATCCCTTGGAACATTTGTAGCTGCACTTCCTACAAGAAGGAACCATTTGTAATCATGAGCAAAGGTTGATTCAAGATTTTATCGAAGGTATTTAAATATTCTTCATTTGAAGAGTAGTTATGTGCTTCTACGGGCAGAGGCCAATCTAATTTTTCTTAATGTCCCCAGAGCCTACCATGTTGCCTGACAAGGTAGAGATGCTTGCTCAACATTTACTGAAAATGGAGGCTAATATCACAGAAATAACTAATCCCTCTCAAATCTGGGGATTTAGTTTTCTTTCACTCTGTCCCACCCCCCACTAAATATCCACAGTTTCCATTCCTCCATCCTTTTGAGTTAGGTATATTTTAATTTTGATTATATCAATTTAATATTTCTATTATGATGATTACATAAACACCTTTTATAACCACACCCTCTTCCTTCTGCCCCTCCTACCTGTTCTTCCTCACCCTCAGCAACCACCAGCCTGTTCTCCATTTCTAAAATTTTGTCATTTCAAAACCATTATATAAATATGGAGTCATATAATATGTAACCTTTGGGGTAAGTTTGTTTCACTCAGCATAATTACTTAGAGATCCATCCAAGTTGTTGCTGCATGTATCAATAGTTGCTTCCTTTTGATTGCTTAGTAAGATATCATGGTATGTATGCACCACAGTTTGCTTAACCATTTCCTTACTGAGGAACATCTGGGATGCTTTCTGTTTTGGGCTTTCATGAATGAAGCTGCTTTGAAGACCCAGGTACAGGTTTTTGTATGAACATAATTGTCATTTCTCTGGGAGAAATGCCCAAGAGTGCAATTACTAAGTCACGTAGTAATTGCATATGTAGCGCCACAAGAAACTACTGTTTTCCATGGTGGTTGTAACATTGTACATCCCCACCAGCAATGTGTAAGGGTTCTAATTTCTCCACATCCTCATAGACACTTGTTTATGAAACTTGTTTAGAAAAGCACTATCATGCTTTCTTAAAATTTATTTAAGCATCCCAGTTGATGGGAAGTTGCATCTCCTTATGGCTTTGATTTGCCTTTACCTAATAACTATTGATGTTGAACACCATTTTTCACATTCCTCTTGGCCGTTCCTATGTCATCTTTGAAAAAATCTCTATTCAGATCCTTTGCCCATTTTTGAACTGGGTTATTTATCTTTTTATTACTGAGTTGTAAGAGTTCTTTATGTATTCTAGATACAAGTCCCTTAACAGATGTATGGTATTCAAATATTTTCAGTGGACTGAATTTTCACTTTCTTGATTGTGCCCCTTGAAATACTAAAGTTTTATTTTGAGGCAGTTCAATTTATTTATTTTTTCCTTTGGTTGCTTATGTTTTTGGTGTCATATTTAAGAAAATGTTGTCTTATTCAAGTTAAGAAAATTTACACCTGTGTTAACTTTTCTAAAGGTTTCATAGCTTTGGCACTTACATCTAGATCTTTAATCCAGTTTGAATTAATTTTTGCATGTGTTATAAGGTAAGAGTCCAAATTCATTCTTTTGAATGTAGAGTTTCATTTAGCCCAGCACCATTTTCCCAAAGACTATTCTTTCTCCAGGAGATGATCTTGATACCCTTGTTGAAAACTGATTGACAATAGATACATTGATTCTCAATTATATATACACAAATATATATGTGTGCATGTGTGTGTGTTGATTACTGTAGCTTTGTAATAGGTTTTGAAATCAGAAAGTGTGAGTCCCACAACTTTGTTCTTAAAGATTGTTATGGGTATTTGGGCTTCCTTGTACTTTCTTATAAGTTTTAGGCTTAATTTCTGTGTTCATTATATAAACCTTCACTTAATCTTTTCAACATAGTTCCCTTACCCTCAACTGTGCCAGAGATGTTGTTTACTCTCCAGAGGATAAGTCCCCAGTCCTCTCTTGGGTAGGAGAAGAGTAGTTGCTGGCTGCATGGATCTGAAATAGTCTCTAGATATCTAATGACTTCTAATACTTTTTTTAAAATGCATATTTTTAGCTTTTTTTAGAAGAAAAATAAAAGGAATAAAAAAATTTTAGAAAAAAATTTGCATCTTTATAAAGCTTGGTGCTTTGCCTCTGATTGCTTTCCTTTTCTACTTTGTTATTAAACATTTTTCCCTAACTGCTTCTTAACTCAACTTTCAAACTTTATGTTTAATGTCTCCTTTACAACCATTTTCTTAAGTACCTGATGCCATTAATTTCTGAGGCTTTTACAAGTTTTGGAATAGAATGGAAAGCAAGTTGCTTATTGGTTCTTCCCATTGCTGACTTAGAGCTCAGCTTTTCTTGGATCTTCTAAGTCAATGGCTACATGTCCATCTGCTTTCCGACATTTAAACTAATGTTATTCCTGTTTCCTTTCATCTTGCCTTTGTCTTTGTGGGTTCATTCCTTTAAAAAACCCCTTTACTATTGTATTAAACTTTCAACAAAGAGTGGATTCAAATGTAGTGTTCAATCTGCCACTGCCATTTTTTACTGGAAGTCTCTTTATCAAAAGTGTCTTTCTGTAATGTACTGAGAGCTAGTTTCAATAGGATTCAATTATTTCACTATGTAACTTTAAAAGCTACATTACATTCTATTGTGGGAATGTATGATCATTTATTTAATAACTTTATTTTGGCTCATTTCCAAAATGTTAGTTCTGGAAGCAATGCTGTGATGAACATCTGTGTAGAAATGTTGTACAATTCCATAAGTATTTCCCTAAAACAAATTCCTAGAATTGATCTTATTCAATCAAAAGGTACATACATATATTAAGACTTCTGATATCCATTGATAAATAACTCAGCAGAGAGGTTTTATTACTGTCATGTCTACCAGTTGGATATGAAAGTGTTCTTTTCCGAACACACTCATTAACTTTGGGCAATTAAAAAATTCCCTTATGCTTTTATTTTTTACTTTTCAAGCCAGAATTAGATTCAACACAATGGATTTTACTATAACACAGTTTTTAGGAGGAATGGCTTAAAATCCATTATTCTAAAGCTGGGTACATTACATTTGGCAGAAGTCTCTACAATTTAATCAATTTATATTAAAAATAAATAAAACCCTAAATATAGCAAATCATTTGGTTTGCTTGTTAAGAAGTATATTTTCTTGTTAATTCTTCCTGGAATTTCAACAGGAAATTTTCTCACCTAAGTAGATATTTATTGAAGAAAATGTGAGACTTATTTTCTATGGTGTTAGCAGAAAATTTATTAATCCTACTTGGATAATCTTGTGGGCTACTCACTGTAGAACGGAGTTTTGAGAATTTGATCAATTATTTCTTCATGGCTGGAACAGACCTAAGACTCTTTTTAAATTATTTATTTATTATTTCTTTTTAGAGACTGGGTCTTGCTCTGTCACCCAGGCTGGAGTGGAGTAGTGTCATCATTGATTACTGTAGCCTTGAACTCCTGGGCTCAAGTGATCCTCCAGCCTAAGCCTGCCAAGTAGCTAGGATTGCAGGCACATGCCGTTATGCCTGGCTAACTTTTTGATTTCTGTAGAGACGAGGTCTTGCTATGTTGCTCAGTCTGGTCTCCAGCTCTTGGCCTCAAGTGATCCTCCTGCCTCAGCCTCCCAAAGCCCTGGGATTATAGACATGAGCCACTGCACCTGGCCAGGACTCTTTTTATGTAATGTATTTGTTAATTTGGGGGGAATATCTTGGTCTTGCCTGAAGGCATTCCTTTGGCCATTTCGGTGATGATATAGAAAGACCACATATTCAAGAGGGAGTCATAGTCAAATGCCCCATTTTAAATCAAGTAATGTCATTCAGCCTTATCTGTTTATTCTGTCTTTAAACAACATGCATCTGTTCTTAACATTAGTAACTATGCCAAGTCAACTTTTCTCTGTTCACATTAGTTAAAATTTTAGAGGCCAATAGAAACTATGAAAGATTGTTTGAATAGTAAGCAATTCATCCACCCTCATGAACTGTGATTTTCAAATAACTTTGAACCCGTTCTTTACATGAAATTTTTAAGTCCTATTTGCTTGACTTCCCCTTACTTCTGATAAGGTGAGCAATTTCCATCAGAGAAGTGCCAAGAACACTTTGCTGTCCCTCTGAAAGACAGTCATGTAATTGATTGTCTCCCTTTTATGGCTGCCAAAGTGGAGCCAAATTTCATAACTGTATGTCTGTATCCCAACTTTCTGTCTAGTGTAATCCATGTATTTACTTTTTCTATAGTGATGATTAATTTATAGTCATTTTTTTGTTTTTAAAAATACATTTTGTCAGTTTATAATTCATTACAGAACAGGTTGAGAAATAGGAAAAATATTTTGAAAAATGTCATGGTCAATAGGGAACCAGTGAAGATTTCTTTAAAAATTATTAATTGATAATATCTTTACTTTAGAAAGATAATACTGGTATCTCTGTGCAAATAGATTATAGAGAGATCACACTGGAGACAGAATGGCAGATCAAAGACATTAGTAAAGCCACTGGCTTCTAGGAGCTCACAGCCAAGAAGGGAAACACAGCTTCACATGTCAGACAGGATACAGTCAGGAAACCAGAAACCATTCTAAGTATTTCTAACAGAGGGGATTCAATGAAGAAAGTTATTTACATGGGTGTTAGAAGAGCTGGAAAGCCAAACATGAAATGGTAAGGCAACCTACAGTTTAGCAACAATAGGAAGCACTACCACTACTACGAAGGGAGAGACACAGGAAGACGTGATGTGACAGAACCCACAATTGCAGCAGTTTAATGGAGCTGCACCCATGGTGAGGGCTGTCTGAAAGGTGCTTAGCCATGTAGGGAGGGAGAAGCCATCCAACTAACTGTGTGAACACAGAGAAGATGCAGCTGCTGTGGAGGGCTTGCCACCCTTCCCTGAGGCAGAGGGAGCAATGCCCTGGCCTCTCCCCTCTCCCACACTCCAGTCATTCTCCAGTGTCTTCCACTGGCTGAGCCTACCTGGAAGCCAGTGGAAGAGAGAGTGGGGGGATGATGCAGTGTCCCTGCTTGGCAGGGCAGAGCTGGGGAAGGACAGAGTATCAGTCTGAGCTTCAAGCAGGCGAGTGATGGATACTGCATGTAGAGGGATGTGGGTGTGCCAGAAAATAACGGTGAGCAATTGATGATGGAGCCAGAGGGAAAGACCCATTTCTGCTGGGGTGAGAGTGCAGCTGACAAAGGCCCACAGAGGACAACCTCTTTGCTGATAAATGAGGGCTGATTTGGGAACAAAGAGAGCAAAGTTGATTATTACTATACCTGCCACCAAATTTTAAGGAAGTTGGTTATCTAACCAGGATTTTAAAGAAGATTGGGAGTTTAAATCAAATTTTGAAAGAAATTTTTAGTCTCTAATAAATTTATGCATGAAGAAAAACATATGGAAGTTGATTTCTTTAACATATAGATTTGTAAATATTCAAAAGAAAAATGATTTTTGGAAGTGACTTTTAAGGGCTCCAAAGAGAGGGACCAATGAGCTATACACTGCGTGGGACTCATCATGATCGCAAGAAAATCAAATTGGTCTTCATGTAGTTTGAAAAGCCATTGAGCAATGAGAGGTGCATTTTTAATGCCCAGCATTCCCACAAATAACATGAAACTAAATTTATTGCTAACAACAGACCTAGACTACCAACCATGATTTTAGCTCATACCTTAGTCATACTTATCCCCATATTTAAATGCCAAATTTCTTCTTGAATTTGATAACCTTGTCTTTGGCTGCTAATGTGTGCTTCTTTGGCTTCTTTGTTTAGGTGCAGTTTTTGTTTTTTTTTTTTTTGGACGGAGTCTTGCTATGTCACCAGGCTAGAGTGCAAGGGCACGATCTCAACTCACTGCAACCTCAGCCTCCCAGGTTCAAGCAATTCTCCTGCCTCAGCCTCCCAAGTAGCTGGGATTACAGGCACAAGCTACCATGCCCAGCTAATTTTTGTATTTTTAGTAGAGACGGAGTTTCACCATGTTGGCCAGGATGGTCTCAATCTCCTGACCTCGTGATCTGCCTGCCTCGGCCTCCTAAACTACTGGGATTACAGGCATGAGCCACCGTGCCCGGCCTGCTTGATTTTTAATACTGGAATATAGCTAACCCATTTTCTAAATACAGAGAGCATGAAAATTTTTCTTTTCTTGACCATTTGTGCTGAGTGAACTCATTGTATATATGACTCCCTTGAAGACCTGACTATAATTTTTTATGTTTCTCTACCTATGAAGAGAATAATTGCACTGATTTTTTAGATCTTAACATATATTGTGTTCTTTTCTTTTTCAAGTATTTTACCCTCCATGACCCTAGTCTATACAAAAGCTCAACATTTTATTTTGCAGACCAGATCTTCTAGGATGCTTAAGGATTCCATTTATCCCTGGGCTTTTAACATTAAAAATTTAAACCCCATTTATAAGATTTTTAGACAACTGGTCTGGGCAAAGATAATACCATCATCCCAATATACCATATAATTCTAAAAGTTTCAGATCTGATTGAACATAAGGGTGTTGCAGAAGACTCATTTGCTGAGGCTTATTCTAGCTCTACTCTGGATTAATGACCAGAGAAACCCACTGGGCCCCTCAGCTAAAAATGCCATTATGTACAGATAAGAGCCTTTTATATCTGGAAGAATTCTTCAAGTTTATATGGTCTAATTAGTGGGGTGCTACTATCTTTATATGTTTGGCAGAAAATATAACTTCTTTGATATGTTTTTTATTGATACAGTTTCAGCAGTGTTTTAGAGTGTCATCCATCTCTGTTGTTTTCTTGTTACAATTTACATAAAATGTCATGGAGTATAGCCTGGTTTGGTGCATTAACCACTCTAAGAATGACTACTTTTCTGTATATCTAAAAATGACATTTGAAGTATAATTATAACATTCTAAGCCTTATTTAGTCTTTTGTCTTGAAGCCAGAATAAATAACTTTTTATAGTATTTGAATTCTGAATGTCAGCTGGTATGAATTCATAATTTTTTGATTGGGAATTTGATCAGTATGAATTACAGGGGTGGTAGTGGGATAGAAAGAGTCTAAAATCTCATCAAGCTAGTTAGAGCTCTAACAGATGGATTTAATTCACTACAGAGGCTAAGCAGGGCCAGCTGCTCCACCTTCCCTGGTGATCAGCAATAGAACTGCTTGGATAGCAGTCACTGCTTTAATAGACTAGCTTTGTGTCTTTCTTTCTCTCTCAATCTTTCTCTCTCCATGTTTCTCTTCTTTCTTTTCTGATGGGGGTTGTATATAAGTTCAGGCTAATACTGACTGTTAGTATGGATTTTAAATTTCATAGGCCTTCTAAGAAGAAGGTTTTCTGTTTGTTTTGAGACAGGGTCTTGCTCTGTTGCCCACGTGGAGTGCAGTGGTGCAATTACAACTCACTGCAGCCTTGACCTCCCGGTAATCCTCCCACCTCAGCCTCCTGAGTAGCTGAGACCACAGGCACATGCCACCATGCCTGGCTATTTTTTTTTTTTTTTAATTTTTGTAGAGATGAGTTCTCCCTGTGTTGCCCAGGTAGGTCTTGAACTCCTGGGCTTAAACGATCCTCCCTCCTCAGCCTCCTAAAGTGCTGGGATTATAAACGTGAGCCTCTGCTTCCAGCTCTAAAAATAATTTTGACGTGATGACCATTGTGCTATTCTTTGCTAGATACAAGCAAACATTTTACAGACCTGAAAGTGTTAACACAGTTTTCAAAACAAACTAATTTTATAACCCAATCTAGGTTCAGCTCCACAGAAATTAAGCTATCTGATAATATTTTTGATAGAAAAATTCAATTAGTATATCTGGATCTGATTAGCAAGATAGTGGGGCAGTTGTATGAGGCAGATATTATTATTATCTCGTCATTTTATAGAAGAAAAAATGAGGTTTTGCGAAAAATATTTGCCTATGATAGTCACAGAGAGTATCTCCCAAGGTCACCTAAAATTTTCAGAGAGACAGTAAGTGAAGGGATGGTCTAAACTCAGTTCTACTGACTCTGAAGCCTAGGAACTTGAATGGCTATTCTATGAGCCTCCTATATGTGAGGGAGTTAGACCCTGTTTTAAGAAACTGAACTCCCTCCTAGCAAATTTCAAGTATAAAGCTGAAGAAAAAAAGGAAGAAATAGAATACTCCTCATGTAACCATCTCTCTCTTCTTTTGGGGGGCGGGGGGGGGGCAAGAACTGTGCCAGCTTTATGATCATGCCCATTCTCTTAGGGTCCCAGAGCTGCATGTGGCTCTCCACTTCCACCCTACTCTCTTCTTAAAGCACAGGATTTTGGGCTCTTCCCTTCCAGACTGGCTGTATTTTCATTCCCCACCCTCCTTTCCTACCTGTCCTTTATCTTCTGTGGTTAAAGCTCTTCTCTCGATCATCCTATTGGACTTTTAACATCTTGATGGAAAGAAGAAAGTTCACAACAAATGAATTTAGACGTAATGTCCATCTACTCATACTGAAATATTTTGTTTACCTTCATGTAGTGTTTTTGAGGGCTGTGATTGTATGTTCTCACATTTTATCATAACTACAAAAGAAAAGAACAACAAAACAATCATAGCAGCAGGAGTTTTGAGTTTTGCGTCCCAGAACATTAGTTTTCTGTTTCTGGCATAGTTGAACACAGGAGTGAAATATGGGAAGAATGGGAGGAAACGCAAATGAATCTTTCATGTAGGACTTGCTTTATTTCTCAGGCATCTTGCTGTAGTGCCTGTGAAGAACATGAGCTTTTTAAAAATTTTTCTTAGCTTTTATTCCTGTTTTAGAAGTAACAATGTCTTGGTTTTGAAAATGCAATAATAAGGCCGGGCGCGGTGGCTGCCACCTGTAATCCCAGCACTTTGGGAGGCCAAGGCAGGTGGATTACCTGAGGTCAGGAGTTCGAGACCAGCCTGACCAACATGGAGAAACCCCGTCTCTACTACAAACACAAAATTAGCTGGGCGTGGTGGCACATGCCAGTAATCCCAGCTACTCAAGAGGCTGAGGCAGGAGAATCGCTTGAACCCGGGAGGCGGAGGTTGCCGTGAGCCGAGATGGCGACATTGCACTCCAGCCTGGGCAACAGGAGTGAAACTCTGTCTTTAAAAAAAAAAAAAATCCAATAATGTTAAAGGGTTATAATAAAAGTTAACTCTCTCGCTATCCTTCAGTCCCAGTTGTTCTTTGATAGTTACCTCCACGTCTCTAAATAATATGCTTTTATCGCCATTTCTTGACTTGTAAATTTTGAAATCAATTACCTTCCTGCTATGATAGTGTCAAAAATAAAATCACACCAAATTAGAAGAATTTTTAAAGTTTATTGTTATACAAAAAGAGAAAGTACAGATCATGATGAGGGAGACTTCAATCCAAGTGGTAGGAAGATGACCTTCCAGCAGTTCCAGCTCAGTTTATGGAGCATAAAGGAGGAAGTATCTTGACCTTTTTGTGATTGGCTGTTATGCATTAATATTCTTTTTAAGGCAAGCAGAGCCTTTTAAGCTGATTTTTCTATAGTTGATTGGTTTAATTTTACTGAATCATGCTGACAAGGACATAAAGCTTATGTTTTGTGTTTCATTTACGATTAGAGCTAGCATTTGGGGGAAATTAGGATGACTTCAATTTTGGTGGTGTGGTTATTGGGCTGTTGGCCTCGAATTATGTCTAAACTGTGGCCTTCACTTTTATTTTTCTTTAACAATAGGAAGAATGTAGATCTCTTCCATCATGCTCTGCCTTTCCAATAATAAAATCATCTTTGGTGATGTCAATTATGTTTACAACATGAAGAATATGTACATATTAATTATACGACCAAATCCTGACTGTAAGAATATTTCCTTCTTTAAAGAGCGTTCTACTCTTTTTGCTTTTTTCTACTTTAGCGTTCTCACATTTTTAGGATGTCCCAATCCTTAAGTGGTCTGTCAGCTGGGGTCTTATAAGGTAATTTGGCTAATGCTTTAGGCTATTATCATTCACCACCTCTGTGCCTCGTTTGCATCTTTCAGGAACTTGTGGATATTTCTCATCTGCCGAAGGTCCCTCTCTTACTGTCTTTGTTGGTTTATGGTGTTTTGTTTCACTACTGAATTTTAATTAGATCTGCAAGGAGAGAAAATAAACACAAGTGGTTAATCTACATTCTTAATTTGGGAGTGTCAGGTTAAAATCAGGGGAGTAAGATTTTCAGAGGTGGGCTTTAGAAAGAGCTCTGCACTGTGTAGAAAAGATCCTGGAGGGCATGAGTCTGGAAGCAGGGAGTCATCCAGGAGGGAAAGACGGGATTTTCTGCAGGATTGAGTGGTTTTAACATCAGGGGATGCAAAGTCATAGGCCTGTGTCATACTCATTTGGCCTATCACTGGCCTTGTGGCCATGGTTAAGCTACTTTATTTTTCTAAGCCCCAGTTTTCTTATCTATAGTTCTACAATTCCCATAACTCATTTTTAGTACATATAAAAATACAAAAATCTAATTTAAAACAAGCGGTAAAGAAAGAAAAAGAATCATATGAAATAAAAAGAGCCTAGTCTCTTTTATCCTGCCCACTCTCTTTGAATACATCTTTTTATATTTTCTCAGAGTAACAGCACAACTTAGTTTGGATACCTCTCAGCCAAAAGACTTCTAGAAGCAGTGTCTCCTAGAACTGGCCTTCCAGTATTGGATACACTATACTTATGGCCCTGCTTTGGCAGCTGAGTTGAGTCTAAAGCTTATTTTATGAAGAGGTTCCTTTCCTGGGAACATCTTGGGGTGGGAGGAGGAGTTCACATGAGAATAGAGAAGCTAATTTGCTTATACTGGGCTTAAACCTTTGGCATTACCATTAACCACGCCGTGAAAAGACATTATGTTATCCCAGGATGGGGAAAACAAGCAAAAGGACTTTGAGAGATGTCCAAATTAATCTTTAAAATGCATTTTATGACTAAGAAACATTTTAATCTTGGACTCAGTACAAAATTTCAAAACTTAAACTCAATGAGCCATAATAGGACTAATCATAAAATTCTTAACGGTAACAGCCTTTAATTATTGCAAGCTGTAGCAATGCCTTGTAATGCTAACACGGACGATATGCTACCACACTCTTTTCAAAGGGTAGAACTATTTCAAGTACCCTACAAAATAATTACACTTCAAAGTGCTCCCTAGGCTTGGGGCCAAAAAAGAAAAAAAGCAAAAGGGAGAAAGTAAAACCATACAAAGACAGAAAGCTTTCACCTCTGTAGGATTTTATCTCAATTTATTGACATGATATGATAATTGCAGTTGGAATTATAACTGAATTCCATTATTTCAGATCTGAGGAACTAAAATTCATAGACTTATTCATGTTAAAACTGAGAGTAATTTGTTCAAAATATCCTGGTGAGAAGAAAATTGCCTTATGTCTTTGAGGGGTCGTAATGGTTTTCACAGTGTCTCCAATAAACCCATTGCAGGACATAACAGATAATTGAAAACAAAAGCGGAATATATTAAGTCTGTTAGTATCAAGGTTAAAGTAGTGGAATAAAGTATTCAGGTTAAGTGATGCTATTAACGCAGTGCCTTCACATGTGGTCCATCTAACACATTAATACTTAATATGGCACTTATGATTTTCATAGAAAGCTTCTACTCTCACTGGTAATTCGAATATTGTTTGGAACGTAGAAAATTTTTTCCACAATGAACATTTTTTCCTAAAAACCTTTTAACTGCAGGTTAATTAAGCAATTGTGGCATGATCAAAGAAGAGCAAAACTAACCTGAGGGATAAATCATCATGACTGCCAGACCCATGAATTTATTGTCTTATCTTGTAAAATGAAAGCATATTTATGGTATCTATGTCAATAACACATAGGCTGATGAAAGCAACTGTGTTGAACTCATGAATGGCATTAAGTTGTATTTTTCACAAAATCTTGAGGGGAAACGTTTTTTAAATTATTTTTTCAGTTATTTAAAAAGAATACCCTCCCCCGTCTCCATTTTTCCCTTGTTTTGCATCCTATATTTGTCCACTGCACTTTTTGCTCGTATTATTTTCTTTCCTCCTATTATTTCTCTTCCCTCTTTATTTCCTCCCTCTCTCCTGCTTTCCTTCCACATTTTACTTTTGCAGCTTTCTTATAAGCAACAGAAAGACAGAGGCAGTGAATTATATGCTTATTCAAAGTGTTGAAATAATAGAATCTTCAGTATTTACATAAAATCAAAGCCGTAAGAAGACCCTGTTTCTACTTTAAGTTTTTTCATCCCTACCTTGAGTTTATCTCCAGTGATATCCATTAATATCACTGGATAAATTAATATTATTTGAATAAATCAATATTATGATTTAACTCTCTTACTCAGGTCTTTATTGTCTCCAATCCAAACTATATGCAGCCATGAAGGTTTTTTGGGCATGCAAATGGGACTGTCTTCTGCCTCAGAAATCTCTGTGGCTTCCCAGCAACCACAGCAATGCCATCACCCTTGGTGTATTAGTCTCATCACAGTATGATCTTTGCCAGAGGTTCCAGTCTCTTCTGCCTCCCTCCCCTAATGGCAGCATTCCCCTCCCAGACGTTAGACTTTACTTCTGCTTTTCTCTCAGCTGTCTCATTCTTTCTTCCACTTATCCGACTCCTTAGCAGTCTTTAAATTTCAATCCAAATTAGACATTTCCATGGTAAATATCCCTGATGCCTCCTTTCTCAGGCAGATTGAAGCATAATTTTTCCTGGGCTCCCACTTTAATTTGTGAGTACTCACCCATTAGTGTATATGTTAATCCCATGTATGTTTGCATGCCTTCACACACAAGACACAGAATTCTAAATTCCTTGAAGGCAGACTGTAATTCAGACTCAGGTCTTTCTGACTTCAAAGGCCACTATGTTTTGTGTCATATTGGATGTGAAAGGTTAATGTCAATGGAGAAGCTGAAGGTGCCACTGAGATCTCAAATTTAACTGATTGGAAAGATGGTGATATCGTGGATGGAGAGAGGAGGCTGAAGGAGTAGGTTATGGGTGGTAACATTAAATACCCATAGTGGATGATTTGAATAAAAAGAGAAATTGGGTGAAGAATGGTTTGGTGAGAAAGGCCAATATTAAAGGCATGATGACAGGAACTTGAAGAAGCAGTCAGAAGGGACAAAAGCAAGGATAGAAGCCAAAATAGACACATTTTTAAGGAGAAAGGAGTTAACATGGTAAATGCTTTAATAAGTCCATTAAGTTTCTGGACTAAAAATAGACCATTGTACATTGAGTTTGATAAATAGAAAATCATTTCAAAGAAATTTCAGAATCTGGGGTGGGATAAATCAAATTGTAATAAATTCTAGAGGGAGATGAAGTTGGAGAAGTATAGATTTGTATGCCATTTAGGAAGTTTGGACTTGAAAGTGGGTAAGGAAGAGAGGGTGGTATAGTTGCTGTAGGACCTATCTTAACTTGAAGGGAGAAAGAAGCATATGTGAAGGAATTTTTAACATACTTGTAGGTTTAAAGGAGGCAGCTGGTGGGGATGAAGAATTTGAAAGAACAGAAAATATGAAATATAATTGATGGGACTAATGTGTACAAGAGAAAGGGGACAGAATGCAGAGGACAGATGGACAGCTTAGCTTGGGTGAACAGACTTTTCTCTAGATGGATGAATGGATGGATGGACGGATGGCATATTGACTGAAGAGGCAGTTATATGTGGCAAAGAACAGGGAGAGATAGGATAACTTTATAACCCATGATCTTGATTTTTCTTTGATTAAATGAGACAAACTCTGTGAATTGAAAAGATATTATAAGTGTTTGCTTTCTCTCTCTCTCTCGTCTTTTGGATTTTATGATGTTGGGGTGGGCATCACCTGCTTTAGTCCAACTTATGAATCTATCAGCTGCAATTCATATTAGTCTCAGGTGAGCAATAATCTTCTGTTGCTCATTATGGAAAAGCAATTAAGCAGTACTAATGGACTGTACAGGCATTTACCTTTAATTTTGATATCTGAAGGTTTTAAAAAAATGCTTATGCAGGAAAATATTTTTTTCTTTTCTTGTTAGGATGGCTGGTTTGAGTATTTAATGTGATTAAAAGCAAACAAGCTTTGTAGTGTGTAGCTTTGCTTACTGGGTGGATATAATTGCACAGGATGAAATTGGAGATGTACATATAATGCTTGAAAAGAATTGGGGGGCCTTGAAAGATTAGTTTTGGCAGAAATAAAATGTTACACTCCTAGGACCAAAACACCCAAAGCAGCGTAGGGGGCCTACCTGAGGGACAGAAAGTCAGCATCTTCATCTTCTTATCTCAAATGTTCAGGTAGTATAACTTGGGGGTAGGCCATATTTCAATTCATCCATATTTTCCAGACAAACACATTTAATTCTGTATGATTGCCTGGGCATAGTTATCAATATTCCCCCCAAATCTTCACTATGTTTAATTCATGAAATCTTTGTTTTCATGAGCTCAAATGCCTTCAACTATTAAGTACAGTCTACTTTAAATATTTGATAGGTTAATGAAAAGGTTTTTAGTATTTAATTTTCAAAAATGGATTTTTTTCAATAAGAGTTGAAACTCTCAATAGAAAGGGGCCTTGGGGATTGGCTTTTTTTGGCAAAATAGTAATTGCTACTAGTTATAGAGTCCCTTCCACATGCTAAAACCATTGTACACATTATCTTATTTATTTGAACAGCCACCATCTAATCTCACTATGTGTAAGTTTGGATGTTGTGTGTTGACTCTTAAATTCCTCTGTAATAAGAGAATTAGCATGGTTTTTTAAAAAAATTCTTCTTCTCAACCTTCTTCTCAACCTATCACATGGTTAAGCCAAAAAAAGAAACTAAATAATTGCCACCTAAATAAAGCAATAATTGAAATGAAACAGTCATGTTTTTCTTCACAGGGACTGGCTTAGAAAGTGATTAATGGAAGGTAGTTTAAAAGTGCTAAATAGCCATTAATAAAATGCTTGTTGAATAAATTCATTTAACATTGTGAATACTACACATAAGATTTTTAAATGTTCCACATAGCCTGAAATTATTTGGCTCATTTTTCATGCTGCTTATGAGATTCTGATTTCCTCGAGTTGTTTGACAGCCACAGTATAAATTCATAATTTTGTGTATTTTCTTTGAACAGAGGAGAATACAACTCACACAGTATTTACTGAGTACATTTAATGTATTTGCAGAGTTCTGGGATAGACTCGGAAGAAGCTGGGAGTATGGGTCACCAAGGGTTGGGTAGGCAAAATCGGTATGTTATATTTCCTGCTGCTGGAGTTTGCACACTGTTGTAGGGGAGTAAGGGATAATACAAATTACTACGACACATTTAACAAATGCCAAGTAAAACTTATGAATGAAAGTACTGAAAAAAACTACCGTTTTTATATGATTCTATATTTAAAATTTAAAATCGATTTTATATTTTATTTCTGCGGGATACAATGAAGCTTGAGGAAAAGTAGAAATGTATCTCTTCCTCCATTTCCCTTCTTCTGCTCCCCAGAAGTGCACCAGAAAGAAGTGCTATTTTCCGGGATGAAATCTCTCTGGCCTATCAGTTCTAGAACGTCTATTCAAATTTACCCTCCTATTTTCTATTACATCTGGAATTTGCTAAGTGTTTCACAAACTAAACAATGAGCCAATTAGCAATTAAGCATTAATGACTCACTGCGGTAGCTCTTAGAGCTAATACATGTACAAATTTATGGGAACTTTTCTAAATCAAAATATTGGATATGGTGGTAGTAATTACTGTCCACAGGGTGAATCTATGGGGAAATATTTTGGAGCTAGATTAGGTTTTGAGTCTTTCGTGTTAAAAACTCTTTATAGTCTTAGATTTCATCCTTCCTGCAAGACAGTTTCACACAAGCTGGCAAAATGCATAAGACTCCTAGATCAGATATAAAAGGCAAGGTTATATGATAGATCATATAGTAATGCTCACAGGAATAGCAGTTGCCAGAGTATCATCATTTTCTTTTGCCACTTCCTACGGCCCAGTTCCCACAGGATGATATAAGAATGACCTGGGGATGCCTGCACACTGATAGGCTGTGCGTCAGGAGAGGTATGTTGAGCTTAGGGAGCCCAAATCTTTCATGATGGTCTCAAGATAATCTGCCCAAACTTTGTCCCAGAGGGAGACATTCTGTTTATGATACTGGATGATAGGCAAACCTGCCCTTTGCTCTGCAGGAAGACACCATCTCTATCTTCCAAGCTGTTCAGTATATAAATATCCTTGCAAGGTGGTCATGACAGAAGGGCAATTAGTGCCTCTGTGTGGAAGACATGCAGAAATGCACAACACCCATGGAAAATTGTCTCCTGACACTGTATTATGAGTTGTTTTTCAGCAAATATCTCCTTTCACAAGCCAAGCAATGTTTTAGGTGCTCTAGGGTACACTTATCAACATCCTCATTTACTCCTCAAATGATGCTATGAAAGAGATTTTATTATTTCTATTTTACAGATGAGGGGCCTAAGACTTAGAGAAATAAAGTTACCTGCTAAAACACAATGAGTGTCATTGTTGGAATTTAAGACCCAGATTTCCCTGACTCCCACATTACTGCCCTCTTCACTTCAAAGATCAACCTACCTTTCTGTACAGGGGGCATTGACAACTATAAGGACCCCATTGGAACATAAATCTAACTTAAAGGACTTTCTGCAGAAGGTGATTATACTTAGCAATTCATTAAATGAATGAATAATATCCCTCTTTGTGTTTATGCTCCATTGACTAAATTCATTTAAAAGGAGAGATGGGATTAGTAAAGAAAAAGAAAAAGAAAAAGAAAACAGACTCAATTAGGCTCAATTAAAGAACCTCTGACTTAAGTCTCCAGTTTTCTTCATATTTTACCTGTTTAGCTGTCAGATAAATTCCATTATTGAATTTGATAATTTTTCTTTAAAAAATTTAAAAGGGTACTTTTCCTTTAAAACATTTTAAAAGGATACTTTTCCCCTTTTTTACTATAAAGGAAGTGGCTTTTCCTAATTCCCTACAGTTTTTCTTCTACAGGTTGTCCTGAATGTATGAATGCCAAGTATAGCAATTTTTACCTACGGCATCAGATGCTGTTTTTTTAGAGAGGAAAGATTCAATAATAAAATCAAGTAAGACTGCTGATTCTGGCCAGAATTCTTCAAAAGAAAGGTAGCTCTCTAGCAAATAAATATAAATTCTTTTCTTTTTTCTTTTTTTTTTCTTTTCTTTTTTTTTTTTTTTTTTTTTTGAGATAGGGCTTCACTCCTGTTACCCAAGCTGAAGTGCAATGGCACAATCTTGGCTCGCTGCAACCTCCGCCTCCCAGGCTCAGGTGATTCTCCTGCCTCAGCCTCCCAAGTAGCTGGGATCACAGGCACACACCACCACCTCCAGTTAATTTTTTTGTATTTATTTTGTAGAGATGGGGTTTCGCCATGTTGCCCAGGCTGGTCTTGAACTCCTCAGCTCAAGTGATCCACCTGCCTTGGCCTTCCAAAGTGTTGGGATTACAGGCATGAGCCACCATGCCTGGGCTAGTAAATATTTTCTGATCTTCACTTGGTTCAATACTTTGACTCTTTGGGACAGTTAATTGCCATCAAGAAGTTGGTAGTAAGGATAGTCTTGACTTGCTAACCACTAAAATATGGTCTGTGTTCTTGACCACCAAGGTGTGTTGAAAGTCACTTATGAATAGCTCTACTGTCCCACTGTTTGTGTGCATGTTTCTAAGCACCATTCCCAGGACATGCTCTGTGTGGTTCTCTCCTATGGTATAACATTTAGGCTGCTCTTTTTGCCTCTAATGCTCTCCTTCCACATTATTTCATGATCTTCAAGTTTCATCCCAAGAAAGAAGAGATGCCTGATCTTTCCCACAGATTGTAATACTTTCCTAACGTGAACTGCCTTAGACTCTAGTTTTCCTTTTCATGGATCATCTTGATTTTATATCTGCTTTATCCACACAGACATAATGTAAACTTCTTTTGGCAGTAATGGGTGTCTTACTTATCTTTGTATATTGCATAAATTATATTTGACATCTGATATGGTTAGGCTTTGTGTTCCCACCCAAATCTCATCTTGGATTGTAATCCTCATAATCCCCATAATTCCCACATGTCAAGAGCGACCAGGTAAAGGTAATTGAATCATAGGGAGTGGTTTCTCCCATGCTATTCTCATGATAGTGAGTTCTCATGAGATCTGATGGTTTTATAAGGGGTTCTTTCCCCTTCACTCAGCACTTCTCATTCCTGCCGCCTTGTAAAGTAGGTACTTTGCTTCCTCTTCACCATCTACCATTATTGTAAGTTTCCTGAGGCCTCCCTAGCAATGCTGAACTGTGAAAAAATTAAACCTCTTTTCCTTATAAATTACCTAGTCTCAGGCAGTTGTCTATAAGGGTTTGAAAACAGACTCATACAACCTCCTATAACTTTGAGGAGGCCCGAAGATACACCTCAGAGCAACTGGCAAAGAGGACACATGGAATGCAATGTGAGGAAGGTCACTGCAAGCAAATATTTCCCTGGTGTGATTAGGTCCCAGCTCCTTCTGCTGTATGCTAAAGGGTATATGCTTCCACATCTTGCCTGGCTGGGTGTGCCCATTCTGTTGGTGCCTTGCTGTCTACACTAGATATTTCCTGCTAAGCACTGAGGGGAGCTCTTTCCTGTGTCTTGACTTACCTAAAACATTCTGAATCTGCCCTAGCATTGCTTGTTCTGAGGTCTCAGTACATGATATACAAGGAAAAAAAATTCTGATCCCAGTGTTGTCACTTTTTTTGTAAAAACAAACAAAATAATATTCTCTTAATAATTAGTAACAGTAACGAGTATTGTGAGCAGATGGCTTTCCATCTTCTTTCTACTTAAGGCAGAGTACAGGTTACACTTCAATTCTGCAGATGCCATGGTCTCTATGTGATGTCAAATGAGTAAATTTAACTGGAATGTGTGTTTACATTGGCATAAATATAAGATTTCCATGATGTTCCTTTTCCTGCTGCTTGTTTATATTATATGTTTTCATATATTTATGTATATATAAATGTAGGTTTATATATATCTGTGACATTATTTATATATATATGTAGATAGATACAGATATATACACAATACACAATTCTACAATGCATATTTTATACATTAAAATGTTTTCTGACACTAGTGTACTTCTTATATGGATTTGTATATTTAATGTAGCATTTCTTCTTCTGCAAAGCTATATTGAAAAAAGCTGATGGATCATGCATTTTACAATTGATAGCATCTTAGGAACAACTAAATACATTATTTAAATTAGGGAAAGGCTAGTTGAAAGAAAATCACCGTAGTTTATAATGGGAACAAAGTCCTTTTACCAGAGTTAAGCACACAAATATGATTGCTATGCCCTTAGATTTCTGAATAGAATGAGAGGCAGAGTCAATGTTTGGCTTCAATATAGCATTTACACAAGATGGCAAGTATTCCTGGGGATGCTGTAGTTCCAACAACACAATCTTCTCCAGTCTAACATCACAGTAATCTTTGTTGGCATTAAAGCTATTTCATCTCTGGCAGAGTAACATTCAGTGTATGGATTAGGAGTCTTATCTTGCTAAAACCAGCAACATCAGGAATCGATAGATGAGTGACTTCTGCAAATGGTACCTGAGGGAGGAGCATACTTTTCTCCTTGAAATTTCCAGGGATAATCCTAACACTGTAGTTGGCACAAATGATGTGGTGGAATAAGTTGATTTTTCTGAAATTTTTTTTTTCAAGCTCAGATTAGGTCCCAGCAGATGAACAGTCTAGGTTCAGTTGTGTTTTTTGTTTGTTATTTTGTTTTAATCAATGGAAGGAAAATAACAAAAACATTTTGTTCCTTTTCTAGGTACAGAAATTGATATAGCACATAAACTTTACTGAAAGCATCTAAATGAATCCTGCCAAACTGCTTGTAAAGCCTAACTTTATTTTTCATAAAGTTTTACTCACCTTTGATGTAAATATAAATATATGTGTATATTTCATTCACATGAACAGAGATAAAATGTTTTCTTCTGGGATAAAATTCTTTTCTCTTTAAAAATGGTTACTTGCCAAGGAAGAACTTTTCTTTTCTAGGCCTTGGTTTCCCCATATGAAAAATTGTGAAAATGATAGCTTCTACATCAAATGGTTATTATGGAGAATGAATCACATAATGTAATAAGGCACTTAGCCTGATGCCTGACAAAGTAGGATTTCAGTAAATAATAAATAAATAACAAGTAAATAATAGATAATAATTGTATGTAGACACTTTTCACACTCATACATTTTAAGTGTATTCACAACTTGTATGTCTATCGTCAGTCAGCAGAATGTTTGTGCAGACATGCTCCAGTGAAAGATGGGCTTTGCTTTTGTTTTCTAGTCCCTGCATCCCCACTCTTGGCAGACATCTTTCCAGATTCTGTCTGTAAGAAGCTTATTTCTTAGTGTCCAGAGATTACAGACATGTCTATGTTTGGCTCTGTGGAAGGCTGGTTTCCATGTGTATTCTCACAGCAAGACAGGTCACCATAGTCGGAGCCTGACTCACAACAACCACTTTCAACTTCCATTTCATTTTCCAGCCTTTCTCCATCTTGTGATGAGCAGCGGCTGCCACCACTGCCACCTCATTCAGTCATTCTCGGTCTCAAAATGCAGTGAAGCTTCTCTTCTCTGATCTCCCTACATTGAAGCATATTATTCTTGCTCTTGTTGCTTGTGGAAAGTGAATTAAATTGAAATCTGGAGTGCAGCCGCCTGTGTGTGAGACTCATTTTTTGCTAAGCAATGTCATCAGCCCACAGCTTACATTTTTCTTCTTGGTTTTGTTTATTTGTAATTTGCCTACATATGGCATTAAAAAAGCACTGGAAAAAGAGAGAAAAAGGTACAGAAGCTGACAATAAGAAACAGATCATTGACATCCCTCATGCAAATCCCTTTTCTTAATTGTCTCTCTCTCTCTGAGTGGAAAGTGAACACAACTCTGTACCAGTGAATGGTTCTCTGCTTTGGTGAAATAATAAAGAGGCAAGCCTTGCTCCTGCTTTCTGGGGTAGACACAGGGAGCTTCCTCAAGATACAGAACAATTCCAGGGACAGTTTCTTCTCTCACACATCATAGATGCCACTGGCATGAATGGAAAAGGGTCACCAGAGAACTAATGTGTATTGACTGCCATTGAAGTCCCAGAGGCTGTGTTAGATATTTACATTCTTAAAAAAAATCAATAATGAATTGATTAGGAGCGATTACTTCAGACTGTTATTGGAAGGCAGGCCTTGAGTGTGAGATGTGCAGTTTCTTGGCACGTTGAACAAAGAACTGAACAAAACACACAAAGTAACAAAGGATGGAAATAAAGGAATGAAATAGCAAAGGTAAAGATGTATTGAAGAAAGAAAACACTCCACCTGGTGGGAGCACGCCATCAAGTGGCTCAAGGGCCCTGGTTACAAAGTTTTCTGGCATTTAAGTACCCACTTTTGATGTCTCAATTGGCTACTCCTGTGAGTGAAGGATTTAGCCCATGGCCAATTACAGGCTGGAGCGGATTGGGGCCCTATGCACATCAAGGGCTGGTCCATGCTTCCTCCTCCCCTCCCACATCCGAGGCACTTTCTCTTTCCATCTGGGGCATAGTGGGCAGCAAGTGTTGTAGGGGAGTAGCCTTTGATCCTTTGTTACTGGGGCGTAGGGAAATGGTTTTTTTTTTTTTCTTTTTTGATCCAGCTTTAGGAAGTTAGCACAAATCGGCTTTAGGTTCCCTGACCCCAGACCCAGGTGTTTCTTGATCCAGCTTTAGGACGTTAGCACAAATTAGCCTTAGGCTACCTGCCCCCAGACCCCGGTATTTTCGTTTTTATGATCCAGCTTTAGGAAATTAGCGGGAATTGGCTCTCAATTCCCTGCCTCCAGACCTTATTCTCCTGCCTCAAGATCTCTGAGATAGCTGTGGTCGAATGGAAGGGAGAATTCAACCCTGCAAGTTAGGAGACCATTGCTAGTACTGGTTCAGTCACTAAGGACCTGTGGTGGTATTGCAGAATGTCCCTTCACCAACGGTTCCTCTGTTTGTACGGTAAGTGAGTTGAGTTTGTAAATTCTATGCTTAAAGTCACAAGATGGGCAAATTTTGGTGCCATTTTAACTCCTGTTTAACACCAGCATATGTTTATCAGTAACTGTCTTAGTTTAATTCTCAATTATTTAGTGATTGCTTATATAGCTGATAAAGCTTGGGGCTTTCTGATTTTTTCCCTTTCCTCCTGCTGCTCACTTTTGGGCCATTTAAGCACTCATTGATATATTTATCTCAGACTGGAGAAATAATATAGATAGGAACTCAATGAAGTCCATTGAACTCCTTAGTAATAACTCTGATAAAAAGGACTCAGATGAAAGGGCTAAAACCTTGTGATTCCAGTGAAATTTGGAAATTTATTTAATATTTTGATGAAGTTTGAGAACTTATTTTTCCATTTATTTTGTATGTACTATTGCAACTTAGAGGCAGGAAATGGCTATAAGGTAAACAAGAGTCTAGTTGGAATTAGGGATGTATAATCTTATATAAATCAAGGGACTTTGCATGGGTAACCTTGATTTCCAAATTCATTTGGTACAGGACTAAAAACTAATTCCCATACATGAAGTGCCAGCATGACTTACGATAGCAGATGGAGTATTTTATATATCTACTAATACAAGCCTTTTTCTGGAAACAGACTAAGTCAAGACTTTCCCAGTAATTAAAGAAACATTGTCAGTATTGTTTGCCTAATTGGCCAAATTGTGTACTTATAAAAAACACACCTTTGGGAGGCCAAGGCAGGAGGATCACCTGAGGGCAGGAGTTTGAGATTAGCCTGCCCAACATGGTGAAACCCTGTCTCTACTAAAAATACAAAAATTAGCTGGGTGTGGTGGTGTGCACCTGTAATCCCAGCTACTTGGGAGGCTGAGGCAGGAGAATTGCTTGAACCTGGGAGAGGGAGGTTGCAGTGAGCCGAGATAGCGCCATTGCACTCCACCCTTGGCGATAAGAGCCAGACTCCATCTCAAAAAATAAACAAAAAACAAAACAAAACAAAAAACCCCCACAAACAAACATCCCTTTGGGGGACAAAAAACACCTAACATCCTAAAATTATTACTATATGTTTGGCACTTTGCCTAGCTCATTATATACTTCATTTAATTCTCAAAAAAGAGCAGTAACATCTATGATGCCCAAAACATATTTTATTCCGTTAATGCCAAAAAGAAGGCCATTGTTCTTCACCACATTTACTTATTTTTTCCTTTCTTCTACTTGTTTTCCTCTGCTCACATCCCTTCCTTGTTCTACTTTCCTGGACTCCTTGGTCCCAGCAGCTGATAGTCATTCCTTTTCTTCCTTCCCCTTCCATGTGCTTCCTGCTGTGCAGTCTTGGGCTTGCCCCAGGCTCCCGTGGGTGTCCTTTAAGTTCCCTGGCAACTTTTGAGATTAAAACTGTTGCAGGCTGCTGGCATAAGTCAAGTCACATTTGGCAAAATGTGTGTTATGTATCTGGAAACTGGGTTATACTCATTCTAGGGCAATTAACTGGATAATTACTCTGGCATAAAGACAGCCTTGTACTATTCTTGTAATAAAATAAATAATTTTAACTACAGTTCTACCTAATACTTCCAGAGTGTAAAAATCCTGGCCCATTCTTACTGTAGATCAATTAAATGTCTCTGAAGTTTCTTTATGTTCTCTTTTATAGGAATTTTGCTGGCCATAATCATTGTGTTGTTTTTGAAGTGGGAGTCCTTGGTCTCTCATGGAATAAAAACCAAATGCTCCCTGAATTAAGCAAAGTGTGCATGGGAGGAAGCAAAAAGCTCATAACCTTTTCTTCCTTTAATTTTCTTTGGCCAGGGCATTCTCCTGGCTTGTCTAGCACTTTAGATAAATGAACACAAAAAGGATGAAGAAGTCCACAGTTTTAATGGGTGATATTTGAGAGAATTTTACAAATGAGAGGAGGAAGGATATTCCTGGTCTGATACTGATATTATGTATATCATTAACTAGTCACTCTAGCTGATCTGACCTTAGGTAGTTACAAAGAACCTAAACCATGTGTTCATTTTTGTGCTGTGTGCTGTTCCGCAAACAGGGAAAATAATTGGGTACCTTGCCCTTAGGACCTTATCATGCTTTTGGGAAATTCAGAGGACTCCATACACTTAACAAGAATGAGCTATGCAGGAGAGCTGGGGTAGTTTTTTAATTCTTTTCAATGGATATTAAGGGCTGCTGGTATTCAGAAGAAACAAAAAGAGCTGTATGGTCCAAAAAGATTTCTTGGAGAATTTTGGGCTGGAAATAAGCCTTAAAGAATGTGTGGCAAGTGAGTAAGAAAGAAGAGGGTGTCTCAAGCAAGAGATGTTTTTCCTTGTGTCTCTCTCCTCACTCCCCATCTTACCTACTCTTTTATGGTGAAACTGGGCAAACAAACTGATCAGTGAGGCAGAGTAGATGAGTTTTCAAGTTTGGGAATCTGATTGTTGGTTTGGATTGCTGTTTGTCACCCACAGGCTCTGTGTTCTTGACCCAAATTTCAGGTTTGTCATCTATAAAATAAGGATGATGATGTCACTTATCTCTGAGTTTTTCAGAGGATTTGCTGTGATATTCTTAATTAATTCAACACATGTTTTTGAGCCCTTAGTTCTTGGTTCTCTGCTAGGCTTGGAGAATGTAGAAGTGGCACAATGGATACATCTTTGTCCTCAAGGAGCTTAGAGTCCAGCAAGGAAGGCAGATGCAATTACATAACATGCTTCCCAGAGTTCCTGGGTCATAGCAAGTCTTCAGTTTTATATTGGTACGTATCAGCTGCTATTTTCAATAATTATAGTGATTCAAGTGGGGACCTAGAAAATAGAAAAAAAACACCTTTAATCTTCTGCCAACACAATTAGATTAGCCGGTGGTATTTTGCAAATTCAATATTTTATGTTGAGTGACCAAACTTCCTTAAAAGTTTCCCAATCTAAACAGTATCATAATATATTGATCTTAATACATGGTCATACATTAGGTTGAACTATACCTCTTTGAGAATAGGAGTTCTGTCTTTATATTTGTATGACCAGTGACAAAGAAACTGTATAGCATGGTGGAGCTACTCAACTATGAAACTGATTTACTTTCTTGACTTCCATTCTGAATAAAATTTATCTAGTCACATCTTTGGCCTTCAAAGCTGCAATGCTGTATAAACGACACCTTGGACATATCTCAACTCAGTAACCACTTAGACTTATAGAATGTTGTTTTGTCTTGTCTACGTTTTGTCCTCTCCCCGCTCAAGTTTTTGATGCCAACCATCACAGATTCCTGAGAAGCAGACTGTGATTCAGAGATTGGGGTACAGGAAGTTTATCAGGAAATTCTCTTGGGGCCATACTTGATACAGGGAGGGATGAAAAGAAAGCAAGATTGGTCAGAGGTAGAAGTTGGGCTATCATGAGGCCTCATTGGAGGTCTCAGCCAGCCCAAAGGGAGCTCTAAAGTGGGATGGGTCTTTCAGAGTTGTCCTGAGTTAGGGCAATGTGGCCCCAGGCTTTTATGTCCTCATGTTGATCAATCATTGGATGAGGGTTGTCCCAGGAATAGGGCATGGGCTTGGGTGAGGTGGCTCTCTCCAGCCAAGACAATTCCCTAAGAGGGCTGGCTGCCAAAGGAGCAATCCCAGAAGCTGAGAGATCAAGACCCTATTCCTGCAGTGGGATCTGGGTGGCACGTCACAATACGTACTACACACACAGTCTTCCCTAAAAGGTAAATTTGAGATTGGATCTAAAGTGGTATGTTTTTAGTTTTTATATTCTACCAAGGGAGAACCCATGCTGTATTAAATTATTATAGAATTGACATTCAACACTTTTAGGTCTTCTAAAAGCTTCCGTCACAAGAGAAACTTGACAAGACAGCATGACTTGGATTCTCTGAGCTATGTAGTCATTGGGTTAGAGAGGAGACTGGAGATTATCCATATAATCAGTCCATATTTACGACTAATCTTTCCCCCTCATATTTGGTTATATGTGAAATGGCTGAAAACTTTTGCTCTTTTTTTACGAGTTGTTTCTTGAATTCTGAGTCAGCATTCTCTCAGAAAAATGTTATAGTTAAATTAGATAGTTGCCTATCATTTACTGTCTTCTCTATTGCATGCGTATTCTTATTCTTGTTTACATTAGCAATAAATAGCTCCTGGAGAGTATAATGATACTTTTATTTCCATCAAGCACTGTGATCACAGCTTCAGTCATATCATAACACATTGCTGTACCGAGCTAAGTTAATGACTCCTCAATACAGTGTAATAAACTCATAAATGAACGTTTATTCAATTTTTAGTAATTGTGGGTTAAGTCTTCCAGGAATGCATAAAATATAGAGCCTTCTGAGTTTATGATTATTTTTCTTGCTTTTAAATTAATTTAATTTGTTACCATATATCTGATGTATTTCAATTCCAATTCAGAGATGTTGAAGTCGAGTCTTGTTTAAAAATTCATTCTTTAATGTTTTTATGTTTATTTTTTGAAGTAAAAAAAAACCTATAACGTAATGTAGAGGTGGGGGCAAAAGCCAATTATATGTAAAAAAATCAATTTTCATCTCAATGATGTGTCTTATTTGAGGCTGTTCAAGCTTTTGAAGAGAAAATATATAATACTTAAGAAATTTGCTTCTCTGGGTAAAAGATGTTTGTTAAAATTATAAGCCATGAGCTTTCTAGTTAGCTATATTTCTGTATGTATGTCTTAAAGAAAGTGTTTCATTTTAAATGACCAGAAGAAAAATCCCTAAACAAAACAAAATAGGTTAATGACCAGTTACAGATGTAAGAATTTCCATTTTAAATTTTCTATAATTAAACCTAAGGCTGTTCTTTTCAAACATTTTAAAGCTTCATAATATTTTTACTCAAACACTGAAATATCAGTTGAAAAATAAAACATTCATTTTAGTTTAATATGGAGATTCATACTCCCCTCCAAAACTAGGTATTATTTTTTATTTTCTTTTCTAACTGAAAAGATACTTATGCAAAATCTCATATATATACATATATATACATACTTTTTTTTTTTTAATTATACTTTAAGTTTTAGGATACATGTGCACATTGTGCAGGTTAGTTACATATGTATACATGTGCCATGCTGGTGCACTGCACCCACTAACTCATCATCTAGCATTAGGTATATCTCCCAATGCTATCCCTCCCCCTTCCCCCCACCCCACAACAGTCCCCAGAGTGTGATATTCCCCTTCCTGTATCCATGTGATCTCATTGTTCAATTCCCACCTATGAGTGAGAATATGCGGTGTTTGGTTTTTTGTTCTTGAGATAGTTTACTGAGAATGATGATTTCCAATTTCACCCATGTCCCTACAAAGGACATGAACTCATCATTTTTTATGGCTGCATAGTATTCCATGGTGTATATGTGCCACATTTTCTTAATCCAGTCTATCATTGTTGGACATTTGGGTTGGTTCCAAGTCTTTGCTATTGTGATACACACATATACATACATATATACATATATATATACATACATATATACATACATATATACATACTTATACATACATACATATATACATATATACATGTATATACATATATACGTATATATACGTATATATATATAAAACTGTAATGGATAAGATGATAAATCTCTATGCATCACTCAATTTCATCATTTATCGTCATGCTCAATCTTGTTTTATGTCTACCCTACTCACTCTCCTTTGTCCCCACCCAGAATATTTTAATGTTTTATGATTTTATCTACATATACTTTAATATATACCTTAATAAGATAGGGGTTATTTAAGACACAGGAGCAGAGACTTATTATTATACCTAAAAGTTAATAATAATTTTCCAAGAGCATTGTATATCCAATAAGGTTGAAAATCTCTGACTATGTCAGTATTTTAAAAAAGATTATTAGTTTAAATCAGTATTCATGTAAGGCTTATACATTATAGTTGGTCGATAAAACTTTGAAGTCTCTTTTGCCATATAGGTATCCTCTCCATCTTCAATTTTTTTTAAATAGTCTCTTTGCTGAACAAATCAGCTGATTTATCTTGCACAGTTTTCCATAGTCTGGATTTTGCTAATTGCATCTTATATCAATTAACACATTCCATTGTCCTATTGCCTATAAATTGGCAGTAAGATCTAGAGATTTGATCAGATTTAATTTTTTGACAAGAATATTTCAGGTAATATGTTGTACATCTGTCAAGAAGCATGAAATACCTGGCTGACTTTTTTATTATTGACTATTATTTATTATAGATGTATTACATAATTATGATGTTGAAATATTAAAATTCTATCACTCCTACTTAATTTATTCGCTGAGATACTTCTATAAAGAAATACATCTCTTCATCAACTGTTTAGATATCCTGAGGTATATACAGTTTGTATACAGATACAATTTGCTTTATTTTTTCTCTATATTTGCAATTTTCAAAATAACAAATTGGTTCCCATTATACTTCAAATATGACCAGTGAATTTTTTAGTTGTTATCTACCACATTTTAAATATATTTAATGTGTTCATCCATAGATGCAATTAAACTTATTGATATTCAAGAGTCCCATCTTTGGCCAGCAGAAGCCTCTTTAAGTTGGCTTTTATGACCCTTTAACCCATCTGAAATATTCTTCAGTAGCTTTCTAATTTTCTACATGGCAAGAAGTGTCAGCCTATTTTATGTCAAAGATCTGGAATCAGTCATTGCTGCAGAATTATTGGAAATAGTATTAAAAGTAACAACCTGGGTGGTAGGAGTTGTTATTTGCTTATTGTGATATAAGCTACTTATTGCTATTAGGTTGGTCATCATTTCAGGGTTTTTCAGTGAACCGAGGTTTTTTGGTTACTAAATTATATCATAAGTTGATATTGACATATTCTACTCACTTTTAGTGCTATAAGGTTTTTTTTACTTAACTGCATTGATCTGATATGTGTTTCCTTTGTCTTATGCTGAAAATCTCAGTTCACAAAGAAACCAGTATAATCATTCATTTGCTTTATTTCATGATATACACATAATGGACACAGAGTAAAACATAAACACTGCCATCAAAAATACGATGACTAAAGTTTAAAAAAGTTTGCAGTTATGTTTGTACTTAGTTTACATCTCACCTAGCATATATAGTAGAGTTGTGGTGTTTCAAAGTCAATTAAAATAATTTTCACAGGCTGATATGGTCTGGGTCTGTGTCCCCACCCAAATCTCATCTTGAATTTTAATCTGAATTGTAATCCCAAAGCGTTGGGGAGGGACCTTGTGGGAGGTGATTCGATTTATGGAGGCAGTTCCCCCACGCTGTTGTTGTGATAGTGAGTTCTCATGAGATCTCATGGTTTTATAAGGGGTTTTCGCCCCTTTTGCTCTGCACTTCTCTCTCCTGCTGCCATTTGAAGAAGGAGGTGTTTGCTTCCTCTTCCACCATGATTGTAATTTTCTTGAAGCTTCCCCAGCCATGCAGAACTGTGAATCAATTAAAACCCTTTCTTTATAAATTACCCATTCTCAGATATTTCTTCATAGCAATATGAAAACAAATAACACATAGGGTAAGTTATGCTACAAACTCAATACATAGTTGGGTTAATTTGTTTTGTGTTGCTTTAAACTTTTATAACTTCCTTTTAAAAAATATTAAAGTTATTTACAATATTTTCATTGTTCCAAAGTCAAATATATAAACAAGGTATGTTCAGAAAAGTCTTGTCCTCTTGGCCCTATTCCTTATCTACTGTATAGATAATCACTTTGAAAATATTTTATTGATCTCTCCATAAGTATTTTATTTGGTATTTAGGAAAGTTGGTATTTTTGTTCTAACGTTTATTTTATACTAATATTCTTATACAATAACTGTAGTCCTTTTCTTTCTGAATGTTGTCTTTTAGTGTCCTATCACAAGCAATATTAAAAGTAGCAAATAGCCTATTTCCTCCCTCCCCATTCTTTCCTAACATTTAATGTAAAGCATTAATTTTTTGGTTAATAAACATAAGACAATCATTAATTTTGAAAATTAATTTTGATTAATCATTAATTTCATATACTTCAGTCTTTACTTTTATTATTTTTTTAGAGACAGGGTCTCTCTCTATCACCCAGACTGGAGTGCAGTGGCGTGATCATAACTCACTGTAAACTCAAACTCCTGGGCTCAAGCAGTCCTCTCACCTTGGCATCCCAGGTAGTTGGAACCACAGGTATGTGCTACCATGCCCACGTAAATTATTTTTATTTTCATTTTTATTTATTTATTTATTTCTGAGATGGAGTCTCGCTCTGTCCCCCAGGCTGGAGTGCAGTGGCGCGATCTCGGCTCACTGCAAGCTCTGCCTCCCAGGTTCAGGCCATTCTCCTGCCTCAGCCTCCTGAGTAGCTGGGAATACAGGTGCCCACCACCATGCCTGGCTAAGTTTTTGTATTTCCAGTAGAGACGAGGTTTCGCCATGTTAGCCAGGATGGTCTCAATCTTCTGACCTTGTGATCCACCCGCCTTGGCCTCCCAACGTGCCGGGATTACAGGCGTGAGCCACCGCGCCGGGCCCTATTTTTATTTTTAGAAGAGACAGCGTTTTGTTTATGTTGCCCTGGTTTCAAACTCCTGGCCTCATGTAGTCCTCCCACCTTGGCCTTCCAAAATGTTGGGATTACAGGCGTAAGCCAAAGTGCCTGGCCTACATTTGATGATAACGGTAAGAATATATAGCCATGACATACTATAATTTCTCTATTATAATTGCCATTTTGCTTTAGTTTTTCAGGTAAATATTTATCCAGTGTTCATCACTGGTCCTAACATCATTGTCATTCTAGTCATTTTGTTTGTCAGAATCCCATTCTTGTTAAATGCCTGAAGAAGGGTTTATGGGCACAATATTCTCTGAATTCTTAAATTTTCATGATGTTTTGTTATGGCTTTTATACTTGATGTCATTTGTGCTACATATAAAATCATTAGCTCACATTTTCTTCCTGAGTTTCTCAAATACTTTGCTATATTGTCTTCCATCATGAAATGTTGCTGGGAAAAAATAGCTGACAATCTGCTGTTGCCCTTATTAGTGACTTGGTCTTTTTGCCTGGCACCCAGTGGATTTCGTTTTATTTTTCTTTACGTTTCATCATATTATTAGTATATGTCTCTGTGTTGTTCATTCTGGTTGCAGTTTCAAGCAATAATTTTCTTTTCAAGTTAGGTTTTTGTTTATTTCCAAGTTTGTAGGATTAAAATTTTTTGTATTTGTTCTACTGCATTTTGCTGTTTTCCTTCCTATATATATATATACATATATATATATATATATATATGATTTTACTTTTACTTATTCTGTGTCTGTCACTGTCTCTTGTATCTTGTATATATCTTCATTTATTTTAACTTTCATAATTTTTCCATTTATCTTATTTCTCTTAGTATATTATCTCAAGTTCATTCTTGTGTTTCTTCTAGTTCATTCTTTAGATCTGGAAATCTTTTCCTTTTATTTCTAAATCTTTCCTATATTTTCCCAGCTATCTTTTCAAGTCTTTCTTTTCTCTAATAACATAAATTCTAAGTTTTTCTGCATCATATTTTTGTCAATATTTCATTGTTTTCTTAATTTATTATAGTTTATTTTTAAGTATTAGATTATAATTTTCATATTTTCAGGCAAATTTTCTGAGGTTTATTTATTTGTTTATAGGATCTTTTTGTGTATCTTATTCTATTTTTCTGAAACATAGATTTTGAATACTGTTTTATTATAATCCTTTTCTGTTATCCGTGTTTCAGGGTGATTATTTTTTCTCTATTCTTATAAGGAGACGTGGATCAGAATCATTTTCTTCACCTGACAGCTTCAGAATTCCTTCTCCTGTTATTTTCACAGTGTTAAAAATATGGCCCTGGGCTGGGCACGGTGGCTTATGCCTGTAATCCCAGCACTTTGGGAGGCCGAGGCAGGCAGATCACGAGGTCAGGAGTTCGAGGTCAGCCTGACCAACATGGTGAGACCCCGTCTCTACTAAAAATACAAAAATTAGCTGGGTGTGGTGGCACGCGCCTGTAATCCCAGCTACTCAGGAGGCTGAGGTGGGAGAATTACTTGACCCTGGGAGGCAGAGGTTGCAGTAAGCAGAGATCATGCCACTGCACTCCAGCCTGGGTGACAGAGTGAGACTCAGTCTCAAAAAAAAAAAACAAGAAACAAAAAACATATATATATATATATATATGAATGACCCTGTACTTTCCAAAATGTGGAGGCCCACTTTCACCTGGATCTGGTCTCTGTTTCTTCTCTTACTTAATTTGGATTCTACTTCCAGCAGTTTCTCCTCAGTGTTAACCTTTGCCCTGAAAGGAAGTTTTAGCTGATTAGTTTCCAGAGTTTAAAAGGCCCACACTGCTCCACCACCATTTGACCTTATTGTGGTTCTATTCCATTACCCAGCAAATTGGAGCCCATAAACTTCCCACCCATTTTTGGCTGCTGTACTCAGCGTGGCCTATTGAGCATTCTAGTTAGCACTGTTGGTTTTCTGGGTCTCATGGCCATCTGAAATCCTCTTGTTTTCTGTTTCTTCTTTTACAGTTGCGAGGCCACATGGATCTTGTTGTACTGGTAGCTTGTAGCTCCCAGTTTGTGTTTTTAGGTTTGGAGGATGCCTTGCAGCTACATTTTTCTGGAAGTAGTGTTTGGGCTTTTGGTCTTATTATTCTAGCTGTTCTGTCAGTTATTATGCAGAGTGGTGGGACTCAGACATATTCAGAAACCTTGCCACTATTATCACTTTACCAAGCTAGTGTTTTAAACATACATTTTACTCAAAATTTCTGATATGGAAAAACTATATGGAAACTTTGCATCATGAACTAACTCAGAGTTTCACTATGTAAAGAAATATTATATTTCTATTTAAATTAGCTATACAAAAGCTTCTGCAAAAATAGTGTTCTAGGAAAAAATAAGAATAAATCAATCCTGTACTTTAGTGTGGGGTAGTGGAGAACACACGGGCAATATCGTTAGGCTTGAATTTGGCACTCACCAATATCACTGAATAGTTTACCAGTAATTGCCTTACTGAGCCTCAGTGTCAGTGCTAGTGCCTAGCACATAGTAGGTAACTGATACATTTCATGAATAGATAATTAATTGAATTCATTTGATTCCTGGTACCTTCCTTGTCAGATTATTATGAAGTTAACAAACGATATGTGTAAAAATGATTGGATCATTACTTTCCGCACCACACATATCCATTTCTTGTCATTTCTTTGTTTTTCCTCTCAGTTATATTTTACACCTTGTATTTGCCTTTGATGGGATTTATGTTGTTTTTTCAGTTGTGGTATAATTGTACTGAACCATTTTATTCCTGTGTGTTCATGCATGAGGCTATCGATATGCTCATTTGTGAGACCATGTACACGCTCACGTGTAAGGACTGGCTTGTGTTCATACATGACAAGATGTGTGTGTTCACACAGAGAGTGTGTGTATGTGTTCATGAGGCCATGTGCCTGTGCACAGTATCCTTCTACGCTAATTATCTACATTTATTGTAGCCTTATATGGCAATATTTAAGTGAATTCCAGGTATAAAAAGGGTTAGAAATAAGCTCTGGTGACTCATTTATTTATGAAACTGCTGACAATCCTAGCTTTCTGTTGTGGGGGATTCTGGTTAGTAGATTATCATTTGACCTTAGAAAAATCTCAGACAACATCAGCAAGGCTTGGAAACAGCAAGGACACTTAACTGAGGCTTTTGATGCAGGCTTAGCTTGAGCAATGATAAGACTGGTGATTAGGAACAAGCAGAGGAATAAAATGCCAATTTTTAGAAAAGATCAACACTCACAACCATCGAAAAAGTGAAAGCTGACAGGCAATTGATTGCTTCACTCCATTTCCACTAACCATAAGGGCAATAAAACTGGATAGAGAAAAACAACTGATGGCTGCCTGGGCTTTGCCTAATAAAGAGAACAACCCATTTACCTAATAGAAGCCAGAAATATCCTTTCTCTTTCTCAATATTAGTTTCTAGATTCTTAGACCAGGCTCGGATCAAGCAAAAAGGTGAGCAAACGGCTGCCAGTGGAGAAGATGCTGCTTTTTAAGGTAACCAGGGCATTGTTCTCTGTTTCATGACTCCAAATTTCTAACATCCATTTGGAAATTAATTTCAGCAAATAAACAGGGTGGGAAGTAGGGAAGACTGGTAACTCCTTAAGCATCTTGGCAGCTGTAACCACATCAGATATGGTGCTCTAGGTAGGGGATGAAATAATAAAAATCTTGGTAGCACTGTATGCTGAGGATTTGAGTTTTCATGTACTTCATAATTTAAAGGTTTTAGAGATCGAAAAAATTGGCATGGAGAAAATTATGCTTAGCATGGTAGAATGTATAGATGAATGCCTGCTAAACACTGAAAATCAAAAAACAACCTGGGCTCGTAAATTTGTCTTCTGACTTTAAATCAGAGAAAGGATGTTCCACAAGCACCTAAACGGATATTGAACACAGGCATTGTCTATCCTGTCTGCTGGCAAATGTTAAGTTTGGGTAGAGTTTTTAAAAAGCATACAGGCAATTACATAGGGATAAAATTCCAAACAAATAAACAAGTTGAGTCTATAAAAAGAGCAACAAGTGACAGCAAACACAACAACAGATCTGCAAAATAAGAGAATGGGAATAGCATTTTAATTATTTCGAAGAGTAACACTGAAAAGGACTGATTTTTAGAATTCACACAGGAGCTAGAAAAACAACAATAGTAATGTCCTGCTTCAATAGTGTATTTGAAGGAAAGGAGATATTTTTGTAAAAAGTGGAACAAAATGAGGTAAAAAATGAGATGGTTAGCAAAGGAAGAAGTGTTACAAAGAAATAATGTAATAGCAGAATTAAAACTTATGCATAGTAGAATGGCATTGTTGGAAATACAATCAGTATAAAACAAAAGTGAAGTTATCCAAGAATATAAGGGAAAAGAATAAAGAGATTATCATGATAGAGATCATAATAGCAGAATAACAGAGAACAAAGACATATTCTAAAAAGTAAAGGTATTTCTGAATTAAAATAAAAACAATATTTAAGAATATAATAAAAAAATCTTTACTGAACCAAATAAAATATCTGAGGATGCAAACTTAAAAGACTTCCCATAACTAATGTAAAAATCTAAGGAAAGAGATACATCTCTAAACCTATACCACTAAAAGTTTTTAGGAAAGATTAAGAAAAAAATTAAGCCTTTATTGAGTTAGATTATTATTGTCTACGACGTAACAAACAAATCCGGTGGACCTTAGACTGCTCTTCTGCAATGTGACTTGCATAATAATAAATAAAACAGAATATTTGGAAAAAGTTAAATTTGGGGGAGAGAATGGGGATGATTTAACCTATAGTGATTGTCTTTTATATGTAAAGGCAAAAGGAAGTATCAATAGGTATGCAAAGATTGAGGAGGGAAGATATATTATCCACTATTATCCATATAATCTTCTTAAAGACCACTGAACATAATGCTTACTCAGAAATTAAATAACTTAAATATAAGAATATCAAGCTCACTTGAGTTCTTATTTGATACTAAATTAAGATATATGATCAGATTAGGAGTTGTCAGATCACTCTGTAATCTGGATTCAAATCTGTGGTCTGTATTTTACTAAATCATTCCCCTTTGGATTCTGAACATGTTTTTATACCTTAAGTGCTAAATCATGTGATTGATTTCATAGTTAAGGTATAATCTCTTGCTTTCTTTGAAGATCGCCTAAAATAATTTGGTTGTAACTATCAGCAGTATATATACATAAATACATAAATAGGTAAGTGTATATAAATACAAATATATAAAGAAATGTCTGCATATTTTTATAGGTGTCATGAACACAAGGGTTGCTGCCTAGAATTGAGTGGTTATGCCTCCACACATGTGACTAAAATGTTAAGAGGGAACTGAAATTTGGTCCTTGGTTCTCTCACAAGGTACACCCTAGCAGGGAGCTGTTCCTCCCTGGAGAAAGTCAATGAGGTGACTTTTCTTCATGAGAATTCCATGTCTTGTGGCCCCAGGGCTGTGTCCCACTGTAATTCATTTACCTAGGAAGGATGCCATTTGCTACTTCTCCTGGAGGCACCAAAAGGGCTACCAGTATGATACACTGTAGACAGAATTACTAAACAAACTGCTGTGTCTCTTCTTCCCACAAAAGTTGTTCAGAACAACATAAAGACCATTTTGATTGTGAAAGACCTTGAATAATGACTTTCTCCATCTTCAAATACAGACTGAATGACCTGGGTCATGCTATTTAATTAATAAAAAGTGGTAAATAAGCCAGTGACAGATTTTTATCCTATGACCAAGCTCCTTAACATATCACAGTTTATCTAAGCCCAGTAAGTGTCCTTGAGATAATAATACTTTAAAGGAATCAATAAAATGTGCTACATGCACTAGCACATGGGCTAAAAACAGGCTCTCCCTTAACAAGGGGACTTTATTAAATTTAAGCCCTCTGGTCTCACTTGACAAAAGTGACAGAAAAAAAGGCACATTTAAAGAAAGGAAAGATTGAGGGTGGGAAGGGTAGAGGAGGTAGATGGAAGGTGGGGGTGGGAAGGAACATTACACATGGTACCAAAAATGCAATGCTGACCCTGATAAAAAAAATCTACATGGGATTAATAAAAATATTATCAGTCCTTATTTGTGAAGTGAGGTTCTTAAAAATTCCTATTTTCAAATTTTGTATAAAAGTGAATGTATACCATTTTATAGTGTACCAATATAAAATCATGCCACGTGATTAGAACTCTGGGAGAAATATTTTCAGAACAAAAAGATTATAAGTAAATACTTCCATGGGTGGTTATTTTCCAAAGTGGCAAGACAATTGGATATTTTATTTTCTTCTATATTTCTGTAACTTTAAATTGTCTATAATTTGCCACATATTATTTTTAAAAAACAGAAAAATAACCTAGTATGCTTCATTCAAATTAAAAATATAGGAAATTTGTAACAAGACCTCAGAAATAAAGCCAATTCCATTTCACAGAACTGATGTGAATACTCTAGATCCGGTGCTGCTCTTCTGTTGTTATTTGTACAATACTTAGCTTATGACAATTCTTCATTTACAACCACAAAGAAATTCTATATAATGAAGCTCTTGTGCAAATATTGTCTTCATAAAATACTAGTTGAGGTTCTTTTTTTTCTTCAGATTTAATTTACTTTGGCTCTTTGTAAGCATGCTGATAATATTTTCATCTGTAATTTATAGGAAACATATTTGTACTTAAATGCTATTTTTTCTACATCAAAAATACCTAGGAAGGTTTTATAAATATTACCTATTAATCTTGACTACATTTTTGTGAAGTATGAAGCAACAGTGCTCAATCTCCATTTTAACTGAGCCAAGTGAGAGTTTAAAAGCTTTGCCTCAGTCAGTGGAAGTGCTGAATGGGGGCTTTTAGTCTCTGGCTACTAGCCATGTCATGAATGTGCCTGGAGAAATAAATCTGAAAAAACTATTTTTTCTTAAATTTGGTTTTCAAGCTCTTCAGGGACAGACTTGCTCAGGAGTCTTCTGCAGCCATCACCAGTGAGCTTCTGCACCACATGAGTGACCAAGACAGACTTACCATTCCCCTCACCTTGACTGAACTTTAGACAGGTTTCTTTCTGACTCTAGGTCTCTGGTCTCTCTTTCCTTACCGTGTTTACTTTAAAAAATCTGCTATTGTAAATTTTTTCTCTGCCCAGTTTGAGATGTAAATCTTCTACAACCCAGGAACGTCTTTCTCATGAACCTGGGACCCATTCCTTTGAAATGTGATCATCAAGAAAGATGATGCTCCCATTTCTCAGTCTCCGTGGGAAGGTAGGAGACTAAATTCAAGAAGCTCCAACTGGCAAACACAGATGACCTAATCATGCTGACTCACTCTGCCTTTAACATCCTTCAGTGCTTTTCCACAAACTCACCGTAGAGCTTAAAAATTCTCTTTCCTGTTTCCGTGGAGTTGAGTTCAATCTCTTCCCCCGTTGTAATAATCTTGAATAAAATTTTCCTTGCCTGTTTTAACTCTGCCTGGTATGACTTTTCTTTGACATGCCATATAATATATATTTATCAGGCCTGGAATCGTTGCATCAGAAATTACTAAGTCTAAAGCTTCAATTATTCTCTGAAACAATATGTTAACACAATAATGAAAGACCAATTTAATTTCCAATTGTGGGTCACAGCAGAGCCTTGTAGATTAAAGGGTATCTAAGGTGCATTTGCTGGCCACTTAGAACCTGCTTTCTATCCCTTCTTTACACTACTTACCATCCTGTTTTCATCAGAAGTCAGGGTTGCAGGAATAAAATGTTATTTCAATGTGTTCTTTTTTTTTTTCAGTTTCTCGTCCTTTGCTCTTCAGTAACATCAAACCTGGTCTCTACAAGAACATCCCCACTTCCAAAAGACCACTGTATATATCTTCTAGGACTGGCACATGCTTTTGAGCTTAAAAAAGGTATAGGTTGGTAATTAACATACCCTTTTAAATGTGTCCCCTCCAAAGTTCATGAGTTGGAAATTTAATCCCCAATGCACCAGTGTTGGGAGGTGGGGCCTAATAAGAGGTGATTGGATCATGAGGGTAGGGCCTTCATGAATGGATTAATGTTACCTCAAGTGTGGAATAGTTATCATGAGAGTGGGTTGTTGAAAAGTGAGTTTGGTCTCTGGTGCCTCTCTGTCTTGTCTGTCTTTTGTGCCCACTTCTACCTTCTGCCATGAAATGATCCTCACCAGACACCAGTGCTACTTTTTGGATTTCCCATCCTTCAAAACTATAATCCAAGTAAAGTTTTTTTCTTTATAAATGACATTTTATTTATAGTTTAGTTTATTTACAATTTATAAAGAAACTTCTTTATAAATTTCTTTCACATTTCTTTATAAATGTCCCAATTTGTAGTATTCTGTTAAAGTAGCAGAAAACGAACAAGACAATGCCCATCTCCTCATCTAGACTGTAAGCCTTATGAGGACAGAGATATTGTATATTTTTGTTTATTTTGACTCAAGCAATGTCTTCTCTAGTCCCACGTTAGAACAACCATCCATCTGAGATTTTGAGATTCTGGTAGGTCCACCCTCTCTGTTAGGGCTTTTTTGATCCTCTTTAAGGTCCTTTGTGAGGTCTAAATTTGTTCCAAGAGCACTACGAATGTTTGCACCATTGGTGATTAGGTCAGTACATTCTCAATGCTGCTCCATCTACAACTCCCCTTTAAAGTCTCCCAGAGAATTACACACCTAGGAACATATGTCAGCCTATCTCAGTGGATCTCTTTAAGCTCCTTCATTTGGATGAAGGTGAGTAGGAGAGAATCTCCTTTTGAAGTAGAAAGAACAGCCCAATGGTATGTCACTATATTTCTTTAAAATACAAACACACACACACACACACCCTCATATATACTTAAAATCTCTATATATTTCTACTTTATAAATCTTTTAATATATATATCTCAATATAATATCTCTATGGAGTCTTTATATAATCTATATAAAATATATCATAATCTCATTGTATATAATATGGAATATATTTAACTAAATATATATTCTATTAAGCTATATATAACTAGATATATTTAACTTAAAAGCTCTATTATATTAGTTATAGATTAATTTATATAATCTATAATCTTACTCTGCATGGTATACTATATAGTATATGCTATATACTCTATATTTTTAGTGAATTATTTAGTATATATTATGTAGCATATATTATACAATTTACATGTATACTTGTATACTAATATATTTTCAATAGTTATTCACTATATGTTATATACAAAGTATCATTAATTTGTGACATATTATACATAAGAATATCTATTTCTATATATTATATAATCTTTATTACATAATACATCATCTATCTCCATTTTTATCTTGTTGAACTGCTTGAGAGTAGTTTACAGGCATCATGACACTTTGTCCTAAATACCTCACATGTATCTTCTATCTATGAGGATGCTCTTCTCATAGGATGCCCTTGATCGTTTTCACACTCAAGAAATTTAATAGTGATATAATACGATTACATAATATACAGCCTACATTTCCATTTCTAAATATCCAATAATATTCTTCATCGCTATATTTTTAAAAGAAAATTCAGAAAATAATAAAAATAATCACTCACCAAATTTAGTTGTCTGATCACTTTGGTCTTCTTTACTCTCTTTCTAGGACAGTTTCCCTTCTTGCCCGCTTCCTGCTCTTCTTTTTTGCTCTAAGACATTAATATTTTTGAAGGCCAGTTATCTGGATCTGACTTATTATTTTCTCATGTTAAGTTCCAAGTAAACTTTTTTGTCAAGAGTCCTACATAGATAACTGTGTGTCCCTTCTGTGGCATCACAGTAGGGGATATATAATGTCAATTTTCTTCAATATTGGGGAAGCTCTATAACAACACTTGGTAAGGTGGTATCTACCAGATCTCTCTATAGTGTAGTTATCTTTCCTTTTGTAATTAGTAGGTAATCTGGTGGTTATAATTTAGATGGGGTGAAAATCCTGTTTCCCAACCACCATTCATCTAAATATCTTAGCATCAACTTCTTGTCTGAGTCAGTTATTAAGTGACGGCTACAAACTGGGCTCCATCCTCTTTGCTGAGAATGGACAGTCCATTACTGTCATCAGTAATCTAGCATTTGGGTTGTGGGCACTTTGGCACCTATTTCTCGTTCTTAGTCTTTGGTGTCTTATCCTAAGTTAATGGAGATAGAATTCCAGCACAGCATCCTGATACTATTGTTATTATTGTTATTCTTTTAGAACAGAGACTTTTTGCTAATTTTCATTATATACACTGCAGATGCCAGCATAGTTCCTTCAAAATGGTATGTGTCCAATAAATTACGTCAGTTCAACTAAATGTGAAAGATACTGTGCATGCATGAATATATATCTTTACATTAGAATATCACATTGGCCCTATAGAATAGAAAATCCTGGATTAAAAGAATACATCAATTTGACATTTTAAGCAACTTGATTGTGCCTAAAATATTTGGCAGTTGGGAGGTAGTATAATGTAATGGTTAAATGTAGTCTTTAGATTTAGACAGCTGTGTGACTTTGAGAAAGCTCTTTAAATTTCTGTGTCTGATTTTCCTAATACTTAAAATAGGACTAACAATATCCATTTCTCAGGGAAATTTTAAGGTGAAATGATATAATGTAGAAATCATTTGGCATAATGCCTGATACAGGCCTATATCTGAAACAAGGCACTTGGTAAATGGTAGCTAATGTTATTGTTTCTACTGCTTTAATAGAATTTAATTCTGAATTATAATTAAAGTGTTACTTCTCTGTTAAATATATTATTTATGCATCCTTTTGAGTATGTACAAATACTATATCCAATTAACAAGTAAAATATAAGCCAAATGTTAAAATTTGACACTATCTGTTGGCTCTTCTATGCTGCAGACATTTGTGAGTATTCTTTATGGCTTTTGTTTATAGCAGATACTTACAAATTTTAAAGAATCACATTGTAGGTTCCTAAAAATACAGCTGATTCTCTTTCAAGTCATGACATGTAATTTTTTCAAAAGCCTTTCTAGAGAAAAAAATGTAGGTTGTTTGGGGCTTATTTTCCCAAACATGGTGTCTCGTTTTTTTCTGTAACTTCACTTCTCATGATGGCCTTTTTACCTTCCTGACAGACTGCCCCAGAAAGGTCTGCTCCTTTGACTCTCCTTATTCATCTCTTTCTTTCTTACTAAGACATCCGGATTCACTTTGTCGCTTTCTTCCAGGAACACAGCACTCACAATTTTCTGTAGCTCTTTTACTTCTTCTTTAGCAATTTCACTTTGCCAAGCTGTGTGTACTGCTCTCTGAAGAGTTAACACAGAGTCCATCTGGTACCTCATAACAGCATGCCTTTTAGTCTACATTTTATCATAAATTATCTTCTCATACTGCACAGAGTCCTTGCAGTGTTCAGCCAAACTGAAACAAGCTTTCTGAAGCCCATCCTGGGTTGCCTGTTCTTAATGGTTTTGTCTTCACTTTGAACAGGGTTACTGCACCTTAGAGCAAAATCAGCTTTGAAGCCATGGAATTTTTAATGACTCCTAATGTAATGGAGAGTTCACCATGAAAACTTGAATGGGAATATTTATACACATTTTATTTAAATTAAGCTGGTTACTCAGCTTATAAAACTTTCTAGAATCATCCTCTGTTTATTTTCTTCCCTCACGAGGTGATCTGGGATAAAAATAAATCTTCAGAGACTCGGGTGCTCGTGGGAAATGGGCATGAGAGAGTCCACCTGGAAATCGGGAAATACTGACAAGCAGAAAGAAGGAGGTTCTGAGAGGAAATGTCATTTAATTTGCCTCATCTTTCTTTTCTTTTTGTCCTGATTTTCTTTTGGGGAAACCAGGATTCTATGCACATAATATAAAAGAAAAGACAGAAAAAAAAACATTTTGGAAAGAAATATACTTGTATATGTGTGTGGTACATGTGTGTGACCACAGCAGGATGTTAATATACAAACAACTCTCTACCCCAAGAAATTTTCTATTAAATATTTGTTTCACTATGATTTGCATGTATCTGAACTAAACCTTATCTGTGGTTTCAATTACCCGTGGTCAACTATGGTCAAAAATATCAAATGAAAAATACCAGAAATTCACAATACATAAGTGTATTGTGTATTGAATTGCATGCCATTCTGAGTAGCATGATGAAATCATGTGCCACCGTGCTCTGTCCTGCCCGGGATATGAATTATCTCTTTGTCTAGCAGATCCATGCTGTCTATGCTGCCAGCCAATAGTCACTTAGTAGCCGTCTAGGTAATCGTATCAGCTGTCACAATATCGCAGTGCTTGTGTTTAAGTTACCCTTATTTTACTTAATAATGGCCTGAAAGCCCAGAGAGTGATGCTGGTAATTCAGAGCTGCCAACAAAAAGCTGTAAAGTGCTTCCTTTAAATGAAAAGGTGAACATTCTCAACTTAATAAGGAAAGAAAAAAAAATCAATTGCTGAGGTTGCTAAGATCTTTGGTAAAAATAAATCTATGTATGAACAGTATGTAGTTATAATTGTTCCATTATATTATTAGTTATTGATAATCTCTTACTGTGCCTAATTTATAAATTCTTTATCATAAGCATGTATGTATAGGTTAAAAAAAACAATAGTATATATAGGGTTCGGAAATATCCATGGTTTCAGGCATCCACTGAGGGTATTGGGACATACACCCAGCAGATAATGGGAGACTGCTATACTACAGAACTTACGTAATCAACTACACACCTTTGAAAACACATATTTGTTGAGAGTAAACAAGGTTCTAACTTATTGGCACCACCTTATGCTGGCTGTCTGCTCTGGAGACCCAAGGCGAGGCTGCCTGTGAGTGAGTTGATGAGTGGATAATACCAAATTATGCTGAAGAGCTGGGTTCTGCTGTATTAAAATTTCTTCTAGACTAGGGCAATAAATTCTCCTAGAGGAACCAATACATGATTTGTGTATGTGAAAACTTGGGAACTTGAAATAATCTTTTTGATTAGGTTGTATTTATAATGTCAAACTTTTCTTTCAGTCCCAGAGTTAGTTTAGACCAAAAAAAAAAAAAAAAAGTCTACTGAGTGGCTTTCCATCAATTTCTGACAGAAGTATGGTTGGCTGTCTCAGGCCATGATTTTGCTTAAGGTTTTCATGCTGAAAATGCTTCCACCTAGAGAGTGATCTGAGGACAGACACCAGGCACTGTACATACAGGGAGCACGTTGGTGGACAAATGTCCAGCTGTCTCACCTAGGCTTTTCAACTTCCTTGAATTGGGCACCAGGGAAGGAGAAAAAGGAGGAAAGGCTAGAGTTTTAGTGAGTTTGGGCCCAGCAAGGGGATAGGGGACATCAGAACGGCAGCATCTTAGCAGTGGTGTTTCTATGTACATATACTCAACCCTGAGGGTAGGCAAAGATTTTGTTGTTTTGAAAGGTGACTGATCTGAACCTAAGACATTTCTCATGTCTTCACTCCAACCAGTCTCTCTGGTTTACCTATTTGATTTGATCACTGCCTTCTCTTGTCCTGATTTGGTGCCCCTTTCTTTCTCTTCTCCCAGCCAGTTGTCATGCATGGTTTTGTTATATGCTTGGCTTGTCTCTATAGCCTGAAGGTTTCCTTCTCTTGGTTTCCATTCTGTAGATCCCAACCTTGATCCGCTTTAAGTCCTAGGTCAGAGCCTGGTTGAGTCACTGTGTCTCTCTAGTAAGGATGTGTGATGTTGGGTGGTAAAGTTGGGTCAGATGTCCTTTTTCCTCGTGTTCAGATAGAAATTGGCATTGCTTGCATTTACATTGCCAGTGCTCTGGCTCTGAAGACTTAGATTCTGACACACACACACACACACACACACACACACACACACACACGCAGAGGTTTTACAGAAATATGGAAATGTTGGGTCTAGTGCTAGTATTTATGTGATGTAAGAGTATAATTAAATTATTAACTGAAGTAATAATTGGCTACTTTGTCAGATCTAATGGACACTGGACCATTTCTTAACTTCCCACTCTGTTCTTTGTCTGCGCTTTTTTTCTCTTGACTTTTGTGATAACACTTTCATATTTTCTCCTATCTCACTTTTTGCTAGCTTCTTTTTCTCAACTGGAACATTAAATATTGTAGAGCCTGTGGGCATTGTCCTAGGTTCTTTTCTTTTTATTGTCTCTTCCTATCTCATCTCATTCTCTCCTAGGGCTCTGCAAGCTATCTATGCCCATAGCTCACAGATTTTTGTTTCCAGACAAGACTATCCCACTGAATGGCTCATCCTAAAACCTAAATCCTATCAATTCTTCTCTTTTCCGTACCACCTACATCTGTCTATGAACAAGTCCTGTCACTTCTCTGCCCACTTCCCCCTGCATCAGCCCCAGACCATCCCATTCTCCCCTAAAACACCATCATCTTTCACTAAAACTGCTGCAACAGTCTTCTAACATGTTTTCTTCCTTTTATTCTGTATGACCTCCAATATCCATACGAAAATAAGTGATTAAAAATGTATGTAGATTTATGGAACTCTCCTATTTAAAACATTTTACCGAGTTCCTGTTTTACCTAGAGTAAAATACATTGTTGACAAGGCCATGATCTGACTCCTACCAACCTTGTTAGTTACATGCTGTAGTTCTGTCTCCCTAACTCACTCCTGTTTAGGTGCACGACCATCCTTTCTGGCCTTTAAATTTATCAAACTCTTTCATACTTGTCTTTGCACTTGAAATTCCCTCTTTGGAAAGCTTGGCTCTTGGCTTAGTACACTGTTGTTTCTCTTTCATCCATCTTCTTTCATCACTGTTGTTTATTTTTCATCCTTAGCACACTGTTGTCTATCTTAATACACTGTTGGTTTTCTTTGTCCAGCTTATCCAAAGTGTACCTCCACTTTGTCAATCTCTATTCTATCACTAACCTTTTTATGGACTTCATACTTATCACTCTCTCTAATTATCTACTCGCTGTTTATTTTCCATTCATTCATCTCCACTGTCCTGTCTTCCCATAAGGCAAGCATTGTGAGCACAGGGTATTTGTCTGTCTTGCTTATAGTAATATTCCTAGGGATAGTAGTTTCTTGCATCTATAAGGTACTCAATAAAATGTTGATGAATGAATGCATGAGAAGTTAAGTATAGCCACTCTGGCTTCTCAGGATAACAGACTTTTTTTTTTTATTATTTAGGTAAAATTTTCCTTTCTTTCTTCTTTCCTTTTTTTGGTAGAAGGAGGAATTGCTGAGAGAGTATTAGCAAACAGACAAGGGTAAGAGTCCATGGAACTCTTTATCATGCTAAAATATATTGTAGCCTAAATATGTTTGGAAATCTTTGTGTAAGAAGTTTCTTGTTCACCTCTACGGTGAGTTTTAGTGTGTTTCCTGTTATTTCATCAGATCACAAAAATGAAAATTCACAGCTTTTAGAAGAATCTGAAACAAGGCTAGTTTTTTTTTATGTGCTGCCTCCAGTTATATCAGGATTTTACCGCAAGAAAATAATGATCAGAGTTAATGAGGAGTTAACAGTGCAAGCCAATCTGAATAAAAGCCAAACACAAATACCTAGCATAGGTTTTTTGTAAATCCAAAATTCAAAAATCTCTGAAAAGTGAAAAGATTTTTTAAATGTTCGTGGCAAACTCTTTTTGTAAAAAATCCTGACCTGGCTATAGAGACCCTCCTGGCTAACACGGTGAAACCCCGTCTCTACTAAAAATACAAAAATTAGCCAGGTGTGGTGTTGGGTGCCTGTAGTCCCAGCTACTCGGGAGGCAGAGGCAGGAGAATGGCATGAACCTGGGAGGCGGAGCTTGCAGTGAGCCGAGATGGCACCACTGCACTCCAGCCTGGGCGACAGAGTGAGACTCCGTCTCAAAAAAAAAAAAAAAAAAAAAAAAAAAAAAATCCTGACCTGAACTTACAAGAGGCAATTTCAAGTCTTTATTTATCCCCAAATTCATGTTTCCCTGGAGAAATGTTAATGTTTTTAGTCAATATAATAAGATATTTATAGCTTATGTGCATGAAGATCCACATCTCCAGGGTGCTTTGAGGGCCTTCCAAATAAAGGTGTCATGCTTTCCGGGCTAAACTCAAGATTGGTTCTTCTGTGGTGTCCCAGAATTACGTTGTATTATTGGATTCAAAATATGTGCTACTTCCTTTCATCACTTATTATATAAGTAAGCACTTGTTAAGGTGAGGGACAAATGTTTTTGTCCAGGAATTGAAAACATATAAGCTTCTAGTAGCAGTTATTTGGAGCAAGAAAATAAGTTTCTTTTTAGTAATGATATGCAGTGCTTTAGAGGAGATGGTAATGAATAGAATGAGATGGTGGTACATGGAATGAACAAATATAGGCAGTAATAAAACATACCTTACAGTCTTAATGGTTTTTTAAATGAATAACAAGTGGTGACAAGGTCTGGGGTATGATCCAAGTTGAATTGGCCATCACTGATTACCAGGTATTTTTTGTTTGTGCTTGGCTTTCATACAAATTGGCTTGCAATTACGCCCAGATTCAGTCAACTGCAAACTCAAACTCAACAATTTCCAGCATGGACAACTCTCCATGAACTCTGACCATCATTTCATTGCAGCTGAATCCTTGTCTATCTGGAGGGGATACGTGGGGAACCAACCTTGTTTCAGGTTCTACTGAGGGATATTTATGTCCTGAGGTGCTGTGGCCACAATTAGTCAATCCCATGTTTGGTATTTTTTACTTCTAAGGATTCAGGACTACATGTTTGATGGCTGGTAGATTGTTTGACATCTGGTGCTATTGAAAGCAGTATTAGTTCCAAGGAAAAAAAAATAGACTGTCAGTGCATTTTATTTTCTTTCCTACATCTGGTGCTTTATTCCTTTTTTTGCTTCTTCAATCTGTCCCTAATGGACCCTGGAACTTAGAAACCAAAAGTTAAAAATAGAAGCTTTCAGTGACACTAAGAAAAATGACTCTGGGTTGGTAAATATTACTGTCCTAAAGAAGTGAGAGTAAAGTGCTTGATTCAAAACATTTAAATAGAATTTGTGAGTTCTCAGTGTGTTCAAGATGATGATCTCCTAGATGGGAAATATCACCTTCTGAATAAAATAATCAAGAGCAGTTTACTATTTCCTTTTCCCTACTGTTGTATATTTTATAGGAACAAAGAAAATAACTTCTGTCAGTAATTTCAAATACTACTTTTTGGAGGTAAAATACACATACAGTGAAATGTATGTATCTCAAGTGAATAATTCTATGAGTTTTGATAAATGTGTACACCTGTCTAACCCACACCCCTATCAAGAGGTAGAATATTTCCATCAACTCAGAAAGTGTCCCTCTGTTCAATAAATTTTCCACTCTCAAGAAGCAAATGCTTTTCAGATTTTTATTATGATAGATAATTTTTATCTATTCTTGAACTTTATGTAAGTGGAATCATTATGATATACAGTGTTTTGTATCTAGCTTTCTTTGTTCAACATGTTTTTGAGATTCATCCATGTTGTTTTGCGTAGCCATACTTTTTCCATTTCTATTGCTGAGAAGTATTTTATTGTGGGAATATAACAGGTCTATTTTTTTAAGTCTATTTTGTTGATGGGTATGTGGGTTAGCATTATTTCTAACACAGGCTTTATTATGAATAAAGCTGCTTGAACATTCTTGTACAAGTCTTTTTGTGTATCTGTGTTTTCATTTTATCTGTATAAATATCCAGAAGTAGAACTGTTAGGCAATAGAATAAATGTGTGTTTAGCTTTGTAAGAAACTGCCGGAGGAGGAGCCAAGATGGCCGAATAGGAACAGCTCCGGTCTACAGCTCCCAGCGTGACCAACGCAGAAGACGGGTGATTTCTGCATTTCCATCTGAGGTACCGGGTTCATCTCACTAGGAAGTGCCAGACAGTGGGCGCAGGCCAGTGGCTGCGCGCACGGTGCGCGAGCCGAAGCAGGGTGAGGCATTGCCTCACCTGGGAAGTGCAAGGGGTCAGGGAGTTCCCTTTCCGAGTCAAAGAAAGGGGTGACGGACGCACCTGGAAAATCGGGTCACTCCCACCCGAATATTGCGCTTTTCAGACCGGCTTAAGAAACGGCGCACCACGAGACTATATCCCACACCTGGCTCGGAGGGTCCTACGCCCATGGAATCTCGCTGATTGCTAGCACAGCAGTCTGAGATCAAACCGCAAGGCGGCAGCGAGGCTGGGGGAGGGGCGCCCGCCATTGCCCAGGCTTGCTTAGGTAAACAAAGCAGCCTGGAAGCTCGAACTGGGTGGAGCCCACCACAGCTCAAGGAGGCCTGCCTGCCTCTGTAGGCTCCACCTCTGGGGGCAGGGCACAGACAAACAAAAAGACAGCAGTAACCTCTGCAGACTTAAATGTCCCTGTCTGACAGCTTTGAAGGGAGCAGTGGTTCTCCCAGCACGCAGCTGGAGATCTGAGAACCGGCAGACTGCCTCTTCAAGTGGGTCCCTGACTCCTGACCCCCGAGCAGCCTAACTGGGAGGCACTCCCCAGCAGGGGCACACTGACACCTCACACGGCAGGGTATTCCAACAGACCTGCAGCTGAGGGTCCTGTCTGTTAGAAGGAAAACTAACAAACAGAAAGGACATCCACACCAAAAACCCATCTGTTCATCACCATCATCAAAGACCAAAAGTAGATAAAACCACAAAGATGGGGAAAAAACAGAACAGAAAAACTGGAAGCTCTAAAAATCAGAGCGCCTCTCCTCCTCCAAAGGAACGCAGCTCCTCACCAGCAACAGAACAAAGCTGGATGGAGAATGACTTTGACGAGATGAGACAAGAAGGCTTCAGACGATCAAATTACTCTGAGCTACGGGAGGACATTCAAACCAAAGGCAAAGAAGTTGAAAACTTTGAAAAAAACTTAGAAGAATGTATAACTAGAATAACCAATACAGAGAAGTGCTTAAAGGAGCTGATGGAGCTGAAAACCAAGGCTCGAGAACTACGTGAAGAATGCAGAAGCCTCAGGAGCCGATGCAATCAACTGGAAGAAAGGGTATCAGCAATGGAAGATGAAATGAATGAAATGAAGCGAGAAGGGAAGTTTAGAGAAAAAAGAATAAAAAGAAATGAGCAAAGCCTCCAAGAAATATGGGACTATGTGAAAAGACCAAATCTACGTCTGATTGGTGTACCTGAAAGTGATGTGGAGAATGGAACCAAGTTGGAAAACACTCTGCAGGATATTATCCAGGAGAACTTCCCCAATCTAGCAAGGCAGGCCAATGTTCAGATTCAGGAAATACAGAGAACACCACAAAGATACTCCTCGAGAAGAGCAACTCTAAGACACATAATTGTCAGATTCACCAAAGTTGAAATGAAGGAAAAAATGTTAAGGGCAGCCAGAGAGAAAGGTCGGGTTACCCTCAAAGGGAAGCCCATCAGACTAACAGCAGATCTCTTGGCAGAAACCCTACAAGCCAGAGAGAGTGGGGGGGGGGGGGGGCAATATTCAACATTCTTAAAGAAAAGAATTTTCAACCCAGAATTTCATATCCAGCCAAGCTAAGCTTCATAAGTGAAGGAGAAATAAAATACTTTACAGACAAGCAAACGCTGAGAGATTTTATCACACCAGACCTGCCCTAAAAGAGCTCCTGAAGGAAGTGCTAAACATGGAAAGGAACAACCAGTACCAGCCGCTGCAAAATCGTGCCAAAATGTAAAGACCATCGAGACTAGGAAGAAACTGCATCAACTAACGAGCAAAATCACCAGCTAACATCATAATGACAGGATCAAATTCACACATAACAATATTAACTTTAAATGTAAATGGACTAAATTCTCCAATTAAAAGACACAGACCGGCAAATTGGATAAAGAGTCAAGACCCATCAGTGTGCCATATTCAGGAAACCCATCTCACGTGCAGAGACACACATAGGCTCAAAATAAAAGGATGGAGGAAGATCTACCAAGCAAATGGAAAACAAAAAAAGGCAGGGGTTGCAATCCTAGTCTCTGATAAAACAGACTTTAAACCAACAAAGATCAAAAGAGACAAAGAAGGCCATTACATAATGGTAAAGGGATCAATTCAACAAGAAGAACTAACTATCCTAAATATATATGCACCCAATACAGGAGCACCCAGATTCATAAAGCAAGTCCTGAGTGACCTACAAAGAGACTTAGACTCCCACACAATAATAATGGGAGACTTGAGCACCCCACTGTCAACATTAGACAGATCAATGAGACAGAAAGTCAACAAGGATACCCAGGAATTGAACTCAGCTCTGCACCAAGTGGACCTAATAGACATCTACAGAACTCTCCACCCCAAATCAACAGAATATACATTTTTTTCAGCACCACACCACACCTATTCCAAAACTGACCACATACTTGGAAGTAAAGCTCTCCTCAGCAAATGTAAAAGAACAGAAATTATAACAAACTATCTCTCAGACCACAGTGCAATCAAACTAGAACTCAGGATTAAGAATCTCACTCAAAGCCGCTCAACTACATGGAAACTGAACAACCTGCTCCTGAATGACTACTGGGTACATAACGGAATGAAGGCAGAAATAAAGATGTTCTTTGAAACCAACGAGAACAAAGACACAACATACCAGAATCTCTGGGACGCATTCAAAGCAGTGTGTAGAGGGAAATTTATAGCACTAAATGCCCACAAGAGAAAGCAGGAAAGATCCAAAATTGACACCCTAACATCACAATTAAAAGAACTAGAAAAGCAAGAGCAAACACATTCAAAAGCTAGCAGAAGGCAAGAAATAACTAAAATCAGAGCAGAACTGAAGGAAATAGAGACACAAAAAACCCTTCAAAAAATCAATGAATCCAGGAGCTGGTTTTTTGAAAGGATCAACAAAATTGATAGACCGCTAGCAAGACTAATAAAGAAAAAAAGAGAGAAGAATCAAATAGACGGAATAAAAAATGATAAAGGGGATATCACCACCGATCCCACAGAAATACAAACTACCATGAGAGAATACTACAAACATCTCTACGCAAATAAACTAGAAAATCTAGAAGAAATGGATAAATTCCTCGACACATACACTCTCCCAAGACTAAACCAGGAAGAAGTTGAATCTCTTAATAGACCAATAACAGGAGCTGAAATTGTGGCAATAATCAATAGCTTACCAACCAAAAAGAGTCCAGGACCAGATGGATTCACAGCCGAATTCTACCAGAGGTACAAGGAGGAACTGGTACCATTCCTTCTGAAACTATTCCAATCAATAGAAAAAGAGGGAATCCTCTCTAACTCATTTTATGAGGCCAGCATCATTCTGATACCAAAGCCAGGCAGAGACACAACAAAAAAAGAGAATTTTAGACCAATATCCTTGATGAACATTGATGCAAAAATCCTCAATAAAATACTGGCAAACCGAATCCAGCAGCACATCAAAAAGCTTATCCACCATGATCAAGTGGGCTTCATCCCTGGGATGCAAGGCTGGTTCAATATACGCAAATCAATAAATGTAATCCAGCATATAAACAGAGCCAAAGACAAAAACCACATGATTATCTCAATAGATGCAGAAAAAGCCTTTGACAAAATTCAACAACCCTTCATGCTAAAAACTCTCAATAAATTAGGTATTGATGGGACGTATTTCAAAATAATAAGAGCTATCTATGACAAACCCACAGCCAATATCATACTGAATGGGCAAAAACTGGAAGCATTCCCTTTGAAAACTGGCACAAGACAGGGATGCCCTCTCTCACCACTCCTATTCAACATAGTGTTGGAAGTTCTGGCCAGGGCAATCAGGCAGGAGAAGGAAATAAAGGGTATTCAATTAGGAAAAGAGGAAGTCAAATTGTCCCTGTTTGCAGACGACATGATTGTATATCTAGAAAACCCCATCATCTCAGCCCAAAATCTCCTTAAGCTGATAAGCAACTTCAGCAAAGTCTCAGGATACAAAATCAATGTACAAAAATCACAAGCATTCTTACATACAAACAACAGACAAACAGAGAGCCAAATCATGAGTGAACTCCCATTCACAATTGCTTCAAAGAGAATAAAATACCTAGGAATCCAACTTACAAGGGATGTGAAGGACCTCTTCAAGGAGAACTACAAACCACTGCTCAAGGAAATAAAAGAGGATACAAACAAATGGAAGAACATTCCATGCTCATGGGTAGGAAGAATCAATATCATGAAAATGGCCATACTGCCCAAGGTAATTTACAGATTCAATGCCATCCCCATCAAGCTACCAATGACTTTCTTCACAGAATTGGAAAAAACTACTTTAAAGTTCATATGGAACCAAAAAAGAGCCCGCATTGCCAAGTCAATCCTAAGCCAAAAGAACAAAGCTGGAGGCATCACACTACCTGACTTCAAACTATACTACAAGGCTACAGTAACCAAAACAGCATGGTACTGGTACCAAAACAGAGATATAGATCAATGGAACAGAACAGAGCCCTCAGAAATAATGCCGCATACCTACAACTATCTGATCTTTGACAAACCTGAGAAAAACAAGCAATGGGGAAAGGATTCCCTATTTAATGAATGGTGCTGGGAAAACTGGCTAGCCATATGTAGAAAGCTGAATCTGGATCCCTTCCTTACACCTTATACAAAAATCAATTCAAGATGGATTAAAGATTTAAACGTTAGACCTAAAACCATAAAAACCCTAGAAGAAAACCTAGGCATTACCATTCAGGACATAGGCATGGGCAAGGACTTCATGTCCAAAACACCAAAAACAATGGCAACAAAAGACAAAATTGACAAATGAGATCTAATTAAACTAAAGAGCTTCTGCACAGCAAAAGAAACTACCATCAGAGTGAACAGGCAACCTACAAAATGGGAGAAAATTTTCGCAACCTACTCATCTGACAAAGGGCTGATATCCAGAATCTACAATGAACTCAAACAAATTTACAAGAAACAAACAAACAACCCCATCAAAAAGTGGGCGAAGGACATGAACAGACACTTCTCAAAAGAAGACATTTATGCAGCCAAAAAACACATGAAAAAATGCTCATCATCACTGGTCATCAGAGAAATGCAAATCAAAACCACTATGAGATACCATCTCACACCAGTTAGAATGGCAATCATTAAAAAGTCAGGAAACAACAGGTGCTGGAGAGGATGTGGAGAAATAGGAACACTTTTACACTGTTGGTGGGACTGTAAACTAGTTCAACCATTGTGGAAGTCAGTGTGGCGATTCCTCAGGGATCTAGAACTAGAAATACCATTTGACCCAGCCATCCCATTACTGGTTATATACCCAAATGACTATAAATCATGCTGCTATAAAGACACATGCACACGTATGTTTATTACGGCACTACTCACAATAGCAAAGACTTGGAACCAACCCAAATGTCCAACAATGATAGACTGGATTAAGAAAATGTGGCACATATACACCATGGAATACTATGCAGCCATAAAAAATGATGAGTTCATGTCCTTTGTAGGGACATGGATGAAACTGGAAATCATCATTCTCAGTAAACTATTGCAAGAACAAAAAACCAAACACTGCATATTCTCACTCATAGGTGGGAATTGAACAATGAGATCACATGGACACAGGAAGGGGAATATCACACTCTGGGGACTGTGGTGGGGAGGGGGGAGGGATAGCATTGGGAGATATACCTAATGCTAGATGACAAGTTAGTGGGTGCAGCACACCAGCATGGCACATGTATACATATGTAACTAACCTGCACAATGTGCACATGTACCCTAAAACTTACAGTATAAAAAAAAAAAAAAAATCCAAGTCGAAAAAAAAAAAAAAAGGAAACTGCCAAATAATTTTCCAAATTGGTTTCACCATTTTATTTGCTTTCCAGCAGTGTATAGGGGTCCCAGTTGCCCAATGTTCTCTTAACAGTGGCATGATTAAACATTCGAGTGTTTTTATAACTTGTTAGTTTTAGTTTGCACCTCTCTGATGACTAATGAGTCTAGGATGGCTCCTACATTCCTACCTTGACATGGGGTTTGGGTGTGGTGAAGGAGGCAGTTCACAGAGATAGATAATACAAGAGGAGAAAAAGGGAATTGATAGAGTATTAAGGTTTGGGGTTGTTAGAAAGAAACATGAACTGAATTTTAGAAAAAGAGTTTGGAGAAAGCACAAATTTAAAAATCAATGAGAGATGACTTTGGGCAGATGGTGGAATAGGAGGTCACCTGCTCATCTTCCCTCCTTCTGCACCTACCCACAACAAAAATCTGTTTGTGCGAATCTAGGGATTCAGTTACAGCCTGTCTCAGGCACAAACTGGAGCCATACAGACATCCCGGGGATCCATCCAGTGACCCATCAGGAGCCCTCCCAGAAACCTGAAGGAAGCCATACCCATCAACACTCCTTGGAAGGAATATGGACATATTCTTGGGAGAAATATGGACATACGTATTCAGGAAGCTCAAAAGACCTTAACCAATATCAATTTAAAAAGGAAACTCTGAGACACATTATAATCTGATTATCAAAAATCGAAGGCAAAGAGAGAATCTTCAAAGCAGCAAGAGAGAAGAAACTGTCAAATATAAAGGATGTCCCATAAGACTATCAGTAGACTTCTCAACAGAAACCTTGCAAACCAGAAGGGAATGGAATGACACATTCAAAATGCTAAAAGAAAAAATTGCCAGCCAAGAATACTATACACTGAAGAACTGTCTTTAAGAAATGAAGGAGAGATAAAGAAATTCGAAAACAAGAAAAGGATGAGGCAGCTTATCATCATGAGATTGGCCTTACAAGAAATATGAAAGGAAGCTCTTACAGTTGAAACAAAAGGATGACAAGTATCAACATGAAGACATATTAAAATATAAAACTCACTGATAAAAGCAAATGCATAGTCAAATTCAAAATACTCTAATACTGTAAAGGTGCTGTGTAAATCACTCTTAACTCTAGTACAAAAGTTCAAAAACAAATGTATTACAATAACTATAGCTACAAATAATTGGTAAAAGATATACAATAGAAATAAATATAAAGTATTCCATCAATAGCATAAAATATGGTGGTGAGGAGAAGTAAAATTGTAGAGTCTTTGTATGCAATTGAAGTTAAGGTATTATCAGCTTAAATTAGGACACGATAAGATGTTTTATGTATGCCTTATGAAAACTGCAAAAAAGTCTAGTAGATACAAAAAAGATAAAGAAGAATCAAAGCATAGTATTACAACAATATAACAAATTATAAAGGCAGCAAAATTGGAAGAGAAGAACAAAAGAACTACAAAACAATCGGTAGAAAATTAACAAAATGCCAGTAGCAAGTCCTTACCTATCAATACTTACGTTTGACATAAATAAATTAAATTCTCTAAAAGAAACAGTGGCTAAATGGATAAAGAGACTCATTTTAGCCTTAAGAGCACATATTGATTGAGAATGAAGGTTTGGAAAAAAATATTCCAGGAAACTGGTAACCAAAAGAGAGTGAGCATGGCTATGGTTATATAAAACAAAATAGACTATAAGTCAAAAACTATAAAAAGAGACAAAGAAGGACATTATATTATAATAAAGGGGTCAATTTATCAAGAGGATATAACAATTTTAAATATGTATGTATCCAATATTGGAGCTCTTAAATATATAAAACGAATATTAATAGATCTGAAGGGTAGGGTAGACTATAATACAATAACATTGGAGACTTCAGTACTCCACTTTTAACAATGGACAGATCATCTATACAGAAAATCAATAGGGAAATAGTGCCACCCACCCTCAAGAGGAGGACATTATATAGAGTATGTTATACCATGATGCAGGAATCCTGGGAGCCTTCTTAGAATTCTGCTTACCATGTTGTCTCCAGATGGCTGGTTGAATGACTTTTCTTTGTTTAATGGATGCAACTTACTGATGACTCCTAGGTGACAAGTACTCAATAGACAGGTAAATAACTGTTAGTCTGTATCCCATAGTGTAGATATAGAATATTTCTCAACAAATAAAAACATGGCTGGAGTCAACTTTTTTATTTTGAGGAAGCATCAATTGCTTTTTATCTCCTTAGAAGTAAACCTTATATCCTCCAAACAATTTACTGTAAAAGCAAAAGAAATTTAATACTAGAAATATGACAAGATATTTGATATTTCTTATGTTAGTATTTGTGGGAAACTATTTTTATATAACTAACTCCTGCTGTAATTCTTATTTGACATCAGGTAGTTCAACCCCACAAATTGTTCTTCTCACCGAAAAGGCAGTCTGGGCCGGGCGCAGTGGCTCACTCCTGTAATCCCAGCACTTTGGGAGGCCGAGGTGGGCAGATCACGAGGTCAAGAGATCGAGACCATCCTGGCCAACATAGTGAAACCCTGTCTCTACTGAAAATACACAGATTAGCTGGGCGTGGTGGCGCACGCCTGTAGTCCTAGCTACTCGGGAGGCTGAGGCAGGAGAATCGCTTGAACCCGGGAAGCGGAGGTTGCAGTGAGGTGGGATTGCACCACTGCACTCCAGCCTGGTGACACAGTGAGATTCCATCTAAAAAAAACAAAAAAAAGGCAATCTCCTTTAGGATGGAAATCAGGAAATACCCCTAATTACGGATGCCTATTGAAATTTTTAAAGAAAACTGGATGTTTATATGGTTTGCCTAGGTGAAAATAATTTTTTAGCATCTTTAAAACATTACCATTGATAGTTTCTTGATACTTACTTTTAAAATGTTCAAGCACTTTATAAATGCATATTACATAAGTAATTATATGGAACTGAACATACCTTAAAGTTGAGGGTAAAGGAAACAGTAAAAATCAGTGATGCAGAAAGAAAGCAGACCTTTCATATTTTATTCTTGTTTTAAATATATATATTATGCTGATTATGTATCTCTTGAATATGAGCTTTTTATTAAATAGTTGAGTAGGATGATGAAAATACTGATATTTGGAAGAATTTTGAGTAATGCTAATTTCTTGGTGGTTTTACAGGGTTTATTCATAGAAGAACTCTTAAAACTTCACTGTTTATATGATTCGCCTCATAAGACAGAACTTTAGCTTAAGAGAAGGCAACAAAAGTCAGCAATAAACATGTGAAATAAGTAACTCATATAGTTTTTAAAGTCTTATACATAACACTTTTAACAGGTTTAGGGAAGGAAATAAAGGTACCTGAAATAGTATTCACTTTCTTTCTTGTCCGTCTGCCAGGGCAGCTCACATCACTTCTGTAACACAACATAGTTGTAGAGATTCATTGGCCTGTATTGTGTGTGTATGGGGTGAAAGGGGATAATTAAATATTTCAACTGAGAATCATCACCATTAAGAGTACTGCAGTGTTTGCTAGTGGCTTCCATGAACAGTGTAAGGCAATTTTTAAAATTTATTTTCCTGGAGGAAAATAAAAATAGATGAAAGAAGAAAAAGAAATGCTAAAGGAAAGGAAATGGGAAGTTTTGCTATTTTTCCCTACTAAATTGCAGGTATTTAGGGGTATTTACTAGTTATGGAGAATCAGAGACCCAGAGCAGACCCAACAAGGTAGAAATGAGTGTGGATTTGGGAACTGGAAGCTTGACATGCAAACAAAAATCCTTGGGAGTGCTAGGATAGTTAGGGTCTAGATAGGAGGGGACCTCCAGGAACCTCAAAGGGCCTGGGCAGAGTAATTCCTCTGGTAACTCCAAATACAGATGGTGAAGCAGGGGGTATGCTGCTTCCAGCAATTATTTGTAAATTTCTACTTGATATAGTCATAGTAGATAGAGCTGGTAGATATAGTGTATAATTTTATTAGTGTTTGAAAAGAGTAAAGATTGGCAGGGTGGCGTAGTTTGAGATTCTTAACTTGGTGAGCAGGCTAGGAGGCATGTCTGTTTCCTTGTAACTGGTGGCAGCACGATAGACTCATCCAATGGTGTTTTTTAGTTCTTTGCAACAAGTTACTATTTCAGTAACAGATTAGAACCCCAAAGTTGATTTTCTTTGGAAATTTATTACTGAAGAAATAAAATACATTCATTGTAATAGACTTAACATAAAAGATTATCCTGTAGAAACTATGGATATGATGCAGTATGTGGCTAACTGGGTTCCAAAGTGCTTGTCCTATCTTTCTATGAAATAGTAGCTTAACCCTGGAAAAGCTTGAATTGAGAAACAGAAAAAAAATAGTCTTTTCATCGACATTTATTGAGCCCTTACCCTGGGCATTGTTTGAGGAACTGAGAATAAAAAATTAAAAATCCAGATTTCCTGTCCTCAAGGAGGTTATAGTCTAGTAAAAAATGCTACACAGTACCTATGTGCTCTTATCTCAAAGTTAAAAAGCAGAATTATGAACTATGTGTTCTTTTGGAATCATTTGTATAAAACAGAACCACGAAGACAAAGAGACTGCAGAATATAATTACATCTAATGCCTATAGAAAGTGTCCATACGCCAGCCATTGGTCTACATAATTTTATAGGTATTGTATTCTATACTGCTGTGCAGTATACAATGACAGACTCTCAGAGACATACAAAAATAGACATTTATTCACCTCATTTATCTGAGCATTGGCTGGAATTAGCTAATCCAGGCTGCATTCACCTGGGCAGCTCTGTATCATGTTTCTGTCATCCTCCTCCTGGGACCAGGGGCTGCTCTTCTCTGGGCATGTTTCTCCCAGGGTGATGGCAGAGAATAAGTACATCAATAGGCACCATCACTTTTTCCCAATTCTATTAGCAAAAGCAGGTCATATGGCCCACTTAAGTCAAAGGGTAGGGAAAAAATTTATTCCTGTAGAGAAAGACACTGAAGACATGTGGTAAAGAACATGGAGACAGGGAAGGCTGAAGAATTGGAGCAAATAATGCAATATACTACAGGTATTTACTTAATTCTGGCAACAGCTTCATGAGGTAGATACACTCAATACTCCTTATCTGTTAAAATAGAAGAAGGGTAGTATAGAGACTATTGCATCCAAAGCCAGACTGTACTGGGTCTATTGCTGGCTCTTCCACTTATTAGTTATATGACTGTTATCACTTACTTTTTTGTGCCTTCGTTTTCTCATATGTAAAATGGAGATAATAACTTTACTTACCCTGTAGGGTGTCATGAGAAATAAATGAGTATGTATGTAACATGTTTAGAGCCATGTTGGACACATAATAAATGCTTAATAAATTTTGGCTATTTTACTGAATGGATAGCTAACATTTCTGGAAAGTTTTACTGTGGTCACAAAGCCATGTAACTCAGTGTTAACAACAACAATGAACAGCTTCTGCTCCTACTTTTGCCATGTAATGTGCCTGTTCCCCTTTTGCCTGCTGCGATGATTGGAAGCTTCCTGAGGCCTCCGCAGAAGCAGGTGCTGCTATGCTTCCAATACAGCTTGCAGAACTATAAGCCAGTTAAATATCTTTTCTTATAAATCACCCATTCTCAGGTAGTTCTTTACAGTGGTGCAATAATTGACTAACACAGAAAATTGGTACTGAGGAGGGCATTGCTATAAAGATACCTCATAATGTAGAAATGACTTTGAAACTGGGTAACATGCAGAGGTTAGAAGAAGCTGGAAGGTTCATAAGAAGATAGGAAGATGAGGGAAAGTTTGGAACTTCTTAGAGACTGGTTAAATGGTTGTGACCAAAATGCTAATAGTATTAGGTTGGTGCAAAGGTAACTGTGGTTTTTGCCATTCAAAGTAATATGTGAACAGTAAAGTCCACGTTGATGGGGTGTCAGATGGAAATGAGGAACTTACTGGGAACTGGAGCAAAGGTCACCCATGTTACGCTTTAGCAATGAACTTGGCTACATTGTGTCCATACCCTAGGGATATGTGGAAGTTTGAACTCAAGAGTGATGATTTAGGGTGTCTCTGGTGGAAGAAATTTCTAAGCATCAAAGCATTTAAAAGGTAGCATGGCTGCTTCTAAGAGCCTATGTTCAGACATAGGAGCAAAGAAATGACTTAAAGTTGCAATTCATAATTAAAGGGGAAGCAGAACACAAATGTTTGGAAACTTGGCAGCCTGACTATGTGGTAGAAATGAAAAGCATATTTTCAGGGGAAGAACACAAGAGGGCTGTGGAGAAACTACTTGCTAGAGAAATTTGCATAACTAAAAAACAGCCAAGTGCAAATAGCGAGGACAATGGGAAAAAGGCCTCAAAGGCATTTCAGAGACCTTTGAGGCAGCCCTTCCCTTTACAGGTCCAGAAGCCTAGGATGAAAGAATGGCTTCAGAGACCAGGCCCAGGGCAGCACTGTTCTGTATCACCCAGGAGGCCGCTCCTTAATATCCTGGCTGCTCTGGCTACAGCCTTGGCTTCAAGGGCCCCAGGTACAGCTCAGGCTGCAGCTCCAGAGGGTGTGATCCATAAGCCTTGGTGACTTCCATGTGGTGTTAATCCTGTGGGCATGCTGAGTGTGAAAGTAAAGGAGGCCAGACACTGCCTAGATTTCAGAGGATGTATAAGAAAGCCTTGGTGTCCAGACAGAAGCCTGCTGCAGGGGTGGCACCCATAGAGAGAACCTCTACTAGGGCAGTGTGGAAGGGAACTGTGTGGTTGGAGGCTCCACATAGAGTTCCCACTGGTGCACTGCCTAGTGGAGCTGTGGGATAGGGGCCACCATCCTCCAGACCCCAGAATGGTAGAATAACCAGTAGTTTGCAACCTCAGCATGGAAAAGCCACAAGGGTGGATTCTTGGGAATCTACCAAGGCCTTGGGATTCTACCCCTTGCACCAGTGTGCACTGGACATGGGACATGGAGTCTACTCCTTGCATGGAATCTATCCCAAGGCCTTGTTATTCTTCCCTGTACACCAGTGTGCCCTGGACATGGGACATGGAGTCAAAGGAGATGATTTTGGAATTTTAAGATTTAATGACTGCCCTTCTGGGTTTTGGATTTGCATGGGGCCTGTAGCCCCTTTCTTTTGGCCAATTTCTCCCTTTTGAAATGGGAATGCTTACCCAATATCTTGGAGGTAAATAATTTGTCTTGATTTTAAAGATTCATTTGTGGAAGAAACTCATCTCCATCTATGACTTTGGACCTTGAACTTGGGAATTTTGATTGAGTTGATGCTGGAATGCGTTAAGACTTTGGGGTACTGTTGAGAAGGCATGAGTGTATTTTGCAATTGAGATGGACATAAGATTTTTGGGACCAGAGGCAGAATTATATAGTTTGTATGTTTGTCCCCACCCAAATCTCATGTTTAAATGTAATCCCCAATATTGGAGGTGGGGCCTGGTGGGAGGTGTTTTGATCATGAGGGCTGATTACTTATGAATGGCTTAGGCCATCCCCTCAGTGGTAAGTGAACTCTAGCTCTGAGTTCACACAGGATCTGTTTATGTAGAAGTGTGCAGCACCTTCCCTGCCAATCCTTGCTCCTGCTTTCACCACACGATGTGCCTGCTTTCCCTTTGCCTTCTACTATGATTAGAAGCTTCCTAAGGCCTCCCAGAAGCAGATGCCACTATCTGCAGGCTTCCTGTAATGTCTGCAGAACTGTGAGCCAATTAAACCTCTTTTGTTGTAATTAAAAATGTAATGAACTCAGAACAATTGATGTGAAATCATATCTACTCTTGATCTTAAAATCACAGGCACTGTTCTCCACCTGCTATTCACAACTAGTGTTTTTTAATGAAACAATATTTTGAAGACATCCTTATCAATATTGTTACATTTTACAATAGAATGAAACATATCACCCTTTTAGTAAAGGCTATACATTAATATAATAATAATAGTTACTGACAAATTTTTATTCACTATCAGGAAGTATTCAGGTTATGTCACTTAGTTTCCATGAAAAGCTCTATTTCAGAAAATATATTCTTTATCCACATGTTATGTTTTTCATTTTATTTCTCTCAGATTGCTATAACCTTTTATTGCCATAACCCATTATTCATACATATGTAACTTAGAATTTTTGAAGTTGCAACAAAGGTATAAATATTTAAATCTGAGTATTCCGGGTTTTGTGTGAAGAGTTTTGTGTTTGAGGAGGGATCATCTTGTGACAATGTACTGAAGTAGATAATTATTCGTTTATGAAATATTACTTATATTCATCTCACAGATAAAAATTATAGTAGCTACAGAGAATACAGATAAATAAGATGTGGTTCTTGACTTCAAGGGTCTATAGTCCAATGGTAAAAAGTAAACTATTACAGTGCAGTGTGGTAAGTTCCAATAAGTATCCACACAGTACTCTGGACATCTTACCTAAATAAATGGCAGGGAGGGAATTAGGTAAGTCTAGGAGTAAACCAAGTGGAAAAGGAATACGCAGAATGGAAAAAGCAGAGACTCTCAGGAAGGCAGCAGTGAGTGCAAGTTTACTGCTTCTGGCAATAGTTTGGAATGGATAAAGAATTGACTTGTACAATTAAAAAAAAAAAAAAGAAATGGGAACAGTAAGAGATGACTCTAGAGAAATAGGCATGAATCAGATCTTTAATGATCTTGGATGCCACTCTAAGGATTTCGGACTTTACTTGGAAGTATTGGGCAGCCATTGAAGGCTTTTACACAATCTCATTTAGATATGCTCATGCTCCTTCTGATAGCCTTGAGAGAAATGGTTTGGTAGAGAAAAAGAGAAAGCAGGGAGGAGGGCAAGACTAATTAGGAGGCTATAGCCTCTGGGTGAGAACTGACAGGGCCAGACTTAAGGCATGGCAGTAAGAATGGAGAGCAGGAGGCAGATTCCAGAGATGTTAAGTATCTGGGCATGAAACATTCAATAACTATGTATAGGGCACTTCCTTACAGGGTTTGTTTCTTAAATAGGAAGATAATGAGGCTTTTGCTTTCCCTACCTCCCAACCTGGTAGAGTAAATACATTCATATATGTCAGTTGCAGCTGCACACACCTCCAGTTGCTTTTCCTAGCTCCACAGATAATATTTGGGCATTTAGTAATAAGCACATGTTACCATAAACCAAAGGTGGATACATAGGCCATCTAAGTTGATTGAATGAAGATCCAGACCTATTAGGTGATAAACTGGCCCCAGTGAAAAGTGTTTTCATTTAATCAAACTACACACGGTCACTGACTTAAGATGGTTTGACAGGAATTTTTAATTTTATGATGGTGTGAAGGTCACTCACATTCAGTACTTCGAATATGCATACAATTTTGAATTTTGATCTTTTCCTGGGCTTACAATGTAAGGTACGATATTCTTTTGTGATGCTGGGCAGCAGCAGTGAGCTACAGCTCCCAGTCAGCTACATGGTCACAAGGGTAAACAACTGATACTGTACTCTACAGTGCACAGTATATAACAATTATGAGATTTTCGACACTTTATTATAAAACTGACTTTATGTTGATAATTTTGCCAAACTGTAGGCTACTTTTAAGTGTTCTGTGCACATTTGAAGTAGGATGTGCTAAGCTATGATCTTTGGTAGAAGTGCATTTGTATTAAACGCATTTTCAGTTTGCAATATTTTCAACTTATTATGGGTGTGTCAGAATGTAACCCCATCATAAGTTGAAGAGCATCTGTAATTCATTAGAATCTCAGAATTTTAGAGTTTGAAGGTAACCACAAAATCCTGTTGCACAGTTGAGAATACTGAGATCAAGCGACATAAGGACTTTGTCAGTGATAAAGTGGTGTTAAAATCTGGACAGTCTTCGTTTGCAACACTTTCTACCATATCACACAGCTATTATTATTATATTTTATTTGAAACTTATCCTTACTTAGATTAAATTGTTTTTTTTGTAATCTTTGAAAGAGTGGCAAATGATCTGTTTTTATTTAGTTTCAACATTTTATCCCTACTCACTTTTTTCATTTTGTATTTTTAGTTCCACTTGATGATTTTCCTTTAATGGAATAAGATTTTACTTCTACTTGGTACTGCAAAAGAAATGAACAAAAATAAAACTTTTTAAAAGAATAGTTTAAGCCTCAAATGCCTCTCCCAGTATTTTCATATTAGAATACTTTTAAATAAATTATAGTTAATTAAGTGTGCAAATACACTAACTACTGTAAGTACCCAATTAGCTATCTTAACTGAAATAATTGTCCTGAATAGCACATTTTTTCAAACGTATTTTTCAAGGTGTTACATAAATCTTTGTTTCTGGTGTGAAAAATGTAATTACTATTGGACGAAAGAATATGGTAGCAGTTGATTGTTCAGGAATACAAATGTTGTAGCATGAATTACTAGCCTCTCCAGACCCCTGTGTATTCATCTGTTAAATAAAGAAACTGACCTAGAAATTTACAGAAGTTTTCTCCTTCTCCAAATTCTTGTAATCATGTATCTATTAACTGTGATCAATAAATTGCTTTGTCTACAGGCACCTATGCATTCTCCTAATTTTCACTTTTTTAATACCAAACTGCAACAATGTCCCTATTCCAGCCCTATTGCATCTTATTATTTTCTGTGTTCTGTGAGATCGTGAATTGCTTGGCGTTTCTCCTTCATTATCTTAAAAAAAAAACTCTTGATTTCTGACCTGTAAGCATATCCTCAAGTATCTGTATGTCTGTTCTCTATTTTTTGTTTTCATTTAAGTTACTTTCTAATAACGGCTTTCCAGATTATCTATGTGACTCCTCCTGACTGGTTACTGCTGCAAGATTTCCATGCCTGTGTTACTTTTGTAAAGTCACACCAAAGGAAGAATGAAGAGCACACCATCCCTTACCCTTAGGACTTACATTCTTTTCCCATCATTCTTTTAGTAGTACCTTTGAATATTCAATGTGCATGTGCACCTTGATACAATCTAAAGTTAGCCATATCCCTATACTCCTCTCTAACAATTTAATATATTAGAATGCCTAAAACATCATCCTTCCCTTTATCTAATTTGTTGTTATATACCTTTTCGGTTCTGTTTGTTTTAAAAATAAACTTCTGGGCCATGATTTACATAAAATAAAATGCATACATGTTAAGTGTACAATTGGGTGAATATTGTCAAATATATACACCCATTCATTTGACTTTTAACATCCTCAAAGTTAGTCATTACAAGTAAATCAAATCACATGTAATTACCAATAGGGTTCAACCAAATGTGTATTATAGTTGGATTTAAATTTACTTACATGCTTTTAATTCCTTTGCTCCTTATTGCTTCTTTCATTTTGTATTCAATTTTCTTTCAGAAATACAACCTTTAGGCAATTACATGTAGAATGCTAGTATTGACAGTTAATTATCTTTCAGCACATTAAAGTTAGTTTTTTCTGCTGTCCTCTTCCACTGCTGTTGTTAAGTCAGCTGTCGGTCTAATTGTTATCTCTTTTTAAGTGAATTATCTTTTCTCATTAGCTGCTTTTAGATCTCCTATGGTTTCCCTATAATCATATTGTTGGGAATTTATTTTTATTTATTCTACCTTAGATCAAGTAAAGTTTCTTCAATTGGGAGACAGATATTTTTCATGAACTCTGAAAAATTCTTGTTTATTGTTACTTCTTGGAGTATCCTCCATTTTCTCTATCTTCTCCTTCTGTGTCTCCTATTTGGCTTGATATTAGACCCTATCATTTTATACTCTTTATTTCAAATTTTAATCTCTTTATCATTCTTGCTGCAATCTAGCTAGTATCCTCACTAATATATCAATATAAATGAGTTTATTTAGTTGTGCTTGACATAATGGTTAACCTGCTTATGGAGATTTTAATTGAGAACATCTATATTTATCCTTATGCAACATCTATTTTTTTGCAATGTCTTTTTTTCTTGTATTTTTTTTTTAACATTTCTGCATCTCTTTACTCATTTTTAGCATACCTACTATAGTAGTCAGTTTTCACACTGCTTTAAAGAACTCCTTGAGACTGGTTAATTTATAAACAAACGAAGTTTAATTGACTCACAGTTCTGCATGGCTGGGGAGGCCTCAGGAAGCTTATAATCATGGTGGAATGTAAAGCAGAAGCACGGCATATCATACATGGTAGCAGGAGAGAGAGATGGGGAGGGGGAACTGCCAAACACTACAAAAGCCATCAGATCTCATGAGAACTCACTCCCTATCACAAGAACAGCATCGGGGAAACGGCCCCCATGATCCAACTGTTTCCTACTAGGTCCCTCCCTCCACACATGAGGATTACAATTCAAGATGAGATTTGGGTGAGGACAGAAAGCCAAACCATATCACCTACTTTATAATTTTTGAATTGATTTTCTAGGGCTGCTTAACAAAGAGGCTTAAACAATGGTCATTTATTATTTCACAATTCTGAAGGCTAGTAGTCTGAAAAAAAGGTGTCAGCACCTGAAAGTTGTGAGGAGGAATCTATCTGCTCGTGCTTTGCTGGAATCTCTGGCCTTCCTTGACTTGTGGAAGCATAGCTCTGGCCTCTGCCTCCATGTTCCTGTGCTGTTCTCCCTGTGTGTGTGTCTGACTCTGTGTCTGCATTTCCTTTTCTTAAAAGAACACCAGTCATATTGGATTAGGTTCCCACTCTTTTCAGCATGACCTTATCCTGTCACATTTGCAATGATCCTATTTCCAAATAAGGTCACATTGTAAGATACTTGGAGTTAGGACTTCAACATATGAATTTTGAGGGGGAACACAATCCAATGCATAATTACCTCACTAAATTATGGTTCTAAAATTTGAGATCTTGGGGTACTAATTGCCTGGTTTTCGTGTATGCTGAGCCCCTTGTTGCAGAAGGCTTCCTTTGGGGCTTTGAAATTTTTGAACGTGATTTTGAGTTTTCAATGAGGAAAATTGTTTTTTCTCTGTGGGATGACTACAAAGCTGGGTGGTGAAAGGTCCCTCCACAGCAGTTTTGCATGTATTTCTGCTACAGGCAGGCTTGAGTGTAGCACCACTACAGGGCCATTTTTGTTGTTGCTGTTATCAATTTCTGGCCTTGGAGTTTCCTGCACCACATGTCTAATGTAAATTTGCATTCCAAACTCATGAGAAACATAAAACTAGAGTTTACAATTCTCTCTAAAGGCTTTTATTTTTTCATCTAGAGCCAGGATACAGAGCAGTTTCCTTGTCTTTTCCTTGAGCTGTAGGTTTGAGGATGTATTAGGCCTTCCTTACTAGAATTGCAACCCTCAGAGGGGCCTAGATTTATGCAAGATTTTAATACCTACTTCTCCTCAACACCCAAGGTCTCCTAATGTGTCCCATGGGGGAGTAAAAAGTTACCTCCTGCCATTCCTGAGACTCCAGAGCTGCCACTCTGGCTTTCAACTTTGTTTTCTTGCTTGCTATCTGAGAATTTTGCTTTCTTTTCACCACTCTAAAAAATCTCAAGCATGATTCGTAAGTTATATTGTACCCTGTATATCCACTTACCAGTAGAGAGAAAGTTTCCTCAATGGCCTTTGCTAGAAATGGAAGTTACAGTCCCCTCTTTCTGAAGAGTTGCAAATAAATACTCAACAGTCGAAGTGCCTCGGCTAAGGTCATGCCATTATTTAGAACTCTAGCCTTTTGACTTCCTGTTTGGTGACCCTATACACTCTCTCTCTTCACCCTCTCATTACTGTCTTTCTTATCCCACTATTATCACCTTACTCAATAAAGCAACTCACAGGTTTTTTGGGGGTTTCATGTAATTTCCCCTCAGATACTAGTCTACCTCCAAAGGGTTCTGAATCCCAGAAACCCCAGCAGTAAGTGGCTTGAACACATAGCATTGAATAATTTTAATACCATTAATGATTATTATATAGAAAAAAAGTCTCCTTCTCTTCTCAAGGTTAACCAAATGCCAAGTGACGCTATAATCCTGGCATTGACTAGTTCTCAATGGAGTGTGCTAGACCTTTACTATTAAATTATCCCATGCTATTTTAAGGTATGAATTTGTTTATTCAATTTCAGATAAGGGTTATTTGAGCCCAAGTCAGGTTTAGGTGATTCCTTAATTAGAGCCTCACTTAATTGTCCTTGGGGAAATTGCCATAGATTCAGCCATAGGTGTGGCTTCTATCATGAGGCTAGCAGGCATGAGATTTTGTAGGGAAAATCTTCTGGAGGTAAGTATGATTGAGAGTTAGATTTATTGGGGTTCCTGTCTTATTCTACAGTCTCCATGTATAAGAATATGTGCCAGTTTAAATCTCATTTCCCATTAGGCCAGACTGACTCTCATTGTATATCAAGACCTGACAGTCTCTCAGATGTGCCTTGCACTTAAGACTCTTGGATCAAAGTTCTTGGATTGCACATAGTAATTGATTAAAAATTGGAATTAGTGTGGAAGATTAATATTCAAACATTTTATAACATACCCTTGCCCCATATTTTCAGCTTCATCCTCAAGAGATGGGGTTCTAGTGGTTTTTAGAATGAGCCTAAACGTAATTCTGAACTGTGAACCATAGAGAGATTTAAAGAAAGGGGCACAGAAAAAGACAGAAAGCTGGAGTCCACAGTAGACAGACTAGCAGTGTATCTCACTAGATTTTACAATGGAAGAGTTAGGGATCAAAAGGGACCTGGGAAGTTCTCTTGTTTTTTCTGGGCTGTCAAGAGCTATGCATGTAGGTATGTGTGTATGCACATGTATGCACAGTCACATGTTCCTGCCCCTTGGGCTACAGTGCTTCCAATTGGCAAGCCCTTTTATTTACATTCCTGTTAGATATCAATAGAATCTTGCTGTGCTGTGGCATCTACTGTATCAAAAAAAGCCAGCAAATAATCTGGTTGGTAGACTATACTTCCAAAGTTTTTTTTATTTTCGGTTGAAACCAAAGATTTTTTATGCAAAAGAAACATCAATGATTTTTGCTATTCTGTACAAACCTACCAGATAAACAAAAGTAACATTTGACATAGGCTACTTTCCATTAAGCTATGAAACAATCAAAAATTTAGAAAAGAATTTATTTTTACATTGCAGTACAAAGCAGAAAACACCATTGCCTTAGTAATAAGTAGCATAAGTATGAATTTATATGGTTGCTCAGATTTCAATGTGCTACCATTCTGAGGAAAAAAAGTGGATATTAGATCTCATGAAAAATCATGTCTTGTTTATCTAAAAGACCTAAGTAGGCTTTTAGGATCTTACTCAAGAATGTTTCTTTCATATTCATCATTTCAAAGGAATGTTAGTAATTAAGAAAAGACAAATTCATAAAGGTGCAGTTATTGCAAATGATTAGTCACTGTTTTTACAGTTAATGAATAGATACCTCCTATGTGGTACGAAAGTATTCATTCCACTTATAGTATTTTAAAATTCCAACGTCTGGAATAATCTGAGAAATATGCTTACCATCAGGTTCCACATTACATTTAGAATTCACTGTTTTAATGACTATGTCTCTATTAGTAAGCTTTATTTCATTATTGGATATTTGGCATTTTACCTTTCCCAAATTAAAGAGTTTTATCCAAATGCAAAGGGAAAAAAACAAAAAACAAACAAACAAACAAAAAAAACAAAAGCTTGCTCATCAAAACAATAAAAAAGAATCACTTTTAACCCATCTTGCATTACGGTTTCTACTTTATCCACCAAATTCCTTTTACCTTTCCAAATAAAGTGTCTAAAGGGGATTTTGTAAGATAAATATTTCTTGGCTCTTTTATACTGGTGTTGTTTTCCTATAGGAGCTAACTGATGGGAATACTTTATGAGATATCACCAGTATTTTAGACTTCCTTAGCTTATTTTCTTTTCCTCCTTTGACATTTGATGTATGATATATAAAAATTGATGCATTTGTCATACTCTTGGCTAGAGACAGAGACAAAACAAACAAACAAACAAATAAGCAAACAACCCAAAAAACCTTGATGCCTGCCTCTAAAGGGCATATAATATAGAGTAGTAAGCACTGTGCAGAATTTCATAATAGATACAATGCCCAAGGGGCAACTGGTGCCCAAAGGGGTAATTAAGACACTTTGGTGGGGTCAGCAAAGTCTTCATGAAGGAGAAAGTCCCTGAGTTGAGATTTGAAAGACAAACAGAATTAATGAGAAATGGTGGAAGAGTATTCTAGATTGAGGCAGTGGTAGGTACGAAGTCACAGAGGCATTAAATAATATGATGTATCTGGAGAAGTTCAAATTAACTCCATATAGTTTGAACAAAGAATGTGAGTAGAGGAAGAGAGTGAAGCAAATCATGAAGGGGTTAGTGAACATTTTAGAAAGATCACTTTTGTAGCAGCATGGGGAGGTTGCTAAGACAAGTTAGAGTGACCAGCTGGGAGCCAATAGAGGAACAGTGAAGACCTGAACTAAGGTTGCTGCAGTGGGATGAGGAGAAGGTAAATTATTTAAGGGAAATTAAGGAGGTAGATGGGCAGGTCCAGGTGACTGGATGGATTGGCACTGAGATAAGTGAGTTGAAGTCAAGGCTGATTCCCCAAATCATCTGGGCCAGATGGGAGAATACTGGAACCATTCACAAAGAGAAAATAGAGGTATAAATGCAGGTTATTTTAAAGTAATGCAATGAACTTGTCTTTAACTTGCAGAGTTTGACATGCTTATAGCATATCTGAGAAGATATGGTCTGTACCTGTTGGATACGGAGGTCTGGAGATTAGCAGATTTCTGTTACTGATCCAGCTGTAGAAGTCTTCAATGTATTCTACCTGCCTTATGCATTCTACAGAGGTGTTTTGAGAAACAAGTAACATGGTGTTGGAAACAAATACATTGCTTTTCACAATTGTATGGTAGCTACAATCTATTGGGTGTATTGGGCTAAGTGCTTTACAGAAATTCTTGCTACAATCCTGTGGGATAGGTATTTACTCAGGTTTAAAGTCATTAAGTAACTTGGCCAATGTCACACTGCTTATACGTCCTAGAGAAATGATTTGAACTTGGGTCTCTGATTCAAAAGCCTGTCCAGTAGACCACTGGACTACCTGACTTTTGATTTATTTTACCTCTCCAGGTAATATAAATTATTTTCCGCTAGGCAGCTTGACATATACATTTAATGAAATTGGTCCTTCAGAAAATATAATTGTTAATATACCAGTAAATATTATTCAAAGTTCCAAGAAAAAAGTATGTATTTCTTCATTTTGTCTGGACAAAGGTAAAGATCTTGTTGGAAATAGCAATTTATTAAAAACAAAAAACTGATGCCTAAAAAAAATCTAAATATAATGAACTTTCATTTGTACAGAGTGGTTGATGAAAAGGATGTCTTTCATATCTTTATAGAACTCTATAAGTTACAAAAATTTTGATACGTCATTCATGATTCTTACAACAGAAACGTGAAACAGGTGTTCTTTTCATTTTCTTGGCTTAAGAGACTGAGTCATTTAGACACATCAAATATTTGGACAATCATTGTTTCCTCTTTGCATATTAACATGACGTTGAAAAATGTAATGCTCTTACATTGATATGTTGGAAAAGCTTATCAAAGAAATAATGCCCAGTCAAATTGTTGCATGTTTTAATTTCCTAAAATCTCCCAAGTGGTCAATTTTTCTTTTCCTTATAAGAATGATGATTTTCCCTTCACAGAAGCTAAAAACTTAATTAAACCTTAGTTGCTGTTTAGCCAAACCACAACACAATTTCATTGATTAAAAATGATGAATCATATTAGTAAATTCAATAGCATTAGGAAATGAAAATATATAATGCAATATTTTAGGAAACGTCACTTTTATGGAAGGAAATTGATCCTCCAATAAGGGTTACAAAAAGAAAAAGAAAAATTAAGTATAATATTTACAAGTTTGATAATTTTGTTTATTTACTAATAAGTAACTATCATGTTAATAAACCCATTTACTTGTGGATATTAGTAATAAGAGAGCCTGGCCAAATGACCCATCCATTCATACAAACAGCTAGAGCTTGAGGGTTGAGTAACATTTTTAACACTCAGTCTGGATTCACCACAGTAGGTTTACATAAAAATGCCATGAGCAGAATGATGTGTGTGTTCTTGCTTTCACAAGAACCAGGTCATCTAAAGAATTTTATATATGAGGCTGGAGTGTGCTAAAAAATAAATAAAAAGTAGAAAAAAATGAGGAATTTCACATAGGAGTATTCTTAAATTCCATGTTTATATTTAGGCAAAGCACTGCTCTAGTAAAAGACACACTGCACTGTTTGGAAAAACAGTTTTGCATTATGTAAGAAGCAGATGAAAGTGATATTTTTAATATACTTTGCATACTTAATTCAGAATTATTTATAGAGATTATAAATGATGTTAAGTGGCAAAAGATATAACTGAACTATATTCAGAAGAATTCAGTGGGGGCTCTGCATTGCAACAAGAACATGACTAGTAAAAAAAAAATATCATGGTGTCTTATTGTCATCCAAGTGAGAACAACCTAAAAGATAAGCATTTAAAAAATGGTTTCCCTTTGATTTGCTAACTGCATTGGAAAGAAGCACAATAGGAAATGGCAAATTGAGAGTTCAAGGTTATTTTGGGCTTTATGTAAAGAGTGCTTTGGAATAAAAGTGCCAGTTCTTTACTCTGTGACTGGAGTGATGTTATTCATTGAGGAAGGGGGTCTCCTTTGGGATAAAAGAAATGCTGAAAAATAGTAGAATTAGAATTGAGATTTTAAATAGATCAGAGAATTGTTTTATGAAAAGAAAGCTAAAGTAAAATCAGGAACTAGGCCAGATGCCCATTTGCTTCAGAATCCTAGGACTTCTGGTTTTTAGTTCAGCAGAGCTTGAACAGAACTTACATGCATTGTCTAGTGCACACTTCCAGAGGCCCTGGTGCAATAATTACAGAGGACACCCAGATATGTCAGGTTGAGTCCATGTTCTCAAGGAATTTACCTTTTGTTGAAGGATATAAAAGGGGCAGACATAAAAATAATATAAAGCACAAAATGAGAAATTTCTCATCTCAAAAATAGTACTGCACAGACTCAGAAAGGGAGAGATTTCACTTAACACAGAGAACAAGGAAGGGCTTTCTGGAGGATGGGGCTTTGAGATCGGTCTTAAAGAAGAGGTAGAATCTTGATAAAAGAGTTATATTGGGTAGAGTCTAAACAGAGATTACAGATTGCAATGAATTGAAAGGGTTGGGAGTGCTGAACTAGAATTGGATTCAATTGTAGGCTATTTAGAGGGCATCAGTGAAAAACCACGCTGGGAAGGTTTATTGGGACTTTGCAGATGGGGAACTGGAGTGACAGGAAAGGAAAACAGGCAGAAGAGCCCTTGAAAGCTTTTGACAGGCAGATGATTTGGTACATGAGCGTGGGTATCTGATAGACCATGGATGTAAATCCATAGCCTGCTCTTTATGTGATGAATTTCCTTGAGCAAGATTATATTTCTTGGAACATTTATCTTCCTCTCTACAATAAAAATAAAGATTTTTAGTACCTACCTCCAGGAATTATGATAATCTGATAAGATAATGATGTTGCTCATTGTACAAAGTAGATGATCATTAAATGTTTATGATTGATGTTGTTATTGATGCTGTGATTAGGAGAGATTTATCTAACAGCAATGTATACAGTAGATTTGGAAAAGGATATACTAATGGTAGAAAGGCCAATACAGAAGCTAGAAAGAGATAAACAATGAGAAAATTGAATTTATATGACTTAGCAAAACAGATTTTTACAAGACATTGTGAAAAGAGAAGAGTCAAGGGTAACTCCAAAATTTGATCTTATTTGAGGAGGAAATATTACAAAGCCAGGTTAAGTTTTTCTCATGGAGAAGATGAATTAGATTTATGACATACCGAGTTTGTGGTTTGGATATTAACATATCACTTAGATATGTTCAAAAGGCAGCTGGAAATACAAGTCTGAGGTTTAGAAGAGAGGCTGAAGTTAGTGCAATGAGCTTGGGAATCATCTCCTGAGAAGTGATAGTTAAGGACTTTGCAGGGAATGACATCACCATGGGCTACTGTATAGGGACAAGAGGGCTGAGAACATAATTCTGGGGATCATCTTCATGTGGGGCCCATCAAGGAAGAAGGAGAACATACCAAGATAAACCTACTAACACAGTCTCATGAGAACCAACCAGAGAAACAAGGGGTTTGGAGAAAAAGGAGATGTCTACCCAAGACACAAAAATGTCAAGTGGATGAGGATTCCAAGAAACTTCCCTTAAATTTGGTAAAAAGAAAGGCTTTGAAAGTACAGTGCGAAAAAGCATTGGGAGTAGAAGTTAGAATGTAAGAGATTTAGGAGTGAATAGAAAAAATGAATATAGACTATTGGAAAGAAGGTTAGTAGCAAGGATAAAAAAATAGAACTTGAGTTTGAGATGATAGCAAGAAAGGGGAAGATTTTTAAACTGAGTGTGTGTGTGAGATGGTGACGGTGATGGTGTGGGATTGGTGTGTTTGTAGACAGAAAGACTGGAGAAGACAGAGCCAAATAAGAGAAGAAAAGGAAACCATTTCCTTTGCAGAAGGTCCAGAGTGACATCTCAGCTATTTAACAAGAATATTTTTTGGTCAGAGGCTCAGGCTACTTAATGGACCCAACTATATTATGGCTGAGGGAGTGATTCCATGGATAGAGTTATAGTGGACAGTTTGAGGAGGGACTGCACAGGAAACAGCAGTGCATGCTCTCAGAACAGCAACAAGATTAGATTCACAAAGGCCCAGGCTAAAACAGTGTCCTTACCACTTACTAGCTATGTGACCTTAGCAAGTTTCTTAATCTTTGGAGACTTCAGTTTCCGTATAAAAGAAAAGAAAAGGAATTTAGAGGTCCCCTTCTATGTTTGTTTTAGGCACACAGAAGTTGCTAAATTTAGTGTAAATTACCATGAATAATTAGATATACTATTTACATTTTAATTAATGTTGTAACTTTACTATTAATACTCCATCACCGTATTTTTTCCCAGTCATTAAGTTACTCCTTCATCCACTGCAGTAATAAGTTAATACCTGCTTCCAAGTGAACTGAGAAAAATCACTGTACGTGCCTAAGAGTAACTGATCAATTTTCTTTCTTATTGTCATCAGGAATTAATCTAAGATATTGACTCAGCATTTACTAATGTGTATAATATTATGCAATAAAATATAACATGATTAATTGAAAGTGAAGAAACCCTTTTTTCTCATTAATGAAGTCATATATATAATTATCACCTTTTAATGTCATGTTCTATCATCTTAATTTTACATACATACACTGAGAATGAACTTATCAGAGCCCAGGTATTCCTCATGAACCTGACGGAGAGTGGTTTCCCCTTGTCCATATTGGGCTCTTATTCTGAGGGAATCTAGAAGACTTGGCAGACAGCCAGTTAATGTTCATATGTAGTAGAGGTTTTGTTTTTTGTAAATCTTTCTTCATTTTGAATTAGAAAAAAGCATTCAACAACCTATTTCGAATATCCACATCATTAAAAGCCCATCCTTTCTACTCTTCCCACTTGCACATTCCCAGTAGAAATTCATGGATGGTGAAGTGGGTCATAATTTTGTAGAAGGATCTAAATTAGGCACAATCTAAAAATAATAAACTTCTAAGAATGAGGGCATCTGACATGCTACACACAGGGCCACTGGAAAGCTGCAGTGGACTGATGAAAATAGATTTATTTTCTGATACCTTTAAGATTCTATATTGGCTCTCCCTCTTTGATTCATTCAAGGAGATGGCATTATTCAATAATGGATACTAACAGGCTTTTCTAATAAAGCCAGATTTAGAGAAAATAGATTTAATGTGAATTAGGGTTTTCATGAGACTTGAAGATCCCCCTAATATTATAAAGCAGGAGTTTTTCTTCTTTCACTTTTTAAAAATGGGGAGAATCTATTACATATTCTAAATGAAAGCTTAATCCAGAAATGTAATAAATAAGATGGATTAAAGTGGTAGTGCTCTGCTAAGGGTTGGGGTCCTTTTTTCTACCTTCTGGACTTTAAACTCTTTGAAGTTTAGGGCAGTGTTTGGGAAGCCAGTAAAACCGTAAGAGGTTTTCTCTATAATGTTTTTACTATGAAAGATTACTCATTAGCATTAAAGTTATCAGCATTTTGGCAGGTAGTAAGTAGGGAGGAAAAATAGGTGATTTAGGAGTTTGTCCATCTAAGTAATATAAAGTGACAGGAGGAAAATTTGCATGGGAAACTTTGAGTAACTAAAGACAGTAGGAAGATCTCTGGTACTAAAGGGTTGGGCTGAAGCAGGGGATAAGGAAAGAAGAATTATAATAACTTTTACTGAAATCCTACAGGGTGCCAAACATGCTAGTAACATTTAATCTTTACAACATTGCTGTGAGATAGGCATCATATCCATTTTACAGGTTGAGAAGTTAAGGCTCAAAGAGTTTAAATGACTTGTCCATTGTTGGTAAATAGCAGAGTTTGGATTTCAGCCCAAGTCTGTTTAACTCCTGATCTCAGATAATTCACTAAGTAGGACAAAGGGTGGAGAGAAGGAGACATTCGCTGACTTTGAAGATCTCTATTGACATCTCAGTTTTGTCTGGTGCTGTCTCTAGATGTTGTGCCTCCTGGTGAGAGAATGCAGGAGTTACTCAGCAAATATTAGGCTAACTCTAGGCAGATGCCTCCTTGTTCCAGGCTGACAAGCCCGGGCTTGTGCTTATTTCACTGTCTAACCCTGCCCAGGCCCCGGGGAGAAGCCTGGTATTCTTCGTGTTTATTTAATTGTCAACTCTCTGTGTTCTAAGACGATACCCTGGCCTTGACTCAGTACAACCTAGGACTGTAAGTTAAACCTATTTTTCTTTTCTTTCTTTTTTTTTTTAACATTAAAAAAATATCTTCTTAGCTTATGACTGAGTATTCAGGCTTACAGGGTAGAATGTTAGAGTTGGAAGTGTCTTCAGGGGTTATCTCACCACTCCTTGGCTCAGAGCCCAGGATGCTGAGTTATCTGCTGTGTGGGGTAGTCAAACCAGGCATGTGGGGCTCTGTGAGCTCTGTCACCCTCTGGGTTGATGGCAAGAACACAGATCTAGCTGCAGTGGCCGTAGACACTGGGTGTGGGTCCAGGATTCGGTGTTGGTAAGAACCTAGCAAGAAGAAGGTGAGGCCCAGGGCAAGGGCCTAGTATATGAGACAATTTATTAGGGGACTTAGGCACAGGGAACAGGAGAGGGATCTGAGTGCCAATTCTAGAATAGAAAGGGGGCCTACGTTTTTTGGAAGATAGGGGTCTGTTTAAGAGTATTGCACGCCAAGGCTGATAAAACATAGCAAATGTGGCTCAATGATGAGTGTTGGGTTTGTTCCCTGAATTCCTGGACATCGGTTTTCAATGAAACAGGGCAAGTAGTTGGTGGCCTTAGCTTCCTGTTTACTTCTATTATCATGAGTGTGGGAGCCAGGCAGGGCCTAACATGACTTCTTTGAGGGCTAATGAGTACAGCTTTGATTCCAGGCAGAACAAGACTCATATCCTACCTCTGTTAGTGGCAGAATGTATCTGTATGGGTCTGCAGCAACCTCAATTCTTGCCTCCTCAGAAGAAAGAATTTGACTGAGAGGCATAAGGCAGAAGGAGAGACCGAGGCAAATTTTAGAGCAGGAGTGAAAGGAAGTAAAGTACACTTGGAAGAGGGCCACGCGGGTGACTTGAGAGATCAAGTGTGCAGTTCGACCTTTTGACTTGGAGTTTTATATGTTGGGATACTTCCAGGGTCTTGGGTTACTTCTCTCCTGACTCTTTCCTTGGGGTGGGCTGTCCACATGCATAGTTGTGTGCTGGTACTTGGGAGGGGATGCATGTGCAGTGTGTTTACTGGAGTTGTACGCATGCTCACTTGAGGCGTTCCTTCCTTACCAGTCTAGCATTCCTAGAGGAAGGTCATATACCTATTAAACTCTGCCATTTTGCCTCTTAATGCACATGCTTGAGCCCAGTAGCCCAACTCCTGAGATCTTATTAGGAAGCTGCTGATCACCAGTTTCAGGTATTTTCTATCTATTGGGAGACTGCCTTTCCCTGGAGCTGGCTGTGACCAATTATTACCTTAGAGAGACAGTTAACTGCTCGACCATCACCTAATGGTTGCCTGACACTCCTGGTGTGTGTGTGTGTGAGCCTTCTCCTGCCCTGTTCATGCCTGACTAGCTACCCACTGTAACACCTCTACCATTTAATACACACTTGGGGGATTATTTAATGTCTCTATTCCTCAGTTTCTCTACATACAGAAGAGGGATAATAACAGCACATCTTTCAGAGGGCTGTTAAGATAAAACAAGATGATACATGTAAAGTGCTTAGAATACATATGGTATTAATTTATTAATATTGTGTATTGATGACGTTTGTTATTGTTAACAGTGGTTACCTAGATCAGTGCTACACAGGAATGGTGAATAAATAACGTGCCCCACTCTTGTGTCTTGTACGTACTTTGCTAAGAGGTTACGGCATGTGTTCCTAATGAACCTAGATGTAGCATCAGAATTATTCTCCATATTGAGGTTTAGGCAGTCCCTACTGATACAGTTTGGATGTTTGTCTCCTCCCAATCTCACGTTGAAATGTGATCCCCAGTGTTGGAGATGGGGCCTGGTGGAAGGTGTTTGGGTTGTGGAGGTGGATCCCTTATAAATGTGTTTTTTCTCTAATGAATGAGTTCTTGCTCTATTAGTTAGAACCAGAGCTGGGTTGTTTAAAAGAGCCTGGCACTTCCTCCTGTCTTTCTCTTGTTCCCTCTCTTGCCATGTGCCATGCCTCCTCCTCCTCTGTCGTCCACTCTGAGTAAAAGCTTCCTGAGGCCTCACTAGAAGCTGAGCAGATGCTGGTGCCAGGCTTGCACAGTCTGCAGAACCGTGAGCCAAATAAACCTTTTTTTATTTATAAATTACCCAGTCGGAGGTATTCCTTTACTGCAACACAAAACAGACTAATACATCTACCATTCAATTAGGGCTGGAAATCTATTTGATATATTTGTCCCCTAACAGATGGACATCCAGCTTTTAAATAAACTTTTCACTCTCAATGAACTTATTGCCTGAAAAAGCCATCCGTTTCTCATTAGATACCTCTAATTACTACACAGTTGGGGTGGGGACTCAATATCTACTTATCGACTTATTTAATAAAAATATAAAAATCCACAGGCTTCTCTCAAAATCTACAAAAGATACTTATCTTTACTACCATATTATATTCACAAATACATGTTATATCTTGTATGAACACCTATCAAGCTTTAGGTTCATACTTATTATTAGGTTGGTGGAAAAGTAGTAATATTCAAAGAAATTGTCAGATATGTCTTCGTAGGTGTTAATTTGCATTTGGCAGCTGGCCTTCAACAAAAAGTTCAATATCCTTCTTGCAGCTATGACTTTGACTTTTATTCTTGGCAAGATAAATACTGTTCTAATGCTTTCTCTTTTAAAAATATCACACTCACATACAAAAGTAGCAACAGCAGACAAGACCTGAACTTTCTATAAAATAATTTTGAATTGGTATACTATCTTGTAAATCTAAACATAAATTTCTAATTTAATCATGAGGTTCAATTACTTCTATAAAAAAAACAGAATAACTGAAAACCAAAACTTCAACAATAATAGACATATTTGAGCATTTTGGTTGGAATGCTTCAGTGGAAACATGGATTATCAGTTTCATTTAGATAAAATTGTTAGTATAGTCATCCCTCAGTATCCACAGGGGATTGGTTCCAGATTGCACCCCACCCTGAACACCCCAGGATACCAAAATTCATGGATGCTCAACTCCCTTATATAAAATGGCATAGTGTAACCTATGTATATCCTCACATATACTTTAAATCACCTCTAGATTACTTATGATACCAAATATAATGTAAATGTCATGCAAATAGCTGTTATACTATATTGCTTAGGGACTAATGACAAGAGAAAATATGTCTGTACATGTTCAGTACAGACTCAACCATTCTAGGCCCAGCTGCATTTTTGATCTGTGGTTGTGAAACCCACAGATACAGAGGCTGACTATATTTCAGAGGAATGAAAAACAAAAAAAGATACCTGCAGCCTTTGGTGGTGGTGTTGTTTTCTTCCTCCTTTATATAAATTCTGAATCTGTTCTTCAAATGTTTCAAAGAGATAATATGGGCAGAAGACTTTTTTTCCCCATTTTATTTTGTTTTTGTAACCTCTTCATGTCCAGTCTAAAACAAACAATTTCCAAAATTCAGAGTCACAGTCTAAATCTATTCCCGCTTTGATGATTCCCCAGGAGGTCTGTGTCTACATGGCAAGAAAAGAGCCAGCTGATTTGACTTTTTCTGTAGAAAAATATAATATTTTATAATGGCATATAGATAGTAACAATTTTGGGATACTGTAGATAATATTTTTTCCAAACTAATGGGTTATAAAATAATCAATAATAATAAACATTTATTAAACACTTCTTAAATGTCAGAAGATTAAATCTTTATCTTGAATTATTTCACTATCTCTCCAAGGTGACTTGTATAAACTTAATTTTACAGAAGAGGAAACTGAGGCTCAGAGAGGTTAAGCCACTTGCCCAACACCTCTCTGTTAAAAAGCCTCTTTTTTAAAGAGTGGAGTCAAAATTTAAAGAGGTCTGCTTAGTGTTGCCAAACTTCACCTTCCACTGAACCATCCTGAGACCTACCCAGATTGAAAGACTGCTTATTGGAAGTGAGAACCTGAGAGAAGAAAGGCATGTCAGGTCCCCAAAGCCTATTTTGTGTGGGAATTACAGTTGCTGCACGTCTGATTGTACATGCCATAAACACAAGGGAAAAATGCTTAAAAAGGGGAAAATACTCAAAAATGGAAGAAGACAGAGAGCTGTAATCAACCCTCAGTTTCCAGACCCTCAGGAGAGTTCTTCTGTTCATTTTACAGCTATCTGTGGTTTTATTACACCTTTAATTGGCTAGAACCTTTAATTATGGTTAGGTGAATCCATTTGTGTGAAATAACAAGCATAAACTTTCTTCCATTTTCAAAATGAACATTTGTGCAAATCCAGAATTTTTTTTTGTTTGCCACTGTATGTATTCTTTAGTCTCCCATTTCTATGTAATTTGTGACTTTCAGACTTCCTATTATTAGCTGTGGAATGTGACAGGTAGAAAAAGGCACAAGGTCATTTCATTATTCTTTGAATCAGTTTCAGGAACATTACTTTCTTGGGTTAAGAAAAACTGATAGCTTGTGATTTAATTTTCTGTCTTAAATATCTTCTTTCCTGATAACATTCCTTCTGAGGCTTGATTCAGTGTAAATGCTAAAGCAGATATCAAATTTCTCATTGCATTCTACATTTTACTTTTAAAAAATATAGATTAAAAAATAAAATTCACACCTGATTCTGGGAAGATAGCATCAATGGCAACATAATTTTTGGATCTGAATCCTCATATAGAAACAGAGAGACGGCCAGGCACGGTGGCTCATGCCTGTAATCCCAGCACTTTGGGAGGCCGAGGTGGATGGATCACGAGGTCAGGAGTTCAAGACCAGCCTAACCAAGATGGTGCAACCCCATCTCTACTAAAAATACAAAAATTAGTGGGGTGTGGTGGCACATGCCTGTAATCCAAGCTACTCGGGAGGCTGAGGCAGAGAATTGCCTAAACCCAGGAGGCAGAGGTTGCAGTGAGCCGAGATCCCACCAATGCATTCCAGCCTGGGCGACAGAGCGAGACTCCATCACACACACACACACACACACACACACACACTCACACACACACACAAACAAAAAAAAACACAGAGAGACTAGAAAACAAAAGCAAAAAGCCATGTTTGATGCTGGCAACAATACTAGGCATCACCACAATCCCAAGAACCCCATAGCCCAAAGTACAGGCATGTGGGAACCAACCACCAGAAGCCACCAAACTCATGAGAAATAGGAATTTGTTCAGTGGAAAGTGAAGAGAAACAATGTGCCCAAACACAACGATGTTGTGCAATGATTCAGGCTTTCATGCTTTGAACTTGTGTAGGGAGAATAGTGTATACAAAGTCAGCGGAACTGGCCCATTATTGAGTTTTATTGATCACTTCAAAGTGTTAATAAAAAGCTGAGGACAGTTGACAAATAATTTAAAAACTATGTAGTCCAAAAGGCTTCTTTGGTAGAGCTTATAAAGAGGCCAGTATTTCTTGCTACAGGAAAACAGAAAACCAACTGGAACCAAACCCACTCTCCCAGGGAAAGACACTCTGCCCCTCTAGGCTGCAAGAATCCCTCTTGACATCTGCTCCTACTTTTTTTTCCTGGCTGCCCAATCAATAGCTGGGGTTAAGTTGCGGCATAGCCCAGCTAGGGACATGCTGGGTCTCATAAGAGGAGAATGGAGCTATACTCCAAAGGACTGCAAGAATTAGCCAGTATGTACTAGAAGAAGCTGCTGGAGAACCCACGGGACTGGATTTTGAGGGTGCTGGACCACAGGGATCAAAACATAAGACCGAATAAAGAAGACTTTATTGACTTGAGAGAACTCTCTTGGGATGCAACATGCAACACTGACAAGGACTTCAGAAAATGGTGCAAACTACTTCTTAGTTGCTCCTAAAAACCTAGAGAAAGTCGTTGTTCATGTTGAGTGAAATGGAAATATCTCAGTTGCAATAGTAAAGGGCAGAGCAAGAGGTTTAAAATGTCCCCGGAAGTGGGCATATTGGAATGGCTATAATATGTGAAGCCAAAAGACCTGCTAGAGGATTATGTTCTACGGAAAGTCCCAGAGGACACACCACTCACCAAGGTCATCAGGAATGTGATGATGATAAGAGAACAAGCATCACCAAGAGATTCAGTGGTGGCTTTCCTCTGGAAAGCAGGACTGATGGTAGGAGACACTATTATAGAGATTGACTTGTTGATGATAGCAATGTGAATGACAGGGCCCTAAAGTAATAGAGGCCAGGTGGTGGCACTTAACCTCCAAATGTCATGAAGGGGCAGCCAAGTGGGCTTGACCTGCAAAGAATTGTAAAGATGATCAATAGACATGACGTTCTCAGGGAAAAAACATATGGATAGCCAATAGGTTCTCATGAATATACATAATAGCAAGGAATTTGATGGGTAGGAAGTAAGAATGAATGGGCAAGAGACTGAGAGAAAATTCCCCAATAAAAATTCATACTCTGTATCCAGTTTCCAAACCTAAGCCATTTTCCAGACCTAGAATTCATTGACTGAAGTGGTGGCTAGGTTTCCAAGAGGAAGGACCTGGCAACACCATGACAAATATATGTTGTAACGATTCTCCCAGCCTTTTACCAAAGGACTTATGGGCCAGTGGGTTTTAAGTCTAAAGAATGAATTTGTATTGGGGCAATAACAACAAAAACAAAAAAGCAAAAATCAACTTCCATCAGCATCTAAACAGCCATATGTTCCATAGGTCAAATCTAAACCTTGTACAAATTTTTCCAATTTAGTGTCACAGTGGTTGGTCCTGTGACAAAAATGGCATGATTCATCTGATTGGATAGACTGTCAAGTGGCTTAGTGATCTGATATTTTGTAAAACACAACAACCATTTTCAGCCGCTACTTTTCAGTATGCTGCCTCTTTCCCTCTGTCTTTATCTTCATACTGAATCTATAGAAGTCTCCAGCAGCAGATCCAGGCTCAGTCAATTGCTAAGGCAGTTCAGGATGGAGTAGAAAGATGCTGGAAGTCTCAGTCTCATGCTAACATCTGGTGGGCCAAGGATGGCCCGGAAGGCTATGGAGCTTCTGAGTTGCTCAACATTCTCCATGTTTTTCTTGTGTCTTTTTAGCCCAGTTCTACAATTGAACTTCAGTTTTTCCCCTAATCTGTTTCTCTCTGGTAAGCCTGCTCAGTTTTCTAGTCTCTCTCATGGGTTGGGGTCCCAACTTGAATTTGTTCCACTAATATAGTCTGGTTCTTGCTGGCCAATCTCTATCCTGTTCCCCAATTTATAGATGAGAGAGGTTATGTTTCTTGAAACCAATCCTCTACATTACAATGCTACTACCTGTTGTCTTGCCAGGAACCAGCTGCCCCTCTATTCCTCTGATAATCTGGGTTCCTCTACCCCTTTTGACTCTGCACCAAGTACTTTCTTGTTGCCTCAGCTAGATGCCTTGATCTACTAATTGGGCTTTCTGGAATCCAACGCAGGTCCTGGTTATTTTCTTTACATTTTAGCCTGGTCCTAGTATGTCTCAGAAAGTAGTCTGGTATTTTTGTGACATATCAATAGAAAACAAAAGCTTACTATTTGTCTATGTTAATTTTATTTATTAGTACTATCTGTGTGAATAAAAAGAAATTTGTCTTTTTATTTTCATACAATAGTGAAAAAAAATCCAGTTTTGTGTGTTGAATTTGAAGACTTTCCCTGTCTCAAGAACTGTGATGTGTCTGAGATTTTACCCTACCTGCAAGCTAACATGTTTGCTTGCTATAGTTCCATGGATACTGGCAGAAGATGTGTGATTTGTGGTCAGAGACAGAGGACTCTATTACTTATAACAATAGCAAGTGGAATGAGCATCCTATTTGCATCAGTTCCTCTCCTCTCCCTGTCCCATGTAGGTAATTCAAAGAGATCCAGAGGAATGCTGTAAACACAGGGGGCTTGCATCACAGGTGAGGAATCCTGAGTTAGGGAACTTGAATATTTTATAAGGGACAGTAAGCCTGCCTGTCCTTTTCCCCAGAGGAAGACATTATCTTTTTTTTTTTTTTTTGAGATGGTGTCTCGCTCTGTCGCCCAGGTTGGAGTGCAGTGGCGAGATCTTGGCTCACTGCAAGCTCCACCTCCCGGGTTCATGCCATTCTCCTGCCTCAGCCTCCTGAGTAGCTGGAACTACAGGCGTGCACCACCTATGCCCGGCTAATGTTTTTGTATTTTTAGTAGAGACAGGGTTTCACCGTTTTAGCCAGGATAGCCTCGATCTCCTGACCTTGTGATCTGCCCGCCTTGGCCTCCCAAAGTGCTGAGATTACAGGCATGAGCCACCGCACCTGGCCAGAAGACATTATCTTTATTATACAGGGCAGTAAATAAACTTTCTGCTTGCTCTGGAGGGAGATACTATCACCATCTTCCAAGTGTGTTCTTTCTACAAATATCCTCGAAAAGATAGTTTGGGACTAAGTGCCTCTTCTCATAACACCAGACACCTATGGAGAAATGTCCCTCAACATCTCATACTTCAGTAGAAACACAGTGTACCTCATAATCAGTCACCCTATCCAGCTTGTCCAAAGACATCAAGAGGGCTACTCTTCCATTGGTCAGTTAATCCTTTTATTGTCCCTCAGAATCTGCTAAGATACTTCTGACTTCATAATATGAGTATTTTTCTTCTATGATGATGAAGACCAAAACATCCAAGTGGAAGTCCTAGGAAAAATAATCTCTGTTTTTAACCTATGGAACAAGTTATTATCATCTCTTCTTTCTGACTGAGTGACATGGCTGCCTCCCTTGCCTTCCCTGTCAAGTACCCAAATCTCTTGGAATGGGAACATTTACTGCAGTGGAGCTGAATTCATTGCTCTTGATCCCCTCAGATTGACTGTAGGACTCTGGGAAGTGGAGACTTCAGTGGCAGGACTTTTGTGGCATGATATTTATCTTCCCTGGGTGGACTCTTTAATCTCAACACTGTCCTTATTTCCTCTGGAGCTGGGACTGCTGAGTGTGGTGTTTGCATTGACCCAGGTACCTGTTCTTATGAATTAAGAAGTAGTATTTATCTAACTCTGACACTATATTGCTCTATAATCTTAGGTAAGTCCCATCATGTCTATGGACTTCAGTTTCCAGACATGAAACACAAGAGGCTTGGACGAGATTAGAAATCAAGAACTCGAATGCGTATGGTCAGAGCCACGAGGTGAGTACAACTCCAAGTTCTGATATTCACATTATGGTCTATGTAAATGGAAAACCCTGAGGCACAACTATGTGAACATGGCCTTCTATAGGTGTACATTTTGGGGGCCCTGTCTATAGGAAAGTCAGGCAGTAACACCACTGTACTAATAGGGCCAGGAGATAACAATCCAGTGTCATCAGAGAAGTCACATACATCCTACGGCAAGTCAATCAAAGTTTGAAGGTGCAAGAGTTTTCATTCTTTGGGGAATATTGTCTCTGGAATGCCTTCCAGGTCCTACGATATATGATTTTGTTGGTTTGTTGCTTTTTCAACTTTTGTTTTCCCTGCTTTTCCTCTGATGCATGGTGCTTTCTCTGATGGTCACAATTACTAGAAAGTGGTAAGGATGAAATGAATGGATACAAACAAGAGCTCAGTGGGGATAAACACCTTTCCTGCTCATGAGAGAGCTACAGTTCTGGTTTTCAAAGACACTAGCTGCAAAAGAATCACCTGGAGAACTTAATTAAAAATAATCAAAAAGCTTTCTCAGCCCACACCTACTAAATAAGCATCTCTGGGGTTGTAGGCCAGGAAGTTGTATGTTTTAAAGACTCCCTCAAGTGATTCTAAAACTTAGCCAGGGTTGGGAACCAGTGACTGTGCAAAAGTGTATGGGAGGAGCAGAGACCTTTTAGTGGGTCAACTTCTCACCTCCAATGTAAAGCTGCTCCGCCTCAGCAGAGATTAGATACTACAGCGTGAATAGAATCAGATTAAAGACAGCACTTCTTTCTCTTAGACAGCTGGCTTAAGAAACACAGATACTGACATGAACACAGGTTTGGATATGCTTAACAAACTATATTTTGTGGCATTTAGCTTTAATGGGTGACTGAGATTTTGGAAGCTGAAGATTGGTTTAGGATTAGCAAAAGTGTTATAAATGCTCAAGTAACTGCAAGTGCTTCAATTAAAGTCAATTAAGTTCCTTTTGGGCCTCACTTTTTTTTTCTTTTTGTAAGTTTCTAGTTAATCTAGTTGAGATTTGATTCTTAATAGGGTATATGCAGACTTGCACTGAAAAGAAAATGTTCCTGTTCAGATAAAAAATCAGCAGAATTCATTCTTTTACCTTTTATATCTGGGTCTATATAGCACAGGTGAATTGGGTACAGGGCCATACTGCTAGCCCAGGAGTGTTCTCTGGAGGGTATCTTGGTGGTAGATAAACATCAGCCTATTTATGTCCCTTACCTCATGGCTTTCCTCTGAAGGGTGATTCAAAGTGGCACTGCTAATTGTCCAGAACCACCTCACAAAATGATCTGTAGTTGTGGTATCGTGGGAAAAGTGTGGAAGAAGGGAAGAGACCACTTATTCGACCTTGAGGAGATTATTTCCTATCTCTAGGTTTCATGTTCCTCACGTGTGAAATGAAAAGGCTAGTTCCTTTTCAGTGTTTCTTCTTTTTTATTGAGATCTTGCTCACGTATGGCTTTGTTGTACCAGTTAGGGGCATTAGCTAATGGCTGTTGGGTAGTTTTAAAAAATGTAAGCCAGGCCGGGCGCGGTGGCTCACGCCTGTAATCCCAGTACTTTGGGAGGCCGAGGCGGGCAGATCGCGAGGTCAGGAGATCAAGACCATCTTGGCTAACACGGTGAAACCCCGTCTCTACTAAAAATACAAAAAATTAGCCGGGCGTGGTGGCGGGCGCCTGTAATCCCAGCTACTCGGGAGGCTGAGGCAGGAGAATGGCGTGAACCCGGGAGGCGGAGCTTGCGGTGAGCCCAGATAGCGCCACTGCAGTCCGGCCTGGGCGAAAGAGCGAGACTCTGTCTCAAAAAAAAAAAACACAAACAACAACAACAACAACAAAACAGTAAGCCAGCTCATTCTATACGTATTGTTACTTTCTCAGGTTAACCCTAGATGATCTCTAAGGTGTCTTTCAGTTTTAAAAGAGCAATATCTGTGACCTTATATACTGAATGTTGTGATTTTATAGCTTAGGCTTCTGCTGTATAAAATAGATTTTCCGCTGTATAAAATAAATGTGGAGATGGGTAGAAGTAAATTTTCATGAAACTCAGAATTGGATGCTTAGAACAGATTCTTCCTGAGAGAAGGAATTCTTTTTGCCCTGAATTTCCCTTCCTCTCCTTTGGGGGGAATCTTTTAAATTCTCCGAAATATAGAATATCTAATGTTTTACTTTCTGACTGGATTACATTTAGCCGTTACAGTGGCTGACCAACTTCCAAACAGAAACACTTTCAAAGGTGAAAGTTGACAAAGTATGCAAACATATGGGAGGCTGAACTTGGCCCAACAACTTATCCAGAAACTCCCCCTTGCCTCAATTAATCATTGACCTGAGGGCCTCTTCTCTCTGTTGTGGAGAAAACCCCACCCAATGCTTTGTTTGAATGACACACTTTGTTGAGTAGGTCTGTTTACAAGGGAGCTAGCTCTCCTGGAGGGCAATGTCACTGTTTACACGTCTGTTTTGACAACAGAGAGCAGACATAAAGCGCTTACGTAGAGTTCAGTCTTTTTTTTTTTTTTTTCTTTTGTCCAGAAATGATCAGTTTCAAGGCAAACAAACCTATCAGCTTCTACTGTGGGTAAAAAAACTGATCTTAAACTGCCAAAACCTTAAAGTTCTCCCTTTAAATCTAAAGAACCATGAATAATCCTTTTTGAAAGATGTTGTGCATGAACAAAGTGCTGTGCTCTTTGAGAGTGTGATCCAAAATACAAAAGGTGTTATTCATAATACCTCTTTTACTGTAAAAAAATGCATGCTTGCTAACTTGGGCTTCAGCTGTTGTTAAAAGAAAACCTGCAGATAGAGCGAAAGGGCAAAAGGGTGACATCTGGCATAACAGACTTTCTAAGATGGTTTTGGCATACAGCCTGCATTAAACAGCAGAGGCTAAAAAAAAAAAAAAAAACAAAAAAAACTATTGAAATAAAGAGAAAAAAAATGAGGACAATACAACATTGACTTGCAATCTTTAGCAAACTTATTTAAAACCAGTGCAACCATTTTGTTGTTGTTGTGACCGAAAATGGGCCATCACCTCTAATATTGGCTCTGAAAGAGGAGAATGAGATTGTGTGATATTTTCTCAAGTGGAGGTGGTGAATTCTTGTCATAAATTCAGAGACACTGTACACTTGACTTCACCTTTTCACCTGGGTGTGTAATGCACAGAAACATCCGCATTATCATGGGTTCTCCTCTGCTTGACTTGTTAGGATACTTGTTAAACATAGTGCATCAAGTGCTGCTTGAGGTAATAAAGAATATATTTTATCTTCGAAACAACAGTGGCATGGAAATTATGATTCCTGTAGCTTGAGAAGAAAATAATATACTGCTTGATACAAACAACGGACAAATTAGGATAAAGCTTCTAAATCCTGTAATTACCCAAGACACTGAAAGATAAGAATCACTGTAGAGAATTACCTTTGCAGGAAGCAGGTTTAAGACTCGCAATTTCATGGGCTTCTATTTTGCTTAAACTATAGTATTTTGCCTGCATCTGCTCAGCTTGGAGGTGAGTGGGTGAGAGGGAGGTAGGAGTATAGCTATTGATTCTGGATGATCAATAACCTATTGTTTGACAGCTCCAAGACGGTCATTCTGCTGGATTCCGAGTGAGTGAATCCTTTGGTTAGTTCTGATCTGAGCAGTCTCAATCAGTTTGTGCTTGTTGCTTTGATATGCATGCACATTTGGGAGGTGACCAAGCCATGGCAACAATTCTGTTAAAAATCAGCCTTTGTGTTTGGCCTTGGACCCTATTCAGTTACACTGGAGCTTGAACTTTACTGATGTAAAAGACTTATGCCTCCACTCTAGTTTCTCACATGGAGATGAAAGCGAGAATATTATCCACGGTGTGACCTTGATCCGCACATGGCTAGATCTCCGTGGGAGTTTGGCATGTGAACGGGGGACACAATATGGCCTTTGAGAGTTGTTTATAAATAGAATCTGTGTTGCCTTACATGATTTATAAAGCCGTGATTCCAAAGATTGAGTAATATTGGTTGTTGGAGGGAGAGGGAAAGTAAACAGTAGTGACAAATAACTAAATGCCACTTTTATTTACCAGCTATATAAAAATTTTTCTAGGGTAGGGTTCCTCAGCCCAGACATTAAACTGCATGAAGTTTTATTCCTAATTATTCATTAATTCTAAAAGTAATAATGTGGACAGCACTATTTGGTTATTTTAAGTCAAGGAGAATTGCAAATAAAAGGAAAAGGTGTTAAATGAAAGGAGAATGGGATGCTGAGAGCTTCATTTAGAGGGGCTATATCTTGAGCAACAATGAGGAATGCAATTTTCTTGAGTGTGAGGTTGACCTGATGATAAAGGACCATGGATTTATTTTTTTCTCTTATTTATCTATAAGAGTGGTTATTCGTTTTATGATTTGTCTAGTGTTCCAGGGCCTTACCTCTGCTCTGTCAGACTGGGTTTGGATATACAAGCAGTAGATCCAAAATGGTAAAGAATCAGTCAGGCATGGATGGATGAAAATAGTTGAGAATTAAGAAAGAAATAGAGAAGAATGACTGAAGACAGAGGCTCTGAAATCAGATTGTGTTTCTAATCCTAATTCTGCCACTTACTATCTCTGTGAGTTATTGTGCCCTAGAATTCTTCTTTGCAGCATGGGGATAATGTGGATAGATATGGTGAATTGGTACTCAGATATAATTCTAATCTCCTTCTGATCTGCCTTATATAGCGTTGAAGACTAAAAATGGTATTTCTGAGCTTGTTTGCTTCTTTCCATGAAGGATTAATGTTTACAGATATTGTTCTTATGTCATAAACAATTAGAAAAATGGACAAAACATTTAAAAAACCTGTTTTCCTAATTTAGACAGTAGCCACTTTAGAGTCTGAGAGAAGGAAAGCAAATGGGGTGAGTCTTACAATTTCCCTAGCTTACCGCTTGACAAGACTCCCAGGCCACAGTGTTGGGAGGGGAACCAAGGAAAGCCTGGTGGCCTTACCCAATTGAGGAGGTAGAGTTAGGTACAGGGAGGCAAAGGCAGCTATACTTTGCAAGGCCAAATCTAGAAAGGAGAACGTGTTTAGGGCTTTCAGAGGAAGCACAAGATCCAGAGGAGTCCCCTTAGTTTTTGACTGAATACTGATTCGTGTAAACATGAGGTGAAATTTCATGAGACTGAAAGACAAAAAAACCAACACTTGGAAGTTAGTAATGATGGAGACGACAGGCCATCTGGAGCAGTTGCCACCATCACACTTACTGCAGCAGGGAAGCGCAGCCGGGGCCGCATGCTCCATGGAGCTGGCGGGAGCTGGGGACAAGCAGGAGCCCTGCCCCTTCCCTGCTGGGGCAGGAGCTCCCCAGCTGCCACTGCAGCCACCCAAGTCATGGCTGTGGACCCAAGCACCCCTGTGCTCTCAGGTCTGGGAGAAGGCAGCAGCCCCACCCTCCCAGATGCAGGTGCATCCATTCGCCTAAACCGTGGTTGCAGACCCAGGCCTCGTGTTCCATGGAGCAGGCAGGAGCTCCAACCCCAACTCCAGCTGCAGCCACACAAACCAGGCTATGGACCCAGGCATCCCTGCACTCTTGGGGCATGAGAAGGCCCCCCTGCCCTCACAGGTTTGGAAATGCCTGCTCCTGTTGCCTGGCTTCTCCCTTCTGTCAGCCCCCACTCCAATCTTGGAGCAAAGTCAGAGCTGAGTGAGCCTGGGTGCTGTCATGGCCTGGCCAGGTGTGCACACACTTGGGGCAGTGCTGACACACCAGCCCCTGCTGCTTTGGCCCCCTCCGGATTTTGAGTGCTGGTGAGCATACATAGGAAGCTGATGGAGGGCTGAGGGCAGCTTGGTGCTGGCCTACAAGCATCCCTTAGCACCCCCAGCCTGGGTGCCATAAATGGCAGCAGAAGGCAGACAGGTTCCTGGGTGAAAGAAGGCAGGTCCCTAGTAAGGTTCCACCTTCAGTCCAGGGAGGTCCTGAAGGCAGGGGGCTGGGCTGTCAGTCCCATGGACTGGAGTGGGAATTTGTGATGCCATTTCCAGGCCTGCCTGTGGCCACCCATGGACCAATCTGCGCATACTCCTCTCCGCTGAGGCCTACAAAAGCCCTGGGTTCAGCCAGAGCCGAGCAGACATTGGGAAGACTGGCTGCCAAGAGAGACTACCCACTCCATGGCCTCCTCTCTGCTGAGAGCAGCAGACATCAGATGACCAGCTGCAGAGAGGAGATACCCACTCCAGGGCCTCCTCTCTCCGGAGAGCTGCAGAGACGACAGGATAACCTGCCTGCTGAGAGGAGCTACCCACTCCAGGGCTTCCTCTGAGTTATTGTCACTCAATAAAGTTCCTCTGTCTTGCTCACCCTCTACTTGTCTGCATACCTCATTCTTCCTGGGCACAGGACAAGAACTCAGGACCCACTGAATAAAGCTAAATGAGCTGTAACACAAATAAGGCTGAGACATGCCCCTTGCTTGCCACGTTGTGGTTGAAGAGAAGGAAAGAGGAGCTGTGGCCCTTCAAGGAACCAAGACCTGGGAACTCCCTGAGCCAGGGCTGTGACTCCCTCTGTGTGGCCCTGTGGTTCCTGGCATCTCCAGGCTTCTGAGTGCCACTGTGTTCCCTGGTGCCAGCTGTGGAAGCTGCTTGTGGTGCCCCTGGTCCAGCTGCAGCCTTGTGGAGAGCTAGCGCCCATGCTGACACCTGGAGCTGCCCGCCCCATTGCAGCAGCTGGCATGTCTGACTGCATAGTGGCTGGATCCCACTTATATTCCACTTATAAGTGAGAATGTGCTCACACACCCATTGCTGCTCCACACAGTCTCCCTTGACAGGCATGGGATCCAGGCTGATAGCATGAGCTAAGTGCAGCCTACCAGGCTGAGTGGGTGGAATGAGCCTAGTGGGCCTGAGCAAAACTTGAGGAAGGTCACCACTGGCCACAGAGCCTTCTGGCTAGAAAAGTGACACCCTAAAGATCCTGCAACAGTAGGCCAAATAAATCCAGGAGTATATAAGACTAGCAATACCCTGCATTTCTTCCAGCCAGGGTCGCTAAACTTCATAAAACATGAGCCATTGAATAGAGATCTCAGGAGACACATAATCCCAAAGGGAAGACATGTGAATGCCAGAGAAACAATAACAACAACAAAACCCCCAAAATAAGCAATTAAAAACAAACAAGACTTAAAGCCACAAAAAGATCAATCTAAAACTGAAAGGCGCTTTACTGTAGGCCAGAACAAAGTTGGACAGTCCTTAAAACGATACAATAAAACTCAATAACTTTAAATTCAGAATTTCTGCCAGGTGCAGTGACTCATGCCTGTAGTCCTAGCACTTTGGAAGGCTCAGGCAGGCAGATCACTTGAGGTCAGGAGTTTGAGACCAGCCTGGCCAACATGGTGAAACCCTGTCTCTGCTGAAAAAAAACACAAAAATTAGCCAGGCATGGTGGCACATGCCTGTAGTCCCAGCTACTCAGGAGGCAGAGGCAGAGGTTACAGTGAGCCAAGATTGCACCACTGCACTCCAGCCTGGGTGACAGACCAAGACTCCATCTGAAAAAAAAAATAAAAATCACTATTTTTGGCATCTGGTGAAAAAATTTCCTGGCATGCAAGGAGGTAGGAGTGTATTACCCATTACCAAGAGAAAAATCAATAGAAACAGATCCAGAAGTGACAGAGATGATGAAATTGACATAAAAGGACCATAAAACAGCTATTATTTATCTTATAAATTCTTCAAGGATATAAAAGGAAAAAAATAAACATTATTAAGAAGTAAATGAGAATTTGAAGAAGACCCCCAATAGAACATAATGCATTGAAAATACAGCAGTTGAAATGAAGATACACTACAGAGTATTAGTAGCACTTTAGACAGGGCAGAAAAAAATGGCCAGTGAATTTGACAACATAGCAGTAGATACAGTTGAAAATGAAGTATGGGGGATGGGGAATTGAACAAAATTTTAAAAGGCATCAGCAACCTGTGGGAAAATATCAATGTGTCTGACATACATTTAATTTGAGGCTCAAGGAGAAAGGGTAATGAGGGGAAAAGATTGGGCAGAGGGAAGAAGTAATATTTGAAGAAAATGTTGGCCAAAATTTGTTTTCTTTAACTTTTATTTTAGGTTCAGGGGATACATGTGCAGATTTGTTACATGGGTAAATTACATGTCTCTGGGGTTTGGTGTACAAATCATTTTGTCACCCAGGTAATGAGCATAGTTACCTGATAGGTAGTTTTTCAACCCTTACTTTCCTCCCACCTTCCACCCTCCAGCAAGCCCTGGTGTCTATTGTTCTCCTTTTTAGTTTGTAAGTACTCAATGTTTAGTTTCCACTTATAAATGAGAATATGTGGTATTTGGTTTTTCATTTCTATGTTAATTTGCTTAGGATAATCGCCTCCAGCTACATCCATGTTGCTGCAAAGAACATTATTTTGTTCTTTTTTATGGCTGTGTAGCATTCCATGGTGCACATACCACATTTTCTTTATTCAGTTCACTGTTGATGGGCATCTAGGTTGATTCCATGTCTTTGCTATTGTGAATACTACTAAGATGAACATATGAGTGCATGTGTCTTTTTGGTAGAATAATTTATATTCCTTTGGGTATATACCCAGTAAAGGGGTTGCTGAGTCAAACGGTAGTTCTGTTTTAAGTTCTTTGAGAAACCTCCAAAGTGCTTTCCACAGTGGCTGAACTAATTTACATTCCCATCAGCAGTGTGTGAGCGTTTTCTTTTCTCTGCAACCTCGCCAACATTTGTTATTTTTTGACTTTTAAAAAATAGCATTCTGGCTGGTGTGAGATGGTATCTCACTGTGGTTTTAATTTTCATTTTTCTGATGATTGGTGATGTGGAGCATTTTTTCATACACATGTTGGGCACATGTATGTCTTCTTTTGAGAAGTGTCTGTTAATGTCCTTTGCCCATTTTTTAATGGAGTTATTTTTTTGCTTGTTGATTTAAGTTTCTTGTAGATTCTGGATATTAGACCTTTAGTTTGCATTTTTTTCCCCATTCTGTAGGTGGTCTCTTTACTCTGTTGATAGTTTCTTTTGCTATGCAGAAGCTCTTTAGCTTAATTAGGTCCCACTTGTTTATTTTTGTTTTTGTTGCAATTGCTTTTGGATACTTCATCATAAAATCTTTTTGCCAAGGAATATGTCCAGAATGGTATTTCCTAGGTTTTCTTCTAGATATTTCATAGTTTTGGGCCTTATATTTAGATCTTTAACTCATCTTGAGTTGATTTTTCATATGCTGAATGGAAGGGGTTCAGTTTCAATCTTCTGGATATGGCTAGCCAGTTATCCCTGCACCATTTATTGAATTAGGGAGTCCTTTCTCTATTGCTTATTTTAGATAACTTTGTTGAAGATAAGATGGTTGTAGGTGTATGGCTTTATCTCTGGGTTCTCTGACCTCTTCCACTGGTCTATATCTCTGTTTTCATACAAGTATCTTGCTGTTTGGTTACTGTATCCTTGTAACATAGTTTGAAGTTGGTGATATGGGAGTGGGGCCAGGGAAGTGCTGGATAGAGAAGGGCAGCGTCCCTGTAAAGGGCTCCACCCTCAGGCCCGTGCCTGTGGACCTAAGTGAGAACAGGCATTTCTGTTTTCGTGCCCAAATGTTGCGTTTTCCAAGACTACTGTGGCCCACCATGCCTCCCATCCTGTGCCCATATAAACCTGAGACCTTAGTGGGCACACACACAAGCAGCTGAACATGGAGAGGAGCAGACTGTCAGACCTGCAATGGTGAAACGCTGTGACAGAGAAAGAGAGAAAGGAAGGACGTCTGGATACCAAGGGGATTTCAGCTGCGGGAAGTCAGAGAAGAGTCTGGCCGCTGAGTGGCCCGACTCCAGGGGAAGACCACCTTTCCACTCCATCCCCCACTTCTGGCTCCCCATCCATCTCACTGAGAGCCACCTCCATCACTCAATAAAACCTTGCACTCATCCTTCCAGCCCACATGTGATCTAATTCTTCCAGTACACTGGGCAAGAACTCAGGCTGTCACACTGGCCCCCTGCCCTTGTGATAAGGCAGAGGGTCTATTGAGCTGATTAACACAAGCTGTCTGCAGACAGCAAAGCTGAAAGAACGCACTGTAACACACACCCGCTGGGGCTTTGGGAGTGGTAGACACCCACCCCAGATGCAGCCATGGGGCTAGAGCCCAAAAGCACTCCCCACAGCTTTTGCATCTGCCCATCTGCATGCTTCCACTAGGGATTTGAGCAGCAGAGCAAGCCACACCTCTATCACACATTCTGCGAGGGGAATGAGGGAACTCTCCTGTGATGGCTCCAGCTTTATTCTTTTTGCTTAGAATTGCTTGCTCTTTTTTGGTTCCACATAAATTTTAGAATTTTTTTTTCTAATTCTGTGAAAAATGATGTTGTTAGTTTGATAGGAATAGGATTGAATCTGTAATTGCTTTGTTCTGTATGACTGTTTTAACAATATTGATTCTTCCTAACCATGAACATGGAATGTTTTTCCACTTGTTTGTGTTATCTCTGATTTCCTTCAGCAGTGTTTTGTAGTTCTCCTTGTAGAGATCTTTCACATCCCTGGTTAGCTGTATTGCTAGATATTTCATTCTTTTGGTGGCTAATGTGAATGGGATTGCATTCCTGATTTGGTTCTCAGCTTGGATGCTGTAGGTGTATAGAAATGCTACTGGTTTTTAGACATTGATTTTGCATCCTTGAACTACTGAAGTTGTTTATCAGTTCTAGGAGCCCTTCAGGCAGAGACTATGGCATTTTCTAGGTATAGAATTATATCGTTTGTGAAGAGAGATAGTTAGACTTCCTCTATTACTATTTCGATGCCTTTTACTTCTTTCTCTTGCCTGATTGCTCTGGCTAGACTTTTCAGTGCTATCTTGAAAAGGAGTGGTGAGAGTGGACATCCTTGTCTCAGAAATCACAAAGGTGACATTACCACTGACCTCATAGAAATATAAAAACCCTCGGAAACTATTACAGACACCTCTATGCCCACAAACTAGAAAACCCACAAGAAATGGATAAATTCCTGGAAATATACAACCTCCCAAGATTGAACCGGGAAGAAATGGAAGTCCTGAACAGACAAATAATGAGTTCTGAAATTGAATCAGGAATAAAAAACCTACCAACCAGAAAAAGCCCTGGACCAAATGGATTCACAGCCAAATTCTACCAGACATACAAACAAAGAGCTGATACCAATCCTATTGAAATTATCCCCAAAAACTTGAGAAGGAGGGACTCCTCCTTAACTTATTCTATGAGGCCAGCCTCATTCTGATACCAAATGAGACACATAGGAAAAAAGAGAACTTCAGGTCAATATTCCTGATGAACATAGATGCAAAATGCTCAATAAAATATTACCAAATCAAATTCATCAGCACACAAAAAGCAAATCCACCAGGATCAAGCAGGCTTTATTCCTGGGATGCAAGGTTGGTTCAGTATACACAAATGAATAAATGTGATTTATCCCATAAGCAGAACTAAAAACAATAACAACTATGATCATCTCGATAGATATGGAAAATACCTTCAATAAAATTCAGCATTCCTTCATGTTTAAAACCCCCAAGAAACTAGGCATCGAAGCAACATACTTCAAAATAATAAGAGGCATCTATGACAAACCCACAGCTACCATCATACTGAATAGGCAAAAGCTGGAAACATTCCCCTTAAAAACTAGCCAAAATTCTTTTCAAGATAATGATAACTTGAACTCATGGATCCAAGAAGCTCAAAGAATCGCAAGCCTAGTAAAAATGCATATGGCTACACAAAGGCACAAAATAAGCAAAATTTTTTAAAAAATGTGATAGTGGCAAAATCTTAAAAGTAGCCAGAAAATATACCTGTAAAATGAAGGCAATATTACTGTAAAATGAAGGCAAAATAAAGATCTTTTTCAAACAATTGGAAGCTCAAAGAATTATTTGCTAGCAGACCTGCACTTCAATGAATGTTAGAGGAATTTTCTCAGGCAGAAGAAAATTGGTATCAGATAAAATTTGGGTGGATGACAATAAAGATTGTTTTAAATTCATGGTAGAAATCTCTTAAAAGATAAAAAAATTAAAAGCAAAAATAGGATTGTATTGTGGGGTTTATAACACATGTAGAAGTAAAATTTATGGAACACTTCACCCAACAGCAGCACAGTCACATTGTTATAATACACATGTAAATCAGTGCATGTGGAAAAAGCCACAGCAATTTCAATGAAAATTGAATGAGAGGGAGGAAATAGAAGTATACTGCAATAATGGCATAAACTATAGCCGTTATTTTTGAAGATAGACTGTAAAAATATAAAGGTGCCTATTTTAAACTATATAGTAAAAACAAACCCCTAAAACAAACAAATAAAAATATGTATAGAAAATAAGCCACTAATGGAGATAGGTAGAATAATAAACAAACAATCCAAAAGAAGGAAAAGAGAGAAAAAGTAACAAAGAACAGATGGGACAAATAGAAAAACAAATGGTGAAATAGTACATGTAAAATATCTGCATTTATAATCATAATAAAAGTAAGTGGTCTCAGCATTCTAATTAAAAATAGACAAAGGATTGTCAGATTGGATAAAAAAGTAAGACAACTATATTCTATCTAAAGGAACCCATTTTAAATGTAAAGAGAAAAATAGATAAAAAGGAAAATAATGGTGAAAGATACATTATGCCAACCATAGCCAAAAAAAAAAAAAAACTGAGGTATCTCCTGTAATAACAAAATGGACTTAAGAACAAGGAATTTTACCAGAGATAAAAAGTGACATTTCATAATTTAAAAAGGGTCAATTAAATATAAACGTGTAACTTTTTGTTATAGTTTGGATATTTGTCCCCACCCAAATCTTATGTTGAATTCTAATTCCCAGTGCTGGAAGTGGAGCTTGTCGGGAGGTGTTTGGATCATGGGGGCGGATCCCTCATGACTTGGTGCTGTCTTTGTTATCGTGAGTACTCCTGAGATGAGATCTGTTTTTTAAAAGTGTGTAGCACTTCCCCTACCATGCTCTGTCACTCTCTCTCTTGCTCCTGCCTTTGCCATTTGACATGCCTGTTCCCCCTTTGCCTTCTGCCATGATCATAAGCTTCCTGAGACCTCCCTAGGAGCTGAGCAGAGGCCCACACCATGCTTCCTGTAAAGCCTGCAGAACCATGAGACAATTAAGCCTCTTTTCTTTATAAATTACCCAATCTCTGGTGTTTCTTTATAGCAATACAAGAATGGCCTACCTAGCACACTGTCTAATAACAGAGTTTCAAAATATGTGATCTAAAAACTGACAAAATGGAAATAATAGAAAAAGAAATAAGGGACATAAAGATTGATAATAAATAAAATTGATTTTAATAGAAGATAAACAATTGACTAAAATAAAACTTAATGAATTTACGTAAAAGCTACTGGAACTAATAAGTGTTTAGTAAGATCAATGGTTATAAAATGAATACACAAAAATCAACAGTGTTTTAATAGACATTTTAGCAATGAATAATTTTTAAAATAACATTTATAATGGTATCCGAAAATATGGGATGCTTAGAGAAAATTTAACAAAACGTGCAAAAACTGTATTTTTTACACTGAAAGCTATAAAACATGGCCAAGAAAAAATAAAGAAGATGTAAAAAAATGGAGTCCTCTACTAAAATCTCTCCAGATTGATTTAGAAATTCAACAAAATCACAATAAAAATCCAAGCAGATTTTTATTGGTGGAAATTGACAAGCTGCTTCTAAAGTTTATGTGGAAATGCAAAGAATCTAGAATAATATAATTAATTGTAGTAGTCAGAATTATACCTTCCATCACCACCTTCCCAAAAAAAGATGTCCATCCTCTAATTCCTGGAACCTGTGACTGTATTATCTTACATGGGCAAAAGTGACTTCGCAATTGTGGCTAATGATATGAACCTTGAGACGGTGAGATTGTCCTGGATTATCCAGATGGCTCTGTGTATATGGGTTCTTAAAGGCAGGAGACCTTTCAATGTTGCATCAGATAGATGAGACATGAAAAGGAGGAGGGATTTGAAACATGGGAACCAACTTTTGCTGGTTTTGAAGGTGCAGGATGAGACCACAAACCAAAGAATAAATGTGGCTTCTAGGAGCTGGGAACAGCCCTTAACTGAAAGCCAGCAAGGAAATGGGATCCTCAGTCTTTACAAGGAATTATATTCTGCCAACAACTTGCCAATGGGAAATAGTTCTGTTTTTTGTTTTTTTTCCCTAGAGTTTCCATAAAGGAACACAACCATGTGGACAACTTGATTATGCCCTACAAAACTGTAAGTTAAATTTGTGTTATCTAATATTTTTAAGCTGCTTTAAAAAGAAACAATAAAAACAATATAATCATGTTCTAAAAGAATGTCATATTTGGAAGGCTGACATGATCTGATTTCAAGATTTACTGTGATACTAGATTAATCAATACAGAATGGTATTGGCATAGGAGTAATAAATGTCAGTGTTTCTTCAAATTCTTGCTCTCAGAATCCCTTTACACTCCAATGAAGTGTCAAGTTTTTGTTTATATGAGTTATATGGGTTATATATGTTGATATCTACCACATGTTTTATATTTAACTTTAAAAAATAAATAAATTTTAAACATAGAATTTTATCTATTTATTTTAAATGTGCACTTTAACTATAATCTCATTGTTGAACTATACATTTTCATAAAAATAACTGTAAATTCCCAGATGCACATCCAAATTAGTGAGAAAAGTAGCATTATTTTATATTTTTGCAAATTTTAAAAATAGCTCTTTATTATCAGCTGGATTCTCATTTCTGTTTCTGCATTACATTTGCTGTAATATCACACATAATCCTCTAGAAAAGTCCATCCATTGAACATTTGAGAGAATGAGAGAGAAAAAAGTAAATAATGTTTTAGTATTATTATGAAAATAAATTGTAGTTCAAGGACCCTTGAAAGGATCTCTGGGAGTCAGACCACACTTTGAGAACCACTGATCTGGATTAATGGAACAGAATATAGTCCAGAAATAGACCCATTAATATATATATTCAACCGATTTTGAACAGGGATACGAAGCCAATTCAATGGAAAAAAGGATAATCTTTTCAACAAATGGTGTGAAACAACTGGACAGCATATTCACAAAAATGAACCTCAAAATTTCCTTTATATTACATTCAAGCTGAGGCGGGCAGATCATGAGGTCAGGAGATAGAGACCATCCTGGCCAACATGGTGAAACCCCGTCTGTATTAAAAATACAAAAATTAGCTGGGCGTGGTGGTGTGCACCTGTAGTCCCAGCTACTTGGGAGGCTAAGGCGGGAGAATGGCTTGAACCCAGTAGGTGGAGGTTGCAGTGAGCCGAGATTGCGCCACGGCACTCCAGCCTGGGGACAGAGCGAGACTCCATCTCAAAAAAAAAAAAAAAAAATTAACTCAAAATTTATCAGAGATTTAAACATAGGAGATAAAACCCTAGATAGAAACATAGATAAAACTTTGTGACCTTGGGTTAGGCTAAGGTCTTTTAGAAAGAACTCAGAAAAAACATGAAACATAAAAAGAAAAAAAAAGATAAATCATCCAAACTTTTGCTCTTTGAAAGAAAATGAAAGGACGAACCATAGACTGGAGCAAAATATTTGTCAATCATTTATATAACAAAGGACGCCTATCTAGAATATATAATCAACATTTTCAGAAGAATACTAAGAAGACAAATAACATGATAAAAATGAACATAACATTTGAACAGATACGTCACACAAAAAGTTATGTGACCGACATATGAAAATGCCATAAAAATTCGTCATCATAAATCACTAGGAAATTGCAAATTAAATTGGAACATATCACACACTGACTAGCTTGAATAGGGGAAGAATTACAATATCAAGTTCTGCTAAGGATATAAAGTTTCTGCAAATCTCATACATTGCTGATGGGAATGCAAAATGGTATGATTCCTTTGGTAGATAGTTTGACAAATTTTTATAAATTTAAATATACAAACATATGTGTACTTGTGACCCAACAATCCTATTTCTAGGAGTTCATTCATTACAAATGAAAACATATGTTTATGGACTTATAAGTGAATGTTCATAATACTATATTCTTGGTAGCCCCAAACTGGAAACAATCTAAATGTCCGTTTAGGTTAATGGATAAACAAATTGTGTTATTTCCATGTGACTGAATATTACTCAGCAATAAAAAGAAACAAACTACTATTGATTTATGCAACAGCATGTAAACTTAAAAGCCTTATGCTAAGAATAAATGCCAGACACAAGACTGTGTAAGATATAATTGTATTATATAATATTATGGAAAAGCCAAAACTGTAGTGATAGAAAGTAGATCTATGGTTGTCTGGGGCATGTCATGGCAGGCAATAATTGACTGGGAAGGAACAATGATTGGGAAGGAACACTGGGAAGGATTATCCTTTTTTCCATGGCTTGGCTGTGTCCCCACCCAAATGTCACCTTGAATTGTAATAATCCTCACGTGTCAAATGTGGGGCCAGGTGGTGATAATTGAGTTATGGGAGCTGTTTCCCCCATACTGTTCTCATGCTAGTGAATAAGTCTCATGAGATCTGATGGTTTTATAAAGGGGAGTTCCCTTGCACACGCTCTCTCTTGCCTGCTGCCGTGTACGAACTGTCTTGCTTCCCCTTCACCTTCTGTCATGATTGTGAGGCCTCCCCAGCCATGTGGAACTGTGAGTCAATTAAACTTCTTTCCTTTATAAGTTACCCAGTCCTGGGTATGTCTTTTTAGCAGCGTGAAAGCAAATGACTACAATCAGGGAACATTTTAGGGCAGTGAGCGTGTTCTATGTTTTGATTGTGTTCTACATACATCTTGAAAATTAGCTACATAACTGTAATTTCTCAAAAGTCATTGAACTCTACATTTATAATGGGAGAATTTTGTTTTCTGGTAATTACATACTAAGGAGGTTAATTAAAAAGCACTACAACTCTCATTCTTGCAGCTATGGGTCCGAATAAGTTACAATGAACTGTCTTGAGGTTTGAAAGGCTAAAGTGAGGCAGATGATGTATTTTTGCAGCTTTTGCTTTTTTTTTTTTCTGGTAAAGAGGTAGTAGAGGCATTTAGCTTGTTCTGTGGTAGGATTAAGCAGAGTTCACCATGTCTAGTCATTTGCTTTGTAGAGGTCAAGAGGCAGGACATGAAACATCCATTCTGCTAGTGCAGATGTAGCTAGCATGGAACATTCATAAGCTGGCAGCTATAGCAGCTTCTGGTTGATAGAAGTTCTCTGATTGTGGCAGCCACCTGGCTGTTGTGACTTCCTAACCAGTGTTAGTTTTGGCACCAATGGCTTTCTGATCTTAGAAGAGGCAGCATTGATTTTATGGTGTGGCTTTTGGAACTGTTCCCTTTAAACTCAACTCTGAATCTGTTTCTTCAACTCTTACCATGATTATGCAAGCTATATAATATTCTATAATGAAACAATTCTTCATTTAAACTAGCTAGAATGGAGTTTGTTCTTTAAGTGAATGCTAATATACTGGCTTGTAGGCATATTATGAGAAATCAATGAGATTAGGTATGTAAACAACTTAACAGCACCTGGTACTTAGTAAAAAAAACCTCTATAAATATTTAATGTTATTGTTACTATCTAATGCTAGGTATATGCATAGTGAGCAAACCAGCATGGGAGTATAAAATTGAGAGTTGACTTGATTGCTCATTTATTCAGACAGAACTGAAATGATGTAATGGTTTGATGGCTCTCTAGATATGCCTAGTTTTTCAGTTTATGCTAATTTGCCTACATGATCTGGCCCTTCCCCATCCCTAATCCCATCGTCTATTGCTCTCCAGCTTGCTTATTGGAATCCAGACAAACTGGCTTTCTAATGCTGTGTTTCAAATAAGTTAAATTTATATCTGCCTCAGGGAATGAATGCAGAATATTAAGGTAAGAGTCCTAAAGATCTCACTCGTGCATCTTAAGTTCAGGATGCAGATGTCTTATATACATAATCTCCAGAAAACCTGGAGATATGATTGTTGGTATTTGATAAATCAAAAAGAATAAGAAATGTTCCGGAGGCAGAAAATAGGCAAATCCTGCTCTATTTTTTTTAATAGGAAAAGAATAATTTGGAAAATTGTGGAGTAAGAATCCTAATGTAAATATATAGCAAAATGATTTAATAACTTTTAAATGGGTTTTGAGTTATTGGAAATAACATATTAGTAAGAGGCAGTATTAGTTTATGGAGAATAAGTTCAATCAAGTGAAATGTGCTGTTTCTTTTAAAGGATTTCATGACTGTCAGATTAAGGAACTACTGTAGACACACTTTAGTAAGGAATTTGACCAAGTTATAATATTTTTAGGAATAAGACTGAGAAATGTAAGCTGCTTATGACACAATGCAATGACCTATCTGACTCAGTGCATCTAATGTGGGACCAATTAGTGAGTGCCCACTGGCAGGCGCGACCCCACCTGAGGCTTTGAGACCATTCCTGACCCAAGATATGATTTAGGTCAGGAACTCCACGACTTAGCATGCAAGTCAGCGTGATCCTTCATTTTCTCAGATATCTTGCTTGAAATCTTGATTTGGGGTCTTGAAGTCATCCTTGACATCTCTGTCACTTCTTACATTCAATTATCTATTAAAATTGATTAAATTTGACTTATCCCAATCATCTCTACCACTATTTCTTAGTGCCTATCCTCATCTTTGTTCCCCTATGGCAACAGCTTTCTAACCATTCTTTCTACCACATTTGCTCCACTTCTCCCCACTAAAACTCCACATTGTGGCCAGCTATCTTTCTGAATATCAAATCAGACCACGTCACTTTCTTGATTACATATCCCAAACAAAAAAGTTGAAATTTCTTCATAACATGACCCAGACCTATATTTAGAGATTCATTTTCTGTGATTGCCTGTCCTCACTACTCACTTTCAAGAACACTTGAAGTTCTCTTGTAAGCTGTGCTTTGGGCCTGCTATTTTCACTGCCTCTTCTCTTCTATATCCTCACTACTTGATGAGACTTTGTTTTTTAAGGCCACGGAAATTTGAAAAACAGTGACTCCACTTATCATGGACAAGTCTCACAATTCCTGGGGCATCATTCACTTGGTATTTTATGTGAACGATATACTGCACAGCCCCTGCAAGCAAGCTCTTCATTTAGACTTCAATGCAAATGATAACCCCTGGAAGACTGAAACTGGGTGGCTGTGAAGATAATGTGTGCAGTTATATGCTGAAAAAATTTCTAATTGTTTATAAATGTAGGAGCATAGGGGAATCTTGTTATAGTGCCCCTATGTTCTCCCCTCCCCTCCCCTTTCAAGAAGTAACTACTATTACTTGTTGGGTTATGTTGTTTTAGACATATGCCTAAATGTATTTTCATATGTATAAATACATACTTATGTAAGTGTACACATGAAGTACAATATTTTTCTTACGGGAGAAAGAACATAATACACATTTTGTTCTGTAACTTGCCTTTCATGCTGTTCAGTATGCCTTGGACAATGTTGCTGGTCAATATATATAGATCTGCCTCATTTCTTTTTAAGTTGAACTCATTTGTCAGGATTCAGTTCAAATTGAGTCTATGTTTTTGCCAAACTCTTGGCAGCTCTGTTACCATTTTTGTGTGATTTCTTAACACTGCATATTCTTATATAATGGTACTTATTAGAATGAATTATAATGATGTCTTTACAAGTCTATTTCATTCCTAAATAAACTCTGATATCCTCAAATAGACCCAGGTTCTTGGAACATTTCAGTGGATCAAAATAATTTCTGTTGAGTGACTTCATTATATTGGAGTTTTCCTCATAAGTCCAGTACTAGATAGATAAGGTGAGAAAAACCAGTATCATACTCCTTAGACACCTCCTTGGATTGAAATGATTAACTCCCACATCTCTGAACTGTCCAAGGAGAGGTTCCTGTTTGCCTTATTTTCTAGGCATTTTGAAGGCCTTCCTTGGTAATATTTTTGGAGCATTCTGTGCTTTGTTGTGAAATACAAAATGGACATCAAAATATAGAAATTAAGGAAAAATTCCTATTTTTCAGGTTATCAGTCTCTCCAGGCTCAAACTTGTATATTTTAAACTAGGCCTCAATTGAACCAGAGTTTTTCCCTAGCTCTTCTTTCCTTTTGCAGATCTAAACTGAAACTTACTTTAAAAGCCTATTCCCTATTACTTAACTTTTCTTTCTTCAAACTTCTGGGACTTCTTTATTTATCCAACCTTCAGCGAGTTATGAATAGAGAGTTGAATAAAGAGATTCCTTGGAAATTGCCTTTGCTGAGCAAAACCATCTAGGAGTGCCAACTCTACCTTGTCTGGTTCTCTCTCTTTTTTCTTTTCTTTTTTTTTTTTTGCCTTCCTATTCCTTTTCAACTTTTCTCAATTACTTAACTTATCCACTTTTGTTAATGATAATTGTGAAGATTTGAAGAAATAATGGCCCATAGAACAAACTAATTATCTTATCTCAACAAAGAAGAATCTTTGTAAGTCAAACAATATTTATTGTACTTATTAAAGTAAGTATCCTATTGCTTGCCATGCAGGGGATACATTTAATGTCACATTAGTAGTAATAAATCACATTTTTATGGTTTATTGTCTCCATCCCTAGAAAAGACCTTATTCCATGATCACATGTATAATTTTTTTGGCACACATGGGATGCTCCATTTCATAGACTGTTATAGATAAGCCACTTCTCTTTGACACTGCTGCTGGTGCCGACAATACCTGGTACCAATACACTTGGTACTAACAATACAAAAGTTACATGGATATTTGTAATAAGGGGATTGTCTTGGTAGAAATCCTTATGGAGGCTGTTGGGGAGTAACATATTATTGAAAGCTAGAGGAAAGGGGACTTTTGCTGTGTGTAGTGGTAGATACCTGTTATTGTAGTGTTACATGTAGTGGTAGATACGTGTTACCTGCTGTTATGTGGAAAATATAAGATATACCTAAGTAACCGATAGACTTGGCTCAGGAGATTTTTAAGCAGAACGTTGAAAGTAACATCTGGTTTCTTTTAGAGGGAAAAGTTCAAAAATAATCTTTAATTTTCAAGCAACAGCTAAAGGAAATATAAAGGAGTCAAGACTTGGGGGACACTTAATGGTAGTTTAAATCCACATGAAGACGTACAAAGCATTGATAATGGTAACTACATAGGGATATATAAACAACAGTATAAATATATTTTATGGTAACACATTTCTTCTCCTATCTGATATAAAAGACAACTGCATAAAACAATAATTATAAAAATGTGTTGATGGACTTATTATGTATACAGATATAACAGGTATAGCAATGATACCAAAAGGAGGGAGGAGAAAATGGAGGTATCAGTATAAACTAGATTGAGTTAAGATGCTAATTGTAATCCCTAGGAAAATTACTAACAAAATAACTAAAAAAATATAGTAAAAGCAGCAAGGGAATTAGAATAGGACACTAAAAAATATTTCTTCAAAAACCAAAGAGGGAACTAATAGAGAAGAAACAAGAAAGACAAAGATATATAGAAAACAGATAGCAAAATGGCAGACATAAATCCTACTTTACCAGTAATTATATTAAATATAAATACACAAAAACCTTCCATGAAAAGGCAGACAGAAGAGTGGATTAAGAAAACATGACTGAACTATAGGTTGTACATGAGAAAGACTGAGATTCAATACTTGAGATAAATTGAGATTCAAAGACAAGAATAGATTGAAAGTAAAATGATGGGAGAAGATATGTCATGCAAGCTGTAACTAATAGTGACAATACAAAAGTCATACAAAGTAGACTTTAATATGGCAGGATTCTGGGAAGAAGGCAGAGTAGGAAATACCAGGAATCCATCTCTTTACCTAGACAGCAGTTGCACTGACAGAATCTGATATAACTGTTTTGGAACTGTAAAGTCTATTAAAGGCTTGCAACTTTCAGGGGAAGAATTGGATGGTAAATTGTGGTTAGTTTTGGACAAATTTCAACTCTTAGCACAGTAGCAGTTACTCATCTCCTAGTTCCAACCCCTTGACAAACAGCTGTACACATACATGTTCCTAGAGCAACCTTCACACAACTTGGGAGAGCCAGAGTGGCTAAAAAGGACTTAGTCAAAAGAGTTACAGTCAAAGAGGTGGTACTCATTGTTGTTGCACCTCCTGTAATTTTTGCAAACTCCTCCACCTCTAGCTGCAGTGGCTTCCAGGGGACTTAAGCCCAGTGCCCTGTTTACTTCCTTCTTCTTTTTTTTTTTCTTGCTTTCTGAGAATCAGACACCAAAGACTACGGCATTCAAAAGCAGCTGCATACATGGGGAAATTAGAAAGTGACCTCAAAAACTGTAAGGCATATAGAAAACAAACAGCAAAATGACAGAAGTAAGTCCCTTCTTAGAAGTGATTACTTTAAATGTAAATACATTAAACTCTCCAATCAAGAGACAGATTGGCAAGATGGATAAAAAATATTCCAACTATATTCTGTCTACAAGAGATTCATTTTAGATCCAAAGACACAAATAGATTGAAAGTAAAAGAATGGAAAAAGATATTTGGCACAGTTGGTAACCGAGAGAGCAAGGGTGGCTATACATCGGACAAGATAGATTTTAAATCAGCAAAGATTACAAGACATAATGAAGGATATTATATATTAATAAATATATTAATAAAACAGTAAGAAGGTATAAAAATTATAAACATGTATGTAATATAAGCCTTCATATATATATATAAAGCATATATATCTATATATACACATATATAAAGCAAAAACTGACAGACTGAAGGGAGAAATAGACAGTTCTACATAGTAGTTGGAGACTCCAGCACCCTGTTGTTAATGATGGATAGAACAACCAGACAGAATAAAATAAGAAATCATAGGACTTAATAAGCCACTAGATCTAACAGGTATGTACAAAACACTCTGCAAAGTAACAGCAGCATACACATTTTTCCCAAGTGCTCACTGGGTTCCCGAATAGACCAGGTGTTAGGCCAAAAGTACCATCTCAATATATTTACAAGATAAATACTATATATGGTATCTTCTCTGACCACAACAAAGCAAAGTTAGAAATCGATAAAAGAGATAAAAGTATCCAAAATTGAAGAAATTAAACAACATACTCTTAAACAACCAATGGATCAAAGACAACCAATGGAAATTATAAAATATGTAGAGATTAATGAAAATGAAAACACAATATACTAAACCTATGAGATGCAACAAAAGAAGTGCTAAGGGGGAGATTTATAGCTATAAATGCTCACATTCAAAAATAGAAAAGATCTCAAATCAGTAGCCCAACTTTACAACTTAGGGTACCAGAAAAAGAACAAACTAAACTCAAAGCTACCAGAAAAATAGAAATAAAGATTAGAGCAAAGATAAATGACATGTAGAATAGAAAGAAGATAAAGTCATGAAACCAAAAGTTGGGTTTTTTGAAAAATTTAACAAAGTTAACATCTTTCGCTAGATGAACTAATGAAAAATGGAAGAGACTCAAACTACTAAAATCACAAAGGAGAGACATTACAACCAATTCTATAGAAATAAAAATTAAAGAATAAAAATAAAAATAAAAATTTTTTTCTGTAGAATTAGTTGTAATGTCTCCCCTTTATGATTTTTGTATACTCATTATACAAGAGTACTATGAGCAATTGCATGCTGAAAAATTTTAGAATGTAGATTAAATGGACAAAATCCTAGAAATCAAAACCTAACAACCTATTTGTACATTGAAATTCTAGCCCCCAAGGTTATGGTATTCAGAGTCAGGACTTTTGGGAGGTAATTAGGTCATGGGGTGGAGGCCTCATGAATGGGATTAGTGCCCTTATAAAAGAGACCACAGAGAGATAGTTTGTCACCTCCACCAAATGAAGACACAGTGAGTGCCATCTATGAACCACAAAACAGGGTCTCACCAGACACTGAATCCGACAGCATCATCATTTTGGACTTCCCAGCCTCCAGGATGGTGAGAAATAAATTGCTATTTATTAATATAAGCTACCCAGTTTATGACATTTTGTCATAGCAGCCTGAATGAACTAAGACAGACACTATAAGAAAAGAAAAGTACATACCAATATCCCTTACAACATTGATACCATGTTTGTCCTCTACAAAATACTAGCAAACCAAATCCAACCATGTATTAAAAGGATTATATGGCATGAGCATGTAGAATTTATTTTTGGAATTGAATGCAAGGATGTTTCAACATACAAAAATCTAAAAATATACTATACCACATTAACAGAATGAAGAGGGAAAATGCATGATCATCTCAATTGATGCAGACAAAGCATTTTACTTCAAGCCCGTTAAGATGACTATTATAAAAAAAAGAAAATAACAAATATTGGTGTGTATGTAGAGAAATTGCAAACTCTTGTATACTGTTGTTGGAATGCAAAATGTTATAGCCACTGTGAAAAACAGTATAGTGGTTCCTCAAAAAATTAAAAATGGAATTACCATATGTTCCATTAATCCCACTTCTGGGTGTATAACCAAAATAATTGAAAGCATATTTGCAAAGAGGTATTTGTATACCCATATTCATAGGAGCATTATTTACAATAATTGAAACATGGGAGCAACCTGTGTCCACAGACAAATAATGGCTAAGTAAAATGTCACACACACACACACACACACACACACACACTTACAATGGCCTATATTATTCAGCCTTAAGGAAAAAGGGAATTTTGACATATGCTACAACATGGATGAATTGTGAGGAAATTCTGCTAAGTAAAATAAGCCAGTAACAAAAAGATAAATATGGTATCATTTTACCTATATGAGGTACTTAGAGCAGTCAAACTCATAAGAGACCAAGAGTAGAATATTGTTTGCCAAGGTCTAGGGGTAGGAGGATATGTGGTTTATCTATGGAATGGAATTTTTTTTGGCCATACAAATCAATGAAGTGTTGATTTTTGTTAAAATACTGATGAATATTGAAAGTGTTATGTTAAGTGAAAGAAGTCAGTCACAAAGGCTACATATTGTTTGATTCTAACAGGCAAATCTATAGAGACAGAAGGTAGGTTAATGACTATCCAGGGCTGGTAGGAGATACAGAGGGACTACTGATGGATAGGGGTTTTCATTTTGAGGTTGCAAAAATGTTCTAAAATTAGATTGTAGTTATGGTTGTACAAGTCTGTACACATGATAAAACACACTAAACAACAGACTTTAAATGAATGGAGTTTATGGTATGTGAATTATATCTCATAAAGCTATATAAAAAAAGGATCTTTTACCAAAGTGGTTAACAGTTTGGAGAAAGAAAGGAGGGGTAGGGAAAACACCGTCTTTAAAATATTTTTCTTCTCATTATGTATGTTAAAATGGAGAAATACAATGAAGGTCCATGTAAACTTATTTTAATAAGCTCATGGTATTCAGCTTTCTGCTAAGTAAGCTTCCTGACATCTTACTGAAGACAGATGCAAGCTATCTTCAATAACAAATAGCTGATAAAGAACAAAAAACTTCAGCAAATGACGTAATTTTCTGCACAGGCAAAGACAGCTTCCTATACTGTCTCAATAACCTACAAGGCCAAGAGTAGGCCTATCATCTAGGTATTAATTCAGTATTTCATGCATTTCAATTCTCAAACTTTACAGGATGTCTTCAAGTTTCAGTTAAGTTAAAAATCATCTTAGAGATCCAACCTAAGATCCTCTCATGTATATTCAAGGCTATTCATCGCAGCACTATTTGCTAAAGTAGAAATAATCCAAATATTCATTAACGAGAGACTGGTTGAATAAACTCTGCTACATACACACAATGGAGTATTAAGCAGCTATAAAATAGAATGAGAAATATCTTCATGTACTGCTGCAGAGCTATCTCCACGGTATATTCTTCAGAAAAAACAACCTCGGTAAAAATTGTGTGTATAGTGTGTTATTGTTTAAGAAAGAGGGAGAGATAGATACTATTGTGAGGAGCAGACAGAGCTAGTTTGACTTCTTTCAATATATTTTCCTTTGTAGATTTGACTTTTGAACTATCTACATATTTTACCTAATTATGAAATAAAATTAAATTCAGAGGCCAAACTTAAAGAGGAAAAGTAAAATAAAATAAACCAACAAACTCTTTAATTGTATTAAAATATTTGTATTTTCTAAACTCTCCAGGAAAAAAACAAAACCACTCTTACTTTAGAGGATTCTAGTTAGGCATTTTTGGCATCTCTTATCTGACTTTCGGTGGCTTGTTCAGTGACCTAGAAATATTTATTTGATACCTTCATCAGTATTTTGTAACTTTACAGAATACTTATGTGGCCACATAGTAAGTACTAAGATCTTTACTTGTCATTTTTTTTGACCTTTACCATGACTCAGATAGGTATTCTGACCTGCTCTGTACAGAGGGATACTAGGGCTTTGGGACATTAAGCGACGTGCTCAAGATCATTTTGAGTCACGCAAGGTAGGCAGCTTGACTTCATAATCTATGCTCTTACCCATGACTATACTGCTTGTGATTAAATTCAAATTAATCTCAAGGATATGTAAGCATCGTAGTAGGAATTAATATTTGGAAAATGCTGCTTCATTTTTATTATCTTTTCCATTAAGGAAAACTCTGCATTTTGCACATCAGTGCAAGTAAGAGTTGATTCGGCTAATTCTTCTACCATAAAACAGAAAAGTGTGAAATTTAAATATATTTGTAATGTTCAAAAGCATTTTAATTTATGTCAGCATGTTATTTATTTTAATAAAAGGAGGCATATAATTTAAAACCAACAAATGGTTAGTCTTAATAAAAGTAGCATAAATAGAACTCCGTTGAATTATTTTTTAATTACTATTTACTACAAAGTTCAAGAGGGATAATTTTGGCCATTTTATAGATATGTTTTGATTAAGCTTCTTGGAGAAGTGCTATTTAATCTAAATGTGTATTCTCATAACACTTATTATAATGCTTTATTTATTACAGGCAATAATTAACACATAAAACTTTCTACAAATAAGAACAGAATCCAGATTCCGAAAGAAAAACTAATCACCTTTTAAATGAGTGAAGTTGTTAACTAACCAACTAAAAATGTCTGTTTTTCTCATTTTTATTTTTCTATTTGCTTTATGTAATAATTCCTTCCACATAAATTTATTGAGCCCCCCAATGCATCAGGCCCTGTGTATTGGCTATCTCCCTGCGGAGCTCTCTGCCAGCTTCACTTCTTCTACCAGATAGGTGTTCTATTCTGCAGTCCTTTGAGGCCATGCCCAAGAGAGTAAGCTTAACAAAAGGTGGGATCTCCTTTTGCTGACACTTTCAGAAAGAAATCACCAACTCAGATGCATACAGGGACCTGTCAGAAAATCTAAATAAGTGAAGTGTGCCAGGTAAAGAGACAATAAGGAGTGGTGAGTTCCCAGCAAACTGTGGAGAGCAATGTCTCAGATCTCTTTGTTATCATTACGGAATGTGGGACCCAGGTTGCAAGAACTTCCAAGAAAGATGGAAAACAAGTTTTTTAAATATGAAGTATCATAATCTAGAAATGTTTGTTTCTAGATAAATAACTCAGTGAAAAAAATAAAATAAATTATAGAGTAGAAAGCAAAAAAATAAAAAATAACCTGTGGGCTCCTACATGGGGCTGGTTGAATAGAACCTGTTTATTGACTGAATTTGGCCTTTGGGTCAGCACTACATGCTCTCTCCTTTACAGTATTTTCTCTGAGCTTCATATCCTTGTCTGATAGTCCATCTCTTTTCAAGAGGATTGATATTGGGAATGTTTCTACCATTCAAAAAAGGCTCCAACTGCTACTCATAGTCATGGTCTTACCCTAAGACTTCATCAGGACAACATGTTAAAATATAATACAACAAGTCCAAAATGTACATAAGAGTTGTTTTACATATTTCTGCTTCAAGATCCAGAAACGTTACCATTTATAGCCTCTTCACATACATGTGTTAAAGTTGTTTCTTTTATATCCCTCAATATTTCAGGCTTTAGCTTCAATCATTTGCACTGTATTGACTGTGCCTGAAACTAAGCACCTTCATACTCAAACCTGAATTTTGTGAAAAATGACTGGCTTTGCCTACCAAGATTGAACTATGAAGAAATCTCAAAACTGAACAGACCAATAACAAGTAATGAGATCAAAGTCCTAATAAGAAGTCTCCCCGCAAAGAAAGTCTAAGACCTGATGGCCTCACCACTGCTTTAAATTGCCAGACATTTAAAGAACAAATACTAATCCTACTCAAACTAAACTAAAAAAAAAAATTGAGGAGGAGGGAATACTTCCAAACTCATTCTATAAGGCCAGTATCAACCTGATACCAAAACCAGACAAAGACACATTAAAAGAAAGAAAATTACAGACCTGTTGAATTTGGTTTGCTAGTATTTTGTTGAGGATCACTTTTTATCAGGTCTGGCCAACATGGCGAAACCCCATCTCTACTAAAAATACAAAAATTATCCAGGCGTGGTGGTGGGTGCCTGCAATCCCAGCTACTTGGGAGGCTGAGGCTGGAGAAATTGCTTGACCCCAGGAGGCGGAGGTTGCTGTGAGCCAAGATGGCACCATTGCACTCCATCCTGGGCAACAAGAGTGAAACTCCAACTCAAAAAAAAAAAAAAAAAAAAAAATCAATGGCATTTCTATATGCTAACAGTGAACAATCTGAAAAAGAAGTCAAGAAAGTAATCCCATTTACAGAGCTACAAAAAAATAAAATAAGATACCTAGGAATAAATCTAAAAAAGTGAAAGATCTCTGTAATGAAAATTATACAATATTGATGAAAGAAACTGAAGAGGACACTAAAAATGGAAAGATATTCCATGTTTCATGTTCATGGATTGGAAGAATTGATATTCTTGAAATATCCATACTACTCAGAGCAATCTATAGATTCAATGCAATCGCTATCAAAATACCAATGACATTCTTCACAGAAATAGAAAAAAAATCCTAAAATTTATTTGGAACCACAAAAGACACAGAATAGCCAAAGCTTTCCTGATCAAAAAGAACAGAACTGGAGGAATCACATTACCTGATTTCAAATTATATTACAGAGCTATAGTAACCAAAACAGCATCATACTGGCATAAAAAGAGACACATAGACCAATGAAACACAACAGAGGACCCAGAAACAAATCCATACCCTCATTTTCAACAAAGGTGCCAAAAACGTATACTGAATAAAGAACAGTCTCTTCAATAAATGATACTGAGGAAACTGGATATCAATAGGCAGCAGAATGAAACTAGACTGCTTTCTCTTGCCGTATACAAAAATCAAATCAAAATGGATTAAACAATAGGAATTGATCTAATAATTCAATTAAAAATGAGCAAAAGATCTGAATAGATATTTCTCAAAAGAAGACATAGAAACGGCAAGCAGGCATATAAAAAATTGCTCAACATCACTGATCAGCACAGAAATTCACATCAAAACTGCAGTGAGATATCTTTTTACTCCAGTTAAGATGTGGCTTCTATCCAAAAAAACAGGCAATAACAAATGCTGGTGAGGATGTAGAGAAAAGAGAATCCTCATACACTGTTGCTGATAATGTAAATTGGTACAGCTACTATGGTGAACAGTTTGGAGGTTCCTCAACAAACTAAGAACAACCATATGATCCAGCAATCTAATCTCACTGCTAGGTTTATACCCAAAAGAAAGGAAATTAGTATATCCAAGACATATCTGCACTCCTATGTTTATTGCAGCACTATTCACAATATACAAGATTTGGAAGAAACTTAAGTGTCCATCAGTAGACAAATGGATAAAGAAAATGTGGTAGTTATACACAGTCAAGTACTATTCAGCCATAAAAGAAGGAGATCCCGTCATTTGCAACAACATGGATGGGAATGAAATCGTATTATGCTTTGTATACATGTATTAAAATATCTCACGTACCCCATGAATATATACACCTGCAATGTATCCAAGCGACAAGGTGAGACTCTGTCTCAAAAACAAATAAAAATAAAAATAAAAAATACTGGTTTTGGAATACATGAACACTTCTAGGCCAATGGCCTGATTTCTAATGCTTACTTGTTTGAGGCAAATGTAGTTTTATTGTCTCTTAGAACCAAGTCTCATGACCATCAGTTTTCAGATGCTAGGAAGGTTGTAGTTGGTCCTTTATGCTAAAAAATAAACTCTCGGAACCTATTTACTGTTACCTGGGGATGGGAGTCACAGGTAAATGGCAAATTTCCCTCTCATGTCACTTACTTGCATAAATAACATCTCTTGAGCTAGAGTAGGAAATTTGAACTTAAAGTTCCTCCTTGCACTTTCCAATTTGGAGGGCATGTTACTACTCAGGAAATACCCCAATAAGAATGGGGAGTGTAATCTCTGGAAGTCACTGGTCAAAGAGACAATATTTCCTGATGGAATAATCATCAATCTTATTACCAAAATATGGGTAGAACATTGTGGTAGATATTGGCCCATTCAATATCCAATTTATTCTATTTCTAGTGTCTGCCATCTGTACTTCAGATGCTGGAAAGTAAGAATCCCCTCAATGCTAGGGCTCAGGATGTGACATGAAATCTCCCAATTAGATGTACCTTCATGGGACTTGAATTGGAATCTGTTGAGTCTGGGATAACCCTGGAAAAATAAGTATGGTTCCGGAGCTAGTGGCTATCCTGGCAACATCTTAATTACAGGGGCAGCTTCTGATTGTAGCAAATGTAGAAGTTACCTTGATGATACTATTCTGCAATGTTGTTTGGGAGTCATTCCTAGGAGCCAAACTAGAGTCTGTTTCTTCAACCTTCTCACTAATCCCGTAAGTCATTTGACCTGTAATAAATAAAATCCAATAGACAGCAAAGTTGGAATGAAATGTTTGCTGCCTTTTTTATTGGCTAAACTGTCTTATAGCTAGGACAGGCATTAAGTCTTAAAAATCATGACTCCATATCTGCATAAGGTATTATGTAAGCAGAGAAAGATAATTTGAAAATGAAGGAAAAAGTTTCAAGAGAAAGGATTACTTGACTAAGTTTCTTACTGCTAAAGCCACAGCTGCTACTGTCAGAGGTATTATTTTCAATCATCCAATCACGTCAGAATGGACTCCCAATCTTCTATTGGCAACATATAGTTCTCCAAGAGATTTTAGTGGCCTGGGGATGGAACTGGGGGGAGATTAATTGCAATTCACCAGTGAATGGCAAGTCATACACCACACAACATCTTCACATGCTGTCAAGTTCAGGGGATCCAGAGCTCTTTCCATTTCAAAACACTCTAGGGATTGCTTTAATTGTCTGAGCAGAGACTCCTATACACTCACTTGAGGAAGCCTCAGACATTATCCGGTGGCTCAGCTTAATCACTACTGGGAAAATGCTATACCCAAATTACATTTAGAACCTTAAGGCTAGGAATCGCACTTTCTCTCATATCCTTGCCATTCTGTCATCACTGACTACTATCGAAAATGTAGCTCTGTTTACTTATCTTTCTTCTTTCAGAATTCTATTTCCATTTCCTGTGCTCATTTTTTCTGGAACTACCATTTTGCTGGTTTATTCCTCCACAGTCTTTCATATCATTTCTTTTGGAAAATTCAATCAGTGATGAAGACACTCCTACATACTCACAATATCTTCAGTTGACTTCTTGCCTTCCCTGGAACCCAGCTCTCTCTAAAGGGCAAAGCTTCTTCTGAATATCTCTATTGTGAAAGCTGCTCGTTTTCCTAGGGTCATCTTCTCAGCATTTTCCTAACTCCACAATGCTGTTTACAAGTCCTTTCTCTTCAACATTCCTGTAAAAACCACTCCTTCACTGATGTTTATGCCACTTGGTTATGGCATACTTTACCCCTTCTATGTGTTTACTCATATATATTGGGTTCTTGCTCACCTCAAATGTATCAAAGATTTTACACCTGTTCACAGCCTTTCACTTCATCCGAAGCCTTACCATCTGTCTAGGTCCAAGTGAGCAGCTCATCCAACCTTTTTCCATCAGACTTTCTTGACCTTCCTAACACTAGTAATTTTCATCCCCAATCCATTTCTGTTGTTTCACTGTGGCCCTGGTTATCAGCCATAACCCCTATCTCACTGAAATTGTAAGGTATAATATCCTACTCCTTCATAGCTTTTCACTCCATTAGTCCCATTATATCCACCTTCTTTTACTGGTATGTCCAGATTTTAGATTACATACTACACCTTCATCCAATCTATTATGCTATTCAGAAATTCATTTGCTTTCCCATTTACCCAAATCCAATGTTTTAGTCACCCTCATCCAAGTCTGTGCCTACCCTGCAACACCTGGGTTCTGGGATAAACTGTCTGCTTCTGATATCTTATTTATTTTTAATTTTTGTGCATACCTAGTAGGTATCTATATTTATGGGGTATATGAGATATTTTGATACGGGCATGCAATGTGTAATAATCACATCAGGGTAAATGGAATATCTATCACCTCAAGCATTTATCCTTTCTTTGTGTTACAAATAATCCAATTATACTCTTTTAGTTATTTTAAAATGTACAGTACATTGTTGTTGACTGTAGTCACCTTGCCTTTGGTATTTTTGACACCTGTACTGCAGCCCAAGAAAATTATAAATTGAGCAGATTTGTACTCTACAAATTTGTAGCCTCTAACCTTGGATGGGCCATAGCTTCACCTTGTGTACCTGGCTTAGGGTACCTATTTTTTTTCACATAATTTAAAATTTTCACCACTCTTCTGTAATGCCTCAACCATGCATCCAACTTTATTGAGAAGCTTAACGGCCCTTTAATGGGGGCCATCAAGAAGAAATACTTTAACCTCTTACCTTTCATCATCTCCACAAGTTTTGTTGCATCTACTCTCACTCTCTTCATCTTTGCCCTTCTCCTTTCAGATTAAGAAGCCTTTTTCCTACGGGCCGGGGCCAAACTCTCCACTTACTTTCTGCATCCCAGCCCTCGCATCTCTGCAGAAACCTGCTTCAGCATCCATGCTCTCCTTCTTTGTACCTAGCCACTCCCACACCATGAGCTCTTCCTCCCAACCTGTAAATATGCTTAGTTCTCTGCCACATTAAAATGATGCAACCTGTCCTGAATGAATACTAAATATGGGCCAATATTGTGCCTTTTTTATGTTTAAAATGCATAAAAGTGCTGTGGGGTATCCTGACAGAGATAGTTGGCCTTCAGAGTTTTTTAAAACCTGAAAAATAAAGACTAGAAACTCTGTTATTTCAAAATTGCAAGCAGTTTTATTTCTCTACCTACAAAATAGAATGTTCTTTTGTTCTGTAAAAAATGTTTAATTGGACCTTTTTATTATATATAAAGCAAGCATTCATTTATTGTTCCTGTGGAGAACAGAACACTATTAACCCAAATCTGATATTTTTTTAGACAGAAAAATTAAGCATTCTGTTGGTAATAGAAATTGTTCTGTATTGCTGGAGCAGATTAACATCTCGGAGATTTTTTCTCTGTGTTTGTTTATGTGTTAGGAGGAGATTAGAACTTTTTTTTGCGGGGGGCGGGGGGGGGGCTACATAAATGTATAATGCCCAGGTTTGCAAAGTATTGTTTATTTGTGGAGGAGTTGTGTGAATTTTCATTCAAGAGGTTATGGAAGAAGATAAGTAATCAAGGCAATCAGACACCTGTAGAAAGAATATGGAATGAGTACCAGGTGCCCCGGCATGAGGAGTAGTGGAGAGAAGGAACTAGACCAGGCTAATGTCCAGTGCACAGTATGATATAAATTTGATTGATGAAGAAAGTACTGATGTTGAATAAATTGTCCGTAAGGAAAGGTTATGCTCCAATGAATGGGCAGGATATTTTCTCTGATGATGGTAAATGCTCCTCCATCAGTTATCCAAGAAAGAGACATAACTTGGCACAGGAAATTAGGGTTTAAGAGCCTGAGCATCAACACTACAATAGAAAGGGTACTATGATCTGGTTTCTACATACCATTTACTAAAAGGAACCAGGACTCTGGAAAACGTTTGTCTCCAGGGCTAGGAGAAAGAAAGGTATAAGATGAGCCTGGGGATTTTGTTTTGTTAGAAAGCAAGAATTGCTCAAAGAATGATACGGACATGTCAAAGAACAGAGAAGCCAGGTTCAAGGGGCTCTCAGTGGCCAAATATTACAAAATTTGAGCACCAAAAAAAAAATGATGGTAGTACAGATCATAACTAATTTTATAAAATAGGAATACATTAGCTTATATTGATATAAGTAAGTGACATTTGTTCATCAATGGGATATAATATAGTCAAAAAATACCTCCCAATAAAACACTGATTGATTATAAAAAGAGTAACTTCACTGTGGCTAAGCCAGAGAGATACCACCTTAATCAAGAGATTAAAGGTGACATCACCAGTGATGGGAAAAATTAAAATCATGTACCACCTGGCAGATGCAATAAGGGCACAGCATCATCACTTCTGTGATAATCCTGCCCAAGATGCATAGCCTGAATCGAATCATGAGGAAATAGAAAGATAAACTCAAACTGAGGAACATTCTAAAAAATAGCCTGTAATCTTCAAAAGTGTCAAGTCCTTGAAAGCCAAGGCAAGACAAATTGTTTCAGATGAACTAAGACTAAAGAGAAATGACAGCTAAAGACATGTGATCCTCGACTGGATGTTTTTTGTTTGAAATGATATTATTGGAGCATTTGTTAAAAGTTGAATGGGATTTGAATGTCAGATGGGAGTACCTTATAGATGCTGATTTCTCAATTTTGATGGTTGTTTTGTGGTTATATAAGAGAATGACCTTATGTTTAGGGTGTAATAATCAGATTGGGAACTTATTACATGATTTAAAGGGGGAATAATTCTTTAGTTTTCTGTAAATTTGAAATTGTTCCAAAAGAAAATTTTTAAAAATCAGCAAATAAAACAAAAAGTTTAACGTCATCTCATTTCATCTTCAATGGTTATTAAGACCTATTTATGTTAGAAAATGGTAATCTATACTCATTGCTTAGTTTTTTACTGCTCATTGTTGCTGTAGCATAATGTAATTTTTCCACTTGTTTTCCTTCACTCCATTTTAACAGTTCACTAAGGACTCCAGTAAAATCTTGGTTGACCAACCTTGTGCCACTTAGTGTCTGTGTAACCCTAGAAACTTAATTTACTTTGTCAGCTGAAAAATATCACAAGATATATACATTTAGACAAGAAGACTTTCTTTTTGTTTTCAACTTTTAAGTTCAGGGGTACATGTGCAGGATGTCCAGGTTTGTAACACAGGTAAATGTGTGCCATGGTGGTTTACTGCACAGGTCAACCCATCAGCTAGATATACTTTTCTGTCAGGCAGATTTCTCTGCCTATAAGATCTGAACTTTCTAGAAGCTTCAGGATCCTACCTATATGAAAACATCTTTTAACTCATGAAATATATAAATTATTATTTTATTATAATTTTTCAGCTAATCCATTTTTAGCATGTATGGCAGTGCTATTGAAATAGTTCTCCTACACCATCTAAGACCATTGAGTTCTTTTCTATATATTTATAATCATCCAAACCTCAAATGGTAACAAAAAGCAACCTGAGCATCTTATACAGCAAGAGTTAAGAGTTCATAAAACAACAAACATAAAACAATGAATAAATCCTGAAAGAGTCCCTTAAAAGTCCTTCACAAAAGCTCTGAGGAATATCTTTAGGGAAATGCAGACATAGATTTTATAAAGTTCTAGATTTCCAGAACTTCCTTGGGCATTAATTAAGCTCAATGGGTTTAGTTTATATGTTGAATCAGATATGATCAAAGAGATTTTTGTTTATCTTCATATTTTTTATGACCCTGGGATTACGTATCTAGCTTATAGGGTAGAGGAAAATAAACTATTAAATCTGGAGTCACCAAGGACTTCAACAGCAGATATAGTTTCAGCATTTTTGCCCCAATAATATACAGACATTTAACTGATAAAAATACCTTCATGTCCAAGATTCTTAGATTCTTTCAGGATTCTTAAAAAGGATAGCCTCCATGGGTTACCTCTGTGTCATCACTGTAACACAATCACTCATGCTGGATCCCAGAAGAATGAATCTCACTAAAAAAAAGTTGGACATATAACAGAACAGTAATACGCTGTGACTCCAGTTAACTTTGAGATGATGCCTCTATCATTTCATTTACATATCAAAGATTAATGTTTCACTTGGGCCCTGGGTATCTGAGGCACTAGATGTTATTTAAGACATCAATGGGTCATTATGAAAGCAGAGCTGATAAAGAAAGGTAGATGCCATTGTAATCTAGTGATCTTTACAGCACAACAAGTTCCCCTGAAGTTGGAAATCTAACCACGTTCCACAAGGAAAGCACATGGCTTAGGGAAATTGGAAGTCCGCTGGGTCCAGAAGGACTACAGTCAGAGGTAACCACATTGGAACCTGTTTACATGGTCACCAGCCTGCAAATGAGTGTTATCTAAAGAGAGAAGATGCTTGAAGTATCAGAACCATCAAAAGCTGAAAATAGCCCACAATTCATCACAGGATTCAAGAAGAGGAACCTACAAATAGCAAAGAACAGGTTAGGAACTTTTGAAGTTTCTTCCTGACTTAATGTACGAGGCCAGCCCAAAGTGCCCATGATACCCTCTTAAGAATTTCCACCTTGGCTGGGTGTGGTGGCTCACGCCTGTAATCCCAGCACTTTGGGAGGCCGAGGTGGGCAGATCACGAGGTCAGGAGTTCGAGACCAGTCTGACCAATATGGTGAAACCCTGTCTCTACTAAAAATACAAAAATTAGCGAGGCGTGGTGGCAAGTGCCTGTAATCCCAGCTACTCAGGAGGCTGGGACAGGAGAATCGCTTGAACTGAGAAGGTGGAGGTTGCAGTGAGCCGAGATTGCGCCATTGTACTCCAGCCTGGTCGACAGAGCAAGACTCTGTCTCAGAACAAAACAAAACAAAACAAAACAAAACAGAATTTCCACCTTTAGGTAGAAACCATTAGACAGATTAAACACTTTGTGCCTTTAGCAAGTCACTTACTCTCTTTGAAACTCAAAAGCAAAGTAGGACTCATTAGTAATGCATCTCACAAGGCCTGATTACACAATAAGTGCCCAATGAATGGTAGCCTTCATTATTACTATATGTATACTTTCGTATGCATTTTTTGAAATACTTTGTTAATTCTCAAAGCCTGTTAAATAGGAGTACTTATTATTAGTACTTATAGCCTAATAATTGTTGAGTAATCATTTACACAAAATTTCTTGTAAAGCTTTTGCAACTTGTTATAGATACAAGTTGGTTTCACAGATAAATACATGAATGGTCAAAATAGCTACTGGAGGAACACCATATTTACCTCTACCCAGAATAGAAAAGATACAAAAATAGAAAGGATGCAAAATAAAAAAATCCATTTATTCATTTAAAATTCCTTCTTGAAATCTGTCTATACGCCAAGTGCTGTTGTTAATGTCTGCAGAGCAGAGAGGATGTTCCCCTTATGAGTTTGCAGTCTACTGAGAAAAATCAGACATTGTTGTGATAAACTGACTAATACAAAATTTAATAACATAATTATTTCAAGTTACTAAAATTCATTGCAATCCTTTTCAGTATAAACATCAAAGGGCTAGTGATTTTTGTGTTGGTTTGTTTTTAATGTTACAATCGCAAAATATTTCTGATATCTTGGTAATATATAAGCAGGATTTTAAGTTCAAAGGTGAAATAAGAGGTCAGATCGGAACAGGATATTTTCTACTTGAATCAAAGTTTTGAATTTTTGAGATGTGGCCTCTTGCATGGTCAGAAAAATCATACATTTTTCCAGAAAGCCTACTTAATGCCATTTGCACTTTGTGGATTACTGCATGATAGACACATATATGGCCATTGGGATACCACACCTCAAAATACATTGCATTTGTGTACCAATGTATATCAGAAGTCTAAGACAAAAAATTAGCAAGAAACTTGAAGACCATCTAGTTTAATCTTTCAAGTAATAATGGGTCTTTACTACATAGTTTTTCTGACTATGATTAGTAAAAATTAAATCATGTTGGAGGCTTTGGCTTGTAGTTATAAATGTAGATGGCTGGACCTTAAATTTCTTTTAAGAGACCTGTATGTATTTTAGGAAAAGTCTAGAAAAGGAGAAGATGACTTTAACCCTATGCTAATAGGTCAAATAATTTCCATCTCATCTTAAATGTTGCTTAGAAGGATCAAGTTTTCTGCAAATGTGAAAAATATATCAAGAATTACAGCAATATTGATTTGAAAACAATTAACCAAAAAGCAAAGTGGGAAGTAGTTTACCATTAGTGAATGAGTAGCACTAAGCATAGTGATAAGTGTTTTAGATTTATTTCTCTCAACAGTGGTATGAGGGAAGAGGTGCTAGTACTGCTTCTTACAGGTTATGAAACAGAGACTTTAGAAGGTGTTGAGTTATTAATACTTGCCCCATTTAACATGGCCAGTAAGTGGCAGAACTAGACTCTAAATTTGTCTGCTTGGCTCGAAAGGTCATGATCTTTCTCACTGACTCATTTGTTGCTTTTACTTATACTTTTTCCAGATAATTCAACTGAACAAAGTCAAAGTTATCACAGTTCTCTTAAATATACCACCCCCTGCCCCCCGTCATCCATCTTAGCATTATGGAGAGTCATAATTATGTAATGGAAGAGCATGTGCTTCAGAATCAGATCAGATCTCTTACTTACTCTAACTTTGGAAAAGATAATTTATGTTTTGCAATTCAATTTCCTCATCTGTAAAATGGTTATAAAATAATCTACCTCAATAGCAGATGCTGAGTTTGTCTTCTACTTATTTTCAAACTAGAATGAGAGTGGTGGAGTTCCAGTGGGTAGAAGGAAGTAGGAAACAACTTTTTTTCTCCCTATCCCTATATTATATGAACTACCCTCAGTCCTACACAGCTGCCTTAGAATGATCTGGAAGAGACCTTTGAACCTGAGGCACTTTAATATATAACAAAGACAGATTAATGGCAGTATTAAAGAAAAATGAAATTCCATAGTTCTGGTTATGCAGGTATTAAGTCAATTCCAATGGTTCTAGATATTAATTACATAGAAACATTGTTTGAGTTCAAGCTGTTACGACAAAATAGTATCCTAGGTGACTTATCAACAACAGAAATTTATGTCTCACAGTTCTAGAAGTTGGAAGTGTGAGATTGGAGTGCCAGCATGGTTGAGCTGTAGTGCGGGCCCTCTTCTGGGGTGCAGATGGCTATTTCTTGTTGTATCCTCACATGGCAGAAAGGGCGACAGAGCTTTCTCAGATCCCTTTTATAAGGGCACTAAATCCATTCATCAGGGCTCCATACTCATAATCTAATTACCCCCAAAAACCCCACCTCCTAATAACATCATATTGGTGATTATGTTTTCAACATATGAATTTAGGGAGACACAAACATTGTGTCTCCTGATTCAACCAATGCCCTATATTGCTAATTTTCATGAAAATATTCAAGACTTGAATATTAAAATTTTTAATGAGAAGATGCTTAGCTTTTACTTAAGAACAACTTGATTGAATATTAACAATGTTTTTTTATAGCATATTTAATTCCAAGCACAGAGGAATATTTTTATTATAATCAAAGCATTAATCACCATGTTTATTCAATTATTTTGAATAGGTTAAGTGGGGTTGGTTCTACCATTTTATTGCACAGTCTATTAGTGGATGAAAAAACTATGCATGTCTTCAACCTTATTTTATTGTTTTACTTTTAGTTCCAGAGTATTCAACCTTTGGAATATTTTTTACGTGTTATATACTCAGTCCTTTGTTTCTTCTTAATCAATCATTAATCTGAGTTTTTTCTTTTAAGCTTCTTATTGTGCTACTAGTTTTATTTTCATCTAATTCTCTTGAGATCAACAGATTTTTCATGTTTATAGTTCAATACCAAGACCAGATATGAATTAGGCAGAGATAGTGGATACTGTAGCTTAGACAGCATGGCTACTCAATCCCATCCAAGGGAGTGGTTGTGATTTGAGAGCAGTGGAGGATAATGGGAAGAGCTCTGGGCTGGAAGTGATCTATATCTAAATTGTGATTCTGCTTTTATGTCAGTCCCTTCACTTTGTAGGGGCACAATTTTCTTATAAAACTCATGGAATTGGGTTGGGTTGGCTCTTGGTTCTGTCCTACCTGGAAAGTCATGGGATTCTATGGTTTCTGTGGATCCGTGTAACTTTTTAATACCAATACATCCCCAGGGACACTATAAATTTCTCTTACTATGCTATTTGTGTAAGATCTTTTCAAGTACTCCTACACATAAATGAATCTGGCATAATTTTAAAAATATTCTACCTTATCAGCTCCTCATTGCTTTTGGGTAAGGCTAGTCCCCTAGACCAGATGAGATCCAGAATCTGCATGGGTAGTTCAAGATGATTTGTGGAAGTGCTCACCAGTTTGTTTTTTTTTTCAGAATGCAATAGCACGTGCTGTCCATCACTTATTTATTCCTTTTTTTCCCCTCAGAGATGTGACTGAATACTTAGCACCTAGTGCAGGGCAATGATTACATCTATGGCCATTTCAGAAGATAAATCAAAGTGCTTTTCTTCATTCTCCCTGCAGGGAAAATGCTAGAGTAGCAAGAATCTATTAAAGAAATAGCTTGGAAGAAGTCCAACCATTGTTTACAAGTTTGTAGTGACATGAATCCCAGGTCTGTCACAAATTACTTATGGTTACTCTTAAATCTTCAGTATGCATCATTCTTCATTGAAAAGAAGCAACCAGAATAACGGTTCCTTTGTTATTTTTTCTCTAAGCTCCTTACTCTCCCTCAACCAGTTGTAATATCTTGTCTTTACTCATGTTTTCAACATTTCCTACTTTAGTATTAAAACAAATCTAATTTGTGTTAATTTCTTCCACTTCCTTAATAAGTATTTTTAATTTTTGGACTGAATACTACCCTTGCAGTACCCCCGTCAGAACACATCTCCCAAAGATGAGTTCTCATTTATCACTGTCTTTGATTTTTAGTCTTTGAGACACTTAAAAAATTCCTGCATAGCTGTGTTCTTAGTAAACATTGCTTGAGTATATTTTTGAAATAAAATATATTTTATAGGGCTAATGTTTTGCATTTTAATGAACTGATTTAAAAATGAACTGGTATAATTTTCTAAGAGTAAACTCAGCCTGCTCATTCCCCACTAATTTATGATATTCTAAGCTCATACGTTTACTTCTTACTTTTATTTTAATGTTTTTTTCAGTTGCTTTGCTCAGATTCAGAGGATGTCATTTACAGGAGTCCTCACTTGTAGGAAACAATTATCTATAGATTGACAAATGAATGTTTAAAAGAACCATGTATTTTCTTTCTCTCCTTTTTTGAATTGCCTTCAGTTACGTCTACGCTCATTTTTACTGATGTTATAGAGTGATAGATGAAAGAAGAGGGTTGTCAGTTCCTTTTCCTAGAGGACCAAAATTATGTCATTCATTCATATTCTCTATTGAGGTTTGAATATCAGATATTTCATGATTTTATATATCCCCCAGCAGAATGCAAGCTCTATTAGGATGCAGAGCAGTGTCTACACGGAGCCCACAGTGCCTGGCACATACTGTTGGTCTCTTGCTCTCAGTCCATGTATTATTCATATACATATATGTTTATTTTAAATTTTTAAATTGATGTATAATTTATTTTTAGTGAAATGCACAGATTTTAAGTGCATAATTTGATGAGTTTTGACAAATACACATATATGGAACATACAGTCTGTCAAGATACATAAAATTTTCATTATCCCAGAAAGTTTCCTCATGTCTCTTCCCAGTCAAACCTTCCCCCGAAATGCAACCACCCTTCTGATTTTTTTCAGCACACATTGGTTTTCCCTGTTATAGAACTTCATCTAATATGTACTTCATACAATAGGTATTTTTATTTCTGATAGCTTTTACCAGTGTTTAAGGTTTATTCTTGTTGGTCATTCATCATATAATGTGTAACATGATACATGTCTGTTTCTTAATATTAATGGACATTGAATATATAATAATTCTTTAATCTATTTTCCTGTTGTTGGCCATTGATACTGCTTCTGGTTTGGTTTATCATGAATTACACTGTTATGAACATTCTTGTACAAGTCATTTGTTATCATGAATTAAACTGTTATCATATTTGGGTTATCATGAATTAAGCTGTTATGAACATTCTTGTACAAGCCATTTGCCTAAGATAAATAAAAACAGGTTCTCCCCGCCATACCCACACAATGTGTTGTGTTATCTGTGTTATTGAGAAACAACAAGAAGCCTTGTGTGGGTTTCTGGGTGGAGTGAACACAGCCAAGAGAATGGTGGAAGATGAGGTTGGAGAAGAAGGCAGGGACACCGTTATGTACAGTCTTGGAGCCTATGAAAAGGAATGTGTGTGTGTGGTGGGGGGTATACCTGTTTTGATTTCTCTTAGAGAAGTACTTAGAAGTAGAATTGCTGGATCATAGAGGTAGTTGTATGTTTGACTTTATGAGACACTACCGGGTTGATTTCTATTTTACAATCTTACTAACAATGTATGAGAGTTCAGGTTTCTTCAAGTATTTGTCAACATTTAGCATTTTCAGTCTTTTTAATTTTATTCCTGTGGGAATGTAAAATGGCACAGCCACTTTGTAAAACAGTTTGGTGGTTCTGCAAGATGTTAAAGATAGAGTTACCATATGAACCATCAATTCTACTTGGTATGTGCCTGATATGGTTTGGATCTGTCTCCACCCAAATCTCATCTTGAATTGTAGCTCCGACAATTCCCATGTGTCATGGGAGGAACCCAGTGAGAGGTAATTGAATCATGGGGGTGGGTTTTTCCTGTGCTGTTCTTGTGATATTGAATAAGTCTCATGAGATATGATAGTTTTATAAAGAGGAGTTCTTTATAAAACCCCTGTACAAGTTCTCTCTCCTCACCTGCTGCCATCTATGTAAGATGTGACTTGCTCCTCCTTGCCTTCCACCATGATTTTGAGGCCTCCTCAGCCATGTGAAATGGTGAGTCCATTAAACCTCTTTTTCTCTATAAATTACCCAGTCTCGGGTATGTCTTTATCAGCAGCATGAAAACGGACGAAGACAGTTAACTGGTACCAGTAGTGTGGGGTGCTGTTGTAGATTCCTGAAAATATGGAAGTGACTTTGGGACTGGGTAATAGGAAGAGGTCGGAACAGTTTCACGGGCTCAGAAGAAGACAGAAAAATGTGGGAAAGTTTGGAACTTCCTAGACACTTGTTGAATGGCTTTAACCAAAATGTTAATAATGATATGGACAATGAAATCCGTGCTGAGGTGGTCTCAGATGGAGATGAGGAACTTGTTGGGAACTGAAGTAAAGGTGACTTTTGCTATGTTTCAGAAAAGAGACTGGTGGCATTTTGCCTCTGCCCTAGAGATTTGTGGAACTTTGAACTTGAGGGAGATGATTTAGGGTATATGGCAGAAGAAATTTCTAAGCAGCCAAGCATTCAAGAGGTGACTTGCATGCTGTTAAAAGCATTCAGTTTTATTTTATTTTGAGACAGAGTTTTTCTCTCTCACCCAGGCTGGAGTGCAGTGATGTGATCTCAGCTCACAGCAACCTCCACCTCCTGGGTTCAAGCAATTCTCCTGCATCAGCCTCCCAAGTAGCTGGGATTGTAGGCATGTGCCACCACGCCTGGCTAATTTTTTCCTATTTTTAATAGAGACAGGCTTTCACCATGTTGGCCAGGCTGGGCATTCAGTTTTAAAATGGAAAAAGAGCATAAAAGTTCAGAGAATTTGCAACCTGATAATGAGATAGAAAAGAAAAACTCATTTTCTGAGGTGAAATTCAAGCCAGCTACAGAAATATGCATAAGTAATAAGAAGCCAAATGTTAATCAGCAAGACAATGGGGAAAATATCTCCAGGGCATTTCAGAACCTGTCCTGGCAGCCCCTCCCATCACAGGCCCAGAGGCCTAGAAGGAAAAAATGGTTTTGTGGGCTGGGCCCAGGGCCGCCTTGCTGTGTGCAACCTGGGGACTTGGTGCCCTGCATCCAAGCTGCTGTAGGCATGGCTAGAAGGGGTCAAGGTACAGCTTGGGCAATGGTGTCAGAGGGGTACAAGCCCCAAGCCTTGGCAGCTTCCACGTGGTGTTGAGCCTGCAGTTACACAGAAGTCAATAATTGAGGTTTAGGAACCTCCGTCTAGATTACAGAGGATGTATGAAAACACCAGAATGTCCAGGCAGAAGTTTGCTGCAGGGGCAGGCCCTCATGAAGAACCTCTGCTAGGACAGTACAGAATGGAAATGTGGGGCTGAAGCCCCCACACAAAGGCCCCACTGGGGCAGTGCCTAGTGGAGCTGTGAGAATAGGGCTCAAAGCTTGTAGGAAAAGCTGCAGACACTCAGTGCTAGCCCATGAAAGCAGCTAGGAAGGAGGCTGTACCCTGCAAAGCCACAGAGGTGGAGCTGCCCATGGGAACCCACCTCTTGCATCAGTGTGACCTGGATGTGAGACATGGAGTCAAAGGAGATCATTTTAGAGCTTTAAGATTTGACTGCCCTGCTGGATTTTGGACTTGCATGGAGCCTTTAGCCCCTTTGTTTTTGACAATTTTTCCCATTTGGAATGGATATATTTACTCAATGCCTTTACCCCCATTGTATCTAGGAAATAAGTAACTTGCTTTCGATTTTACAGGCTCATAGGTGGAAGGGACTTGCCTTGTTTCAGAAGAGAATTTGGACTGTGGACTTCTGAATTAATACTGAAATGAGTTGAGACTTTGAGGGACTGTTAGGAGGCATGATTGGTTTTGAAATATAAGGATATGAGATTTGGGAGGGGCCAGGGGCAGAATGATACTGTTTGGCTCTGTCCCTACCCAAATCTCATCTTGAATTGTAGCTCCCACAATTCCCAAGTGTCATGGGAGGGACCCAGTGGGAGGTAACTGAATCAAGGGAATGGGTCTTTCCCATGCTGTTCTTATGATAGTGAACAAGTCTCATGAGATCTGATGGCTTTATAAAGAGAAGTTCCCCTTCACAGGTTCTCTCTTTTTGCCTGCCACCATCCATGTAAGACATGACTTGCTCCTCCTTGCCTTCTGCTGGGATTGTGAGGCCTCCCCAGCCATGTGGAACTGTGAATCCATTAAACTTCTTACCTTTATAAATTACCCAGTCTTGGGTATGACCTTATTGGCAGTGTGAGAACAGATTAATACAATGCCCAAGAAAAAATGATAACTTATGTCCACACAGAAACTTGGACATACAGTTTATAGGAACATTATAAGTAATCACCCAAGATTGGAAACAATCTAAATATCCATCAGCAAATACATGGATAAATATAATTTGGTATGTCCATATGATGGAATATTATGCAGCAAGAAAAAGAATGAAATATTATATATGTTATAGCATGGATAAATCTTGAAAACATTATGCTAAGGGAAAGAAGCCAGTTGTAAAGACTACACATTGTATAATTCCATTTATATAAAATATCCAGAATAGGAAAACATATAGAGATAGAAAGTAGATTTATTCTTGCCTAGGGCTAGGAAAAGTAGGGAGTGACTGTGAATGAATATGGGATTTCTTTTTAGGGGGACAACTGTTCTAAAATTGATAGTGGTGATGGTTATATATCCCTGTGAATATACTATAAAACACTGAATTGTACATTTTATATGGATGAATTGTGTAGTATATGAATTATATCTCAGTAAATCTCTTTTATGTTTTTTGAAGGAAATAGTGGGAGTAACTATTTTGTGTATTTTGTGTATTATGTTTTTTGAAGGAAATAGTGGGAGTGCAAAGATCCTGAGACAGGAAGATAATTGGTGTTATTGAGAAACAACAAGAAACCTTGTGTGGCTTCCTGGGTGGAGTGAACACAGCCAAGAGAATAGTGGGAGATGAGGTTGGAGAAGTAGGCAGGGATCCCACTATGCAGAGACTTGTAGACTAGGATAAGGATTTCAGATTTTATTCTGAATGTGCTAGGAAGTCACTGGAGGGTTCCAAATAGAAAACCAGCATGAACTGAAGGTTATTTTATAAACATCACCTTACGACTGATATGGGGTGGGAGCTACAGAATGGAAACAGGGAGAACAATTAGGAGGCTCTGGAAGGAGTCTGGAGGAAACATGGTTGTGGGTGAAGCCAGGGTGAAAGCTGTGAAGGTTCGGAAAGTGGTTGGTCTTGGGATGTATTTTGAAGTCAGAACTGAGAAGTGACTACAATACTAGATGTTTAATGTGAGAGAAAGGGAGAACCAGGAGGATGTACATATCTCTGTGTGTATTTGTGTGTGCATTCCACTTCATAATGAAGAAAAAGCTGTCTTCGCTATTTTAATTTGTTCTAAAGGCACAACATTTTATTTAGAAGAGAAAAATTAAAGGGTCACATTTTTGTTTCTTCAAAATATCTTACAGTTTATATGTAGGATGTATAAGTTCAAATAAACTCAATGAATGTTACTATTGTTGATTTAAGAAATAAACTGCCCATAAAGTAAAAAAAGATAGTGTTTTGCATATGCAGTAATGATTTCAGAGAGTGCTCTGTGAAGTCACACAGGACTTGTGACATTCTCAGGTTTTAGTGCTGTACTGAATGTTTGCAGTTGATGTCGCCTTTTTGATTTTTTAATTATATTTTATTTTATTTTTACTTAATCGTTAGATAAGTGTTTAGGTTTAGGGGAGAATTTTCTGTTAAATATTTTCTGTAGCCATTTTTACTTTTCACATTTTCAAAATTTCTCCCATTGTTTGTTTATTTATTTATTTATTTATTTATTTATTACACTTTAAGTTTTAGGGTACATGTGCACAACGTGCAGGTTTGTTACATATGTATACATGTGCCATGTTGGTGTGCTGCACCCATTAACTTGTCATTTACATTAGGTATCTCCTAATGCTATCCCTCCCCTCTCCCCCCACCGCATAACAGGCCCCAGTGTGTGATGTTCCCCTTCCTGTGTCCAAGTGTTCTCATTGTTCAATTCCCACCTATGAGTGAGAACGTGTGGTGTTTGGTTTTTTGTCCTTGTGATAGTTTGCTGAGAATGATGGTTTCCAGCTTTATCCAAGTCCCTACAAAGGACATGAACTCATCATTTTTTATGACTGCATAGTATTCCATGATGTATATGTGCCACATTTACTTAATCCAGTCTATCATTGTCAGACATTTGGGTTGGTTCCACGTCTTTGCTATTGTGAGTAGTGCCGCAATAAACATACGTGTGCATGTGTCTTTATAGCAGCATGATTTATAATCCTTTGGGTATATACCCAGTAATGGGATGGCTGGGTCAAATGGTATTTCTAGTTCTAGATCCCTGAGGAATTGCCACACTGACTTCCACAAGGGTTGAACTAGTTTACAGTCCCACCAACAGTGTAAAAGTGTTCCTATTTCTCCACATCCTCTCCAGCACCTGTTGTTTCCTGACTTTTTAATGATCGCCATTCTAACTGGTGTGAGATGGTATCTCATTGTGGTTTTGAATTGCATTTCTCTGATGTGCAGTGATGATGAGCATTTTTTCATGTGTCTTTTGGCTGTATAAATGTCTTCTTTTGAGAAGTGTCTGTTCATATCCTTTGCCCACTTTTTGATGGAGTTGTTTTTTTCTTGTAAATTTGTTTGAGTTCTTTGTAGATTCTGGATGTTAGCCCTTTGTCAGATGAGTAGATTGCAAAAATTTTCTCCCATTCTGTAGGTTGCCAGTTCACTCTGATGGTAGTTTCTTTTGCTGTGCAGAAAGCTCTTTAGTTTAATTAGATACCATTTGTCAATTTTGGCTTTTGTTCCCATTGTCCTTGCCCATGCCTATGTCCTGAATGGTATTACCTAGGTTTTCTTCTAGGGTTTTTATGGTTTTAGGTCTACCATTTAAGTCTTTAATCTATCTTGAATTAATTTTTGTATAAGGTGTAAAGAAGGGATCCAGTTTCAGCTTTCTACATATGGCTAGCCAGTTTTCGCAGGACCATTTATTAAATAGGGAATCCTTTCCCCATTTCTTGTTTTTGTCAGGTTTGTCAAAGATCAGATGGTTGTAGATGTGTGGCATTATTTCTGAGGGCTGTGTTCTGTTCCATTGGTCTATATCTCTGTTTTGGTACCAGTACCATGCTGTTTTGGTTACTGTAGCCTTGTAGTATAGTTTGAAGTCAGGTAGCGTGATGCCTCCAGCTTTGTTCTTTTGGCTTAGGATTGACTTGGTGATGTGGGCTCTTTTTTGGTTCCATATGAACTTTAAAGTAGTTTTTTCCAATTCTGTGAAGAAAGTCATTGGTAGCTTGATGGGGATGGCATTGAATCTATAAATTACCTTGGGCAGTATGGCCATTTTCACGATACTGATTCTTCCTACCCATGAGCATGGAATGTTCTTCCATTTGTTTGTATCCTCTTTTATTTCATTGAGCAGTGGTTTGTAGTTCTCCTTGAAGAGGTCCTTCACATCCCTTGTAAGTTGGATTCCTGGGTATTTTATTCTCTTTGAAGCAATTATGAATGGGAGTTCACTCATGATTTGGCTCTCTGTTTGTCTGTTATTGGTGTGTAAGAATGCTTGTGATTTTTGCACATTGATTTTGTATCCTGAGACTTTGCTGAAGTTGCTTATCAGCTTAAGGAGATTTTGGGCTGAGACAATGGGGTTTTCTAGATATACAATCATGTCATCTGCAAACAGGGACAATTTAACTTCCTCTTTTCCTAACTGAATACCCTTTATTTCCTTCTCCTGCCTAATTGCCCAGGCCAGAACTTCCAACACTATGTTGAATAGGAGTGGTGAGAGAAGGCATCCCTGTCTTGTGCCAGTTTTCAAAGGAAATGCTTCCAGTTTTTGCCCATTCAGTATGATATTGGTGTGGGTTTGTATAAATAGCTCTTATTATTTTGAGATATGTCCCATCAATACCTAATCAATAGAGAGTTTTTAGCATGAAATGCTGTTGAATTTTGTCAAAGGCCTTTTCTGCATCTATTGAGGTAATCATGTGGTTTTTGTCATTGGTTCTGTTTATATGCTGGATTACGTTTATTGATTTTCGTATGTTGAACCGGCCTTGCATCTCAGGGATGAAGCCCACTTGATCATGGTGGATAAGCTTTTTGAGGTACTGCTGGATTTGGTTTGCAAGTATTTTACTGAGGATTTTTGCATCAATGTTCATCTGGGATATTGGTCTAAAATTCTTGTTTTTTGTTGTGTCTCTGCCAGGCTTTGGTATCAGGATGATGCTGGCCTCATAAAATGAGTTAGGGAGGATTCCCTCTTTTTCTATTGATTGGAATAGTTTCAGAAGGAATGGTACCAGCTCCTCCTTGTACCTCTGGTAGAATTAGCCTGTGAATCCATCTGGTCCTGGACTATTTTTGGTTGGTAGACTATTAATTATTGCCTCAATATCAGAGCCTGTTATTGGTCTATTAAGAGATTCAACTTCATCCTGGTTTAGTCTTGGGAGGGTGTATGTGTCCAGGAATTTATCCATTTCTTTTAGATTTTCTAGTTTATTTGCGTAGAGGTGTTTATAGTATTCTCTGATGGTAGTTTTTTATTTCTGTGGGATTGGTGGTGATATCCCCTTTATCATTTTTTATTGCGTCTGTTTGATTCTTCTCTCTTTTCATCTTTATTAGTCTTGCTAGCGGTCTATCAATTTTGTTGATCTTTTCAAAAAACCAGCTCCTGGATTCATTGATTTTTTGGAGGTTTTTTTTTTTGGTCTCTATCACCTTCAGTTCTGCTCTGATCTTAGTTATTTCTTGCCTTCTGCTAGCTTTTGAATGTGTTTGCTCTTGCTTCTCTAGTTCATTTAATTGTGATGTTAGGGTGTCAATTTTAGATCTTTCCTGCTTTCTCTTGTGGGCATTTAGTGCTATAAATTTCTCTCTATACACTGCTTTAAATGTGTCCCAGAGATTCTGGTATGTTGTGTCTTTGTTCTCGTTGGTTTCAAAGAACATCTTTATTTCTGCCTTCATTTCTTTATGTACCCAGTAGTCGTTCAGGAGCGGTTTGTTCAGTTTCCATGTAGTTGAGCAGTTTTGAGTGAGTTTCTTCATCCTGTGTTCTAGTTTGATTGCACTGTGGTCTGAGAGACAGTTTGTTATAATTTCTGTTCTTTTACATTTGCTGAGGAGAGCTTTACTTCCAACTATGTGGTCAATTTTGGAATAGGTGTGGTGTGGTGCTGAGAAGAATGTATATTCTGTTGATTTGGGGTGGAGAGTTCTGTAGATGTCTGTGAGGTCTGCTTGGTGCAGAGGTGAGTTCAGTTCCTGGATATCCTTATTAACTTTCTGTCTCGTTGATCTGTCTCATGTTGACAGCGGGGTGTTAAAGTCTCCCATTATTATTGTGTGGGAGTCTAAGTCTCTTTGTAGGTCTCTAAGGACTTGCTTTATGAATCTGCGTGCTCTGTATTGGGTGCATATATATTTAGGATAGTTAGCTCTTCTTGTTGAATTGATCCCTTTACCATTATGTAATGGCCTTCTTTGTCTCTTTTGATCTTTGTTGGTTTAATGTCTGTTTTATCAGAGACTAGGATTGCAACCCTGCCTTTTTTTTTGTTTTCCATTTGCTTGGTAGATCTTCCTCCATCCCTTTATTTTGAGCCTATGTGTGTCTCTGCATGTGAGATGGGTTTCCTGAATACAGCACACTGATGGGTCTTGACACTATCCAATTTGCCAGTCTGTGTCTTTTAATTGGAGCATTTAGCCCGTTTACATTTAAGGTTAATATTGTTATGTATGGATTTGATCCTGTCATTATGATGTTAGCTGGTTATTTTGCTTGTTAGTTGATGCAGTTTCTTCCTAGCCTCGATGGTCTTTACAATTTGGCATGTTTTTGCAGTGGCTGGTACCAGTTGTTCCTTTCCATGCTTAGTGCTTCCTTCAGGAGCTCTTGTAGGGCAGGCCTTGTGGTGACAAAATCTCTCAGCATTTGCTTGTCTGTAAAGGATTTTAGTTCTTCTTCACTTATGAAGCTTAGTTTGGCTGGATATGAAATTCTGGTTTGAAAATTCTTTTATTTAAGAATGTTGAATATTGGCCCCCACTCTCTTCTGGCTTGTAGAGTTTCTGCGGAGAGATCGGCTGTTAGTCTGATGGGCTTCCCTTTGTGGGTAACCTGACCTTTCTCTCTGGCTGCCCTTAACATTTTTTCCCTCATTTCACCTTTGGTGAATCTGACAATTATGTGTCTTGGAGTTGTTCTTCTCAAGGAGTATCTTTGTGGCATTCTCTGTATTTCCTGAATTTGAATGTTGGCCTGCCTTGGTAGGCTGGGGAAGTTCTCCTGGATAATATCCTGCAGAGTGTTTTCCAACTTGGTTCCATTCTCCCTGTCACTTTCAGGTACACCAATCAGATGTAGATTTGGTCTTTTCACATAGTCCCATATTTCTTGGAGGCTTTGTTCATTTCTTTTTATTCTTTTTTCTCTAAACTTCTCTTCTCGCTTCATTTCATTCATTTGATCTTCCATCACTTATACCCTTTCTTCCAGTTGATCGAATCGGCTACTGAAGCTTGTTCATGCATCACGTAATTCTTGTGCCATGGTTTTCAGCTCCATCAGCTCCTTTAAGGACTTCTCTGCATTGGTTATTCTAGTTAGCCATTCATCTAATCTTTTTTCAGGGTTTTTAACTTCTTTGCCATCGGTTTGAACTTCCTCCTTTAGCTTGGAGAGGTTTGATCTTCTGAAGCCTTCTTCTCTAAACTCATCGAAGTTATTCTCCATCCAGCTTTGTTCCGTTGCTGGTGAGGAGCTGTGTTCCTTTGCAGAAGGAGAGGCACTCTGATTTTTAGAATTTTCAGTTTTTCTGCTCTGTTTTTTCCCCATATTTGTGGTTTTATCTACCTTTGGTCTTTGATGATGGTGACATACAGATGGGGTTTTGGTGTGGATGTCCTTTCTGTTTGTTAATTTTCCTTCTAACAGTCAGGACCCTCAGCTGCAAGTGTGTTGGAGTTTGCCAGAGGTCCACTCCAGACCCTGTTTGCCTGGGTATCAGCAGCAGAGGCTGCAGAACAGTGAACATTCGTGAACAGCAAATGTTGCTGCCTGATCGTTCCCCTGACTGTTTTGTCTCAGAGGGGTACCTGGCTGTGTGAGGTGTCAATCTGCCCCTAATGGGGGGTGCCTCCCAGTTAGGCTACTCAGGGGTCAGGGACCCACTTGAGGAGGCAGTCTGTCCATTCTCAGATCTCAAGCTGTGTGCTGGGAGAACCAGTACTGTCTTCCGTGCTGTCAGACAGGGACATTTAAGTCTGCAGAGGATTCTGCTGCCTTTTGTTTGGCTATGCCCTGCCCCCAGAGGTGGAGTCTACAGAGGCAGGCAGGCTCCCTATGCTATGGGGGGCTCCACCCAGTTTGAGCTTCCTGGCCACTTTGTTTACCTACTCAAGCCTCAGCAATGGTGGGTACCCCTTCCCCAGCCTCACTGCCACCTTGCAGTTTGATCTCAGACTGTTGTGCTAGGAATGAGCAAGGCGCCTTGGGCGTTGGACCCTCCGAGCCAGGTGCAGGACATAATCTCCTGGTGTGCCGTTTGCTAAGACTGTTGGAAAAGCGCAGTATTAGGGTGGGAGTGACTCGATTTTCCAGGTGCCGTCTGTCACCCCTTTCCTGGGCTAGGAAAGGGAATTCCCTGACCCCTTGCACTTCCTGGGTGAGGTGATGCCTCGCCCTTCTTCAGCTCACACTCGGTGCGCTGCACCCGCTGTCCTGCACCCACTGTCCGACAATCCGCAGTGAGATGAACCCGGTACTTCAGTTGGAAATGCAGAAATCATCCGTCTTCTGCGTCGCTCATGCTGACAGCTGTAGACTGGAACTGTTCCTATTCGGCCATCTTGGAACTGCCCCCCATTGTTTATTTATTTAAGAGAATTCTACGTCTAAATCCTATCTAAATTAAGCTTTTGTTCTCTTTGTGTAATCATTCATAGTTTGCCTGTTTACAGTAATGAATTTGTTTTCTAAATAGCAATTTTAAATTTGCAATTTATATTTGTAAAAAGCATCAGCAATATTTAGATTTTGTACTTTAAGTAACTGTTTCTATGAATATTGTTCCTTGTATGTATGGTAGTGAGGCCAGGAGAAGATACATGGTTAGCTGACCACAAAATCCATCAAGTGTAGAGCTGACTGCAAAAATCACAGTGAGCTGTAAGCTGGTTCAGTTGTATTTTCATTAGGTAGGATATACTGAATTGCATAATTATGCTATTATTGAGTGGTGGCCTACATTAAAGGAGACTGTGATTGTTGCCTAAGCCTGTTATCAACATAAATAAAGGTCTTGAATATTCAAAATAAATCAGTCATTTTGAGATTCTTTTAGTGAGTGATTACCTGCATTTTAAAAAGTTCCTTTCTCTCTATTTAACAATCTTCTGCTTTATCTTTTTAGTTTCCTATTTCCCTAGTGGGTGGTCCAGGGAGTACTTTTAGTAGGGGCTCTTTCTAGTTTAAATGATAACAAAAAGTTTTCTAATGTCCTGAGTGGGTGATATTATTGAATACAATTCTCACCTACAAGAGACTTTGGAAATCCAGTGATCTAGCCCTTAGTCATTCTCCGTGGGTCAGGTATAACCTTTGCAATCAATCATACCGTATGGCTGACTTAAATATTGCCCTGATGACAAGTCTCCAGGGGCTCCCTTCTCCATCCTCCATCTCTCTCTCTCTTTCTCTCTTTCTTTCTTTCTTTTCTTTCTTTCTTCCTTCCTTCCTTTCTTTCTTTCTTTCTTTCTTTCTTTCTTTCTTTCTTTCTTTCTTTCTTTCTTTCTCTTTCTCTCTCTTCCTTCCCTCCTTCCTTCCCTCCTTCCTCTCTCCCTCCCCCTTCCCTTCCCTTCCCTTCCCTTCCCTTCCCTTCCCTTCCTTTCTTTTTTTGAGACAGACTCTTGCTCTGTCATCCAGTCTGGAGTGCAGTGGCACCATCTGGCTCACTACAACCTCCTCCTCCTGGGTTCAAGCAATTCTCCTGCCTCAGCCTCCTGAGCAGCTGGGATTCCAGGCACCCACCACCACACCCAGATAATTTTTGTATTTTTAGTAGAGATGGGGTTTCACCATGTTGGTCAGGCTGGCCTTGAACTCCTCATCCCAGGTGATTCACCTGCCTTGGCCTTCCAAAGTGCTGGGATTTACAGGCCCATCTATTTTTATTTCTTCACAGGGGGTTCTTTTCAAGGATGAGGAGATTATGGTGGGAGGTTATGACTCCCAGGGCATTGAAGTAAAAGCTGCACGTGCTCCTAATCTAGTTCCAGGGACAAACAAGGTTGGGGATAGTTCCTATCTCCCACAAAGAGTTTTAACTGGATGTAGGTGTCTGCAGGCTGAATCAATCAGGGAAGGCAGATGCTGGAGATTTGGAGGAAAATGCTAAATAAAGAGGAGAAAATCCCCAAGGAAAAGAGAGTGCATAAGGACAAAGGGGAAAGTGTTCTCTCCTGTACTGAGTAAATATTGTGCCATGCTTCCTGCATGTTGCCAGGGGCTGCAGATCAACCATCAAAACTGCAAGCAAAATGCTGACAACTTGCCTGACTCAAACAGTACTCCATAGATGCTCAACAATATGAGCAACATGTATTGTTGTTTGTTATTATTTTTCCTTGCAATGGAGATAAGTTGCATTTTTAAAATTGCATCCCATAGTGACTAGTGGCTGACATATCAGTGGAGTCAGCTGCTCAGAATGCAAACTGGTCACAGTTTACCACAGTAAAAACATTTCTAACTGATCCATGTAGGGATCTAATCCTGCCCCAACTTTAAGTCCAATCATGTTCCGCTCTCACAACTGAAGGGGAGGGCACTGTTACATGAGAAGGGGCTGCATACTTCTAAGATATTAGGTTGGTGCAAAAGTAATTTTGGTCATTAATGGCCCGCAATTACTTTTGCACCAACCTAATACTTAAGCACTAGGGAAGGGCAGTGCTATATGGCTTCGCTTTCCACAGTATGACTCTTTCCCTACTTCCTGCCACAGCTAATTAGGCCGGTGGTGGACAGCCAGTTAATAGGCTGCTCAGGTGGCCCACACCTGTAATCCTAGCACTTTGGGAGGCCAAGGCGGGCAGATCACAAAGTCAGGAGATCAAGACCATCCTGGCCAACATGGTGAAACCCTGTCTCTACTAAAAATACAAAAATTAGCTAGGCATGGTGGTGCGTGCCTGTTATCCCAACTACTCGGGAGGCTGAGGCACGAGAATCGCTTGAACCTCGGAGGCAGAGGTTGCAGTGAGCCGAGATCATGCCACTGCACTCCAGCCTGGTGACAGAACAAGACTCTGTCTCAAAAAAAAAAAAAAAAAAAAAAAGGCCGCTCAGGAGACCATCATGTGGCCTCACACAAATAGGTAACTGGGTCAATTATATTCTACCTCATCGAAATTTTACATGGGAAGTTTTCTGAGACTAATGTCATGAACAGGGAGGAAACTAAGCTGAATGAGTATATTGCAAAAGTCGTAAGGGAGAACAGGAATATAAGAAATGATGACAAATCAAAGGATGAGAGAGAAGAAGCCGTTAGTTCAACAGAGATTTTGAAAATTTATAATATATAGGTTGCATTATGGTTAGGAAGAAGAATTTTGGGACAGATACCAAGAGGAGTTAATACTATATGTCTCTACTAGTGGGATTTCTCGATTTGCTTTGGGTCTGGAGTGCCCAAGTCTACTCTGGTTTCTGTCTCATGAAATTCTATCCCACCCAGTACTCCACATGCATCCTTTAATAACCTACACATCCAGCCTTTACTTTAGCTACGTTATTGGAACCGAAGGTCTTAAACAAAACAATACATGTCTACTTTCCTCCATTTTATCTTTTTTATATTGATAAAAAATTTAGTTTTCATCAATTCAAGTTCAGTTTATTCAGTTCAAGTTCAATTTCTAATAAAACCAACAAAAAAACTGAATGATTTCCATAAACTCATAAAAGGAAATCTCCTTTAATTCAGTTAGTTGAGTGAAATTTAACCTTCATTTGAATTAATTCTATTATTTAGTTGTCCACTTAATTGATCATGTTTGCATTTGAATTAAAAGTTGTTGTATATTTCAGAGGAGTACTTGTAATACAAGAAGAAAAAATAAAAAGTTTTTATTTACATACTTCAGACTACAAGCAGCTTGCCAGCTGGGTTTTAAGAGTTGTTCTCCAGGTATTCTTTTTACATAGTAGTTGGCTTATGAATTCCTTAGGCCTTCCTCAGAGACATCAACATAGGCCTCTCTGGAAGAGTAATAGGGATTTCATTTGATATATTTAGCTTGATATCAAAAACTATTTTAAATTATGCAGTGTACATTTGCTTTACTTTTGTTTTTGTCTTTGCTCTTAAAAAAACAGATTTAAAAATTGAACAAAAAATTTGAATTCTATCTTTTCTTCCCAAGGACTTCCTTTGGAAACACAGTAATTTAAATCCTATAAATATAGTACCTTAATGTTTCTATAAAGTGTCATTTGGCCAACAAGATCTCTTAAGCCATGGGCATCTAGTCTTGAATAGCATTTTTGGATGATATGCAGAGTCAATATTGCAAGAAGAGCAAAAGAAATAAAGCTCACAGAAATTTGTCCTACCTCACAGGCCAATTGTTTCATTGTCACAAACACCCAAAGGCAAAGGGGATGCTCTGGTGAGTTGGTGGTGACTTGACAATGTAGGTAGAAGAAAAGGAATCTTATTTATTCATAACACAGAAGATTGGGACTAGAGGGAGAAGGGTTAAAAAAGAGAAAGAAAAAGTAAAAGAGGAAGATGAAAGATTTGGAAACAACTGGAGAAACTGAAGAGATTCTGAGCCAAAATCAATACACTTGAAGAAAATTATATGCTGTGTCCATAAGCCCACCCCACCAATACAAGGAAGGAAATATTAATCACCCTTTTACATACCCCATGGAAAGCTCTTGCATTTGTCAACATTGACAAGAACGTTCATGGAAGCATTACTTAAAGTGCCTAAAATTGAAAATAATTATAGGCCAAGGGAATAAACAACAAATTAAACTATAGTAATATAATAGAATTCCATAAATTTGTAAAAATAAATGCAATAGAGCTGTCTATACAAGTATGGATGAATTTAATAAAAAATGCCGAGAAAAAAACAAAACTCAGTAGAGTACATAAAGTATGATAGTATTTATATGAAGTATGACATCTTCTACATGAAGCTTAGAAACATGCTGTCCAATACCAAGCATCATTTAGGGATAATTGTGTCTGCAATAAAAATACAAAACAAAGTGTGAGAATAATACCTTTTATATTTAGGATGATGGTTTCCTCTGAAGGGAAGTAAGGTGTCAGAATAAAAGCATACAGGGGGGTATCTACTACTTTATTAATGCTCTACATTTTAAGACATAAGCAATCACCGGGGTGTGTCGTAAATAATTCACACTAATTTTTTAAGAAAGAAGGGAAAGCAAACCATAAAATCATGGCTAAGAGTCAAAGGGATTATGGGTCTTCTAGTCCAACATTCATGCATTTCAGTAATAAACTTCCCATGAAGAAATGTCCCTTCTGTTTCAGCTTTACAATAGGCCAAACTCTGAGTTTTCTGAGGACTCCTGGAGAGCTGTAGGACAAGTCCTTATGTTGTGGGGAAACCCACCTCTCTAACCCCCATTCTTTGACCGTTATCTCTTCCTCCAGAGCCACACAGACAGATTAAAATGCATTTTCTCTTCTACAGAGTGGGTGTAAAATATTTTGTCACAATTATTATTTCCCTTGTCTTATTTCTTGCCAACATAAATATACCCCGCTTTTTCTTTTTTTTTTTTTTTCTTTTTTTTTATTTTTTTTTTATTTTTTATTTTTTGAGACGGAGTCTCGCTCTGTCGCCCAGGCTGGAGTGCAGTGGCGGGATCTCGGCTCACTGCAAGCTCCGCCTCCCGGGTTCACGCCATTCTCCTGCCTCAGCCTCCCAAGTAGCTGGGACTACAGGCGCCCGCCACTACGCCCGGCTAATTTTTTGTATTTTTAGTAGAGACGGGGTTTCACCGTTTTAGCCAGGATGGTCTCGATCTCCTGACCTCGTGATCCGCCCGCCTCGGCCTCCCAAAGTGCTGGGATTACAGGAGTGAGCCACCGCGCCCGGCCCCGCTTTTTCAATCATTTCTTATTATCCTATATTCAGTTCCACTCTCTTTGCTTTGAACAGACAATGTTCCTCTTGTATTTCCTAGAATTAAGCAAATTAGTTGTTTTACTGCTGCATGTGATAAAGACAGAAGCCTAGAATTAGTTTTATATGATTGCTTCATAGTGCAACACATTATAGTACAACAATGGGGTTACCCCCTGCTGTGAACTAAAAAGTCCATTGAAAAGACAGATGATTTTTGTGAGCTAATACAAGACTGCACTGTGACAACTCTTGTAGAGATAGCGATGACATTGAAAAATTAGGCACAACATTCTTGGGCTATATATAACAAATGAATTTCATGAATAGCTCACAATTGTGATTATTACAAGTGCTTACCATCCCCCAGTTTATTTACAATGCCGATGAGATGGGTCTTTGTAGGTGACAGCATCTGTTTTGGGTAGCATGAGTAAATAGGGGCCCAGAGTTTACTTGTATGAAGAAAAGTATATTGTTTTTATCAGTGCTAGTTTTTCATAAGTCTGTTATGTAATTTTGGGATGGAGAAAATTTTTCTACTGGAATGTTAGGTGCTGTCCCACGTTTTATTTGAATTTGTTAACATCCAAACACAAAAGGGAAAAAAGAAATAGTGCAAGTAGTAGAGCAGCTTTTATTTGTAGGTAGCTTAAAGGCTGACATGTATTTCTCACAGTATATAACCGTCTCAACCTTAAATTAATAGAAGCTAAGCAGTAGAATTGAATGTTGAATAAGACTCTGGAGACTGGTACCCAAAGATGAAGACAAAGAGCCAGTAAGCACTAAACAACTCGGGCCATAGATGCCTTCAAAGCTTGTAATGAAGCTAAATCACTGTATTACCCTCAAATATTATTCCTATTCCTAGTTTCTGTAAGCAGCAAACAGCACTGAGAGGCGTAAGTCCATAGTACAATAAATGGTCGGCCTAGGAGTCTTTTCCTTCTCTCCATAGATGGGGCTTGCTCTATAACCCCTTCCACCACAACTCCCATACAACTAAGTGAGGGAGGTTCTGAGGAATGATTGTCAAGATATTAGAAATGCCTATCAAAAGAGGAGGCTGGCATCTCGTTTCCTGTTTGCATGTCTGCTTATGCAGCATACATTCTACTATTTTCTGTGCATATCTTACTGGATGTGGAAATGGAAAGAAAATTGGAGAGAGACAGTGGGTATAGATTGGAACTGTAGAGCAGGCTGCTTTCCGACTGCTTGATGTAGTATGAGTAGAGGAATTCTTCATGTGTCAAGCAGGCACAGAAGAAGTAGCTGAGTTTGACTCATCTTGTAGGTATGTTATTTAAGACAGCTGACTGCTGATATGGATGGGAATAATCCCCTAAGAGAGATGTAGGAAGATATACCATTGGGGGTGAGAGCTGAGGGATAAGTAGTCAAACTGGAACATATACCTCTCCCTTCAGGGAAGAAGGTAACGGAAAGGACCTTGCAACAAGAACTCATGGATGCTTCTCACAATATCTGGATATTTGGATAAGGAGAACATCAATTTTTGGTGAATATTGCCTCTTTTCATGTTTCTTGTTTTTTCATTCCTATCAAAATCCACTGGGGAGTGCTGAGAAGGGAAAGTAGACCCAAAGGTGTGACGATGTGTCTTATAAGCAGACCATGTCCAAGAAAATGCAAAGTAAAATTTAAAAACAAGGAAGACATAGTCATTAGACCAATAGCAGTTTCACAAAAAAAAGGAAGAGGGAGGCAAGGTAATCAGTAAGCAAATAAATAATTAAAGAAGAATCCTCTCTGCTCAAAAAGGACCCTAAATACATATTTTACTTGTGGGGAGAATTATTGAGGAATTTTACCAGGCATATCCTGGTAAAATTCTATATTTCTATAGAACAATTCTATATTTATATATACTATTTTTATGTACAAATAAACAATTCTATATTTCTAAGCATCACCAGGCATATCCTAGTAAAATTTCAGAATTTTAAGAATAAAAGGAAAATAGCCTCCAAACATAAATAATAAGTTATTTAAAAAGAGAAGGAGACAGCAATCAATCATCTCATTTGTAACATTAGAAGTTAGAAGACCATGGAATGACAACTACAGACATGAGTGAGAAGGTCTGAAACCTGAGAATCCATTATTCTAACCAAGATAGCATTCATCTGTAAGGAGAAAGGAAGATATTTGCTGATATACAGTATTTTAAAATTACATCCAATTTTTATAAGCAAAACACTTTGGAAGGGATTCCTACCAAGTGACAAAAAAATCTCAAGAGAGTTATCAAGAGAGGGAAAAAGAGAGAAAACACTAATCAGCAATGAACCAATTCCTCTCATATGTATGTAAATAGATAAATCAGTGTATAATGTTAAATAATGATGCAGCAATTAAAAAATTTAAAAATAGTCTGGGACCAAAAGAAGTAGGGGATTTTGTCAAATTCAATAAATTGAGGTAGGAAAAGGAATAAAAAAGTAAAAACCTTTTCCAAAGGTAATTTAGAGTGAAGCAGTAAAGATATTTTACAAGTTTCATCTTTTGGGCCTGAGGGAAGGCACATTGTTGGAGGAGAAATGGTGGCTGTGTTGTTTTCATGTAACAGTTGAGAATAAGTACTCAATGATGCGTTTCATTAGGATCCTATTATTAACACTTTGTAGAAAAGCAAAGAACTTTCAAAGAAACAAAGGAGATACATGAAATAGTGACTTTATATCAGCAAACATACAGATCTGTAAATAGAAAATCATGAAGAATAATAAACAGTCAACCATAAATTAAAATGGAAGAAATAAAACCAAGTATATCAGATACTAAACTAAACATGAATGGCTTCAGATCCCCTTAAGTCAGAGACTCAGTTTGGACTACAACCCAGAACCCAGAAATAGACGCATCACAGGAAATACACTAAAAAATAAGTGATAAAGAAAGACTGAAAATAAAGAAAATGGATAAAGAGAAATCAAGCAACTGCTAATAAAAAGCTAAGCAGTAATAACAATATTAACATTAGACAGGGTGCAATATAAATTAAAAATACTAAACATTACAAAGAAAGTAGTAGAAAATGATAAAAATGTGATTCATGGAGAGGACATAACATACACAATTCTATATTTCTAAGCATTACAATTGACAGAGAATAAAACTAGTCTGAATATAAGACTATCTTGCAAAGTAAAATTATGATGAGATATTTTAATATACCCATTTTATAGTCAAAAACACATAACATACACATTTTGGTAAAGGCATAAAAATTAAATGAAATCATACATATATATTACATAATACTTCATTAAGATGTAAAGATCATATACATATATATGAAATGATAATATACATCTGCATGTATCCATGAACAATTACAAAACTATATGTTTTTACTTAGAAAACTTTTTACAGCCATAGTTGTTTTTTATAAAATTTAATAAAATGTAAAGTAAATAATAAAATTTAATAAATGATAATAAAAATTCTAACTCTTTAGAAATGAAGAAACCTGCTTCTAGACAACCTTTGAATTACAAAATGTAAAAATGAAATTACTTACAAGCAAGAAAGTCATAAAAAAGAAAACATCTCATCACAAATTATAAAGCACAGAGAGAAACCTGTAATCAAAAGAAAATAAGTTTAAATGCCTTCATTAAACTAAATAGAATATTACTATTTATCTCAAACAAATGTAAATTGTATAACAAGATAAAAGGAAACTTAGAAGAGGAAACTAATAAATATAAAAGCTGAAATTAGTGAAATATAAACAAAAACAAAGAAAAGATAACAGTACAATGGGGAAAAAAGGGTAAAGGGTAAATGCTGTATTAGGCTGATTAAGAAAGAATAACAGTAACAAAGCAAAATAATGCAAATATTGAGAATTAGTAGATTGTAAAAAGCTTTGGCATTCTGTCAAGATATTTTAAATAAAGGAAATGATCAAACATAACCTCTAAGGGAAAAAATTCTTGACTAAATGAATTAACATAAAAGAGATTATAAAAGTCATTCAGGTGATTAAAGATTACCATTAAAATGAAACATGAGGACAGGTGGAGTTACCTCTAATTTGTATCTAAATTTAAAAAAATGAATTTCATGTTACTTAACTATGTCAGACTATTGAAAGTGATGAATAGTTCTGAATTATTTTATGAAGACAGAATAACTTGAATATAAAAAATAATATATGTAATACCCCAAAGAAAACTATAGACAAAACTCTTTGATGGATATAGTTGCAAAATATGTTATCAAAGAAAATCCAATTATGCAAAGGAGGTTTAATAACAGTATTTCTGTGAACATAATGCAAACTATCACTCCATTGTTGGAGAAAAATAATATAATCATACCAATAGATTATGAAAAGTCCTTTGATAAAAGTCAGCAGTGAGTCCTAGTAAGAATCCTAATTAAGATAAAAATAGGATAAACTACTTAAAGGTAATAAAGATTTTTTTAACAAAAACGTATACCATATTATGAAAATGTCATTGTTATCCAAATTATATGTAAATTTAATGGCATTACAGCTAGAAATTTATTTTTAATGATTGGATCATATGATTTACAATTTGTATCAATTCTTGAAGACAATTAAAACAAAAGTAATAATAGAACACTTGCCTTTCCAAAAAGCAGAACTATAAAGCTACTATAATAAAATTGGTATGACTGGATCAAGAATTAGCAAATTAAAAAGTACAACAGTGAAATACTATCCAGAAATAGCTCACAGTGTATATTAATTTTTTATCATAACAAAATTGCTATTTCAATTCAATATGAGAAAAATGGTTAATTTAGTAAATGATGCTGGTGCAGGTGAATATCTAATTTAGGAGAAAATAAAATTGAACTTCTGTCTCACATCATATATTAAAAATTAATTTCATGAAATTTTTAATGACAATTTTATTTTTTAAAAAAGAAAAGTATCTTAGCAAGTTATTCAGATATTCAGTAGCATGATAGAGTCTGCCTCATAACAGCTCGTTTGAGACAATTATGTGCATTTCTTCCTAACAACATATTCAGGAATATCATGTTGATAGCTTGAAACTGACCATGGTGGGAGGATTTATATTGCAGACATCATCAAATTCTACAAATCAGGGTTTCTTCTCCTCCTCCACCTGAAGTCAGTTGTTAAACATTTATCAGCTCACTACTATGTACATCAAATCTTTCATCTAGGGATTAAAGAATGTCTGTATATATTCCCATTATCTAAATTTCGTAGATACTCTGCACTGAAACAGGAAAAATTCAAACTGGAAAAAAAAAACTTGTCTATTTCTCTTTTTAATTTCATTAGTTGGTACCACATATTTTGTTATTGCATACCTGTTTAGGACCGTTGTGTTTTCTTGGATAATTGACATCTTTATCATTATGTAATGCCTCTCCTTATTTCTGATAATCTCCCTTTCCTGAAGTCTGTTCTGTCCAAAATTAATATAGGTGCTCCAGCTTTTTTCAATTAGTGTTATCAGGCTATATATTTTTCTATCCATGTACTTTTAACCTATCAGAATCTTTATATTTAAAGTAGGTTTCTTGTAGCAGCATATAGTTGGGTCTTGTGTTTTTATCCACTCTGACAATCTGTCTTTTAATTGGTATATTTAGACAATTCACCTTTGAAGTGATGATTGATGTAGTTTGATTACTATCTATCATGTTTGTATTTGTTTTCTATTTGTTGCTTTTGTTCTTTGTTTCTCCCTCTCCTCTCTTTTATTGCCTTCTCTGAGTGTAATGAAGCATTTTATGTTATTCTACTTTAACTCCTCTTTTAGCATATCAATTTTATTAAAAAAATTTTTTTTAGTGGTTGCCCTAGAGTTTACAATGTGAATTTTTAACTAATCAAAGACCACCTCCAATAGCATTATACTACTTCAGATGTAGTGCAGGTAACTCTTATCCCTTGTCACCTCAATGCTATTTATTTTAGTTACCCATTGTTACTAATATTGCTTTAAACAAATAGGTATCTTTTAGATCAATTAAGTAGAAATAGGCTGGGTGCAGTGGCTTGCACCTATAATCCCAGCACTTTAGTAAGTGGAGGCAGGAAATTCACTTGAGACCAGGAATTTGAGACCAGCTTGGGCAAAATAGCAAGCTGTGTCTACAAAAGATTTAAAAATTTAGCTGGATGTGGTGATGAGCATCTGTAGCCCCAGCTACTTCAGAGGCTGAGGTGGGAGGATCACTTGAGCTCAGAAGTTTAAGGCTGCAGTAACCTATGATCCCTCCACTGGATTCTAGCCTGGGCGACAGAATGAGACCCTGCCTCCAAAAAAAAAAAAAAAAGGGAAAAAATAAAAATATAGTTGCCTCCACTATTATTTCTCCTCCTTCTCCTCTCCTTCTCCTCCCCTCTCCTCCTCCCTCCTCCTCTTCCATCTTCTTTTAATGCACATTCAAGTTTCTGATCTATGATATTTTTCACTGCCTGTCTCTCCAGATTTGGGGGTAATGGTTTGTCTGCAACTCCAGTTCTCTAACAGATCCAGAAAAAGTTGTTGATTTTCAATTTGTATTGCTTTTTCTTGAAAGAATGGGAGTGATGGCTTCCAAGCTCTTTGCATGATGGAGCTTACACTGAAAGCTGTATAATTGAAAATGTTTGAGCATGTAAAAACATAAAACTTTTGTATGGCAAAAAGTACAACGGACAAAATCGATTAAAAAAAACAGATTGCAGAACTATCTATTTGTAGCCTAGATGGGAAGTAAGGGGTACATCTCTGTACAATACAAAAAAATTTTAAAGAGAGATGAGATAAAGATTTCCGCACGAAACAAAAAAGTCTTACCGACAGACAACATAAAGACAAGGCAGACAAGAGAAGCAAACCACTAGAAATGTGATCAATTCACAAAAAACCAAATGACCAATAAACACACCAAAATTATTAAATAAATGGTTAGGAAAGTGCAAACAAAAGCAACAAACCTTCAAAATTAATATTAACAAACTTGGGTACTCATATATATTCTGACAGAAATATGAATTGTTGTACCTATTTTGGAAAACAACCTGGCAGCAATCACTAAAATAAAAAGTCTTAGCCCTAGACAATTCACAGGTCACTATTGCATATCTATCCTACACAAATAAAAGCAAATAAAGATATTCTTTTGGATGTTTTTATTAGCATTGTTTTAGTGGCATGTAGCAATATGTTGCTCAGTGCTAGGGCAATGCCTAAATAAATTATAAAATATCCAAACCATGATTTATTTTAGTTATTTAAATGAACAAATGAATTAGAGCTATGCCAGTTGGCTTGGAGGAATTGATCTAAAGAATTTATGAATGACAAAAGCAGAATGTATGAAAGTATGTCAAATATGATTTCAATTGTGGAAAATAGTAAAAAATAATATGTACTTATATCTACATAAATATTTTGCCAAAGTTGCAGATCCTATTTGCAGTATGATTTTATTATGTTAAAATGAGCAACAAAGCAAAGGGAATTAAAAAAAACCAACCGTATCTATGCATGCAAAGTCTCGTGTAAGTTTTAATAAACTAAGTGAAATGTTTAGAAAGATACACACCATATTGTTGACATGGCTTATCTCAGGAAGGTGCAATAGAGGAAGTGTCATGATACAGATGATAAACTTTTTTCTTGTACACCTTTGTATTCACTGATTTCAAACATATATTAAAGTGGTAATTTGAAAAGAATTCAAGTATACAAGCTCTAAAGAAAAAAAACCAATGTAAGGAAGGGGTCCAGTTTCAGTTTTCTGCATATGGCTAGCCAGTTTTCCCAAAACCATTTATTAAATAGGGAATCCTTTCCCCATTGCTTGTTCTTGTCAGGTTTGTCAAAGATCAGATGGTTGTAGATGTGTGGCATTATTTCTGAGGCCTCTGTCCTGTTCCATTGGTCTATATATCTGTTTTGGTATTAGTACCATGCTGTTTGGTTACTGTAGCCTTGTAGTATAGTTTGAAATCAGGTAGCGTGATGCCCCCAGCTTTGTTCTTTTTGCTTAGGATTGTCTTGGCTATACAGGCTCTTTTTGGTTCCATATGAAATTTAAAGTAGTTTTTTTCTAATTCTGTGAAGAAAGTCAATGGTAGCTTGATGGGCATAGCACTGAATCTATAAATTACTTTGGGCAGTATGGCCATTTTCAGATATTTATTCTTCTTTTCCATGAGCATGGAACGTTTTTCCATTTGTTTGTGTCCTCTTTTATTTCCTTGAGGAGTGGTTGATAGTTCTCCTTGAAGAGGTCCTTCACATCTCTCATAAGTTGTATTCCTAGGTATTTTATTCTCTTTGTAGCAATTGTGAATGGGAATTTGCTCATGATTTGCCTCTCTGTTTGTCTATTATTGGTGTATAGGAATGCCTGCAATTTTTGCACACTGATTTTGTATCCTGAGATTTTGCACACTGATTTTGTATCCTGAGATTTTGCTGAAGTTGCTTATCAACTTAAGGAGATTTTGGGCTGACATGATGTGGTTTTCTAAATATACAATCATGTCATCTGCAAACAGAGACAATTTGATTTCCTCGCTTCCTATTTGAATACTCTTTATTTCTTTCTCTTGCCTGATTGCCCTGACCAGAACTTCCAATACTGTGTTGAATAGGAGCGGTGAGAGAGGGCATCCTTGTCTTGTGCCGGTTTTCAAAGGGAATGCTTCCTGCTTTTGCCCATTCAGTATGATATTGGCTGTGGGTTTGTCATAAATAGCTCTTATTATTTTGAGAGACGTTCCATCAATACCTAGTTTATAGAGAGTTTTTAGCATGAAGGGGTGTTGAATTTTATTGAAGGCCTTTTTTTTGCATCTATTGAGATAATCATGTGTTTCTTTGTCATTGGTTCTGTTTATGTCATGGATTACGTTTATTGATTTGGGTATGTTGAACCAGTCTCATATCCCAGGGATGAAGCTGACTTGATCATGGTGAATAAGCTTTTTGATGTGCTGCTGGATTCAGCTTGCCAGTATTTTATTGCGGATTTTTGCACTGGTGTTCATCAGGGATAGTGGCCTAAAATTTTCTTTTCTTCTTGTGTCTCTGCCAGGTTTTTGTATCAAGATGATGCTGGCCTCATAAAATGAATTAGGGAGGAGTCCCTCTTTTTCTATAGTTTGGAATAGTTTCAGAAGGAATGGTACCAGCTCTTCTTTGTACCTCTTAGAATTTGGCTGTGAATCCTTCTGGTCCTGGGCTTTTTTTGGTTGGTAGGCTGTTAATTACTACCTCAATTTCAGAACTTGTTATTGGTCTATCCAGGGATTTGACTTCTTCCTGGTTTAGTCTTGGGAGGGGTATGTGTCCAGGAATTTATCAATTTTTTCTAGATTTTCCAGTTTATTTGCATAAAGGTGTTTATAGTGACAAGGTGGCATTCTTAGCTTCTAGTTTAATGTAACCATTGTTTTAACTCCCTGTAGAGGCCTTATTTGATTGGAAACTAAGCTCTCTTTACCAGCAGAAAACTGTTGGGCAGGGAAGGCAAAATCAGATCCAGCATACATGTCTATTTTGGTATGAACAAATGGCTGCCCTTTTCATGAAAGAAATTTGCTAATGTAATCAACTTGCCTTCAGATGGCTATCTGGTCACCCTTTGGAATGCCATTGTATCAGGGCTTCACAGTTTGTCTCTACTGTTGGCAGGTTGGGCATTCAATATTGATGTAGCCAGATTAACCTTGGCAAGTGGAAGCCCACATTGCTGAGTGTATCCATTCCAACTTTTCATTTTAGAACTAGGAACATGACTACAAGGTGGCTTGAGGGACCCACTGTAGATGGGCTGAGCCAAAATGACATGAATCGCCTGGCTTTCGTACATCCCCTTTCTGAATGGTGAATCACTTTGCTGTTTTGTGTCTCCAAGAATTTGTGTCAGCTCAAAGGCAGTGTCTAGCAATCCCTAAGATGTTCAGTTATTTTTATTTCCCTAAAGCACAAGCACCCTGGTAAATGGTTCCAGGTTCTTCCGGAAAAGACTAAATGGATATTTTACCACATACATTTTTGGCAGTGTGGCAGTATCCTTCCTCAAAGGGTTCAAACCTTCTCTTCATTTAAGCTGCTCTGAGTCTACAAACCACTCAAGTCTGGGAAGTGGTTAAGGAGCATGACTCTATTGTAGTGATTCAATTCAGGGCTCCATCTACCAGTCCTAACAATTTTGCTTATAAAAATCAAAGTAGACTTGATTTAGTAGGCTGTTCACCTGTATTAGTCCTAAGACTATAATTATTTAGCTACAAAGATCTCTGTAGGTCATACTACCTGACTACTATCAGATCAATGATTGTTGTGTATTATGGTAACAATGCCCACCTTGACCTTGTCAATTAGTGCCAGTAACTATTACTTGCATCATATGGCCCCTGCCACTTCAGAATCCCACCATTCTCGTTGTCTTCTAGGAGTCTGTTCCACTGATACCTCTCCCAGCGTCATTCCTGGCATGCAAAAAAAAAAAAAAAAAAAACAAAAACCATTAAAGAACCTTTGAAGGTTGCTCGTTTAATCCTCCCGAATGTATTTCTGAAAGACTTCGAGAAGGAGTAGATGAGTAGTGGAACACAAAAAAAATCCACTCTAGCATCCCTGTCTCCCTAAGCCTTTGGATACTGCCTTCTTCAGATCACTTTGGCCACCACAGGGACTCAGTTACAGTCAATCAGCTGACAAGCCTGTGATGGTTAATTCTAGATGTCAACTTGACTGGATTAAGGTATACCTAGATAATTGGTAAGGCATTATTTCTGGGTGTGTTTGAGAGGGTATTTCCAAAGAAGAATGGAATGTGAGTTGATGGACTGAGTGAGGAAGATTTTTCCTCCTCAATGAAGGCAGGCACAATCCGTTTGGCTGGGTGCCTGGATAGAACACAAAGACAGAGGAAAGGCAAATTCTCTCCCTCTTCTCTCTTCTCTCTCTCTCTCTCCCTCTCTCTCTATCCCCTTTTCTCTCCTGGAGCTGGGACACCCTTCTTCCTCTGCCCTGAGACATAAAAACTCCAGGTGCTCTGGACTTTGGACTCTGCGTCTTGCACCATTGGTCCCCTACGTTCTCAGGTCTTTGGACTTGGCCTGAATGATACCATTGTCTTCCTTGGTTCTGAAGCCTTTGGGCTTGGACTGAGCCATGCTACAAGCATCCCTGGATCTCCGTCTTACAGTCAGATTATCCTGAGACTTAATATCCATAACAGCATGAGTCATTTCCCCTAATAAATTTTATATCTATCTATCTATCTATCTATCTATCTATCTATCTATCTATCTATCTATCTATCATCTATCTAATCTTTATATCTACCAATCTTCTGTGGGTTTTGTCTCTTTGGGAAACCCTGAATAAAACAAGGCTATTAGACTTATTCCTAACAATTCAAAATAATATATGGAATCCAAAATTACTTGTTAGTGCACTCATATAAATAAACCTAGCTGAATCCAACAGTGTATTTCTTTCTCCTTGTTCTAACACTCTTACAATCAATTCCCAAAGATATTCTTCTAGTTTTCACTAACACAAATTGTCAAAATATTAAAATTCTTTTGTGTGTATAGTATATCCTCCAGGATTAGACTTTGTATTTTTCTTAAGGTTTGAGTTCAGTTATAGGTTTAGAAGCAAAAGAGTTGATGGGGTGGCACTTGAGAGTCAGCATTCTTCCATAAGTCTACAGGTTCTTCAGTAAGGGAAGGTGAGTTTACTCTGACAGCGTAGGTTTCTACTGAGTGGAATTTGGGTGTTCATTGCAATTTATCTAAATAGCTCTATCCCAATCTTTAGGGTCTCATTCTTTCCCCATCAATGTTATAGATAAAGTACTGTAAGAGAATCTGAGGAGCCATACATTTGATTTGCATTTTAATTAATCACATGTAGTATCAGACTTTGGGTTTCGTTTTCAAAAACTTCAAACCTGCAGCTAAAAGTTATAAGGTATATTTTTCAGGATAGTCGTAGATATTTCACTTTCATTACTCAGAACTCAAGATAGAAATAGAAAGCCCTGACCTCATCATTTGCTTTTTCTAGTACAGTTAAAACAGGCAACCATCTCTTTCCTCTTTTTTTTTTGAGATGGAGTTTTGCTCTTGTTGCCGAGGCTGGAGTCCAATGGCATGGTCTCAGCTCATTGCAACCTCTGCCTCCCAGGCTCAAGTGATTCTCCTGCCTCAGCCTCCCGAGTAACTGGGATTACAGGTGTGCGCCACTATGCCTGACGAATTTTTATATTTTTAGTAGAGATGGGGTTTCACCATGTTGGCCAGGCTGGTCTCAAACTCCTGACCTCAGGTGATCCATCCATCTCAGCATCCCAAAGTGCTTGGATTACAGGCGTGAGCTACCATGTCCGGCCCTCTTTCCTCTTTGTCCTTATAATCTGTATTTTGATTATAAATTTTTTAATTAAAAAATTAGTGGGCCGGTTGCGGTGGCTCATGGGCTTACACCTGTAATCCCAGCACTTTGGGAGGCTGAGATGGGTGCATCACCAGAGGTCAGGAGTTCAAGACCAGCCTGGCCAACATGGTGAAACCCCGCCTCCACTAAAAAAAAAAAAAAAAAAAAAAAAAAAATTAGCTGGGTGTGGTGGTGGGCAGCTGTAATCCCAGCTATTTGGGAGGCTGAGGCAGGAGAATCACTTGAACTCAGGAAGCAGAGGTTGCAGTGAGCCAAGATTGTGCCACTGCATTTCAGCCTGGGCAACAAGAGCAAAACTCTGTCTAAAAGAAAAAAAAAAAAAATAGTGGGTAGCAGTAGGTCGCTGGTATGGTCCGAATGTTTGTGTTCCTCCAACACTCATATGTTGAACTCCTATCTTCAAGGTGATGGTATTAGAAGATAGGGGCTTTAGGAAATGATTAGGTTATGAGATTGGAGCCCCCAGAAGGGGATTCATGCCTTCATAAAAGTGGCCCCCAAAAGCTCCCTTCTTCTTTCCACCATGTGAGGACACGATAAGGAGGCACTATCTGTGAAGAAGTGGTCCTCACCAGACATCAAATCTGCTGTGCCTTGATCTTAAACTTCCCAGCCTCCAGACTGTGAGAAATTAAAGCTTGTTGTTTATAAGATACCCAGTTTATGGCATTGTGTTATAGCAGCATAAACTAAGATAGTCACCCAAAGCATAGGCATCCAACTCCAGGTAACTCCAGGTGATAATGCAAGAAATTAGTTTTCAAATATCATGGTCTATAAGTATCCTATTTATTACTGGCAATGAGGTTATTAGTGCTTTTAAATCTAATCACATTTTAGAACCAATTCCAGATTCCCATCTTTAATATTCTGTACCCCTGGATCCACTTTAGTGCCAAAAGCTATGTCAGTCTGGGTTTGTTCAGAAAAGCTGAGGGACTACAAGGATGACAGAAATAAGTGTAAATCAAATTTATAAGTAAGAATTCATGTGTACACAAATTTGTGTGTAGCTGGTGGAGATTTGTCTGGAGGCCTGCAACTGGAGGATCAGAGAGACTTCCATTAATCACATCATTATTAAGCTCTGGCACTGGCATGAGTAAAAAAGCTTATAGGACGTTTGTGAAACCACAAGGTGGGAGCCCGTGAGAGGTCTGTGGAAGTACCACAGTGACTGGAGTCATCATGTTTGATTTCCACAGTTTCCTTAGAATAATGGCTTCTGTTTCACTTCTGCCTTCCAAATAATTTATGAAGTCCTCTCATTGGCAAATTTTAATCTAATAACACACAGGGAGAGAATTTTGTGAAACAAAGTTTTCAGACTTGAATGGGAATAGTAGAAGTTGTATCAGGGTGTCAACAGACAATCCAGAACACCTAGTTCTTTCCTATCTCTGATATGGTTTTTCAAATGCTCAAACTCTAAAAAGTCCAGTCTTCCCTAGAATCACTCTAATATTTGTGTGTTGAATTTAACTACCACTTGTTGGGTGCTCTGTTTCATACCTTATACTAAAATATGGGAATGCAGTGATGCACAAGTCACATTTCTTGCATTACAATTTCATAAGCTAACAGGGAAGAAATATTTGGCAACAAGTAAGCGGTATTCATTTAAAGAATGCTACAATAATGGTATACACCAAGATAAGCAAGAAAAAATGGATGTTTGTTAGGAAAGTAAGGTTAAGAATGTCATTTTAATGAAAAGAAACAGGATGTAAATAAGCATGAGTTCTCAAAGATGGTAAATTTAGAAGAAATTTAAGTAGATTTTATGGCTAGAAATTGAGTTCAAGAAGATAGCGGGGGAGATTAAGTTGGAAAAGCAGACAGAGGTAAAGTCAAGAAGAACATATACAGAAGATTGAACTGTTTTTTTTTGTTGTTGTTGTTTTGTTTTGTTTTGTTTTGTTTTAGCAAGTGGAAACCAATAAAGGGATTTAAGTCCTGGAGACTTGTTTTGTATAAAATTACTCTTTGTAGCAACATAGTGGAGGAGTTCAAGGCCAGAGATGGAAAGGCATTTTAGGAGGCAGTTGCCATAGCCTAGGTGAAAATTATATAAAAGCTGTGTTAGTTGAAGTGTAGGGGGTTGTTTCAAATGGGGATCCACATAGTTGATGGGATCTGGAGATGTGCCCAGAGATGATCTGATGACTTTTCTCTATTTCTGGTTTGGTTGACCAGTTAAAAGGTAAAGGTCATTAACCAAATAGGGGCTCAAATTAATATGAACTTTGCAAAAACTGAACTCTGAAAAAATATGATACTTTTTGTTACTTTTAAATGGAACTATGTTTACAATTATAAAATGTACAAAGTATTCCTATGTCTTCATGGCACATAAAAGAAAAATACTTAATGTCAAAATAAGAAATGCATGTGCAAATTTAGGTGCTCAACATGACCTATTATAATATCTGTCAAATAGAAAACCCTGGTTAATAGTATGCTGTGAATGTCACAAACTGTAGGCAAAGGTGTGGAAAATTTATGCAATGTAATCTGATCCATTCATTTTATAAAGTTATATTGTATTTTAATTCTTCATTTCTAGTTTTCCTTGTTTTCTCTTTCTCTGTGCTTCCTCATTTAATTTGCAAATTCTGGGTTTACAATTTCTATGTTGATTTCATAGTTTTCTTGCTACAATAATCTGTAGTTTTGTTCAGAAAGTATACTTTCTGAGAAAATGAAGGAATTACTTAATCAGTAAATTAACCAAATAGAAACAACTGTGCTATAAGAAAGTAGTGATTACAGCACCAGATTAGGGTCAGGAGACCTGGGTTCTGGCCTCAGTTCTGTCACTTCAGCAGGTGACCAAATTCTCTTTGGGCTTCAGTTTCATTTTCTGCATGATTAATTATTTCTATTTTTGACCTTATCAGATTGTATTTTAATACTTATCAAAATATTTATTTTCAGGAATGCTCTACTGGTCAGTCAGCTTTTTGGGGGTAAGAAATTCATCCTAATTATTTTTGTGTTCCTAACATAGCCCAGTGCCAAGCATATGCTTAATGAATAGTTGTTGAAAGATTAAATAATTGATTAATTATCAGGAGCATGAAGGAAGGTTAAGGTCTGGAAGGTGTGGTCCAAACAATATCTGGAGTATCATTAGTACTCAAGATCAAGAAAAGACCAAAAAATGAGGTTTGAAAGAAAAATAAAAAAATCAGTAGTAAATTTGGATTACCTCAACTCCAGTAGAGCAAGTCAGCTATTGGGATTAAAAGGCAAAAGTAGCCTTAATCCTGAGCAAAAGTAGTTTGCACCTGGCCAATTTTTGAGTTTTCACCAGTTGTGAGAAGTTCTAGGTTTGATAATGGAATGTAAAAAATAATTATTTGGAGATTCACTGGGATGAATTCAATAAATAAGTCATGAAGCATCTTTGCCATCTCATCTACCACTAAACCACAAATAGGCTTAAATATATGAGAACATTTTGATATATACGTGATAACATTTTGATAGATTCTGGGATGTTCCCATTTGTTAGGTGGTCCTAGTGATGCATAGGAGAGTTAATGAATTGGTTTAGGCTGTTTTTCTTTAAACTTTTATTTTAAATCTACTCTTCAGAGTCAGGACCATTCTATGGTTAAATATCTAGCTAGATGCTATGGTTTGAATGATTTTGTTCCCTCTGAAATTCATGTTGAAACTTAATCCCCAGTGCAACAGTATTAAGAGGTGTGGCCTTTAGGGGGGCTTAGTGATTGAATAGGGCTCCACCCTCATGAATGGGATTCAGTGCCCTTATAAAAGGGTTTGGTGGAGGAACCCCATTTTACCCTTCTCCTATGTTAGGACATAGTGCTCCTTCCCTGCAGAGGTTGTAGCAACAAGACACCGTCTTAGAAGCAGAGACACAAGGCTCTCACCATCTGATACCTTGCTCTCAGACTTCCCAGCCTTCAGAACTATGAGAAATAAATTTCTATTATTTATAAATTACCCATTCTGTGGTATTTTGTTATGGCAGCACAAATAGACTAAGAACCTAGGCTTCCACAAATACTTATTTAGATCATACCCTCATAAGGGTGCCTGGCTGAGGCTTAAGGACCTACTTCAGACTCTGTTTGCCAAGTCATGACCATCGGAAGGGGAAAGGGGAAGATAGTCAGAGGAAGAGTTGTGTTTTGGAGTTGGTCTCCCCAAGAGGGACCTTTTTCTAACTTGCATAAGGGTACAGAGATCCTGGCCTTAATGGTACCAAAAGAACATCCAAAAATAAAAATCAAATCACCAGAGGAGATTCTGACTACAAAAAGTGCTCTAGGTTTTTTTCCATAGAATGCTCTTATTATTTATCATATGCCAGGCTCCCCAAGGCTAATGCTTGAGAGTATAATGAATCATTTTCAGTAGCTTTATGCATAACCTCTACATTACAACTTGGTACTCAATGCATTTTTCTGAAGGATCCACTGAGAAATAAGAAACTCATATGTATGCATTGACCTGCTACCATGGGATATTACCCCTTGATCTTTGTAAGAAAACCTCTTCTAATTTCCATACCTTGGAGACATGTTAATGAATAAATGACTGATTAAAAACATTTCTTATTGAATTTATGTACTTCCTGAAATATTAGTTAGGTTAAAATTTTAGATGCTATTGAATATGCGATGATTTGGAGACTTTATAGGTGGGGTTGATTTGCAAACGTTATTCTCTCCAGTTATTAGTCTATGTCTAATTGTTGAGTTTCATTTTGATTTAAAAAATAGAACAGTTTCAAACCAGACAAATATATCAAAATGTTCTCATATATTTAAGCCTATTTGTGGTTTAGTTGTAGATGAAATGGCAAAGATGCTTCATGACTTATTTATTGAATTATTGTCCCTATTTTAAACAAGGAATCTTAGAACTGGGAAAATCCTAGAGGCCATGTAGTCTAACTTCCCACTTCACGCAAGGACCATGTCTTTGTCCCCTGCCTGAATACTTTTCCATGAAAGGAGTCGGGAGAGGTTAGGTCACTTGTTTGTTCTCTGTTCTACTGCATTGTTGGACAGTGATAATTCCCAGAAACTTCTTATTTTGAATTGAAATTCTGACTCACTGGAATCTATTATATTAGATTCCTCTTTGTCTCACTTCCTATTCCAGGTAGTACCCTGAGGTACTGGGCAATATTATCAAAACAATTAATATTTCACTAGGTCAAAACAATTCTAACTTGAGTTTTGTCTCTTCTAAACTAAATGGTCTTAGATCTGCTAACCATTCTACCATTTAAATTTCTGGCAACTCACACTTGTTTCTCTTCCTCTTTCTAGTCTTTAGTTTTGCAAAGACCCCTTAAAAGACTGCCTGTGTTTGAATTCCAGTTCCCCTTCTTAGTAGCTGCATGAACTTGGACAGTTATTTGAACCTTTTTTTTTGCCTCAGATTAGTTATTATAAGTAAAGCATTCATTTGTTTACCAAATATTTATTGAATATTTATATACCATGAATCACACAGTCTTTTAGATGGTTGAGAAACATCAATGGCTAAAATAAATATCCTTGCCCTCATAGAAGTTGTATTCATTCTTAAGATGGTTCCTGGCATATGGTAAATGCTTTGTGATGTTTGCTATGTGTGTATACATTTGTGTGTACCTGTGTATGAATATTATGTCCAAAGTAGTCAAAATATGTCAGATACACTCTCACTAGTGCTGAAATACATTAGGATTACCACTTTATTTAAATTGGATGAATATTACCTTCTTTTGACATTATTTTACTAGGTGGTTAATTAGTGCTTTTGTTAAGGCTAAGGTCAGCGGATTGCTTTAGCTATTATTTTTTCTAAATAACATTGAATGCTTTTATTAGCAAATTTAAAAACTCATCTGCGTGTGGAATGCAAAGGCGTGGAGAAGACCAGAACCCAGTCTATGTGTTTTTGTGTATAGGACAAAATTTCCTTGACATAATGTCTACCTTTCTGCTGGATCTCCTTTCTGTCTGCTTTGCTTTGATCCTACTGCCCACTTCTTCCCAACCCAGTTGATAAGCTGAGACCAACTTATACTGTTGAGCTGATTGTTAAAAATTCAGGAATTTTGCAAGCTGGTTGCAAGCTACTGTTGGTAACCTGAAAATGGCCACACTGGGAATATTTCATAGAAATCAGCAAAATCTACACATGAAAACTTTTCTTTTGCACCAGTTTACTCGTGCACCACTGCCCCAACCTGATGAGACTTGACCAGCATCTCATTATTGTGGTTTTAGTTACCAACTGAGCTTTACTTGGATACTTACTAATAATTAGGCTCTTGTTTGGTATGTGTAACTGTATTTTCCATGTAGAATATTTGCGTTTTAAGCAGAATTTTCTTTAAAGATGAAAAAACTTACAAAGCATATAGGAAAAAGGCTATGATGATGGGAAGAAGTTCCGAAGAATTTTCGTAAAGATATGAATCTTTGCTTTTGTTACTGATGTTTCTCAACCACCTAGACAATTATGTGGTATATAGTGAGTGTTCAATAAATATTTGTGAAACATATGAATGCTTTACATGTAATAAGTACTGTTCATTGAAACATAAAGAGGTTAAATAACTGATGTCATGCAGCTAGTAAGGAGTGAAGTGGGAATCCAAACATAGGCAGTGTTTTAAGGGGTTCTTTGCAAAATTAAAGGAATTGAAGCAGCTGATCTGTGTTTTGTTTGTGTTCTATTCTGTGTGATATCCCAAGGGGAAAGAAAAAAAGGCAGGTGATCCCATCAAATCTCTTTGTCAACTGGAACCTAGAGTATATAGAGTAATAATATTACCCAAGGAAAAGAGACTTTATCTGTTTAGTATTCCTATGAGGATGTTCCCTACAGGACTGCCCCTAGGGCATTTGAAGCCCCAGGTAAATATTTTCTGGAGATGCACTGGGGGTGTACAAACAATTTGATTCAATATATAATGTATTACAAAATTAATACATATATGTAAAATATAGAGATATATTGACGAAAATGTATAATAATGAGCAGAGAAGTGGTACTGAAATATTTGCTTATTTTCTGATCAGAGCACATTATAATATTTTATAATGCCCAGTCATCTTTTCTTTTTGTTCAATTCCAGGAGCCATGTTCTTCATGTGCTTTCTTGTCAAATGTGTCCTTCTTGGCAAATTTTATATTTTCTACCACAAGAAAAATGTAGCTTTACTGTTATTATTCACAATGTCATGGATCTTCAAACCTATTTGTATTGAAACACCACTGATCTTCTTGGTTCTATAGTTCCCTAATGCCATCTTGTTAGTGACGATTATGTTATTACTCAGGGTGCTGCATTCTCCATCATACCACCCATGAATATGGAATTCTAAGGACTGTCTCAAATGTTATTACTGTGCTTTGGGGGTGATGACCACAAATGTAAGTCTTTCACAGTGTATGCAAGAAAATATGAATAATAACATATTTTCTGGTTATGTTAAATGTATTATTTAGAATGTTATAGCATAAATATAGAAGAACATATTCCAACCATGTTAAACTCTTCAGGCAATCATCACTGCGTTCCTATGACGTAATGTCTTTCAATGTTGATAACATCTCTGCTTTCCACTCGCCAACAACAGTAAGTAAAAAGCAAGGGACTCATGGGCAGAGCAAAAAGAAGGATCTCATTTGTACAAGGGATATTTGTCCTTTGTCCAGATCTGCTTAAGACTGACCCTGGAGAAGCCGGGCGCGGTGGCTCACACCTATAATCCCAGCACTTTGGGAGGCTGAGGCAGGTGAATCACCTGAGATCAGGAGTTTGAAATCAGCCTGACCATTATGGTGAAACCCCCTCTCTACTTAAAAAAAAAAATACAAAAATTAGCCAGGCATAGTAGCATGCCCCTTTAGTCCCAGCTGCTCAGGAGGCTGAGACAGGAGAATTGCTTGAACCTGGGAAGCAGAGGTTGCAGTGACCCGAGATTGCGCCATCGCACTCCAGCCTGGGTGACAGAGCAAGACTTCGTCTCAAAAAAAAAAAAAAAAAAAAAGACTGACCCTGGAGAACACGACATCACCACATTAATTGGAGGTAAGACAGGTCATTAATTAAAATTGCCCACTGGTGTTGCAAAGCAATGCTTGAAAAAAATCCTTAGAAGAGATAGATGTGGCCACCTTGGAAGTGTGGAGCCTGCTGAAGAGGTAGAGTGATTGCCTTGAGTGCTAGCACTAGAGGGGAGGTACACAGGGTAAGGGATGCCTGCCACCACCTCCACCACTCTTGGGTACTAAAACTATAGGGAGCACCACTGTCAGTACATGCACAGGTGAGAGCTGATAATACAGGCCCAAACAAATGGCTTATCCCCAAGGGTTTGTGTTGAACTTTCAGAAATCCGGAGTCCTGAACTTGTCCTCTGTCTGACATGAGTGAGAACCACAAAAAAATCTGTGTGTAAGCACATTCTATGACTGAATCTCATGAGATCTAATAAAAGAAATATTAGGGCTTTCTATTGGGAGTAATCTGCTTTTAATGCTGATTTTCTTGAATTAGAACCGTGCCCTTGAACCACACAGCAATATCAAAGATGCAAGTCCCAGAGTTCTTCCAGGCAACTGGTCAATTTCACGTATAATATAGAGGATCAGAGAGTGCCTCAAAGAGAAGAAATGGAAAGCACAGCACATGTGGCACCCTAACTACAAAGCACTACCAACTCCAGGAAGTTCCAACTACCAGAGGGGAACTCGGACATTTTTGAGGACAGTATTTCTGGCAACGTGACCCACTTAGGATCTGGTGCTGGGAAGTAACACCTTGATGAGATAGCACAGTTGGTCTAAGCCAGCCCTGGTGATCAGAGAGAGACTCTGAAAATTTTGAGGCAGGTGCTTCTGGTGACCAGGATCCATGCAGGAACAGGTTTGAAGGCACTCTGCTGGAGGGGTGTGAGGTTTCAGGGTACCATGCCTGAGAAGCTAACTTCGGACAGTACAAAATTGTAGAGGAGGACTTAGAACATTTCAGTGAAGGGATTTCAAAGCATAGAGCCCTCCAGGACCACCTGAGGAGCTGGTCCTAGGTCAGGGTCCCTGCTTGGCTGAGTCTGAGAGTGGTACTGTTCCCTGGCTAATGAATTATTTGAAAGACTTTAGAATCTATGAGGCATGTCATCTTGGAGAATGCCATGTAAGTTCTACAATTCTCTAGGATATTAAATGGAGATGTTTCACAATTAAAGACTCCTGCTGCAATAGGAGGTAACCCTGGAGACTTCACTTTTAGAGATTTCATCTATTATTCTGGGCCAGAAGTCCATGTTTCGCATGGGAAGATAGGACTTGGAGAACTGCCCTTAAAGCCCTTGATCTTTCTGCTGTGTCTGAGTCTGTTGATTACTTTTGTCCTTGAAATTATTGTAAAACTTAATACCCATTAAGATCTCCGGTTTGTTTAAGTCTGATATGCCAATCTAAACTATACGTTACACACATGGGGGACTCGGTTGATGTTTGGGGGCATGAACCATTTACTTGGTGTCACATTGATTGCTTCCTCTTTTCCTTCACTCTGAAGTTGACAGACAGGTACTGAAGTAATAATTTTGGTCCCTTTTTTCTTTTTTGAAGGGGGATGGCTGGGTGGGAAGGCAGGTGGAGAAGAGCTTTCTAATTTTAAAATCCGGTATTCTGGGAGGAATGTAGTATTTTCTATTTACACAGCTAGCTAGCAAATAAATTTGGGAATACCTATCAATAGTCTATATTAAGAATAGAGATAAAGCACTCAAAATTCAAAGCATGCGTCAACTCTATCAGAGTAAGTTATGTGTTTCTTGTACTCCAGCCCTTCCTCTGTAAAAGAGAATTATCACAACAAAGCCCACATTTTTCTAAATATTTTTGTTTTCGAGGCTACACATTTCAAGGACATATCATCTAAACAGAGGAATTGATTTGTCTGAATAGAATTCAGCCAGGATCTCAGAGTTTATTTGACTTCATAGAAGTCAGAGTGATCATATTTGGAGACGTGTGCAAAATCTTACGGCAGTGGGTTATCTTTTTTAATCCCAGAAAATAATTTACTAATGGGGTTTACCTGATGTGTAGTGTCCATTTTGAAGAACTGGCCTGAACCATAGTTATTAGTCATTATTTAATTTAATAGTGTTCGCTGTAAAGATAGCTGTCATTTATTGAAAACTAACCATGTACCAGGCATTGTTTTAAGAACTTTATGTGGAATATCTCATTTTATTTTCCTAGCAACACTGGAGATAGATACCATTATCCCCACATTACAGGTGAGGAAACTGAGATACAGGGAAATTAAATACTGTAGATTGCTCATTGTTACATACTTAGTAATTACTATGAGTCAAACAGTTCAGATTGATTTCAACATGGATCCAAACTTCAAGATCAGAATGGATGTGATACCCCAGACATAACAACTAGATAATTATAGATGATTCCTCTCTAGCTATTTGCTTCTAGGCTCTAAGCTTAAGAACTGGATTCAAAGATGCAGGAGGGCTGAAAGAGTGAGCCCAGTCCATCCTACTATGCAGCCATAAAAAAGAACGAGATCACGTGCTTTGTAGGGACATGGATGGAGCTAGAGCCCATTATCCTTAGCAAACTAATGCAGGCATAGAAAACCAAATACTATATGTTCTCATTTATAAGTGGTAGCTAAATGATGGGAACACATGGACACATAGAAGGGAAAATCACACACTGGGGCCTGTTGGAGGATGGAGGGTGGGAGGATGGAGAGGATCAATAAAAAAAACTAATGGGTACTAGGCTTAGTACCTGGGTGACGAGATCATCTGTATAACAAACCTTCATGACACAAGTTTACTTATGTAACAAACATGCACATGTACCCTTGAACTTAAAATAAAAGTTAAAAAAGAAAGAAAGAAAAAGAACTCAGGGTATTATTTTTAGCTGCTCATTTTGGGGAATATGGACTTAGTTATAAATAATACTTACTTTTATTTTTTTCTTTCAGGTGTACGACTTTCCCCTTCCAATTTTCAGGTTCACACTATATTCTAGAATAGGTATAGGAGGGATGGCTGGAAGGTGGTGGTAGGCAGTGAGTTGAATTTTGTCTTTTTCTCTTGTTCATTGGTCAATCACTCTTATTAAATACCTACATTATAAAATAATAGGGAGCTTTCAACATTTGATACAAAATATGATACTGTCCCAACCTTTATGCATTCAGAAATAAAAATAGAGAAAAAGTAAAGAGTACAGGAATAAAATGTTATGAATTTCTAAGAGCTGTATCCTAAAGCAATCCCAATATATGTCTAGAAAAAAATTTCCCTCATGGCTAACATACATCTTAGTATTATTTGTAGCCCACAAATATATTTAATTGGGTAAATATATAATTTTACCAACTTATAGGTTAGTATTTATCTTAAAGTTATTTTATAATGCTGTAATTTCACTTAAATTATGCATATTTTTATACTTTTGCAATAGCAACAGTATTTTTAATCCCTTCTAAATAATGTGCCTTTATTTATTGAAAAGCAAATGTAGTCTCTCATCAGTTTATAGTGGGTGAATGCTTTGTATTACATTTTAAATGTTGCTTTGGAAACAGGCAATTAGTTATACACCAGGCCTGCCCTTGTCATTTACTGAGAAGAAACACTGATACGGAGTTCCTTCTTTTGTAAATTTGAGATAAGCTGTCCTCCCAAAGACATCAAGATAAGAGGAATCAATGCACATTGTCATTTTGACAGGCCGTATTCTCCTGTTAGTTTACACATCTGCTCAAGGAGGGAAAACTATCAGATACTTTTGCTGATAATGATGAACAAGAGAGGGAGTCTTAGGTTGGTATCTGAGGACAGCCTGTCAAGGCCCAGTAGAAATGCAATCACCTCATTCTAATGAGTGCCATTGCCCTACAGGGGGAGCCACGATGACAGCTGATCCTTCCCCTGCAGTTTGAAGTCCTTGTTAATGACCTAACTGTAATTCTCAGACCTGTCAACAAGGCTGCAGCACGATTTCTCAGTCCAGTGAGCTATTTTCATGTATGTGTTTTCAGGCCCTTCCCCTCTGTTTTGAAGTGACAAGTCTCTGTGGTAGTAGGAACACCAAGGACAATTTGGTTGCTCCCAGATGGTTTGGAGAAAGGGCTCGTTTATTTTAGAAGCTGAGAATCCCAGCTTGTCATCTAATTATCATTAAATAGCTCCCCTATTTCTGCCTACTTTTTCTTTCCAGGAAGTTAACTAATGCTGAGATTGGCTGAAAAAAAAAAATACCCTATTACACACTTTCCTATTTTCTTTCCCTCTCGCATGTCAGAAAATATCAAATATTTTCTATTTGTTATTACATTAAAGAACTGCTGGCCGGGCGCGGTGGCTCACGCCTGTAATCCCAGCACTTTGGGAGGCCGAGGCGGGTGGATCATGAGGTCAGGAGATCGAGACCATCCTGGCTAACAAGGTGAAACCCCGTCTCTACTAAAAATACAAAAAATTAGCCGGGCGCGGTGGCGGGCGCCTGTAGTCCCAGCTACTCGGGAGGCTGAGGCAGGAGAATGGCGTGAACCCGGGAAGCGGAGCTTGCAGTGAGCCGAGATTGCGCCACTGCAGTCCGCAGTCCGGCCTGGGCGACAGAGCGAGACTCCGTCTCAAAAAAAAAAAAAAAAAAAAAAAAAGAACTGCTGATGTATTTTCACAGACTTAATAATTAGAACTAATGTGTCGAGACCAAAGGGATTGATTTCTTATTTTTATGTTTGACTTTTTATTCTTAAAAAAGATAATTTTAATACTTAGCAATTAAAACCAATACAAGTATCACTAGTAACAAAATATGATTGCCTCTAAGAGAATTTAGGTGAAACATAGACCATTTTTATCTAGGCAAAATAAAAACCAGAGATGAGGAGGGATTATTAGAATAATTAAAGAATCAAAAATTACATAAATACTTGAACTTTCCCTTGTAAAATAGAAATGTTGGTATGTTTAACTTGCAAAATAACTTAGACTTTCCCCTTTAAAGGCTAAATGAAATAACATGTGATAAGATTAAATAGTAAATGAAAGTATATCATCCCAGTGCTGAAACTTAGTAGGTGCTAAATAAATGTTGATAAAAGAATGATGGCCTCTAACTTCTGCTATTATGGCTAAAGGTAAGATCTTAATTTATAATGTGGGTACTGCCTGAGTTTTATTGTGTTATTATGGTATTATAGGACTAAAATGACAAGGGTATGGAAAACCCAATGTTGCTGTTGTGGTTTTTATAAAGTAACTTGGATTTCTGGGTCATCAGTAGAACCCTGGCTTGTGTGAGTACTGACTCTGTGGACTGAGCTTGTCACATTCAGTGTTCCATCTCGTGGCCCACTGAGCTGAGAATGTCTATGGCCTTTGGAGTGTAATGTCTTTTGGAATCTGATATAAGGCTAAAAAAGCCCATGCCAAAGATACCTATGATAGAAGTGTGACAATATTATTTTTGTTCCTCCACATTATTGCCCTTCTCATTTGCATTAATTCTGTTCAGAAGCAAAATATGGTGTAAGGAAGAAACCAATAATTGATTTTCAATGTGTTTTGGACAATTACTACTAAAATTGATGAATTTATTATTTTGTCAGTATATTTGGTACTTCAACCAATAAACCCTATTGGATAGGCTCCAATAGGGATGTGCTTCATACCAATATTCAGTCCTTGAACACTACACGTTTACTAAAAAATAAAAATCATCCTGACAAAGAATCACCCTGATCTTTCTTTTTTCTTTAGATTACTGATATAAGGTGACTATGGTTTCTGGACCTGAATTTTATTTGGCTTTAATTCATTTTTGATAGCATAAAGGAGGAAACAGTTCTTTCTAAATTATTCATCGTGTTGTTTAACAAGTAGGCACCATACAATGTGATGGCTCCTGAAATTCCATTAGTCTATTGTGAAATACGTAATTATACACTATTATGAAAATAAGAAATTTGTATTACTCATATGTATCTGACAGCCTGCAATTAGTTTAGACTCTCTAATTAACATATGTTTTACTTAATGGTGAGTGATTATGGATTATCATTTAATTATACATAATTTCAAATACTCATCTTTTTTGTGAATATTAGATACAAAAATAAGTGTTTGTCAAGAGCAAAATGATCATGCTTTTCTGTTTTGTTTTTGTCCAGTACCAAGAACATTATTATAAAATAAGTAGTAATAAAACAGCTTTCCTTTGAGTAAATTGCTGAATATTTTTTGCCATATATATTCTGCTATCATATTTATGGATGCCACTTTTCTTTTATATGAGTTGTTCATGAGTAATTTTTCACATAAAGAAGAATCAACAGTACAAAGAACTATGGAAGCGGTTGTGAGTTGATTAATTGAACCATTTTTTTTTCTGAGTACTCATTCTAAATACCTGGGTTTCATCAATCTACCCTAATTAGAAGAATATATTTGTATAATCAGGTTACAGAACCAATTTTAAGTTTTAGTGTAATGGTGCCTGATCATCTTTGAATAGGTTTTTTTGTTTTTATATAATGCTTGATTAATTCATACAAGTTTTACTACTTGGTGGTTTTGCCATATCTTATAGATACATTTCACTGTTTAATAAAAGAATGCTGGAAAATATTTGCAAATTATGCATCTTATAGACAAAGGTCTAATATCTGGAATCTATAAGGAACTTAAGAAAATTTACAAACAAAAAAACAACCACATTGAAAAGTGGGCAAAGGACATGAAGAGACACTTTTCAAAAGAAAGCATACATATGGCCAATAAGCATGTGAAAAAATGCTCAACATCACTAATCATTAGAGAAATGCAAATCAAAACCACTATGAGGTACCATCTCATACCAGTCAGAATGGCCATTATTAGAAAGTCAAAAATAACAGATGCTGACAAGGTTGCAGAGAAAAGGAAATGTTTATAGACTGTTGATAGGAATGTAAATTAGTTCAGCTGTTGCGGAAAGAAGTTTGACAATTTCTCAAAGAACTTAAAACAAAATTGCCATTCTATCCAGCCATCTCATTATTGGGTATATACCCAAAGGAATAGAAATTGTTCTACCATAAAGACACACGTACATGTATGTTCATCACATCAGAATTCACAATAGCAAAGACATGGAATTAACCTAAATGCCCATCATTGTTAGACTGGATAAGGAAAATGTGGTGCACATACACATGGAATACTATGCAGTCATAAAAAGGATGAGATCTTCCCCTTCCTGTGTCCATGTGTTCTCATTGTTCAATGCCCACCTGTGAGTGAGAACATGTGGTGTTTGTTTTTTTGTCCTTGCGATAGTTTGCTGAGAATGATGGTTTCCAGTTTCAGCCATGTCCCTACAAAGGACATGAACTCATCATTTTTTATGGCTGCATAGTATTCCATGGTGTATATGTGCCACATTTTCTTAATCCAGTCTATCATTGTTGGACATTTGGGTTGGTTCCAAGTCTTTGCTATTGTGAGTAGTGCCACAAGAAACATACGTACACATGTGTCTTTATAGCAGCATGATTTATAATCCTTTGGGTATATACCCAGTAATGGGATGGCTGGGTCAAATGGTATTTCTAGTTCTAGATCCCTGAAGAATCGCCACACTGACTTCCACAATGGTTGAACTAGTATACATATGTAGCAAACCTGCACATTGTGCACATGTACCCTAAAACTTAAAGTGTAATAATAATAAAATTAAAAAAAAGTTTTAAAGCAACAATAACAACAACAAAAGGATGAGATCATGTTCTTTGCTGCAACATGGATGGAGGTGGAGGCAATTGTCTTAAGCAAACTAACACAGGAACAGAAACCAAATATCACATGCCCTCATTTATAAGTGGGAGCTAAACACGGAATACACATGGACTCAAAGAAAAGAACAACAGACACCGGGGCCTACTTGAGGGTGGAAGATGGGAAGAGGGTGAGGATCAGAAAACAGTATATTGGGTACTATGCTGATAACTGGGTGACAAGATAATCTGTGCACCAAACCGCTGCAACATGCAATTTACCTATATAACAAACCTGCACATGTACTTCTGAACCCAAAATAAAAGTTAGAATAGAAGAAAAAGAATGTATAAATAGGAACAACATGAAGCATAAAAATCTGTTTCTTTCTCTACTTGCTAAATGAAATGTCCATCACAGTGGCAAGCCCTTTGAAATACTTTTGTTTTCCTTTCAGTAAATCCAGAGTGAATGGGATTAGTGAATTAATATTTCTAAAGCCAGAATATCTTTATTGAGGTTTGTAATCAAAGGAAAGATATTTAGTAATTTCTTGTAAAATCAATGTTGGTATTTATGACTTAATTTGCATTTTTGACAGAATACATTATTTTTTAATTAAAAAAACACAAATCCACATATAATAAAATATAAGTAGAAAGATTGTAATTAAGTTGGGGCTGTGTAGGTGTTTACTGAAAGTAATTAATGCCCTACAGTAGATTTTTTTTTTTTTTTTTGAAAGAGAGGGCTAGAGTAATCTGTTGTGGCTAAATTTGAAATGTAAGTAGCTTAGATAACTGTATTGCTTCTCTGTAAATTTTGATGAAACCTCAACTAGAATACTAGATTATTGGGATGTACTGAGTAACTTATTGCAGTAGGTGGAATAATGGCCTCTAATTATCTCCACACCCTAATTCCTGGAACCTGAGAATATGTTATCTTACAGGCGAAAGGAACTTTGCAGATGTGATTAAGATGTAGGATGCGGTGATTATTTTAGATTATCAGGGTAGGCCCAGTGAAATGACAAGTGTCTTTTACAGTAGAAGAGGCAGGCAGAAGAGAGTCAGAGGAGGATAAGACTAGGGAAGAACTAATAGGATAGATGTATATATGAAAGGGAGTTATTAAGGAGAATTGACTCACATGATCACAAGGTGAAATCTCACGATAAACCTTCTGCAAGCTGAAGAGCAAGGAAGTCACTGGTGGCTCAATCCAAGTCCCAAAGCCTCAAAAGTAGGGAAGCTGACAGTGCAGCCTTCAGTCTGTGGCCAAAGGCCCAAGAACTCCTGGCAGCCCACTGGTGTAAGTCTAAGGGTCAAAAGGCCGAAGAACCTAGAGTCTGATGTTCAAGGGCAGGAAGCATCCAGCATGGGAGAAAGATGAAAGCCAGAAGACTCAGCAAGCTAGCTTATTCCACCTTCTTCCTCCTGCTTTTTGTAGCCACGCTGGCAGCTGATTGGATGGTGTGGGTGGGTCTTCCTCTCCCAGTCCACTGACTCAAATATTAATCTCTTCTGGAAGCACCCTCACAGATGTACCCAGAAACAGTACTTTGCACTGTTCATTCCAGTCAAGTTGACACTTACTATTAACCATTACAAGTCCATCCCTTGTCAACTTGAACCCATATACATCTCTTGAAATCATACTTAATCTCCAAATAAAGACAATAATAAGGTCATAATTACACCTAACATAATACAGCTATCCTTCGTACAACTGGAAGCTCGCTAATCCTTAACCTAAATGCTATAACATAAAGTTAACAACACTTAAATGCTGATATGAAGTCAATAAATCTTATGTCACATGATAAAGGAAAGAGAAAAGAAAAGGAAGATATTTTCTTATGCAAGTGTATACAGGCACAAACATATTCTTAATAAAATAAGGAGAAAATGCTCGAGACAATTATAGTCCTTGTTTCTGCAACTGGTCACGTGGTTGTAGCTGGTATTGATTAATACCTTCCACTACTACCCATTCTGTATTCTCTTTGCCTTCAGCAAGCACCTCAGCTGGTCGTGGTTTTACCTGGTGGAGTGACTCAAATCTTCCTTGTTGAAGGGTCTGGGCCATTTGTAGTTCTACCTGGATTGGGTTGTTGTAGTTTCCCATTGACCTTAATCACAGGACATGGTAATACTAAGAGACACCCTAAGGGATCTCCAGTATTCCACACGTACTCTTCTTTACCTCCATTGTGGAGTAGTAGACTGATTTCATCTTGATAGTCCAGGTCAATCACCCCAGCCAACACTGTAACTCTCTTCTTAGCCTGTTGACTTAGAGGTAGGAGGAGCCCGAAGTGGCCAGGTGGCAATGTTAACTTCCAGCTTAATGGAATCATTGTTGTGTCTCCTGGTGGCAGCATTCCTCCTTCTGGAACTGAGACCTCTAGGCCAGCAGAACATAATGTCATGAGAACAGAAAGCAAAAATTTTGCTAGTAGGTCACTGGGGATGATGGTCACTGGTGCCACTTCCACTTCCATCCGTTGGTTCCTGGACCTATGAATCCTGGCTATGGGAGAAAAAGTACCATATATTGGATGCTGATTCAGAGCATCCACAGCCTTCTGGAGAACTCTACCACAGCCCTCCAAAGTATTGTCACCTAGTTGGTGTTGTAATTGTGACTTCAAAAGGCAGTTCCATAGTTCTATCAATCCAGCTGCTTCAGGTTGTTGGGAAACACGGTAAGACCAGTGAATTCCATGAGCATGAGCCCACTGCCACACTTCTTTGGCTGTAAAGTGAGTGCCTTGGTCAGAGGCAATGCTGTGTGGAATTTTTCTACTTGGTAAGATAGAGCCTAAAATGAAATCACAGGAGTCTTTATAAGTGGAAGAGACAAGCAGATAACAAACAATAAATCTGTGTTATTTAAAGCCACCAAATTTGTGGTAATTTGCTACTGCAGCAATAGAAATCTAAGACACTTATTAACCACAATAATATGACACTTACTACTAGTAACAATAGAACAGCTGATATTTATTGACCTCTCACCATGTGCCCACAGCATAAGAATTTCACAAAAATTATCTAATTTAAATCTTCCAACAAAATTTTGAAGTTGGTGCTAACTTGTTAGCTCCACTTCAGAGATGTGTCAGTTGAGTCTTAGATTAAACTGTAAGTAAGTGTGTAGTGTATAAGCATCCAGGAAGTCTGAGTTCAGTAACTTCTCTCTGAACTACTTTCTATGTCCTTCCTGTCTGATTAATTATGGGTTAAGCAGAATATTCTTTTGGTTCAATTCTGGTTATTGTAAATCGCTCTGAAAGTATGTAGAATGATTTTCTAAGTTTAATATTCACTTAAGCTTAGTAAAATATAATAAAGGTAATCTCATCCTTCTTTTATAAATGAGCATCTCATAGTACTTCAAGATTATAATTCAAGTCATAATTTGTGTGGGACGTAAATGTCAGGATTGGATTGATACTGCACTGATACTAACTCAGGATTGGGTTGAGTCTTAATCTTCAAAAAATCATCCTTTTGTAGTGATGTTGTTTGCAAAGGACTTTTTCTTTTGCTTAACTTCTCCTATATTTTTCTTAAAATCTCTACATTTTTTAATCTTCCAGAGTTTTCTATTTTTACATACTTATTTGCCTTCTAAAGCTGATTAATCAAATCTATGTGCTTTCTCTAAATAGGCTCCCCCCACCCAGTTTATATTGTGTACAGTTGTGGACTAAAGTTATTTTTCTTGGACTCATTTCTCATTTTCTCTATACTTTTTAATATGTTAATATCATTAAACTCCTGTTTTTCATTTAGATACTTATCTGATGATGACAGCTATTCCTGTATAAATTGCACAAAAGTTGTTCTGAATGTATCTTGATGATGTTCTTGCTGTACAAGGCAGAATGTAAGGTTTGTCCGTGTTCACTGAATTCTTCCTCTACAGAGCTTAAGGGAATCACTGATTCCAACTTCTTAACACTCACAGAAGTAAACAATAAACAAATCAATATGGCTAGGTGTCGTGCCTCATGCCTGTAATCCCAACACTTTGGGAGGCTGAGGCGGGAGGATCACTTGAGGCCAGGAGTTTAAGACCAGCCTGAGCAACATGGCAAAACCCATCTCTACTGAAAATACAAAATTAGCCTGGTGTGGTAGTGCATGCCCGTAGCCCCAGTTACTCAGGAGGCTGAGGTACAAGAATTGCTTAAACCTGGGAGGCGGAAGTTGCAGTGAGCTACTGCACTCTAGCCTGGGCGACAGAGCAAGACTCTGTCTCAAAAATAAATAAATAAATAAATAAAAATGATGAACTGCAAATGTTGCGTCTTAGAAGTTAAGGAGTGATGATAATAATTATGTATTATGTTACATATACTGTATAATAATAGTTATTATTATTATGAGGGGAGTCAAAAAACCTACGTTGCCTAACGTTGCTCATGTCTCCAAGGCTCAAAGATATAAAGCAGTGTCTAGAACTCTTACATGATTCTTCAACCAGCATCCTACCACCACTGCAGGTTTATTAGAAAAGGAGAATTACAAAGGAGAAGGGCAGGAAAAATGAAACAAAACAAAAACTTACAAATATTTTGTATTTCGACTCAAAATTTCTCTGTGGAAATCTAATTCTAATGAGTTGGTTAATTATTGGTTCTCAAAGTGTGGTCCCTTACCAGCAACATCAGTATCACCTGGGAACTTGTTAAAAACACAGAAGCTCCAGCTCCACATCAGACTTACTGAATCAGGAACTCTGGGAAAGAAGCTCAGAAATCAGTATTTTAACAATCCCTCCGAGTGATTCTGATGCACACTAAAGTTTGAGAACCAGTGGATTCCATGATGGGAGAGCCAGGAGGAGCCTCTGGGAAGAACTGAAGTCTAGTTTAAGTATTTTTTATGATGCTTCCCTTTCTGTAGACTGTACTCCAGCTCTCTGTTATCCTTCCATTGGAGTGACCTACAAGGGCAGGGAAAGAACCTAAGAACAAGCCAAAACATACAAAAACAAACAGACAAAAAAATTTAAAAGACACTAATAAGAAAGACGTTATAGGCAGAAGTGCTTTAACTTCTTTTCACACTGGACTCTTTGCCCCAACACAATGGACCAAAAGGGTGCTCAAAGTTGGGACAGTTGGAGATGTGATGCAATCAAGTAGCCATTTTAAGACATGCTCTTAAACATTAGAGAAATAATTTAAAAATGCTGCCAATTAATTCAGATTTCCATAGTGGACAGTTTTACTCCTAAGAAAGTTATCACCTTTAAGTGAACAAACAAGGGAAAAATCACTCTCACTGGTGCCAATGTATCTTTAAGGAGTACTTTTGTGACTCTTCTTGCAGGTTACACTATACAACTATAGTGTACTCCCCAAACCCTGAGGCCAGTTCCTTGATAATTATAGTTAGCTCAAAATTTGAACCTGAATATTGCATGGCATTATGGTATTTACTAATTTAAGTATCTTTATTCTGCCCCTTAAGATGTTATCTGCTTTGAAAAATTGCAATCTGATGACAATTCAAATATTTAAAATGCTATTCCATGTTCAATGCATATAATAAATTACTTATTTTAAATTTAAATGGAACTGTACGATATTTATTAAAAGAAAATTTGTTTCTCACTGCCACCACTAAATAAATATTAAACATCTATTTTCAAATACCAGTGGAAAGGGAGTCACATTTTTAGCTTTTCAGAGATGTTCACGTATTTCCATTTGTCTTTGTCAGGAATTCCTGTGAGCATTCCTCTTCAAGATGGAAGAAAAAGGGAATATTTCACAACCCCAATGGTGAAACGTCTGCCTATAGCCAACAATACAATCTGTGAGTCTTTTCTTGGTACCCAAATTGTTCTGTGGAAGACTTTTTCAAATTTCCAAGAAATAATATTAGCAAAGGACTTTGCCGTTTTGGCTGAAGTAATGCAATAGTTTCCTACTTGATCTCCCTTATCTCACTTTTTCCCCCTCTAATCCACCCTTCTACTAGATAAGTCTCTCTAAAACTTTTAAAACCTTCATCAGATCCTTAATAATTTTCATTAGTTGTGGGCTAAGCCATTTCAACTTCATACTGTTACATATAGGTTTTGAAAAGCCCATGAGCACAATATGTGTATTCATGACAGATCCAGTGCTGTACCAGGAAGTACATAAAGCCACAGGATAAGCATGGTGCATCTTCTTGGACTGTCATTTTTATTCAATAACAAAAATCTAAAAATCATTTTTACATTAATACACATTCCCTTTTTTATAATGACTTTTTTTTATTTTTTATTTATTTATTTATTTATTTATTTATTTTTTTACTTTTTGAGACAGTCTTGCTCTGTCACCCAGGCTGAAATGCAGTGGCGCCATCTCGTCTCACTCGGCTCACTACAACCTCCGCCTCCCGGGTTCAAGCAATTCTTGTGCCTCAGTCACCCAAGTAGCTAGAATTACAGTCATGCGTCACCATGCCCAGCTAATTTTTTTATTTTTAGTAGAGACATGTTTCACCATGTTGCCAAGGCTGGTCTGGAATTCCTCGCCTCAAGTGATCCGCCCACCTCAGCCTCCCAAATTGTTGGGATTACAGACGTGAGCCACTGTGCTCAGCCCACAATTACTTTTAAAATAAATCAAGAGCCTTTTATACTTGTGTAAGACTTCTTTGAGCTCTGTTTTACTTCTGTAAAAATGTTTGAGAAGAATGACACTGTACAAGCTCTCCATTCTGGCTAGCTGTGCTGACTTCGGCATTATGTCCCGTTAAGGCTGTCTAGGCTCTGGTTCTCTTGGTAGCCTCCACTCACCAGTGTAAGTCCTTGATCTCTTCTTTATCAGGGGGATTTACCATACCTATACTGCCCAAGAGTAAGTGATTTGATCTAGAAAGCTTGCAGCTTCCTTAAACTCTTCTAGGTAGCCAGATTCACTTAACTTTCTCAATGAGCTTGATTTGGCCCTCTTGGAAAAGCTACCGAACTAACAGCTGCCATTGCAGGGGTGCGAATGATGCCTCCTAATTATTAAGATTCCTCCTCTGGATCATGGCTGGAAAGAATTCCTAAACAAAGTATACCAAGGTGTATGTTTAAAAAATAAGTTTAAATATGCGTAAAAGAGAAGTAAGGTAAATTCCCAAACGAAGGACGAAGAGATAAGTATATCTGTAGAAAACATAAACTTGATGCCAGATATTTCTTCAAGGATTGATTAAAGGGCAAAAACCTTTTCTGAGAAAGTCACTCGCCATGCCATCTAGCTTATAACCAAGAGACAAAACTAGAGAAATATTGGTTAAAGAAAGATACGTTAAAACAGTGAGTCCTTTACCTAGGAGGAGAGTGCTGTGCTGTGGGGGTTATTAAGAGGCTTAAAAAATTCAACTTTATGAAAGTAAATCTGATCTACAACAAATATATCATGTTAAATATACAATTTGATGAGTTTTCCTAAATATATACACCCAAATAATCTCTCCTACAATCAATATGTATAATATTTCCATTATCCTCCAAATTTCCTCATCTGTTTTTGTAGTAAATCTCACTCTACTACAGATCCTGGGCAACTGTTGATTTGCTTTCTGACAATATAGGTTTTTTTTTTTTTCTCTTCAAAAATCTCATTTAAATGGAATCATGCAGTGTCTGTTTTTTTGTGTCTGTCTTTTTTGCTTAGCGTAATGTTCTTCAGCTTCATCAATGTTGTTGCCTACGTTAGTATTTATTCCATTCTATTGCTGAACAGTAGTCTTTTGAATAGATATACCAAAATGTATTTAATAATTTACCTAGTGATAGATATTTGTGTTGTTTCCAGTTTGGGGCAATTATAAATAAAGTTTCCATAAATATTCATATACAAGTGTTTTGTGAACATATGCTTTCATTTATCTGTGTAAATATACTGGAATAGCAATATTGTATGTCATGTATACAGTTAACTTTATAAAAAACTGTCGAAATATTTGCCAAAAATGGTGTGTGAGTTTACACATCAACCAGCAATACGTGAAAGTTATAGTTGTTCCACATTCTTTGTAACATTTGATAGATACCATTAATCTTTAAAATTTTAGCATTTCGCCATGTTAATAGTATCTTTGGATGGTTTTAATTTGCATGTCCTTGATGACTAATCATGTTGGGTACCATTTCATGATCTTATTACCCATTCAAGTATTTTCCTGTGATATGATAATCTGTTCAAATCTTTTCTCTATTTTTGAATTGGATTGACTTACTTTTGAGCTGTGAGAGTTTTTAGAATATTCTGTATACAAGTCCATTATCAGATATATGTATTGTGAATATTTTTTCACTTCCTTACTGTTGTATTTTGAGGAATGGAGGTTTTAACTTTGATTAATCCCAATTTATCATTTTTTCATTGTACTTTATGAGTTCTAATAATTGTTTGCCTACCTTATGCCTATATGTTCTTCCAAAGTCTTTATAGCTTTACAGTTTTAGGTGTGTGATTTATTTTGAATTAATGCTTAGAATGGCTCATTCCAGAATCATTTTTTGATAAGACTAGACTTTTCCCATTGAATTACCTTGGAACTGTTGTTGAATGGGATGCTATTTAGGTATATTTCTGAACTTTGTTTTGTTCCAACGATGAATATAAAAATCCTTATGCCATTGCCATATTTTCTTGATAAGTCTTGCAATCAGGTGGTACAAATCCTCTTCAGTTTTTAAAGCAGGTAGCATAAATGTATTCTTCTTTTCCGAAATGTTTTGACTATTCTATGTCATTTTGATTTCCTTATAAATTATGAAGCCAGCTTGTCAATTTCTTTAAAACTGTTTGTGTTTTATCTAGAATTGACATCTTAACAATGTTGAGTCTTAACAATACTGATCCAATACATTGATATGTCTTTTCATTTATTTAGTTCTCATTTAGTACATCTCAGCAATGTTTTATGGTTTTCAGTGTAGAGGCCTTGGGCATTTAAAAATTATCTGTAAATATTTTCATGTTTCTGAATGCTATAGGAAACATAAAAATTTTATTTTCCATCATATAGAGTTACAATTGCTTCTTGGATTTGTTTACTAAAACCTTGGTAAATTCTTTTAGGTTTAGTACCTGTTTTATAGTTTTCTTTCCACATAAACAACCCTGTTTTCTGAGATTAATGACAGTTTTTTCTTCCCTTTCCATTTCATATGCTTTTATTTTTTTTTCTCTTCTTGCTTAATTGTATTTACTAGAACCACCAGTAGAATGTGGAATAAAAGTGGTGAGAACAAACTTAAATTGCCTTGTTCTCAATCTTACGGGAAAATCATTCAGTCTTTCACTATTAAGTTTGTGATAACTGCAGGCTTTTCATAGATGCCCTGTGTCAAGTTGAGGGAGTTTTATTTCATTCTTAGTTTGCTATTAATACCAAATTTATATAAATGGGTGTTAAGTACAGAGAAATACATTTATGAAGATCATCATATTTTCCCATTTTATTTTGTTAATATGGGGAAAACATTAATTTTTAATTGTTAAGACATCTTTCAATTCTTGAAACAAATGCCACTTTGTCATGATATAGTATCTTTTTTATATATTGTGCAGTCGATTTGATGTTTTTAAAAGGACACTGACTGGTTTGTAATTTTCTTTTTTTGTAATGTTCTTGTCTGGTTTTGGTATTAGAGTAATTCTAACATCATGAAAGTATTTGGGAAGTGTTCCATTCTCCTCTGTTCTCTAAAATAATTTGTATAGGATTGTTATTATATTTTTCTTCAAATTTTTGATAGACTACATGTGAAACTGTGAATCTGAAGTGTCTTTATGGGAAAGATTTTAACTATTCTTTCAACTTTTTAATATGTATGTGGCTATTCACATCTTTGATACCTTCATGTTTCAATTTTGGTAATTATATCTTTCAAGGAATTTATTTATTATGCTAACCTGGCATAAAGTTGTTCAAAATGTTCCCCTAATATTTAATGTCAGTAAAATCCATAGTGATATGCCACCTTTTATTACTGCCATGGGTAATTTGTGCTTTCCTTATTTCTTCTTGATTTATCTAATTAGACGTTTATCAGTTTTAATGATTTTTCTAAATAATAAACCTCATTAATTTTCCATTATTATTATTATTTCCTTAATTTTTATTTTCTTAATTTGCTCCTTTCTAAGCTTTTTAGGATTAAAGCTTAGATAATTGATTTTAGACCTTTTTTACTTTAAATGGAAATATTTAAGGGTTTCCCTTTAAGGACCACTTTATTTATATCCTCTAACTATGAATTCTTCTTTGACCCCTGGGTCATTTAGAAGAAGGTTGTTAATTTTCAAAGTATTTGGCACTATTCCATGAAGATATAAACATTGATTTTTCACTTAATTATATATACCTAGAGAACCTGTTCTGTGTGAGTTTAGTCTTTTTATTTATTGAAACTGCTTTTATGGTCCAGAAGATGATCGACCTATCTTGGTGAATGTTACATACGTATTTGAACTATTGTTGGGAAAAGATATTCTATGAATGCCAATTAGGTCACATTACTTAAAAGTGTCATTCAATTCTTCTTTGTATTTAATGATTTTTTAAAATTTGGTATTTCTAACAATTACCGAGAGAAAAAGTGTTTAAATTTCCATTCAGAAATGGTACAAATTATGTCCTCTTGCTAACCTGCCTACCCCTTTTATTGCTGTGGAATTTCTCTTTTTTATTCCTGGTAAATTTTTTTGTTCTAAAATGTTTCTTTTAGCTAGGAGCAGTGACTCATGCCTGTAATCCCAGCACTTTGGGAGGCCTAGGCAGGTGGATCACGTGAGGTCAGGAGTTCGAGACCAGCCTGGCCAATATGGTGATAACCTGTATCTACTAAAAATACAAAAATTAGCTAGGTGTGGTGGTGCATGCCTGTAATGCCAGCTGTTTGGGAGGCTGAGCCACGAGAATCATTTGAACCCGGGAGACAGAAGTTGCAGTGAGCTGAGATCACGCCACCACACTCCAGCCTGGGCAACAATGTGAGACTTCATTTCAAAAACAAAAAACGACTTTCTTTGTCTGACATTAATATAACCACTCTTGATTTCTTATGATTAGCGTTTTTGTGGGAATACCCTTGTTCACCCTTTTACTTTTAATCTATGTACATCTTTGAATTTAAAAAGCATTTCTTGTAGACAGGCAAATATCTTGGTCTTGCTTTTGACCCAGTCTAATAATTTTTACCTTTTAATTGGTGCGTTTGGTCTACTTATATTTAGTGTAAAATTTGATATAGCTGAGTTTAAGTGTACAATAATATTTATTTTCTATTTGTACCATTGCTTTTTGTTGTTGCTCCTTTGTCCCTGTTTTCCTGCCTTTTTTGAATTGAGTAGTTTTTGTATTTCATTTTATATTCATTATTGAATTATGTTACAGGCCTTTATTTCATTTTTAAAAATTAATTGTTTTTGGATTTACAATTAGCTTCTTCATCTTATTAGAAGCTATCTCAAAATAATACTTCACATATATTGTAAGAACCTTAAGAAAGTTTACTTCTAATTTCATCTTCCATCCTTTATGTAATTTTTGTCTTACCTTTTATTTCTACATATATTATAGTCCTGTAATAGTTTACTATTTCTTCATTATTTATCTTTTAAATAAGTTAAAACATGTGAATAAGATGTCATTTATATTCACATACATAATTAACATTTCTGAAGCTCTTCATGCTTTATGCAGATCAAAATTTCCATTTGAAATCATTATTTTTTCTTTCCAAATAACATTTTTTGCATTCCTTGAAGTGCATATTTGCAGGCGACACGTATTTCAGCTTTTATTTGTCTGAAAATGACTTTTTTCTTAATATTTCTTTTGCTGATTTTTAAATTCTATGATAACAATTTATTTTTGTGTGTTTTGATGGCACTTTGAAGATGTTCTATTTTCCTCTGGCTAGCATTATTTTTTAACAAGTCCCTAGTCATTCTTGTCTTTTTTCATGTGCATGGAATATGCCTTTTTTTCTGTAATTGCTTTGAGGTTTGCTCTTTTTTATTATGCCTTACTACCTTGATGTAGTTTACTTCATACTTCATTTTTTTCTTGCTTTTGAATGACTGAATTTCTTGGATATGCAGATTTATAGTTTTCTTAAAATATGGAAAGTCTCTGGGTATTATTCCTTCACATATATTTTCCTGCTTATATCCCTTTCATCATTTCAAGTACACATATGTTAGACCATTTAAAATTGTCCCAAAGGTCACCATGGATTTGTTTATTTCCCCTTTAGCCATTTCCTCTCTGTGCTTCGGTTTGGATATTTTCTATTGCTATGTGGTCATATGTACTGATTTCTTTTTAGCCTTGTTGAATCTCCTATTAAGTTTGTTCAGTGAATTTTTCATTTCTATCTAGAGTATGCTTTCTTAGTTTAGCTTTACTTCTACTGTACTCTGAAGAGGTTTCTCCATTCTGGCTGATTAATACTTGAGTGCCTTCCAGTCCAGTTTGATCTCTGGGAATTGTTCATTTTATAGCTCTCTATTGGCTCTTTGCTTGGCCTTTGAAATCCAATCCTATGTTTCACAGCTTAGTATTTAGAAACAGATTGTAGGACCCCCCCCAAACCCCATGAAAGTTTCTGGAAGTCTCCCTCTCTGTATCTTATTCCTTTTTGTATTTTGCCTGGCAAATTCCGGTGGCCTCAGCAAACCCAAACCTTGATCTCTGCCTAGTGAGTTCAGTGAGATCCCCAGGCTGTGCTCAGTTTCCCCACCATGTGCTGTGGGTCATGATGTTCCTTCAGGCCAAAACCCAGGAAGATTGAAAAGCCTATCTCACGTATTTTCCTTCTGTCAGAGATCATAGCGTTCAATTCCCTAGAGCAGTTGTTTTATATATTTTTATACATCCTCTCTTCCCACCAGTGTTCTGGCTGTTACAGAGGGAGGGCAAGACCAACTTACTGATTTTAATGTGGCAGAAGCTTTGTGAGCAATTTTAATTGATCTTTTTTCTAAAATTGAATAATTTCCTAGTTAAAAATAATATGTGTGCATGTATGAAAGGACTTACAGTGATAATGCATAAGACTTCTTTTAATGTCTGAAAGTGACATAAATGCTACGTAAAGGGAGAACTTATAAAATGTGTTTGGTAACAAACAGGAGAAGAAAACCATTTTATATTTGCATCTCTTCAAGTTGAGACTGTTTAGTAGACTGATCATTTAATTGAAAATGTTTTTTAGAAATTCCTTTTTTCTTTGCATTTGTAAAGGAAAACAATGGGAATGGAAATAAAAGTAGACTGGCCACTCACGTTTTTCAAATATGGGGAAGATTGATATCCAGATTACTGATTTGTATTGGAGGCATCAACTTTTTTACATTCTGATTTGATTCCCTGATACGTTGGATGTACATTTTGTTTCAATATTTACATCACTTCTGCCAGGTTTTGTAATGTCTGATTGGATATCTGATATCATTTTGATGCTCTTTTAACCTCTTTATACTTTGAAACTCACAGAGTTATTATTTCTAGGAATTGGTGGTGGGATCAATAAAACCATGAGAAATTTAGAATATTGCTTTTCTATGGACTGTTCCTCCAAGGACAAGGAAATCAATCAAAATAAAAAATTCCTTACCACATTTATCTATAAACAGAATGTGCTGAATTGGAATAAATCTTGGGTTAATTTAACTGAGACATTGTGATTCTGGCCTCTGAACTTTTGTCTATGAATTCTGTCTTTCTCTCACTCTTTGCAGATTTTAATTACTATCTAGGGCCCAGCTAAGCTTTCATTTCATCTTGTAAGACTTTCCTGACCACATTAGCGCACGTTGATTCTCTCCTCCTAAATTCTTAAAGGATTTATGACTTGTATAGAATTGACCATATATTAACTTGTTACATATTCTGCATATTATTTTATATAGTGTTTTTGTTCCGTCTTCATGTGTGTGAAGGTAATTACTATCCATTTTTTTTTCTCATTCACTGAATAATTTATTAGGCATCTACTCTGTACCAAGCCCTGTGCTAAGAGATAATATATAATGGCAAAGTAAATAGATACGGTCTCTGCCCTTATGCAGCTTAGAGTGGCAGAACTATGTTTCAAGCAGAATATCTGCAAATGTATAATAATGTGATCAGTTATTTGATAGAAAGGAACTGGGTTTTATAAAAGAAGAATATTGAGTGACACCTGGTTAATTTGGGGTAGTTAGAGAAAGTCTGTTTATCAAAGGGATAGCTGAGCTGAGATATGAAGTCTAGGAGATAGAAGAGTATTTAAAAATAGAAAGACCTATGTCCTCAAGAGTATAAGGCGAAGGTAAAGATGTATCAGAATAGAAGCTCTCAGACTTCACTGTTAATCAGAATCATTTGTGCATTTATTAAAAATGCAGATTTCTGGCCTTCAACCTCAGAGATTCTGAGTCAGATTTTCTGCATTTTTATAAGTAACCCAAGTGATTCTTTCTGATGTAAGCAGCTGTAGCTCCTGTTTGTGAAATACAGGTCTAAGCAATCAATGTTTTTTTTCTTTTCTTAAAAAAAAGTTATTGGAGTAATGAAGCTGAGCAACTACCTACAGGAGGAATAAGCAGGAATATAGATGACTCAATTGAATAAAATGTGTAATGCTCCTTTAGACCTATAAGAATTTGTTGTACAATAGAATATGGATGAAGGCCTGAAATATTAAAATTTGAGCTATTAAACTCTAAATTACAAAAGTCTCAACTTGGCTTCTTAACATCAAGGAAAACGTAACATGAGTTACCTTTGAAGACATTTACTATGCCTCATAGAACTTCTCATCCTGCACAGTATTTTGTAGAGTACTTGTCACAGAATTGATGATTTATAAATATTGAATGCATGAATGAATACATTAATGAATATTTTATGAATGCCTCTTATTTTGCTTTAATATTTCCCAGGACTCTTATCACCTTCTACTACACAGCTTGGAGGAGAGTGAGGGTCTTGATAGCTCTAATGACTGGTATATTACCTCTTGAAATAATTTGAATAAAATAATGTCTGGAAGAGAGCAAAGATTAACCCAAAGAAAATTATCTTTAATCTATATTTTCATAGCATTTCATCAATATTTCTATTATGCACATACATAAAAGTAACCAAAATATAGTCTAATATATGTTATTTCTTTCTAACTGAACTGTCAGCTCCTCAAGGGCGGGAACTATGCCTTATTTGTCTTTAATAAGTGTAGAGTCATCCATAGTGTCTTTTTTAGTTAGTGACTAAAGAAATTTATGTTGAATTGAGTTTAATTACAATGTGATATTGTAAGTATTTTGGCACTTGGATTGGAATAATTTTTGAGATAAAGAACCTTTGTAATAATTCTCAGTTCTTACAGTTGTACTATTTTTTCTCTTCCTATTTACAATGGAATAGAAAGGCACAGAGGTTGACTGCACAAGAAGTATTTATGAGAGAGGAGAGCGCTCCCCAATTCCGGAGTTAGGATTTGGGATAGGAACAGGGTTATATGACAGATGCTGGGGTGCCACATTGGAGTGACCTCGAAACTAAGTTAGCATCTCAGATAAACTTAAGCTGGAGATTTGCTAAGTTCTCAACAACTTGGTGCCAACAGAAGAGAATGAGCCAGTTTTAAATGACAATAACTAGTGGATTAAAGGTCTGAGGAAAACGCAGGAGTTGATAAAGAATGATTTTAGAATTGCGAGCTGGGTTGTCCAAGTTATAATATCAGGAATGATTTCAGAGTTGGGCCAACTGAATCCAGAGTTCTAATCTGGTGATAATGGCAATGGAAATATAGTTAGAGGTATATGGTGGTGTCCAATTTGTAACTCACGCAAGTGGCGTTTGACCAATGGAGATTGGCCCACATGTGAATATTGGAGACTGAATTACACCGGAAGGCATGAGTAACAGAATGCAGCTCAGGTGAAGATAGTTTTTTAGGAGAGAGTCCATAAACTCTGGTTTTTATTGGGACCTCAGGCTAGAGGAGGATTGGGGCACTAGAAAAATGGCCAAACTGAGAAACTGTAGAAATTTTAAATTATAGAAATTATACCAAATCAGTGTCCAGCAGAAAACTTCTGGTTAATCTTACTTTACCAATTTATTGATATGAGAGTCACCTTATATATGTGGATGGCTACAGAGTACATCTACACAATTCACTTAAAGTGCACTGGATTTGATCACTGTATAAGACTGGCCTTGCTTGTTTTGAAGCCAAGCAGTAGGCAGAAGCAATATTAACTTGCTTGGTTAAGAAATGCATTGCCTTGGCAACATTGGTATTATTTTACAGAAAAGCTGCTCTCTTTTGATACCACTAAATCTTGTTTATAAAGAGCATTTTCAGTTTCTCTTTAAGAACATGTTAAATGGACAATTTTGAGTCAGTTGGTGCCTGGCTCTTCATCGGCTTCTTTTTAAATTTAATTTTCCTGTTTCCTTTCGTTGCTCCACTGAGCTCTTCCTTAATTATCAGATTACAGTGTTCAGCATGATTCCTGGAATTGTTCATTTCTGTCAACCAGAAAGAAAACAGACCATTGATATATGTAAGACTGTACCTTTGCACTTAATGATTCTCCAATTAGTGTCCCAGTCAATCTCAGGAACTGCATCTGAAATAATCAGTGAGCAAACTTTTCTTCTTTGCTGCTCTCTAATCACTCTTCCGCTACTGGCTTAATTCGTGAATTGTAAAGTAGGATTTTGCTGAATAGTCAATCTTATAACCTTACGTAAATATCAGATCATTATGGTTAGCTTCCTTATTTGGTGAGAGTTTGTTCCACTTTCTTTTTTTGTAGATTTCAGGGTGCACATGTCCTGCTGTTTGTCCCTGGGTCTGGCAAACTTAATTTCATTAATTAGTTAAGTAGACATCAGGCTGCTGAGGAGGCTTGAAAGTGCTATGGCTAAAACCCAAAGCAGTATGTCAGGGCTGGGTCATAGATGTGCAGTCTGTATAGCCAAAAAGGACCTGTGATCAGAAGGGCCCTGAAATTGATTTAATGCTCATTGTTATTTTGACATTCTTAACAGTTTTATCTTTAAACTTGTGTTCTGTAAGATAAGTTTGATGGGACAGTGGAGTATATGTGTAGGCAGAGGAGATAAGCACAAAATATATGCTTACCTTTCTGGCTACTGTATTTGCTACTGTACATCAGTGTTTCTGATGTCCCATGAGCACAGAATTCTTGTGGGCCCACCATGTGTGGATGTTAGGCGAGTACAAGGTAAGCATGTTGTATCTATGACTGTGCAAGCAGGTGAACTGATAGCCCTGAGATGCTAAGCTTTCTATTTAAGCCAGAATTTGCTTTAAATGTAAAAAGAAGGAAATGGTGCTCTAGGACACATGAATAAGCAAGGAACCCTATCATTTCCTTACTTACTTGAGTTACTTCCCTGTATTAGACAACCACACAGCCTGAAAATGACACAGACGGAATGGGAAATAGGGCAGCCTATAGTTTCCCTATCACTCTGTCTCTACTCCTTAGTGAGCTAAAAGTAGAGTGTTGGTAGAATGTGCACATATCAAGAAGTGAAATAAAAATAGCTGAATTAATTTTGTGCAGTATTTCCACTGTTTTGCTAAGAACAACATGCCTGTGCATGCACTAGCTATGGTAATTTTGGTGGATTCTGCATGAGTTTGAATGCTCATGTATTTGTATTTGAAATAGGGATTATGCAATATAAAGAGGAATGGTAAAATTCATGCTAATAATTGAAAACTTATTTTTTTAAAAAATTTGAATGACATTCAACAGCAAACAAAACACCATGACAAACCAAGAGAAAAGGAAGAAAAGCAAAAGCTTTATACTTTAGCATCATTAGTAGCACTTTTTTTCTACTTTTGAACAAGAAGACCCACAATTTCATTGTATTCTGGGCCCTGCAAACGTTGTAGCCTGCCCTGCAGAATGTCCTCAGGATCAATTCAATTTTCTCTTTAATTCATCATGGATTCCCTAAAAGTGTTTGCAGCCCTGGGAAGAGGCTGAGTGAGAAGATTCTCTGTGTGAACCCTCACAGTGCCAGGCCACGTCATATAGGCTGGCTTCTCCCATCCTTGGGGAGGATGGTCTTTGTAGAAAATCCCCTTCCACAGATGCAGGCTTCACAATAAGGTAGGCTTTGCTACGTGAGGAGCTACACAGGTCTTTTTAAATTTTCTCTCCTGTGCCTTTTCTTCATCCACAATTAATGGAGGTCCCACGGTGTCTTGGTTTCCAGAAGCCTTTAGAGTAAAAAATAAAGGGGCTTTTTGCTAGTTTCAAATGATACATCAGTTCTAGGTTATCAGCAGCTAAAAATACATGGTTAGAGTGTTGCAGTTACAGATAGTGACACAGCATAGCTTTTAGATGTCAAGGCATTGAGCCTACAGTAGCATCATTGTGTGTGTGGTGGAGGGTGGAGAGAGAGAGACGATTTTAGTAGTGGCAGGAGATTGTGGGTGGTATATCTTTTTCTTCCTCCCCATTTCTCTACAACAAGACTACCCCAAATTATGAGAAACTTCTGAAGATGATTTTCTTCATTGAAAGCCATAAATCTAATTTTTAAAAATGTTGATTTCTTCTAATTATTAAAATGTATAGGCTACTTGGAAAACACAGGAAAAAGTATGAAGATGGAAGAAAAAATGCCTTTATAATTATCTCTTTACCATTCCCTCATATTTCATATACATATAAATATGTATATTTGTGTGGGTATATATAATGTATATATTATATATGTGTATTTGTGTGGGTGTGTATATATTATACATAATATACATATACATAATATATACACACCCACATAAACATACATATATAATAAATGTATCTCCTGTTTTCACATATATAGTCTCTTTTCACATATATATTTCCTGCATGTGTTTATACACAGGAATATATACAAATATACATTTCCTATATATTTTTTCTCCCACAAAAAGTCGACTTATATTTTTTATATAGTTTTGTCTCCTGCCTTTTTCCTTATTGTGTGAGATTGTCACTAACTTGTCTCTAAAAACATTATTTTATAGGTAGCATCAGAATAGCACTTGTATGGAAATACTGTAATTTACAGACCAGTCTCTCATAGTTGTACATGTGGTAATTTACAAATTAGTCTTCTACAGTTGTATATGTATCTTGTCTGCAACTACTTATAAAAATATTTAGAAAATGTTATAGAAACTAGTGACTTCTGTAATATTTATTGGATTACATCATGACCAATCTGGTATTTTCTGCAGTTTTAAGATTTAGATTATAGTTCAGTCAATTCAATCAATTGTGTGGTGACCGAGAATTTAAAATGACTAAAAATAGAATAGATCAAACCGTCAATTTGATTTCCCTGAATAGAAACAGCTTCAGTCATCACAAGATTAATCAGTAAAGTGTTAACATAAACCAATAAAGCAGAGAGACTTTGGATTAAGAACTTTATATCATTTAAAGATTCAGCCCATTATCCTTTCCATGCAAGTGCCCTCAGGCTTTCACATTAATTGTGTGTGGTTTAAGAAGATTTAAGATGAGGGTGATACACTCAGCAGAGAGTGAACTTGACCATTGCTATCTCACTTTAATTAATCTCTTTATTCTCTATCTTTCAGTTCACTCAACACCTGAATAAAAAAAAAAAGTAAGATCAAGTTCTTTTGAGTTGAGGAAACAATTGAGTTACAAAGTAATCTGATACAGGGAGGATCAAGGACTGTAAAACTTAGAATTCCTAACAAGTGGACCTGAATTGAAAGTTCTTTTACACCTGGTTTTTCATGCTTCAGTGGCTGGCTTTTCTTCCAGGTTCCCTGGATCGTGCCCTTAACCCCTTGGGGTTTGTGAACATAAAGCTTTCTCCCTTTGACTTACAGCCTAGGCTAGCATTCTAAAAATGATCAGGTTCAAAAAGCTACTTCTTTTTTAAACTCTATAAGAATTTAAGGCTACTTTAGAAACCAAAATCCTCTCGGGCTGACTGAAAAGGGTTCTTTTTCCTTAGCAACCCTTACGTTGTATATTGGAAACTTGGTTAGGTTATGAATGCCCACACAGTTTTGTGTGGGTATTCATTCATTTATGCTAAGAATATTTATTGACTACTTATATGTGCCTTGCCCTGTGCTAGGGGAATAAAAACAACAGTCTCTTTCCTTTGGGAGCTCACCTTTGTAGGGAGAAACAGACATTAATCGTATGATCAAAGTAAAATTACAAATGTGAAGTATGCCTGAAAGAGAGGTGGTTGGTGCTGTAAAGGTGTATAATAGAGGGGTAATAGTTACTGAGTGAAATTGGAAAATCAGTAGAGATGTGTCAAGGGAAGAAGCAAGGGAAGAAAGAGCATTTCCAGAAAGAGAATTGCACTGGCAAAGGCTGTGAAGGGAAGCAGTGTAGCTAGTAAGAGTGTGTGACCCTGTCAGATTCACATTTGTACAAGACTGCACTGGCTGCAGTGAGCAAAGTGGAGGGGCTTCTAGCTTCCAAAACTGCAAGCTTCTTTGAGTTGGTACAGTCCCTGCTATAAAGAAACCCCAGAGGTGGCACAAAGTGATCATATAAAAATGCTGTTAAGTCCGTCCATTAATATGCTGTATTATTTACAGCTCATTTTACTTAAAGTATGAAAACAGAATTAAAAAAAAAAAGACAATTGTAACATTAAAGATCCTATGAGACAGACCGCATTTGACAGAGACATAACTTAGGAAGTCTGGTAAGGAAAGAAAACATAGCAGCTTCAAAAATATTCCACTCAGCATGCAATGTGTCAGACTAGGATGGTGGTGGTGAAAAATATTTGAGGGAGGCACTGTTCTATGTACTGTGAAAGTTGCATATACCAGGATGAAATCACTTTTGTGAGATTCAGACAAAATAGGGTCAGGAAGGCACGAAGAGAGAAGGCTCATGCATATCTGAGATGAGAGCTGTTTCCAAGGACTTGTAAAATATCCCTCAAGAAACCCTTTCATGTCCTTCACACATCTTCTGCTTTGATGAAATTTACCACTAGACATTCTTTAGCACTGCAGTAATTCGGATAAGACGTGTATGGAAGAACACTTGCCCGGTAATGGTGTCTGGATTATAATACTTTTTCCTAATTCTTGAGTAAACCCAACATATTGAGAATTAATTTTTTCTAGTGTCTTTATTCAGGTTGATAAGTACTAAAGATGTTGTGAGTGATAAAGGACAGAGTCATTGTCCTCAAGGAACTCAGAGTCAGGAGGGGACACAGACATATAATCAAGCTTTTTTTTTTTTTTTTTTTTTTGAGACAGAGTTTCACTCTTGTTCCCCAGACTGGAGTGCAATGGCACGATCTCGGCTCACCACAACCTCTGCCTCCTGGATTCAAGCGATTCTCCTGCCTCAGCCTCCCGAGTAGCTGGGATTACAGGCATGCGCCACCACTCCCGGCTAATTTTGTACTTTTAGTAGAGACGGGGTTTCTCCATGTTGGTCAGGCTGGTCTCGAACTCCCAACCTCAGGTGATCCACCCACCTTGGCCTCACAAATTGCTGGGACTATAGGCATGAGCCACCGCACCTGACAATCAAGCCTTTATAGTATAAAGTGACATGCCTTAAGATAAGTGAGCACACAGAGCAAAGGACACACAGGGCAGAGCATCCACCTGGGTGGGCCATGGGCGTGGTTTCATGGAGAGATGATGCTGAATCTGAGTGTTGAAGTGGGACTGACAATTCTCCAGGTGAATGTGAGGAGGAAAAACCAAAGAGGCAAAGAAAGATAAGTGAAGGCAGTATGGTATGCTAAGGAAATTGCTAAGGAATAGAGAGCAGTGTTTTCCAAAATGGTTTGGGATTGCATTTTCCCTGCTCTATAAAAAAATGAGAAAAATAAGAATGAGGAAGAGCACACACACATTTTCAAAGACACACAGATTTTCCCAGGTGTTGGTAATAGGCAGTGAACAGAAGCTCTGCCCTTCTGAAGCTCGCATTCTAATGGGGGAAGGCAACCCGTAAACAAGAGAGTGATGAGTGTTTTCAAATAGTGAGAAGGGCTTTGAACAAAAATAAAACTGTATAAAAGAAAGTGACTGGAGGTGATATTTTAGATACTGTGGTAGGCATTCGTGCTGAGGTGACATTTAGATGGAGACCTGAATTAAGTGAAAAAATGAGTCATGCCATGATCCGGACAATTATCTGTTGCTAGTCCAGGGAACAGGATGGGAAAAATTCAGAGGTAGGAACATGTATGGCATGTTTAAAGATAAAGAAGAACAGAAATACTGGAGTAAAGAAGTGGGAAACAGAGGGATACGGTCTGAGTTTGAAGAGAGAACTTGGGACCAGGTTATAGAGGTCATATTTCTGCCTCACATTTTCTTGTGAGGAGTCAAAACAAGGAACTGGATTTTATTTTGTATTGGAACAGCTCATTCTGGCTCTTTGTTTCCCTTAATGTATTCTTTGTAACACCTGAGATGAGACGTTCTTTTAAAAAATAGTGCTTGAGCCCAGGAGTTCGAGGCTGCAGTGAGCCATGATTGCACCACTGCACTCCAGCCTGAGCAACGGAGTGAGATCCTGTCTCAACAAAAGAAAAAACAGCTTTATGGAAAAATAAATTATAAAGTTCAGTACACAATATCCCCTTGTGGCATATTCAGTATTTGTCTTAGCATAGTTCTTCCTAATAGAAAACTTGAGACAAAGAATTAGGTGCTGATTATTTTGAGGAGTGAGCCCAAGGAACAGGAATGAAGAACTGAATAATAGGAAACAAGGAATGCTAAACAATGGTGCTTTATTGAATTAATAGTCAAAAAATGGTATCTGGAACTGTGCAAAATCAAGGTTGGGATATAACCAAAGGAGAATGTTATCCCTTTAGGGTTGGACATTATTCTCCAGTTAATTTGATTGTTTTTTGGTAGTCACTTCACTCTTATGATCTTAGAGTGAATTAAAATTGCCCAGTGTTTGCTCCAAGGATGGTAATGTGGTAGGTTGGCAACTCACTGACCTGAGGCCGGAGACTTCATGTTAATGTCCTGGGCAGCTGCTAGTAATCAAGGAGAAACCAAATGTACCTAAACAGCAAAAGAAAATTCTTAAAAAGTCCTCCAAACAAATAAATAGTATAAGATGCAATAAGAAGAAAGCAATTAGGTTTTTTATGGATAACCATTTTTATGAGTAATAGAGGCAAACATCAAGACATAATCTAATTAGTTTAAATCTAAAAACGCTTTCTCATTCTACATTTTCTGTTATATAATGAGATTTTTTTCAAGGAAGTTTACAGGAGTTTGATTGTTCTCCAGAGCCTAATATCTGCCAAACAGCTCCCCACTTTAAATTTGGTTATATTCTCTATGGAGTAGTAATATGCCACTGTTGACCTCTATTTTAATAGAAGGAGGATTTTATTAATACCTTTTCTTATCTGCTGTTCTAATTAAATGTACAAGTCAAAAGAGCTGATTTACACTACCTGGATTTCATAAAGAAGAGAAACGAAGCAGTCGTGAAATAAAAGCTTTATCTAAATACAAAGTAAGATGCTTAACAATGCATACAAAAAGTGAGATTCCCACAGGGGAATATCCAGCTAGAATTCTGGTGCCAAGCAATTCCACTGGCAGAATGTAAAGTTGTATTTTCTATCATCAGGCGGTTCAGCTGAAAAGAGAGTTTAACAAAATGAGAAGTGTTTGAGTGAAGGCCAGGTGACAAGAAGTGCAACTTGTATTTTATAGGGACTGTATTCAAACATTCCAACATACTTTAAAAGCATTTCATTAACTCTGGCTTTATTTTAGATTCTTCTCTATGTCTCACAAATAAGTAATGGGAGAAAGATTGGTTATTCTTACTTCTTTTTATATTGTCTTATTTGGAATTGTATCTAAAGCAGATTCTTTCTTTTTTTTTTCCCACCCTGAAAGTCAACTTGTGATACCAATCAAATAAACCTAAAATTTTCCAAATCTCAACTTCATTTTGTATTTTATAGCAACATCTGCCAAAGAAAACAATGAATATAAGGAAGATACAGAAATATGGTCTATGATTACTAAGTGAAGGTGAACATACAGGTTTTATTTTAAAGAAACTTCCAATAGTATTTATTTAAGAACTTACCGTATACAATTTCCCTTCATCTGCCTCCTGAGAGCAGATACATTTATAACAATTCAAACTTCTTTGATTCCACATCCTCATCTGATAATCTGTGAAGGAGTCTTAAATTAGTTTTCTCTCTGAGATGGTAATCTCCCGTGGAATTTTCATTTAAAAAAATCACATGAAAAACTCATTTGAATTAATTCATGTAGGTGTTCCACTACTTGCTGGGGATGATTCAAATGTGATACAAGCATGACTTCTCCTTATGAACTGTACAAGAAAGATCAGTAAGGGAGAAAGATAAGCAGTAAAGATAAACCAGAATGTGCTAAACACTGTAACAGATACACTTGTAGTTGGAAGGAGTTGTAAGGAAGAGAGTCGAATCAGATAAGCGTCATGAAGGAAAGGATGTTTGAATGGGTCTGAAAAAGGTTTGGATGGAGAAAGGTCAATTCATGTAGCATAATCAGAGCAGAGGCAGAGACATTGGAATGTGTAGACTGTCTCTACAGAAGGGAAAATCTGGATTGTCTGGTTTTGAGGGGAAGACATGGGAAATAAAACTGAAGAGACTGGCTGTGATCAGATTTCAGATGTGTTGGAATGAGGCAAGGATGACTTGAATGTGATGAGAGTACAAGCAGATTTTTCTTCAAAGGAATGGCATGATGAAAGCCATGCTAGAGGAAGGTTAATCTGAAACTTGGACTCCAAAGGGGAAAGGTTATAGCCGCAAGAACAGTTAGAAATCAATTGTAGTTTCAGGTGACAGTAATGAGAATTTTAGGCTGGGGTAAATGGCCATGCGAATGATACCACCTGTATCTATTAAATTAGTGTAGCTTTACAGGCCTGATAAACTCATTGTAGAGAGGGAATTGTGAACATAAAAATGTTTCTTTTATTTTAGAGAATGAAAACTTAAAGAGATTTAACTTTTTTTAGATGTCTTCCTCACTCTCTTTTTAGATAATCAAAAAAGTTCTCATTTTCTTATATGATATTTATATCATAAATACAACCCCAATGTGTCTTCAATTCAAAGTAAAAGTGTTATAGCTCATGATAAAAATGTAGTCCTTCTACTATTTATATGAATTTCTATATTTCTATGCAGGAAGCTTGAAGTACTCTTGTTATCACATCTTGTCTGCAAAATAAGTCTTGGTTTTGTTCTCTCCTAGGATTGATTATAGTATTTGAGGTGTATTTTACCCAGTACCACTCAGTGAAAATTATATGCTATTGGGAGTCCAACTGCAGCAATTTAAGTGACATTGATTGACTTGCTACAGGTTACTATGAAGAAAAGACTTCACCTAACTCAATTGTTCTGCTAATATTAATTTAAATACTAATACTTAAAATGTTCACAAGTTGAGAATAAGTGAACCATTCTAAGATTTCATTATATTACCCAACTTATGGATTATAAAAGATGACTAATGCCATCCCTTTTTATTTAAATATTTATATGTAGATAATCATTGAACTAAATATATATCTGCTGTTACATTGTGACAGAATCAACATTCCTTAGAAGTTTCTATTAAAAAACTGTTTAAGTGGACTGTTAAACTTTGTCTCAAGGGCACAATAGCCTTCACATCCATGTAATTCAATCATCAGCATGAGCAAATAGAAAATTAAATTTGATGCTCAACACATTGGAATTCCTAACCTCGTACATCTGATGACTATAGACTTTCTAAAATGAATTAATGTTATATATTGAAATGCAATACAAGACATAAACCCTTTTATGTATTATCTTATAACTTTATTATATGGAGATAGGAATGACCTCATTTTGCCTCTATCTAACTGGTAAATAATTTACTTTATTATGATAGAAAGTAATTATTGAATGCGTAATGTGTGTATAATGTATACACACACATACACACACACACACAGAGTCATGCCTCATTTTATTGTACTTCACTTTATTGGGCATTGTCATTTTTACACATTGAAGGTTTGTGGCAACCCTTTGTCAAGCAAGTCTATTGGCACCATTTTTCCAACAGCATTTGCTCACCTTATGTCTCTGTGTCACATTTTGGTAATTCTCACAATATTTCAAACTTTTTAATTATTATATCTGTTTTGGTGATTTGTGATCAGTAATCTTTGATGTAACTATTATAATTGTTTTGGGCACCATAAACTATGACCATATAAGATGGTGAGATTCATTGATCAATGTTGTGTATGTTCTGACTGCTCCACTGACCAACTGTTGGCCTCTCTCATTCTCCGCAGACCTCCCTATTTTCTGAGATACAACAATATTGAAATTAAGCCAATTAATAGCCCAACAATAGCCCCTAAGGGTTCAAGTGAAAGAAAGAATTACACATCTCTCACTTTATTTTTTTGAGACAGGGTCTCACTCTGTCACCAGGCTGGAGTCCAATGACATGAAGATGGCTCACTGTAGCCTTGACTTCCTGGGCTCAAGTGATTCTCCCACCTCAGTCTCCCACGTAGTTGGGACCACAGGTATGCACCACTATGCCTGGCTATTTAAAAGCAATTTTTTCTTTTTTTTTTTGTAGAGATGGGGGCTCACCATCTTGCCTAGGCTGGTCTTGAACTCTTGGACTCAAGTGATTCTCCTGCCCCGGCCTCCCAAAGTGCTGGGATTATAGGCGTGAGTCACTGAACCCAGCCTGTCTCTCACTTTAAATGAAAAGCTACATATAATTAAGCTTAGTAAGGAAGGCATGTCAAAAGCCAAGATAGGCTGAAAGCTAGGCCTCTTGAACCCAACAGCCAAATCGTAAATTCAAAGAAAAAGTTCTCAAAGGAAATTAAAAGTGCTTCTCCAGGGAACATATGAATGATAAGAAAACAAAAGAGACTTATTGCTGGTATGGAGATAGTTTTAGAGGTCTGTATAGACCACATTTATTTAAGCCAAAGCTGAACCTAGAACAAGGTCCTAACTCTCTTCAATTTTATAAAACCTGAGAAAAGTGAGAAAGCTTCAGAAGAAAAGTTTGAAACTAGTGGAAGCTGGTTTATGAGGTTTAAGGAAAGTAGCTATCTCCATATGTTTCACGAAAGTGTAAGGTGAAACAGGAAGTTATCAAGAAGACTTAGCTAAGATCATTCAGGAAGGTGACTACAGTAAACAACAGATTTTTGATGTAGACAAAACAGCCTTCTATTGGAAGAAGATGGCCTCTAGGACTTTCATAGCTAGAGAAGAGAAGTTAATGCCTGGCTTCAAAACTTCAAAGGACAAGCTGACTCTCTTGTTAGAGACGAATGCAGCTGGTGACCTTATACTGATGCCCATGCAAATTTACCATTCAAAAAAATCCTAGGGCCCTTATAAATTGTGCTAAATCTACTCTGCCTGTGTCTGATAAATGAAGTAACAAAGCCTCAATGACAACACATCTGTTTACAGAATGGTTTACTGAATATTTTAAGCCTATTTTTGAGAACTACTGCTCAAAATAAAAGATTTTATTCAAAGTATTACTGCTTATTGACAATGCATCTGCTTACCTAAGAGCTGTAATGGAGATGTACATGATAGTAATGTTCTTTTTATGCCTGCCAACACAGCATTTATTCTGCAGCCCATGGATCAAAGAGTAATTTTGACATTCAAGTGTTAAATAATACATCAAGTATTTTTTAAAATATTATTTAAGAAATACATATTTTAGGACATACATATTTCAAATATTGTTTAAGAAATATATCTCATAAGGCTATAGCTGCCCTAGATAGTGATTTCCATGATGGATCTGGGCACAGTAAGCGACAAATCTTCTGGAAAAAATTCATCATTCTACATACCATTAACAACATTTGTGATTTATGGGAAGAGGTCAAAATATCAACATGAATAGGAATCTGGAAGAAGTTGATTACAACTCTCAGGGATGACTTGGAGGGGTTCAAAACTTCATTGGAGGAATTAACTGCAGATGTGATGGAACTAGTAAGAGAAGTAGAATTAGAAGTGGAGCCTGAAGATGGGACTTAATTGCTGCAATCTCATAATGAAACTTGAATGAATAAGAAGTTGCCTCTTATGGATGGGCAAATGACATGACTTCTTGAGATGGAATCTACTCCTGATAAGGTGCTATGAACCTTGTTGAAATGGCAACAAAGGATTTAGAATATTCTATAAACTTAGTTAATAAAGCAGTGGTGGGGTATGAGAGGACTGACTCCAACTTTGAAAGAAGTTTTACTGGGGTAAAATACTGTCAAACAGCATTATATGCTAAGGAGAAATCTTTCATGAAGGAGTCAGTCAATGCAGAGAAGTTAATTGTCGTCTTATTTTAAGAGATTGCCACTGCCACCCCAGCCTTCAGCAACCACCATCCCGATAAGTCAGCAGCCACCAACATGGAGGCAAGACCCTCCACCAGGCGAAAGATTTTGACTCTCTTAAGGCTCAGATGATCATTAGCATTTTTAGCAATAAACTATTTTTAAATTAAGGTATGTACATTTTTTAGACGTAAAGCTATCACATATTTAGTAGCCGATAGTATAATGTAAACATAACTTTTTTATGCACTGGGCAACCAAACAATTTGAATGGCTTTTTTTATTGCAATATTCACTTCACTGAGGTGGTCTGGAACTGAACCTGCAATATCTCCAAGGTACCTAACAATTGGAAATGTGAGAAGTGGAATCTACTTGTACTTTACAGTTTATATAATATTTTATTTAACTGTAATAACAACTCTAGTGTGCTGAGTGGAATCATGTCCTCCCCAAAATTCATGTCTACCCGGAACCTCTGCATGTGACATTATTTGGGAACTGACATTTGTGGATATAATCAGTTAAAATGAGTCACACTGAGTTACAGTGGGCCCTAAATCCAATAGGACTAGGGTCTTTGTAAGAAAAGAGGAGTTTGTGACAAACACACAGGGATAATAACATGTGATGATAGAGGCAAAGAGTGGAATGATGTGTCTACATTTCAAGGAATGCCAATATCGTTGGCAACCAACAGAAGCTAGGAAGACGCAAGGGACAATCTCTGGCTAGAGGCTTCAGAGAGTGCATGGCCTTGCTGACATGTTGATTTAGGACTTCCAGGTTCCAGAACTGTGAGAGAATAAATTTCTGTTGTTTCAAGTGACTCTGTTTGTGATAATTTTTTATAACAGACCTTAGGAAATAAAGGGAAACTAATATATCTAAGAAGAAGCAAATGTTATCCAAATTTATTGCTAAAGCATCTGTGGGGAAAATGAGTATATTTTGAGTGCTGGTGTGTGAGAGAGCTATATATAATTTATTTTGTCTGATCTTCATAATAATCTGTGAGGTAGATATTAGTATCTACACTTAAAAAATGAGGAATATGAGGATTGAAAAAGTTCAGGACATTTTCTATAGTCATGCATATCTTTTAGTTTCAAAGCTTAGGGCAGATCTTAAGCACTCTCATTTTCTCTCTCTCAAACCTCCCCCGCCCCCCCACCCCACACAGTGGTAACTGGGTGAGGTGATGGATATGTTAATTTGGTTGATTATGGAGGGTATTTCACAATGTTTATGTATATAAAATTATCAAGTTGTACAACTTAAACATACACCATTTTTAACCGTCAATAAAGTTGGGAAAAGAAGAAAAAATAAATAAACAACCCAACACCCTGCAAAACAAAAACTGACTTCCTTTCCTTCAAGCTGCCCTGTGAGGTAGTACACATTATCTGGAGGAGTTCCAGTCACACCTGGGTGCTTGGTGTAGGAGCTGCTGTACAAAGAATTCATGTGTTAGGTGAGATGTTAGGTAAGACGACTTGTAAGTCTTTTTCAGTTCTGAAGTTTTAGAACAGATCCACCAGGTCACATAGAATTCCAGAATACTACTGCATTTTAGAGACTCTATTAGAACTCAGGGCTCTCTACCAAAACAAGTAGGCTGCATCCCCACAGAGTACATAAGATAGAGAAGCAGCACGTAATGAGGTCTAAGCAGTCAACCTGGCGATTTAAGCCCTGGCCACTTTACTAGGCCATTGGTTACATTTCCAGTTGAAGTAGTGAGTTTAAAAAAGGTCTTCAGTCTCTAAGTGAAAATTATTATTGCTATAGTCAATGTTTGTGTTCCCCCAAAATTTAAATGTTGAAATTTTCATCCTTAAGAAGATGTATTGGAAGATGGGGCCTTTTAGATGGTGATTAGGTTGGGAGGATGGATGCTCTGATGAATGGGATTTGTGCTCTTATAAAAGTGGTCCCAAAGAACTGCTTTGCCCCTTCCATATGTAAGTACACCACTAGAAATCACTGTCTGTGAGGACCCTCACCCCGCACTGCCATTGCCTTGATCTTGAACTTCTCAACCTACGTTATTGTGAGAAATTTTGTAAGTTACTCAGTCTAAGGTATTTTGTTATAGCAGCCTGACTGGACAAAAACACTCATATGTAGAAGTTCTTTTTTATTATATATCTAACAAATGTTAAAATTCTTATATATGTTTAATGTAAAAAGTACAACTGCAGTATGAGTCAGAAGGCCTAGATTCTAATTTTGGTTTTGTTGCAAAATAGCAAATGACGTAATTTCTCTCTACCTCAATAGCCATATCTACAAAAAAAGAGACAGAGATCATTGTTTACTCACTCAGCAAACAGTCATGGGCCCTTAATGTGCACCAGGACCTGGGTATAGGGTACCCTTAATGGAAGAAGGCATAGAATAGAAGAGACACATATGTTGATATGTGCTAAGTGGTGTCCCTAACTGTGGTACATTTTCCCAAATATTTCCTGTACTAACATTCTGTAATACTTCATATATAGGAGAAAAACATCTTCTAATCTATATTCCACTCTTATATAATTTAACCATAATAATTTCAAAAATATTTCCCTCCATTTATTTTTCATTTTCATAGATACTTAGATAAGAAAGATAAGACACACTATAAATCACTGACAAGCACAAAGAAAACTTTTTAATTTGGCAGAATTAACACTTTAAAACCGGTATTTGAGTAAATATTTATACAGTATATTTATTTATACAGTATACACCAAGTTGGAGTGATAGCAATCGACTCAATTCCCAGATCAAAATAAAAGCCATAAAGAACTTTTAATTGCATCTATAGACTCAGGCTAATATACAAAATGAAAGGATAACTTGTGAAATTTTGAATTAACACTTGAGATCCAATGGCAAAATTAGGGAAGTGTAGATCATGTTTAGGTGATATATTTCGTTATAGTTTTAAGATTCTTGGCAAGTGAAAAGGTTGAATTCTGGGCACCTTCACGAAAGTACAGAATAATATGAGGGTAGGAAGAAAACTCTAGAAAAGATCATCCAGATTTATTCCTCAGATAAAATGTCTGAGGACTAGAGTGAGTTAAAGACTTGCTGAGTGCTTCGCTCACAAAAGAGCCAAGAATGATAATGAAGAATATTGCATGTGTCTATTTTCAGGTTGAATATAATAATCTATTTTCTGTCCCTCAGTTTGGTGAAAGGCAAGAAGGTTGATTTTTTAAACCTCATATATCTGTATTTATCTATTCAGTGTTATATATTTTGGTGCTAAAATTCAGAGGACTCTTTTAGAACTTTTCCCAACTAGTACAATTTCTTGATTCCTCAGTCGGCTATATTATTAAGTTGATTCGGCTATATAGTTTATGATCTCTTCTATCTCTTTACCTGTAGTTGTATATCCAGAACATAATATCTGTATTTCTACAACATGGTATGGACCGTGTGGTGTTATTAATAAAACATTGAATACATCCTATTAGTGGTTAATTCTTTTCATTTTGTTTTCTTGTTAATAGTCAATGCATCTACATCACATATCTCAAGGTGCTCAGTAGATCCTTGGTAAATGATGTTATTGATGTTATTAATATTTACAAAGCTACTTAAAGGTATTTCTTCAAATATAATGACTTGGTTTATTAACAGTATACTGGATAATAATAATCCAATAATATCCGATGGACAAATTATAAAAATATTAACCCACTAAAAAGATACTTTGAATGGTAATATTTTCAGAAATCCCATTTCTGTGAGTTATACAGTTCTTAAACAGCACCTAATATTTCATTCATACCAATATATGAGAGTTTATCAAAATATATATAAGAAAAAGTCAAGATGCAGTTTGAAAAGCATAATTAATATTATATCCCTTTTATTTTGAAAAGGAATACCTATCTATTGTTTTTAATATGGCAATTTAAACTGGACAAAAATCTTTTTGACTTGATGGGAATACATAGAAAAGATTGATTTTCATTTAAGACTTAGGTGACCCCCCCAAAATGTATATATAAATTCCTAAGAGTTTATAAAATTTCTATGCTTGTTCAAAGCAACTGCAGTTTAAAAAATGGTTGAGAACCCTGTCTCTCAGTTAAAATTGCTAAAAATAAAAAACCTTTAGATATAAAGTAGCTAAATCTTCAATGAACACTTTTACAAGTATGAGACAAACATTATACTTTTTATATTCTGCTTTTGACATTAACCATGTCATCCAAATAGAATTGGACTAACCGAACAGATTTCCTCCCTCTCTACTTCTCTTTCTTTCTTGTTTGAATAGATACAACTATTGTGTATGTTTCACAACCTCTTTGTCTTCTTCATATTTGGTTTTCTTCTTACCTCATATTCACTTTTGATAGTTTTCATTTTCTGCTTTAAAAATAATTAAATGCCATAAAAACCTATTGACACTGTTTTCCTGCTTTTTAATGAAAACAATCAGAAATCAGACAATAAATTCTATCTCTTTAAGACAGTTTGACCTATGTGATAGACCCAAAGGATTCAGATGGCTTAATAGTTAACCATATATTTTAAAATCTAAGGGAATCTGTGAAAAAATCCAGCTTAGGATCAGCTTGACTTTGCTATATAAATCAAGGGCCATATTTGGTATATAGATAAAAATCTCATGATTATGAAAAAGTTGTATCCAGTGAGAGGTATTGGCCAGGTGGGGGTGGCTTATACCTATAATCCCAATACTTTGGGAGGCTGAGGTGGGAGGATTGCTTGAGGCTAGGAGTTCAAGATCAGCATGGGCAATATAACACCACTTTGTCTCTACAAAAAAAAAAAAAAAAAAAATTAAAAAGTAACTGGGTACACACCTTGTTACTGGTTACAGGAAATACAGGTGTATACAACTACCTGAGAGACTGAAGTGGGAGAATCACTTGAGTCCAGGAGTTTGAGCCTGCAGTGAGCCATGATTGCATCATTGCAATTCAGCCTGACAGAGGGAGACCCTGAATCTTAAAAAAAAGTAATAAAAAAATTTTTTAAGAGATATTACTTGGATATTCATGAAAATCTGATGCTCAAAAGATTATGTTGACTATGTTTTACATATGAACACTTGTAAGATGGCATGTTGTCAACATAATGATTTTGCTGTGTATATTTTCAATTTATCTTTCTTTGGGGTTCCCCAAATCAACTGAAAGATTTTAAGTGTAGCTAGTCATTTCATTACCTGAGCTGTCACTTAAATTCACATTTTAAAGGAAAACCTGAATTTTGTCAAATCATTATGGATTTAGAATTTAGACAAACTTCCCCAAGCTTAATATGCTATTAAATAAATAAAGACTATTAATACTTTAAATAAGGTCTTTAAAATAACTGTTAAATAATGAGAACATATTTAGATTGTTCATACTAGCTAAGGAATCATTAATAAACTAATCTTTAAATATCTGGATATGAAGTCAGATAATGCATTGCAAAAATAGAGTGGATTATAGATCTTACTGAAGTAAGAAGATATCAATAATATAAAATTTTTTTTACTCTCTGATTCTATGAGTTTGCCATTTCTTAAGATTCCACATATAAATAAGGCCATGTGGTATTTTTCTCTCTGTGTCTGGTTTATTTTACTTAGCATAATGTCTTCGAGGTTCACCCATGTTGTTTCAATGGCAGGATTTCCTTCTTTTTTAAAGCTGAATAATATTCCATTGTACATATTTACTGCATTTTCTCAAGTCATTCATTCACTCACAGACAATCAGATTGTTTCCATATCTTGTCTATTGTAACTAGTGCTTCAATGAACATGTAGGTACAAATATCTCTTTGAGATACTGATTTCATTTCCTTTGGATATATACCAGAATTGGGATTGCTGGATCATAATGAGGAAATGTTTGTCAAATGGTACAAACTTTCTCTTATGAGATGAATAAGTTCTGGAGATCTAATGTATAGCATGGTGACTATAGTTTATAATAATGTATTGAATACTTGAAACTTGCTAAGAGAATAGATTTTAAAACTTCTCAGCAGCAAAAAAAAAAGGGTAAATAGGTGAGGTGATGGATATATATTAATTAGCTTGACTGTGGTTGTAAGTTCACAATGTATATGCCTATCAAATCATCAGCTTGTATACCTTAGATATATGCAATTTTTATTTATCAATCACATTTCAATAATGCTGGAAAAAAGATAAAAAGAATTTGACAATTAAAATGTTACATTTGATTGTAAGTCCAGAAGTTTTCTCATGCCTTGAAAATTATTGTTTATTGTTACAAGAGAAATGCAGTTACGTAAATTTGAATGTAATATTTCATTGAACATCCCTGAGCCCGGTTTATTATAAAATAGTTGGACTAGACAAATGAACACCACAATCTCTCTCATTTCGAAAGACACAATTCAGTGCTTCTCTGTTCAGACCTCAGTAAATTAATATTCAGTACACCTTAAATTAAATGAACATTTCTCATCATGAAATAGTGCAAACATCAGTTCAGTATGAATAACATTTTTCATGAAAAGTGTTCAAAAAAGAACATTTTCCAGGTTAAATTTTTCTAATTCAGAAAGAGTATAAAGTTGACCCTAATAACCTTGCTGATCTATGTCTTATAAAATTCATGGACTGCTGGAAGATGTCAAGATTGATTATAATTCCACATTCCAGCTCTGTCATTCTGAGTGTCAGGCAAATTCTTAAACCTTGTGCTACTGCAAAATAGGTTTGATAATAACTCCCACCCACCTATCACAGGGTTATTATAAGATGTATTGTGATACCTGGCACAAAATAGGTCCTTACTAAATGTCTCAGAAATATTGCTGAATGCATGTGTAAGAGGAAAAGGGTAAAACAGTGTGCAAATAATGTATCTAGTTAAATACTTATCTGAGTGTTTTTTAAGTGCTGAGCCAGACTATATGCTGCTTTATACCTGCTGAAACCCTCTTGAATGGATTTCTCTTAATTTCATATTTGAAGCAACAGCTGGAGAACCCTCCAAAAGCCACCCAATACCTGCATGGCCACAAAACTCCAGGGACGCCTACTTTCTTTCAATTTCCACTTGGGACCATGTGCTCAAGTGTAGAATTCAGTGATTTATAGCTAAGGTTAATATACCTGTGTTCTAGCTGGGCCAGGTGGCTCATGCCCGTAATCCCAGGACTTTGGGAGGCCCAGGCAGGAGAACTGCTTGAGTCTAGGAGTTTGAGACCAAACTAGGTAATGAGGAGAAACCCGGTCATTACAAAAAATACAAAAATTAACTGGGTGTGGTGGTGCATGCCTGTGGTCCCAGCTACTCGGGAGGCTGAGGTGAGGATCCCTTGAGCTGGGGAGGTGGAGGCTGCAGTGAACCTAGATCACACCACTGCACTCCATCCTGGGTGACAGAGTGAGACCTTGTCTCTCTCTCTCTCTATATATATATATTTATATATATAATATTTGTATTTATATATTATATATATGTTTCTATATTATATATTATATATAATATGTTTCTATATTATATATTATATATAATATGTTTCTATATTATATATTATATATAATATGTTTCTATATTATATATTATATATAATATGTTTCTATATTATATATTATATATAATATGTTTCTATATTATATATTATATATATGTTTCTATATTATATATTATATATAATATGTTTCTATATTATATATTATATATAATATGTTTCTATATTATATATTATATATGTTTCTATATTATATATTATATATATGTTTCTATATTATATATTATATATAATATGTTTCTATATTATATATTATATATAATATGTTTCTATATTATATATTATATATAATATGTTTCTATATTATATATTATATGTTTATATATTATATACGTTTATATATTATATATAACAGGTTTATATATTATATATTATATAATACGTTTATATATTATGTATTATATAATACGTTTCTGTATTATATATTATATATAATACGTTTCTGTATTATATATTATATATAATACGTTTCTGTATTATATATAATACCTTTATGTTTATATATTATATATTTATATATAATACGTTTATATATTCTATATTATATGTAATACGTTTATATATTCTATATTTATTGTATGTAATACGCTTATATATTCTATATTTATTGTATGTAATACGTTTATACATTCTATATTTTTTATATGTAATACGTTTATATATTCTATATTTATTATATGTAATACGTTTATATATTCTATATTTATTATATGTAATACGTTTATATATTCTATATTTATTATATATTACATTTATATATTCTATATTTATTATATATAATACGTTTATATATTCTATATTTATTATATATAATACGTTTATATATTCTATATTTATTATATATAATATGTTTATGTATTCTATATTAATAGATTATATTTAGATTAATAATATATTATATATTTATATTAATAATGTATATTTATATATTGTATATAAATACATATTATATAATATAAATATATATAATATATATAGTATATGTACATATGCACACACGTTTACTTGGCTCAAACATTTGAAAGTATGTGTTAAGAACTGTGAAGAGTGAGGTTTTATCTTATTTGAAAACTCACAAGTTAGCCTGCTCGAATTTCATGGATATTAGTGGAAGACATATGACTACTGGGTCAAGAACCAGAAATTGTTATTATAGCACAGCAGGCAGCACTAACTTAAGGTTCACATTGGTTCCCCCGTCCTCCAAATTCTACAGGAGAGTTACAAAAACAGGCACACATGAATGCTGTGCATGCAGAAGGTTAATGTCACAGTTGAGGAGCCCCAAACTGTTGTTAGAGGACTGCAAACAAACCTGCTTGACTTCTGTTCCGGAGGAAGACGTTATCTCTGTCTTTCAAGACTGTTCTCTATGCAAATATCCTTGAAAAAATATGAACAGCAAACCCTGTTACTGCCTATGTTCCCAGGGTGTTCAAGAACCCACTAGTCCCACTGAGACTATATTGTAGGAGTAGGTCTCAAAACACCTCATTCCTAAATACTTCAATGTGTTTCCCCTAAGATTGAGGACATTTTCTTACATGACCACATTATCATTTTCATTCCTAAGAAAATTAGCACTAGTAATTAACTTTTTCTTCATTATCTGTTTACCTTCCTCTTATGCTAGAATATTAATATCTTAGTACATGCACATATCTATGACAGTAAGTAATTTCCTAATTCACTAGTGTTCTATTTCAAATTCTCTAGTGACAAGTAATCATCTATAAAATATATTTAAGCTCTCTGTTGCATCCTATGGGTTCATAAGAAAGGATTGAATAGGCAAAATTTGTTTTCTTGGAAAAGAAAAAAATGTGTGATATGGAAACATGATTGCAAATACAATAATAGCAACATTAATAATAATAGCTGGCATTCATAAAGCTCTTTTTATGTACCAGGCACTATGCCAAGAGTTTTCATCATTTGTTTAGTTAATTCTTATAGCGATCCCGTAACATTTTCACAGATGAAGAAAACTGAAGTAACTCCCTCAAGGTCACTGATTAAATTGCAGAACCAGGACCTGAGCCCAGGTCTGCATGATTATAAAGCCCATGTTCTCAACACTGTTCAGTATTATGCTGTTCACTCTCTGCTGGCATGAGCTTTGTCACTGTGAGCTTGCTTGTGCTCCATTAGCACAAATCATTTCCACAAAGCTGTCCAGTCTTCAAAAGTTGGGCTATGTATCTCTTGGCTCAGTAGCTTTCTGCATCATTTAAAAGCATAACTGGCTGGATGCGGTGGCTCACGCCTGTAATCCCAGCACTTTGGGAGGCCAAGGTGGGCAGATCACCTGAGGTCAGGAGTTTGAGACCAGGCTGGCCACCATGGTGAAACCCCATCTGTACTAAAAATAAAAAGCCAGATGTGGTGGCATGTGCCTGTAGTCCCAGCTACTTGGGAGGCTGAGGCAGGAGAACTGCTTGAACCCAGGAGGTGGAGATTGCAGTGAGCTGAGATCACGCCACTGCACTCCAGCCTGGGTGACAGACTAAGACTCCATCTCAAAACCAAGCAACCAACCAACCAACCAACAAACAAACAAACAAAAAAGCAAAACCATACTCAAGACTTTAACAAGAGGGAGGCAATGTGGTATCCAAACATACTGTTTCACAATCAACAGAGGCTTAACTCCTGGAGTCAGAACCTAACAAGATTCACATCCTGGTTTATCACTTAACTGGTCTGGGACCAGGGCAGGTCAGCTAACCTCTGTATGATCACTCTTGTGTAAAATGTGGATGACAATGTTCAAATGTCAGTACTCAAAAAACATGTTGTAGATGAATCTTCATTCAACACCTGCCTCTGGGGAAGGCCCTATCTCAGCTGTTTTCCCTCAAGGAGAGTGAGAACAGCTAGGGCAATTTAAGCCCAAGGCTGCGGAGGTTGCTGTGGTCTCAGGACATTACACACACTCTAGAGGAGGAAGGGTCATGTTTAGCTTGTTCTTGGCTTCCTCCAGGTAGTTTACAAAATGGATGTGTAAAACGTTACTTATTGGCTGAACTGCTCTGACCTGACTCAGTGGGTGAATTGGCTGGAGTCCTATGCTCAGAAGTGTTCCTGACAGCACTGACTCAAATATTCCTTCCTCATGACTCTATTCTTGTTTTTCTGTGTTACATACATTTAATAAACTCTTTACACATCCCCTCCATTCCCTGATTTTGTAGGGTAGATGCAGCCCACAACTGACTCTCTGTGATTATCTTTCACATCATTTGCCTGGCGCTTGCCTCATGATGTCACAGCCATAGATTTTCGGGGTGTAATGCAGGCTCCCATTGCCAGTGCAACTGAGATCGGTGCATGGGCAGCATAGCTCCAGTTGGACCCCTGCTCCCTGGTTAAACTCCAGCCATGTTCTGGGCTTTCTTCACCTTTATGATTAATCAGTTCTGCACAGTTAGAATTATTAACATTAAAGTGAGGTAAACATTTCCTTATTTGCCTATATTTTTCCCTCTGCTGATCTTAATATTCAGGGATAGTTGCTCCTGAAGACTATTCCATTTGGCATGATTTCAACCACCTACGGTAAGAAAGGATCCTAGGAATGCCTCCTCACATAATAATCTCTAATAGAGTTTATTTTTGTCCATGATTTGCAGGAGAATTCACAATTATTAACCTCAAACATGGGGTAACTCATGTCTCCTTTCCATCATGATGTCCTTCTAACATTCCTAAAAGTCAGGTGAGGAATTTTTTTTTTCAAATGACCACATTCTAAACCTTCATGAGTTTCACATATTGTATTGTTCCATGATTTTCTTTCCTGAGATTCTGGAAACATTACACAAATGAAGTACACCACACTCAGCAACACCCATTTCCCACAACAACTTCAGTCACGTATCTGCTTGGTATACATTTGATTACTTGGAATCCCGCTATGGACTTTTGAGAGGAAAGTAGAAAACCATGGTAGAACTGTGAAAATCAAAGTGTGACCATCTACTCTGATAGTCTTAAATATTTTTTAGCCATATATTTCTCTGTTCAAACTAAACGCATTGTGTGGAAGTTCAATAGAAAAATATATTAAAGAAGAGGCGCTCCAGTTGCAACAGGGGTGGCTATAGCTCTGGTGATGACGAGGACCAGAACTCCTGCCTGCTCAGTACTCTATCTCTGCAATTCCACTACCGCCCCCTGCCCCCCATACCAAGCAAGTCCTGAAGAATTCCTAGGGTTCTATGGAACACAGTTTGAAAATTTAAGCCAATCATCTTACTTCAATTATAATTCACTAAATATTTGTTGAGCTCCTCCTACTTGCTTGACACTCTGCTTATTGTGTAGGATACAAAAGTAGCTGTGATTTCAACCTCCAAGGGGATTATATATTCTAGAGAGGATTAATTTTGTAATTTAATGTTGTCAATATTTTGATTGAGGTTGGCTTAGGGCACTGGGAGACAGCAGACAGAGGTGCAATCTGGGAGCTGTGAGGAAGGGCTTCCTGTAGAAGTTGATCTGATGATTGCCTTGCCAGAATAAAACCACACCGGAAACATAAACCACCTGGAATCTAATTAAGGGCTATAGAGTTAGCACCCTAGGTTTTAAGGTCAGGCTGACTGGGTTTCTCTCTCAGATCACTATTTACCAAGTGGGTCAACTTTAGCTAGATGGACTTGGCCTCAGTCCTCTTACCTGTAAAACGGTGATCAAATTTAACTTAGGGTATTCCAAATATTAAACAAGGTAATGTGTAAAGTGCCGATTCTGGTGCTCAGAGTATGGTATGTGTTTGAAGACTCTTCTAGCATTTTATTCCCTTCCTGACTCAATCTCATGATTTTGGGTGAAACAAAGACTAGTTTCTAGGCATAGTGCCACTAAAGAGGAGACTATACTTTCTAAAAAATATCTTTAAGGTGCTGCTATTTCAGAATTTGCCATTTTATGGCCTTTGGAGCAAAGAATAAATGCTTCAAAAAGTACAGGCTTTTGGAATTGCTACTGACACAGCAGAAAAGCTTTTAAGCATTTACAATTTTTTACCTTCCCTCTAAACTTTGGTTGTTGGAAAATAAGCCTAATGTCATGAGTCATTTCTGCAATATTTTTCCTTATAATTTGAGAGACACATAAATTCAGGAATAAAGGTGATCCATAATAAAAAGAAGTGGTAATTGGTACACACACACACACACACACACACACACCATTACTGCTTAATGCAGTTTAACTGTGACAGCTTACATAGCTTCCATTACAGGGCAATTTAAATTCCTTATTTATATATTTTAATCATGTCTGGTATAGATGAAACAGTTGAATTGCTATAACATTAAAAAAACTATTCAGAAATAGGTAACAGGTAGATATAATAGGCTGTTTCAGATGGCAAAGTTGTCTTTTCAGTTATTCTAAATTTATTACCATGACTGAAAATTAAATTCTACAAGGAAGTCTTCCTTTATCTCTATGTATATGGAGGAGGTGTCTGATATTTTTATGTTACTACTTTTCATGTTTCTTATGAGTGACTGATGAGGATTTCATTTGCTGTTCCTTTTTCCCCCAGTTCCCATCAGTTCGATATAGATGTTGAAAGATGCCCCTAGGTATATCATAATTGTTTCCCGTCAACCACTTTGCCTTCAGGTTTCTGTGCATGTCCTTATTAAATAAATGTTTGTAGAAGTAAACTTACCATTCTGATTTTCCACTGTGACTTTACTAGCTAGGTTCTTCATCATTCATTATCATCTACCAAACATGCCTCAAGCTTTTCACTTGAATCCAAGGATGCTTGCTCGGGGAAAAATAAATGAACCTAGTACTAACAGAAGCTTTAAAGGGATATGACTTTATGTGGTGCATGATTTCTTCTTTGTGTTTTTCAGGAGACGGAAACAACCTGTTCTGGGGGGAATAAGCAGCTAGATTTTAATTTTCACCTCTTCCCAGAGTGCCTGGAAATTCACACCCCCTCACTGCAGTTTCTTAGCTATATTTTAAAGACAGGGTTAGGAAAATTCTTTGTTTGCATTTCTTTTTCTGCTTCTATTGTCTGACCTAAATGACCCAGAACAGTATCTTAAGTGGCGACTCTCAGGTTCATTTCACAATGAACTACATTTAGCATCCAGTCCAATGACATTTCTGAACTTTTTTCATATTGATCTTCAATTTTGGATCATACAGCAACAGTATAACTGGGTTTATTCCAGACTATTCCAGGAAACATGGCCCCTAATCATAAATGGGCAACAAAGTACCTCTTTGCAGTAAATGCATATTTTGTGAATAGTTCATAAGCACTGTCAAAGTGGAGACAGAAAAACATTCTGATAAAAACATCTGTTCATCCAAAGGAATTCTCCTCACTCCTCTATAATTCCCACTGAGGATTGTTTGGAGAACTAGATTAATTTATTTCTTGATTGCCAGACACTTTCTCACAGCAAAATTGTCAGCCAGACTAAATTCTGGATTTCAAGAGTTCACTAGACAGTACTCTGCACTCAGAATAAAGAAGCAGTCAGTTAACTCTTCTCATGCAGTTTTCTCCACCAAATTATTGTTGTTAGTGCTGTGCTTGTTGCAAACATAGGTAAAAGTCAATCAGTACATACATTTTAAAAACCACCTTGAAATCTATTTATTTGGAAATCAATCTACAATAAGGTGGTATGAACCTTGAAGGGGAAATGTTTTTCCATGATATGATGAACATTTTTGAATGGTCTCGTGCATTTGGAAATTGTTTTAATGTTTCCCCCATTTATTCCAATATAAAAGAAACAAATGTTGGGTTAATAGCTATGACTACTTTTGAGACTTTCTACTAACATGCTATGGTACTAAAAGGACACCAGTGGGATGAAGTATACATTAGCATAATTATATTCATTCCTTTATGCAACAAATTATGTTAAGTGCATACTGTGTACTAGGCACTGCATGAAATATTGGGAGAATAGAGGTGGACAAGACAATTTCCTTCCTCAGGGATTTCTCAATTAAAAGAGAGACCAACAAGTCAACAGTGACCAAATAGTGTGAAGAATGTTTTGCCAGAGCTATGAATTTGTGAGAAGCAATTAACAGCCTGGGAATAGGAGCTCAGGGAAAGGAAAGCCAACGCTGATCACTCAAAGACAATGGGAGTTGCAGGGGTCACTGGGGATATCAAGCTTTGAGATAATGTGAACTAGGATACAGAATATGAGGTGAAAGGAATTGAAAATAGATAGGAGTTAGAGAATTGTGAGACGTGAGACAACGGGAAGACAGAGGCCATTTCCTGAAAGGGCACAAATGTGATTCAAAGATTTTAGGTATTATTGTGAAAGCTCTTGGGAGGCATTTGGGTCTGTCTGTCTGTCTCTCTCTCTTCTCCCTCTCTCCCCTACTGTCTCTTCCATCCTACTTCCCTTTTTTTCTTTCTTCTTTCACTCTATCCTCCCTCCTTCTCTTTCTTCCATATTTCCTTCTTTCCTTTCTCACTCTAACTCTTTTTCTACATCATTATTAGGTATAATAAAACCACATATTTTAAAAATATACAATTTGATACATTTTAATAGATTTATATATCCATAAAACCATCACTGCAATCAAGATAATGAACATATTCAACACCCTCAAAAGTCTTCTCTTGCCACACTATAATCCACTTCACTATGGCTTAGTTTGCATTTTCCAGAAATTTATATAAAAGAAATTTTAAGACTTTTTTTTGTGATCTGGCTTTTCACTCAATGTGAGTATTTTGATATGCCTCCATATTGTATAACATTCTATTGTATGAATATACCAGAGTTTGTTTATCCATTTACCTCTTGATGGACATTTGGGTTGTTTTCAGTTTGTTGCTATTGTAAATAGAACTGCTATGAATGTTCTTACGTATTTATGTGCAAATATGGTTTCATTTCCCTTGGGTAAATACTTAGGAATGAAACAGATGGGCAATATGATAGATAAATGCTTGTGATTTAAGAAAATGTCAATCTCGGTCCCAAAGTGTTTTGTTTTATGGTTTCTCCAGCAGTGTATGAGACTTCAAGCTGCTCCACAATCCCCCACAACACTTGGTACAGTCAGTCTTTTTAAATTTTAGTTATTTTAGTGAATGTGTAGTGATATATTATTTTTGTTTAATTTATATTTTCCTAATGACTAGTGATGTTGAAAATCTTTTCCTGTGTTTATTTGGCATTGATGTATCTTCTTTGGTGAAGTTTCTATTCAGATCTTTAATTCATTTACTTTTCTTTTTCTTCCTATTAATTTTAGAGAGTTATTTGTATGTTCTCGATACACGCCCATTATCAGAAAAGTGTTTGCATTTTTTTCTCCTAATTTGTGACTTTTCTTTCTCTTGACAGTGTCATTTAGAGCAGAATTACATAATGTTGAGTTCAATTTATCAGTATTTTCTTTTATGGATTGTGCTCTTGATATTATATCTAAGAAGTCTTTGCCTAAACCAAGGTCATAAAATTTTTCTGCAGTGTTTTTTCCAGAAGTTTTATGTTTTCCAGTTTAACACTAGGGTGTATGATCTATTCTGTGTAAGATGCCATTTATCAGGTTGAGGAAGTTCTCTTCTTTTTCTAGTTGCCTGAGGGTTTTTATGAGGAATAGACATAAGATTTTGTCAAATGTTTTCTTCCGTATCTGTAGAGATAGTCATGTTTTCTCCCCCTTTAACTTGTTGATATGGTAAAATATGTTTATTTTCAAATGTTGAACTAGCCTTGTTCTTCCAAGATAAATTCAATTTGATCATGATGTATTTGACTTTTCATACGTTGGAAAAGTAGGTTTGCTAAAATATTAAATTTTTGATCTATGTTTATGAGAGGTTTGGGTTTGCAATTTTCTTTCCTTGTAGTAGCTTTGTCCAGTTTTTCTATTAGGATAATGTTGGCCTTTTAGAATAAATTGGAAAATATTATTTCCTCTTCAATTCTCTGTTTGTATAAAATTGATCTTCCTTAGAAGTTTGGTTGACTAAAAGTTTGTTTGACACCACCACTGAAGCCATCCTGACTGGAGTTTCCTATGGGAAGTGTTTTAACTAAAAATTCATTTTCTTAATACTTACAGGGCTATTTAGATTGTTTTTTTCTTATTGAGTGGACTTTGGCAATTTGTGTCTTTAAATAAATTGGTCTATTTTATTCAAGTTACTGATTTTTCTCTGGTGTGTATTTGTTTATATTATTTTCTTATTTTAATATCTGTAGACTCTATAGTGATGTCACATCTCAAATTTTGAATACTGTTGTATTTACTCTGTTTTACTCATTATTCTGTTTAAAAGTTTATGAATTTTACTGATCTTTTCAAAGAACCACCTTTCAGTATTATTGATTTCTTTTTATTATTTATTTGTTTTTTTCTTTAATCTATTCTTAATCCCATTCAGTGTTTTTCTTTTCTGAGACATTGCAGTTTTCCTCTCTAGAAGTTAGATTTGAGAATCTTTCATACTTTTGTTTCTTTGCTTTCTTTGCTTAATATGTTCATTTTTTTTTTTACTTTCTAGAACACATGGAATATAGTTATACTAAATATTTTAATGTCCCTGCCTATAATTTGTATAATTTTTGTAATGCATGTTTTAATTTATTGGTTTTTATCAATGCGGGAAATATTTTTGTTTATTTTCATGTTCGGTAATTTATTACTAGACAATGTACATTGTACTTTTTACCATTTTGGGTGTTGGATAATTTTTCTTATAAAAATGCTCTTGAACTTCGTTCTAGGTAATGACTCAATTATATAAACACATTTGATTTTTAGGGTATTGCTTTGTTAGACAGGGTCAGATTAATGTTTACTCTATCATTATTATTTTTTCTACTAGTGAGACAAAATCCTTTGGAATGCTTTACCTGATACACTGTGAATTATTACCTGCTCCACTACGGCTCATGGAAACAATAACTATTCCCAGATCTAGGTGTGCTCCCAAGATTTTTCCCCCTTTTATCCTTTCAGACATTCTTTTCGTAGCCTTGGATGGTTTCTTTCTATGCATACACTGAACACAACAACACTAACTACTCATGGAGGCTCCTCTACAGACATCCAGAGTCCTCTCTCTTTGCAGCTCTCTCCTCTGTAATACTCCACTCTGTAAACCTCAGTTACCCTGACCTCCCTGAACTCTCAGCTCCCTCTACTTTCTTTTGTAAGACCACCAGGCTTTGCTTGGGTTTCCCCATCCTGTGCCACAGCCTGGAAACTCTCTTTAGGCAATAAAGGGAGGCAATCATAGGGTTAATTCTGATTTTCCTATCTCTGGCATAACTGTCTTATATTGTCTGATGTCCAATGTTTGAAAATACGTTTTACATGTCTTAGAAATGTATATATAATACACACATATTTTACAATAAGTATATGTGTATGTACATATATATACACATATATACACATACATATATATACACATATGGGTATATATATATACCCATATATACACATATGGGTATATATGTGTGTATATATATATATATATATATATATATATATATATATATATATACACACACACATATGGGTATATATATATACCCATATATACACATATGGGTATATATATATATATATATATATATATATATATATATACACACATATATACACATACATATATATACACACACATACCTATTCCAGTTTTTTAGTTTTTTTCAAGCAGAACAGTAAAGTAGGTCCTTGTTGTTCCATCTTGGTTAGATGCAGATGTCCCACTGTAGGTTTTTAAGAATGAAAGCAACATAGTCATTTTTAAATATCAATGCCAAATGTACCCCATTGTAGATTATAGAATTTAGAGAAGGCTTGTTAAAATAACTTTTACAATAATGCAAAAAAAGAGATGTGAACTTGAATGTAGTTGGTTATAGTTGGAACATGAGATAATTATATATTTTGTAGCCATTGGAAAATAGAGTTTATAAAGACCAAAATGCATGACTGAAAGCGATGATATAATGTTACATTTTAAAAAGTAGGGTACTAGGGTACTAAATTATTTACAATATATTTTGCTAAGTGAGAAAAGAAACCTCCTATAAATCATTATATTCAGAAATAATAGCAGAAACTCACAGCATTGTACCCACTACAATGAATGATTACATTTCTTGCTGTTTTTCTGTATTTTCCAAATTTTGATAGATGATATTTTCATTATAAGAAAATAAACTTCTAAAGACTTTTAGAGGCCAAAATAAATAGCACTGGAGATTGACTGGTATTATTGGTATAATAGTAAATAAGTATAAAGAAGGAGTTTAGGTTAACTTTCTCATTTCTAGTTTGGGACTTTGATGGATAGCTAAGGATTACCAAGGCAAAGCAGCTGTTAGAGGGAACATATTGAGTTTATTTTTGAATCTTTTGAATTTGAAGTATTTGAGGTATAAGTGTCTAATAGGGCATGAGTTTCAAGTTTCTGAAACTTAGAAATGAGCTTTGAGCAAAAAAGATGCATTTAAGAGTCATAGATACTAGTTGAAGCTGTAGGATTAAATGAGGTTACCTAAATATCTTAATTTTTATGATTTTATCATGATATTTCTCACATTACCTCCATAAATAGACCAACTACTCTATCAAAATCACAATTAAAAAAGCTTCCTGCCTCTTTGCCTAATAATAATAAATTATAGTATAATTGTATATTTATAATTTTAGATATACCAACATAAAGTCAATTGCTTTTGACAGTATAGTACTATTGGTACTATTGGTTAATGTTGGCCATTCTCCAAGTACTAGTACAATTCCAAGTTTAGAAACTGGGAAAATACTGTGTTATAGTGACAGATTAAAATTTTTGTATATATTAAATCTATGAATGCCGCTGTACTCTAGACTTACTGAAATTAATCAGGGTGTCTTGTTCATCTAGCACAGTGCCTGCTACATAGTAGAAACTATTAAATACCTGTTGAATGCATGACAAAGGCTGTATAACAATTGAATAAGACAGATTAAATATACAGGAAATGATGTGCTTCTGGCTGTTATTTCTTGACCACGTTTTCTCGTTCTTTCCTTTCTCATTATGCACATTTCCCTTCTCATTACACACATTATTCCTTCCTCATTACACATAATACTTTTTCATAGATCTACCTATCTATCCATCCCTGTATTCACCCTCAACCCATCTTATGGGCATTTCAATGTAAATTGAAGGTAGTAGTTTACCTTCTATTAAACACTTCAGCATGAATATCTTTTAGCTAGAATTCAAATTTGTTTATAGTCTTTTAATTTCAAGATAAATTCTATGTACAATGAAAAACATATTTTAAGTGCATACTCCCTGATTTTTGACACACATATACCTGCAGAACCCAAACCACTATCAAAATATAGAATACTACTATCATTCCAGAAAGTTCTCTCATGCTCCTTCCCAGTCAATCCCCTCTACCACTGTCACAGAGGCAACTGCTGTCCTTATTTGTTTCCGTTATAGACTAGGCTTAAGCTCTAGAACTTACTGTAAATGAGAAAATAAATACATGTTCTTTTTTGTAAGTTTTCTTTCACTCAACATGTTTTGATATTTATTTATGTTGCATTATCAATATTTCAATCTTTTTATTGAGAAATAGTATTTCATGATATGAATATTACACAGTTTATCCATTCTCCTACTAAAGGACTTCTGGGTTATTTCTACTGTCAGGCTATTGTTATAAAGCTGCTATGAACATTCTTGTGCAAATTTTTTGTGGGCTTACATTTTTATTTCGCTTAGGGAAATAATGTAAAAGTGAGATGGCTGGGTCATAGGCTAAATATATGCTTACTTTTATAAGAAACTCCAGGTCTCCCATTTCTAAAGCACTTATACAATTTTACATTCCTACCAGAAATAGAGGAGAGTTCCAGCTAGTCCACATCCTCACCTGGCCTTGTCAAGCCCTTCTTCATTTTATTTGTCTTAATGAGTATGTAGTCATCTTATTGTGGTATTCATTTGCATTTCCCTGATGATTAACAATGTTGAGTCCTTTTGCAGGTTATCACTGGCCATTTGTATATTCGTTTTTGAAGTCTCTGTTAAAATATTTTGCCTACTTTTTACTGGATTGTTTGTCTGTTTTATTGAATTATGGGAATGCTTTGTAGTTTCAACCTGTGGTCAGGTATGTGTTTTGCAAATATTTTCACCCATTTTCTTGATAGTGCTTTTGATAGGCAAAAGTTTTAAATTTTGATAAAGTCTGATTTATTATTCTTTTCTTTTCTGGCTAAAGTTTTCTGGGTCCTATCTAAGAAATCTTTGCCTGCCCCCATGTCTCAAAGCTATTAAAGACGAAGCAATTTCTATTTTCTTGCTCTAACACATACACTTAAATTTGGATTTTAATAATACTTTTTGATGAAAATGACTTATTTGGGTAAAATCAATGGAATGTTTATTTCAATTAGTTCAAAACTAAATGAAAAATATAGGAAGGAGGAAACACAATTTTATGCTTTGTGTTTCTCACTGAAACCAGTGCAGCATCTTGCACATAATGAGTGCTCAAAATATTTGCTACTTGCTTTTAACTTGAAATGCCCCTAAAAAATAGACATAACCTAGAACTTTACACTTTGAAAAATACATTATGTGACTATTGTGCCTACAAGTTGCCATATCCTGCTCTCCAAAAAGTAATTACTTGGCTTATTCACTCGTGATTTGATGAAACTCTTTTGTTTTTACTTTGGTTTATCTCTTTTGTTAAAGAGAGCACAGGGAAAGAGAAGCAGGTTTTCATGTCTTTGAGTGGGTTCTGCCTGGGGTTGTAATTTCAATGCCACTATTAAAATCTTGGAGGAGAGAGATTTTTACACTCAGACTCCTACTGACTTTAGAGGACTGACTGAACTGTTAGAAATCACAGTGAAGTCTGGCAGTTCTTTGTAATTCAGCCATAGCCAGACAAAGAGGTTTTGTGTTAAATGAAGTTTGCAAGTCTTGACTGAAGGTTTAATTACCATAGTCATAAGCAGGGCACACTTTAGGGGGTTTGACCATAACAAATGAATAAGACATTGATGTTCATTCAATAGTGGCAAGTTTCAAACAGAGGATAGGTCTGTTAGTTGGTGTGCGTTCTCTTTTGCCTTTCAGAAACCTGAAGGACAAAGTATTACATAATGTTTGGTGATATTGGTGATACTAAGCCTGGGCAGCATCATATAGTGGACTTGAACTCAGACAGTTGTAATGTTGGATCCTAGCTCTGTCACTTACTTGCTTTTTGGTCTTTGGGAAGTTACTGAATCTTTCTGGGCCCATTTCTTGAAGACAGGGAATGGGTCATCCTTATATCATAGTGATGGGTGAAGATTACTGAGATGACACATGTAAAGAGCCTGATCTACCAATCAACGTTCTGTAAATGAAAGCTACTATTATTTTATGCTTTATAGTAGTAGTAGCAACAATGCTAGTGCGGCACTCCAACTTAGAAATGGATGTAAACACCAAGGCTTTCCTAGAAATGTAGACACAATGGGAAAACATGTTCATCTTTCTCTTTAGTTAGGTAGGGATATATTGGTTCATCTTGAAGCCTTCCTTCCTTCCCTAGTCTCCAAATCATTTGCCATGACCATATGCTCTTCCTTATCACATTTTTTATTCCTAGACCTCTGTCTTCTTTGCTTCTGAAAAATAGCACTTAGAGAGTCAGCACCTCTAGTCATCAACTTGCATTGTCAGCACTTTCCCACCTCCAAGGATGATAAAATCCGAGGGAAATGAAAAATTGTACTTTATCAGGAAAACACAGATGCTCCTGCCATAATACGCCTTCGGGTTTGCAATTATAAACCTGGCTTGAAGGAAAGGATGTTTAGCAGGAACCAGGAAAATTCTTCCAGGACTGGACTGTGGTCTTGTTATGCTTGTTTAAAGTAGAGGGAAAAGAACTTAAGCAAGTATTTTGAATGACCAAGAGAGGTAGGGAGCAGCTGTTGGTTCAGAGGTCTCTCCCCTTCTGGGCTTCCAGGGCTGGTGTTTTGAGATGTGATGTTGTCGATTCCACTTCTGATGAAGTGATAATCTCTGTATCTTTCCTTAAAACTAAGGTGTTGATATGGTTAGGCTCTGTGTCCTACCCAAATCTCACCTTGAATTGTAAGAATCCCCACATGTTGTGGGAGGGACCTGGTGTGAGGTAATTGAATTATGGGGATGGGTTTTTCCTATGCTGTTCTCATGATAGTGAATAAGTCAAATGAGACCCGATAAAGAGGAGTTCCCCTGCACATACTCTCTTGACTGCTGCAATGTAAGGCATAAAACTTTGCTCCTCCTTTGCTTTCTGCCATGATTGTGAGGCTTATAAATTACCCAGTCTTGGGTATGTCTTTATTAGCAGTAAGAGAACAGACTAATGCAGGTGTTAACTCTGTAACCCTGCAGGTGCCTGAAGTTTGACTCAGCAAGAGGTGGAGCAGCCTGGACATACATGTCAGAGGGCATCATAAACCACAGGGCCTTCAGGAATGTGTTCAGGAATGTGTTCAGGGAGTGAGAGAGGAGGAATGACACATAGTCTCTGTTCCTTTGCTCTTCCCTGCACTGGGGTCATTATTGGGCGGAAAAAAAAATGTCACTTTAAATTCTTCTCCACTCAAAGGGACTTCTTAATACAAAAGCAATCTAATAATCCAACCGAAAATTATTGTGTCCATTAAAAGAAGAGGTTAATTCAACAAATGTCTCCCAATAAATAAAACTACTCATGCTAGCAAAATTGTGTTTTCCTCTTTTATATCTTTTACAAATAATATGAGAATTTTCTTTCTAACATCTAATTATGTTTCATAAGATTAGGAGCAAGGAATCTACTTTTTCATTTACTGATTCGGAATTTTCTATTATAGAATAACAGTGACTAAAAAAAAAGACATTGGTATTAGATAAGGAAGAAAAAAATAAGTTACATATTAATTTGGTCCTGCGCTTTTGATAACTTTGCCTAAAGGATTTTGGGGTTTAAGATAAAACAATTCAGTCATTAATCTAGTTTCCCTCTCCATCCTATTTCCCCTGCATGGTAGTAATAAGACCTACTAAAAGTGAAAAAGTTGATAAACTAAAAATTAAAGTATTTGATAAAGAATAATCCATCTGGAAACACAGTATTCCAGAAAATAATTATACTTCCAATAATAATAATTAAAGAAATAATATCCTTGGAATTACAATTATAAAAATTTTTCCTGGCCTCACTGCATATTTTCTGTCCACCATAGTAAGAATATCAAGGACAGCCCTTTGGTTATGAAAACAGAAATGCACTTTGATCTGAGGGAATAATCAAGTTGCATGAAAACATTGCCCTAATGATCTTCTTCCTAAAGGGGATACTAGAGGCTTTTGTCTGCCATGAGGGTGGCATGAGTCATTTATTCATAGGCAGCAGGACTGCCCAAGATGGGGAGAGCTTTGAAGGCAGTGGGAAAGAGATGGGAGTTTGGGGAGATAGGAAAGTGCAATTGTGCCCAGCAGTCACAGAAGCTCTATTGAGCTTCAGGTTTCCCTTCAGGTAGATTACCTTAAAGATTAAGGAACTCCCACAGATCTCAGAAGGGAAAGGGGTTGCAGCCCTTCTTAATTTTCTACTCTATAACCTGGAGTTTTAATCAGTCCTATGGCTTTTGTTTCACTTTGTTCAGAAAATATTAATTTCTAAATGTATAATGACAATTGTGATTATTGTTGTTCCGTATATTGAGAATTAAGTGAAAGACAAAGCCGTAAGCAATATACCCTAAAAATAACTCTTGAAACCCTCAAAACACTTTTGTCCATTTGTACGTTTTAAAATAGTGGAGCTTTATTCTGACTTTTAAATTTTGTCGTGGAACTTACATAAGATTCACAAAGGCAGATAAGATAGCAATTATCGGCTGGGCATGGTGGCTCACACCTGTAATCCTAGCACTTTGGGAGGCCGAGGCGGGTGGATCACGAGGCCAGGAGATCAAGACCATCCTGGCTAACACTGTCCTGTCTCTACTAAAAATATGAAACATTAGCTGGGCGTGGGGGTGGGCGCCTGTAGTCCCAGCTACTCGGGAGGCTCAGGCAGGAGAATGGCGTGAACCCGGGAGGCAGAGATTGCACCACTGCACTCCAGCCTGGGTGACAGAGTGAGACTCCAGCTCAAAAATAATAAAAAAAAAAGATAACAATTATCACTCATAATTTTAGCAAGAAATAGTATCTGTTAATATGTTGGTATACTTACTTCTAGTCTTTTATGTTTTATGCAGATTTAGACATGAAGTAGTCCAAGCTTAGTAGAGTATGTATGTTAAATGTTTAATTTTTCTGCTATTATTAACAATCAACTAGACTATGTTGCCAAGTTTCTTAATAAAAACTTGCGTAGATTCCAAAACTTTCTAGTCATTTCCAATTATTAAAATTAAATATTGAGAAGGAAAAACAAAAATAAAAGTAGACCACTCTTCTCTGTAGTTGAACACTTTAATCTCATATCCTATTTAATCACGTTCTTGCCTCCATCTCTAACCAATTTTTAGATAGAGAGGACATTGGGGAAGAATAGGCTTTGCTCTTCTTTCCCTTTTCTCTACTCCCTTACCACATAGGGAGAGATGTGTGATCTGCTCAAATACCCCTCTTTTTCATTCCTATATCTTGCAATTTGTATGGGAGCATTGTCTACCTCTGGACCAGAAAGAAGGAGATACAATTGATTGACTTTGCTTAGGGGATAAACATTCCCTCTTACCCATGGAGCCTGCACTTCTGATGACTCTTCCAACTCCAGTAATTTTGTTTGTTTTGCTCTTTCTCCCTTATTCTTCCACTGTGTAGTCTGGTATTAGGGGGATTGAGGAGAGGGTAGTAAGGTGGTTGCAGTAATAGAGCATAGTCACCTCAATAAACTCCGAGAGAGGTTTCTGACTCATTGGTGTCTCTTTTTGGAAAATGAAGAAAGTGAGGTAATTAGAGCCATGTCGTCCATAGTTTTGATGATAGCAGTCAATTCCAGGGCTATAGGGAAGGTCCCACTTAACCCGCTGTTATGCATATATACAGGAAATGAATGTAATATGTGGAAACATGTTAAGATACTTTTCTCATTTGCCTTTTATCATACATGCTCTTTTTCTGCAGTCAGTTTAAGGCATCCTTCTGTCCATCTTGGTGCTGTGTATGTGGGAGTAGTGGTGGAATAAATTGTTACAGCAAGAATTCAATGAGAAAATTTTCAGCTTCTGACTTCCAAAATAGAATTTTACAATAAAACACCTACTTTGAAAGCCAAGCATTATATACAGAGAATATTCTAAATTTGTTGTATCAAGAATCTAATTATAAAGACTGAGATTATAGGGTGTCTTGCATAGTGCAGCCACCTATCATGGCCAGGGAATGAGAGAAATTGACAAAGGGAGAGCAGAAAAATTAAGAGAAAATAGAACCCTACCAGGACACAGAGGTTATGGAATGAAGAATGGAGATCCTACGAAGCAGAGGAAGAAGGGAATAAAGCACCTGGATCTCAATCCCCTTCCTTTGAACTTTGACCTGGAGTGTCAGAGGAGTTTTAGATAAATTGAGAAAAGTGCCAAGAGTTCTTTATTTAATTCCTTGCAAGAGGATTGTCTCAAATGATGCCTTTAGCAATCTGAGGGTGATTACATCAAAGTAAATTCAATGGTGCTGTCTAGTTAGACAGAAGAAAGCTCACACTTGAAATTTTTGAGACGTTCTCAGTTTTTGCAGGGCAGGTATGGGATCCATACTTCCCACAGCCCCCTGACAATGACTGAGAATAGCTGTACTGAGAGACAGTGGGGATCTGTGAAGCCTTTCATAAAGAGAGGCAAATTGATTTGGAATAGATTCTATGAGATATACAGTCTAGGACAAGAGAGACAGAGGAAGAAAAGCATACAGAACAGAAGGTTTTTCCAGGGCCAAGGAGCATTGACATCTGATCACCACAGCAAGAGAGGAAATTGGTCTTTGTAAAAATGTGAAGCACAGGACTTTAAATTCTACCAGCAGGACATGCAGTAGAGACTTCACTATGGGGAGTAATGGCATCCAAAGTAACTACCCTATTGAAAACTCCCTATCCACCATCCCCTTACATTCTAAGAGGTCACAGTAAGTTCCACAGATGCCAGATATCATCCTGAGTAGATATGGTAGAGAGAGGATGACTTAAAACACTGGACATTTAGCTAAAGGCCTGAGATAACTAGAGAAACTATTGATGTTATACAGAGTACCAGACCTGAAATCCAGTCTTTTTTCTTCAACAACTCAGCATGTGTTTATAGGTGCATAAGGGAACTGGGATTGTCCACTTTAATGTTATCTATGGTATTTATTACAAAAAGTTATTGTGGGAGATCAGCCAGTGTGGCAGAAGAAATTATAGGAATAGAAAGAAGCAAACCTTCTTGGAAGGCTGGGGAATTTTGCATAACTTCAGATAGTTTGGCTGAAGGCAGCCAGATTCTCTTTTCAGGAGCCAGAGAGCTTAGGGCACAGATACAAAGGAATGTAGAGTAGTTTATATAAATAGCTTGTTTACTCATGTGGTCCTAAAATCAACCTTTTATCATTCGAGGGCACGATGGCCCTCTCAGGGGTGGGGGCAACCAGGTTAGTTATCCACAGGTGTGTTGACTTAAAGCCTTTGTCGATTAAATCTGCACTAAATAAATGCAAGCGCTGTCAGCTTGGAGGGGCTGCAAACTCTCTTCAGCCCCGAGTGTCAGCAGCCCCCTGGCCTGCTCTTTCACTGAATATCCATGTCTGAGTATGTGTCTCATCTGTCGTGCAGCAGGGGTCTGCAGGACAGACCCCTGCAAGTTATACAAAGAATGTCTAATTTTATTGTTTTAATTACTCACTATTAGAAAAATGCTGTATTTAATAATGTTCTAAAAACACATTTATATATACATGAGGAAGTATTTTGTTAAAATGTGTCTTCAGACATAGAATTCCCAGCCAAAGGTTACACACATTTGCAGTTTTGGTATATTTTGCCAAATTATCATGAAGACTGCACCAATGTTCACTGCTCACAATAATGTATAGGGCCTACTTTCCCATTTAGTCCTTTAAGCAATATCTAGTAAAGTTGAAAATGCTGATAGCCCAGAACTCAAGCTTAAATTTTTAAACCTATAACTTTGAGAAAATTTTCCCTATATTTACAAGAAGACTTGCATAGAGATATTGACAGCAGTTTTTAAAGCATTAAAAGTGTGCACTGTGAAAAATTGGATATAAAGCAAATATTTACCAATAGTAATTGATAAAGAGTGACACATTTAAACAATGGGATGCTATATAAAAGTTGAGTGTATCAGGATAACATGAAAAGGATGTCAATACATAACAGGGAATTACAAATATCAGTTGCAGAAAGTTACTGCTATGGTTGTAAACTCATATTGAAATTTGGTCCTCAATGTAACAATGTTGACAAGTAGTGAGACCACTAAGGGGTATTTGGGTCATGGCGACTCTGCCCTCATCAAGGGATTAATAGCCACCTCATGGGAGTAAATTAGTTCTCGTGGGGGGCGCTAATGAATTAAGGGTGTTAGTTATCACAAGAGGGAGTTGCTATAAAAGTGAGTTGGCCTTCCTCTGTCTTCCTTTGCCTCCTTTGTTGCCAAGCGGTGCCTTCCACATTATAAAGCAGCAAGGAGGCCTTCAGCAGAAGCTGATGCCAGCACCATATTTTTGGTATTTCCAGCCTCCAGAACCATGAGCAAAAATAAACTCTTTTCCTTTGTAAATTCTGTTTATAGCAACAGAAAGAACCTCAGGCATTCTGTTACAGCAACATAAATTAACAGTTACGTACTATATATTATTTATGGGTATCTATGTTATCAAATGGTAAAAGAAAATAAATACTGGAGATATAGTCAGCATATCTCCAGTAATTTTGCAGAGAGGTTGCTTTTACGTTGGGAAGGTAAGAACTGGAGGAACATACAAACAGGAGTTCTACTTCATCTATTATGATTTATTTATTATTCCATATTATTATTAATCTTTAACAAAGTGACATTAACATTAATCAATTCTGTGTATGAGGTATGTAAATACTGATTTCTTCTCATATATTTTTTCATTTTCTAAAAAAGAAGAAATCCAGTATCCTTGGTTCTTAGCCTCTAAGATCACCTTAGCTCAACAGCATGTAAACTTCATGTTTATTTACTGTACAAATTTTACACACACAGTAGCAGAGTGTTTGAACCTCTGCATAATTCATAAGATTAATATCAACAATCTAGTCTTCCTGAATTGCTCTATTTTCTGGCCTATTTTTCTTTGCCCAAGTGATATTCAGAAAATCATTAAAAAAACTTAGTCATTTTCAATTATTAGTCAAATGATATGTTTAGAACATTTCCTTAGCATTATTAAATTAATAACGAAGAGTTGATTATTTACATAGTAGTCAAATTTTCACTAATCTATTAATTGGCTGAGTGAAGTTTTTAAAAGAAAAGCTTGTAATCAATCAAACTAGTTTTGGACTGGAAAGCCAAAATATAAGGGAACCTTGTGAAGTATCTATGGACTCTGACATGTGTGTTGCAAGTGAGAAAATCAAATTGCCAACTGTTTATTCTGTCCTATTACATTTTAAATTTATCAATCTATTTCTTTCATTGGTTAGGTTGCTTATGTCTTATATAAAAAGTTCTTGATTATGTCAAGGTCATAAAGTCTTCTCAATTTTTTTCTAATGATTTCAAAGGAGCTTTTGTTGTTTGTTTTGTTTTCATTTAGACTCTGACCCAAATCCCCAGATTAATAAGGGCTCCCTCCAGTTAGAGCCTCCATATCACTAAGAGCAGTGTTTCTCAAACAAGCATTCATTGGAATTACTCAAAATGCTTGTTACAACACAAGTTACTGGGCCCCATATCCAACGTTTCTAATTCAGCATGTTTAGCGCAGGTCAAATAATTTTCACTTCTAATTAGTTCCTAAATGATGGCGATGCTGCTAAACCAGGGACCACACTTTAAGAATGATTAATTTAGAAAACAGTCTTTAACCTCAGACTTACCCAAAGAGCTGGTAAAAATTTGTGTGTCTACCTCTTGCCCAGATCACTTAAATCATCAGCCAGTTGGCCCGGTGTGGGGGCTCACGCCTGTAATCCCAGCACTTTGGGAGGCCGAGGCGGGCGGATCATGAGGTCAGGAGATCGAGACTATCCTGGCCAACATGGAGAAACGCTGTTTCTATTAAAAATACAAATAATTAGCTGGGCGTGGTGGCACGTGCCTGTAATCCCAGCTACCCAGGAGGCTGAGGCAGGAGAATTGCTTGAACCACGGAGTCGAAGGTTGTAGTGAGCCGAGATCGCGCCGCTGCACTCCAGCCTGGTGGCAGAACAAGACTCCGTGTCTGGAAAAAAAACAAAAAACAAACAAACAAAAAAAATCAGCCAATTTAGATAATCCTTCTTTGACTTTATCCTGTAGACAAAGTCCATAGTTAGCTCTTATTATATGTGGGTATATATGTGGTCCTATCTTGGGTTTTTGACAGTTTTTTAACTACTTATTCTGATAATCTTTACATTCTTTACTCCTATTCTTTATAGTTAGTGCAGAGTTTCTCAGTATCTTTATGTGGAGGAACAAGACTCATCCTTGCTGATCCTCTCTGGCACCTCTTGTAGAGTGTATAGTTCTTTGCTTTGGTTTCAGAATCTATTAGAGTCCATCAGTTTAAAGAATTCTGCTTATTGTTTGTATTAGAGACTTAGAGAAATACATGACAATAATAAAAACAGCAAATAATTATAGCTGAAAGAGTAGGTTCTTTTATTATCAGCTCTTTACAGATAAGTAAATTGAGTCCATGGAAACAAATACTATGTTCAGGACTATGTAGGCAGTATGGTTCAGTCCTAGTTCCATATCCAAGCAGTGTGGTTTCAGAGGCTTCATTGAATGGACCTAGTAAACCTGGATTCACTGAGGGCAAATGGGCAGAATGATCTATTTATTACGCTTATGTGAATTTTTTTACTGGGTAGCAGGCAGATAATATGAAAAATCACACCCTTGTTTATAAGCAGGAAGATCCTCTTAGGTGGTCTCATTGCACGGGGCAGGAGAGAGACAAGGCTAAACTTGACATTAAGACAGATGGATCCAAGAGACAGAAAAGCCCAGTTATAGCTTCTAAAAATTCCTCCACATTTCTGTTCTGCTGCTGATGTACTCTCTGAATTCCTAGAACAATTATGAAATTATACTTCTTCTTATATCACTTCCTTTACATTGTGGTATGTTGTGAGGGAAAAAGCTAAATTTGTGCTCAGTTTATTATCCTGAAAGGAAGAATTGCTGGATTTCTAGCTTTGATCCTACCATAAATAGCTCTATAACCTTTAAATAAATAACTTTATCTTGTTGGGCCTGAATTTTTCTTCTGAAAAGTTAGTAATTTGTATTAGGTGATTTTAAAAGATTCTTTCTAGTTCATTCTAACAGTATAAAATAAAATTATTTAGCTCCAAGTATGACAAGATAAATCTTGTAGGAATAATGAACTGTTCCCACATTGTTAATCTCAGAATTGTTAAGTGTCTCATCTCAGTGATTTATTGTGATCATACAGTTTCCAAAAGAACAATATTTACCCAGTTTTCATGAAAAACAGTAAGAAAAAAAATCACTTCCAAATTCAAAATCAAAATGAGAGAGAGAGGGAAACAGAGAGAGAGAGAGAGAGAGATGTTGAGACTCTCTGATCTTGAGGTGCTTTTAGGCAAACAAATGAGAAAAAAGATAATTTTAACTCACTATACTCTAATTTTGCATTTATTTATTTATGCATATATAAAGCATTTTGTGATGCATAATTAAAATTGCTATAGCTATGTCATATATTATCACAGTTACTGCCATTACTAGTGTATATTATATTACAAACCTCTCTTCTGTTTTCAGGGAGGTGAACTGACAGTGGCATACAGGGTCTCCAATAGCAGGCAACATTTCTTTGTGTTTAAAATACTTCATGAAAGAATCTCCAGCCAAGAGAGCATTTCAAAGCATAGTCACCTATGAATAGATACACCCTGCAGATATGAACTTGAAACACACACACACACACACACACACACACATTTTTTCCTTTCAGTAAAAGACTTTGGTAGCGCTCGTTATTTCATTAATGGTTGAGTTGCTGTGGAAGTTAGAGAATAATTTCAAATACAACTGTCTTGATATCCTTCCAAGATATGTGCATGCTCAGGTAATTATGTTATATACTTCTGACTTCTAAGACACATATCTTTTTATTTCTCTGTATGTGTTTGCTGTAGTCTGCAAAGTAGGACTTATATTTTTTACAGTGGTGAACCATTTTGTCTTGAAGATTAGTTGCTCATTTTTAAAAGTATTTTTCGTAAGGTAAACCGTGAACTGATATAGTAAGCAATTTGGAGATTAGATCAGAATTAAAATTTAAGTAGTACTAGTTAACAGTCATTCCTTTTGATAAGTCCGTGTTATTGTTATTATGTTTAGGTGGCTGATACTTTGGCTGTATCTGTGGTTTCAATATTCAATTTTATTAAGCAACAGTTGTATAAATAAGGTCATGATATCTTAGGTTAAGTCTCCAGAAAACAAACCCTGAGATGGAGATTTGCATGCTGTAGGTTTATTGGCTATGTGCTCTTAGAAACAACGCCTGGGAGGGATTGAGAGAGGCAAGACAGGTGGAGGGAAAACATAAACTATGATGCAGTTGCAACAGTGGCCTTGGCCAAGTCCATGGGTAGCTCTGGAGTTGGCATGGCCTTTCAGGGTTATGAATCGAAGCAAGGGCTGTATCTTTGTGCCCTGCATGGACCAGTCATTGGATGTGAGCTGTCCCCCAAGGAGGGAATGTAATGTTATGTGAGGCAGCTCACTTCTGCAAACAATGACTTCTAAACAAAGGTCTGAAAACATTGTGTTTAAGACTAAAAAACTAATACTCTGAGACAGGTGTGGTATAAGAGGACCAGAGTTTTATGTTTTCCACAAATTATGGCAGAGAAATGCTATAGAGACTAAGGGTATTAGAAGCCAATGGTGAATTTCCATTTAGTAATTATACTTAAATATGAAAATGTATTCCAAAATTATGTGTATATCTAATATGCATTTCCTGAGGAACTCAAAATTTAAGTCATCAAATTTGTTTGATTTAAGATGTTTCTTTTAATGGCATAACTAAGAATAAATATGCAACCCGAGTAGGGAATGTAAATAAGTGTGGGAATGTATATGAATTTATATAGATCTTTTCACTACATATGTTTGCAGAAGACGTCATCATGTATCTTGCATGCCCTGTGAGTATCTAAAAGGGCTTTCTGATAATTGTTAGCTTGGCCTAATATTAAGTTTGTTTAAAGCCATATATATGCATGTATCTAGAATCCAACCCTGTCTCACAAGTCCATACCATCAACACTCTGGTACCCATCATCTCTTATTGCAATAAGCTTTTACCTGGCCCCTCTGCTTCTATCTTAGCCTCTTACCTGGTTCCCTTAGCCTTGATCATCATACGGTCTGGTTTTAGCACATCAGCCTGTGTAATATTGTTAAAATGTAGGTAAGATCATGTAACTACTTTGCTTGAAATCCTCTCCCAGTTTCCCATCTCATTTAGAGTAAAAGTTGAAGTTCTTACAATGATCCGAGGGCCCTACATAATCTGACCTCTAACCTCTTCTCCTCCCAACCTGCCACCACTTGCTCTGCCCTGTGCATACGGCTGTCTTTACTATTCCTTAAACATGCCATGCCTCAGGGATTTTGCACTTGCTATTTTCTCTGACTGGAGTGCTCTTTCGCCAGATAAATTCCATGGCTTGTGATATGGTTTGGATTTGTGTCCCCATGCAAATCTCCTGTTGCATTGTCATCCCCAATATTGGAAGAAGGGCCTAGTGGGAGGTGATTGGATCATGGGGTCAGATTTCTCCCTTGCTGTTCTTGTGATAGTGAGTTCTCATGACATCTGGTTGTTTAAATGTGTGTGGCACCTCCCCCTTTTCTCTTCCTCCTGCTGCCATGTAAGACATGCCTGCTTCCCCTTTGCCTTCCACCATGATTGCAAGTTTCCTGAGGCCTCCCCAGCCGTGCTTCCTGTACAGCCTGCAGAACCATGAGCCAATTAAACCTCTTTTCTTTATAAATTACGCAGTCTCAAGTCGTTCTTTATAGCAGTGCAAGAATGAACTAATACAGCTTGCTTCTTCACTTCCCTTAGTTATTTACTCAAAAATTGTTTTCTCAGTGATTCTTCCTAAGTATCCTACCTAAAATTTTAATAATCGTTTCCTGCTTTCACATGCCTGGCTCTTTTCTTTTTCTCCTTATCACTATTTAGCATTATTTGTATTTTACTTATTTTTGTTGCTTATAGTTTGTCTCCTCTACTGGAATAAAAATTACCTGAGGGCTGAGATTTTTGTCTTTTTTATTTCTCCCCCATCCATAGTACTAGAAATGATGCTTAGCATATAATAAGCACTCAATACATCTTTGCTGAATGAAAGCAGATTTAGATGATAAATGTGCACATATAGTTAATACTTCTGCACAATTGGTCTCCATTGTCAAGTTGCCCCGATACAAAGCTAACATGTGATGGAAGAAGGAAATATTTTTATAGGGCGTCTTTTGCTTTCTCTAGAGATTAAGAGTTTTCACTACAGTGAGAGGTTCCTTAATTAGCGCTAATTATGCTCCAGGCCTTCCCACATGAGTTGACCAGGAAGCAGAAAGGAGAGGTGTCTCTTTAGAACCATGCAAGCTTGTTTGTGCCCCACTGTGAATCTGTGAAACAGCACTGTTATCCTGTGGGTGTCAAGAAGTAGCTAAGGGTGAATGTGAACAATAAAAATGTCATACTGGTTATTAAGAAACTATATCTTATTTTTTTCTTTCCAAACTAACCATTCCCTAGGTTCTGTTTAAAACAAGGCAAGAAACTCTAAGATCAATTTAAAAGAGATTAGCTCTAGGTCAAACCCAAAGTCTGCTTTCTATGAACTCTTCTCTGAATTCAATATATAACAAATGTTTCAATGTTATTTGCAGCATGAATGTAGCAAGCATTCTTACAGAAGTTGTAAGAGAGATGTTTTATAATTTCAACTTGTTTTTGAAAAGGATGTTAAAAATCTGGTTTTCAGTTTGCATTAAGAATTACTTTTTCATAACATCATTGGGTGTCAAATGCAAAGCAAGCTTCTTACATATGACATCTGTCAGTTTTATAAGTCCCACAGGATCTGTGCTGCCAGATGTCAGCTCTTCCCCTATCACACTTCTAGGACTAAGACAACAGTAGAAAAAAATATGTCTAACTAGGGGTAGACAATCTTAAAGCATAGTTAAAAACTGGCCAAGAACAAAGCGCATGGCTGTTGAGTATATAAGGCATGCATGAGCTCTACCTTCTCCATGTGTTATCCATGACTATCATAGTTACAATCACCTCAGGACTCCTAACAATGAGGAACCTAGAGACAACTGTTAAGAGCACTACAGGCATTAACCAGCCTGTGACCTCTTACTTTAAGAACACTTTGGATACTATTCTAAAGCTATTCATTATAGTAGGATCCCCCTGCAAGTCTGTGCTGGCAGCAAGGCATAAGAGATGGCTTATAGTGCAGTTCTAAGTCCTGAATACTAAAGATAGAGCATTCTGCTTATCTATCCTCTTTGCTTTCAGTGAAGCCTCAGAAAAACCAAAATAGCTTATAGCCTATTAGGATGCAGGTGGTATGGGATGCTAACCACCTCATCACTGTGGCTAAATATCTAGGAGCAAAGTCATGATTTATACATTTTCAAGTCTTCTTTGACTGCAGAATTTTTAAGTTTGGAGGCTCAGCAGAGATTGGATTTTCATAAGCAAAGATTCTGACACAATATTCACATGCCCTCAAATGTTCAGTTGCATGACCAGTCCTTCCCAATCTTGTAGACAGAATATTTGAGAAGTTGTTGTGTTCTAAGCAAAAAAGAGAAATTATCAGTGGGCTGTTTGGCTTTATTAAAAATGAGTTTTTAAAAAAAATATGGGATTTTAATTCCCAAGGGTGGCATTAAGATAGGGTGATCCATTGTCTCTCTACCATTGTCTGTGATCACATTCTGGTCTATGAGCACTGCTGTGGCATTAGGATATTCTGTGTGGGCTGAGCGCTGTCAGTGCCTGAGAGGGAAATGGAGCCCACCATACCCTAGCTCTGTCTGTTTGAGGCCTTCTAAGGCCTAAAAAAAATTGCAGGCAGACATTTACCAGTTAGAAACTAAAGAAGGTGGCTGCTCTTTGTCTTTTACTCTGCTAAGTCATCAGAGGCTCTATGTGAGATGCCGAAACATTCTAAAGGAATGTAAACATTTCACCTAATCTCATGGCTCTTTTGTTACATATCTCCGAAATCCTAGAGTTTTAGATGATTTGTTTGCATTCTGCTTTTACTCTAAATGTTTTGCTATTGCATAGACAAAGTTATGTGTGGCAACATGTGCAAGTCTTAAGCATTTGAATATTAAGTCAGAAGTTGCAAAATGCTCTCTGTACCATCCAGATAAACTATCTGTGCTCACAAGAAGCTCTATATTGTATGAGTGAGAACCATTAAACCTTGCTACCTCTTTCTCTCTTTAAGCCTGTGCACACCAAAACACCACAGTTTGCAGTACCCTTCTTTTTCCTTTGCCACAATACCTCTAGTGTGGGATAATTAGATTGCTTAGTGGTGCAGGGCAGTGAAGCATGGAATACCTGGCAACATAAACTGTACAGAGGATTCCACACATTCTATGTGCATTGGACCAAAAGGGAGGAATAATGTAGACAGAACAGGGATGCTGCAAGCATTAGAAAGGATTAAAGCAAAGCTTGGTTGGAAGGATCTGCTAGCCATGTGACTCTCTGGAGGTATTATGAGTTTCTCAGATAAAAAGGTTAGTTGCTCACATTAGCTTTCTGAAAACATCAACACTATTTCTCTTATAGGCTGTCTGACTGTATTTCCATTTTGCAGACTCCATGGAAATTGTGAAAGAATTTTCCATTGTTCGCAAAAAGAAAGAAGGAGTGATTTTCCAATATGAAGAGATTAGCTTGTTGCAGTTCAGCTCTGCCTTTTATGCAGCAAGCCTGCTGTTTCTCATCCGTGCCTTTATGGAAAGGCTCAAATATATTCTAACTCTCTCATTGCACATCTCATTGTAGCTGCTGATAAAATGCACTGTAAAGGACACAAAGACAATCTCATGAAAATGAAAAGAAATTATTCAGAGCACCATATACCAGGTAAAGGGCAGAGACAAATTACAGTTTTTCCTGCCTTTGGGTTACTAGCCTATCAGTGGTCCAAAGCTAAAACTTGTATCTGTATTGGTGTAACTTGGGAATGTTCCTTGCATTGAGGCATCATTTGACAGGGAGATAACAACTTGTATTAAGAAAGTGAGAGCATCTTTTGGAAGACTGACAGGAATGGTAATGGAGCAATGTGCCACACAGACAAAAATCAATGCTTCAAACTAAGAATAGTATTTAATTCTTTTTGTAGACAGAGTGAAATTCTTGGTAAATTACAGCAGCATTAGTGTTGTTCTTTGTCCAAAATCAAATAGTGGAACAGAGTATCTGAGAATCTAAGGGTACTCGACTATTACAGATTCCAGTGAAGCAGGTTTTATCTCCTTCCTGGGCACCTGTTATGTTCATTCCCAGCTCCTGGCCATATCCATACTATTCCCTTTTCTGAAATTCTTTCCCGGCCCATCCTCTCATGCAAATACTATCCATTCTTTATAATATAAGCCAATGGAAATTAGTAAAATCTATATTGCACCACTAAATTGTGTATATGTATATTATTCACCTTATTCTTGATTACAACTTTATAAGGTAAATACTACCATTCTCATTTTACAAGTAATTAAATTGGAATCTATAGAAATTTGGTAACATGTCCAAACCCATTCAGTTAGTGAATAGAGGAATTCAGATTTTAATTTAGTCTTCTGACTAGGCCTACTCATGCTTTTAACCCTATGCTAAACTACTTCCTATAGTAGGCCAAATATCCTTATATGTTCCATTAAGCATTCACCATCAACTCCTGTTTATGGCCATATGCTTTTTAAAAATTCCAACTGCACACATTGTTTATAACATTCATTCCAGCACTTGAACTTATACTATCCTAATAGTTATTTAAGATCTTTATTAAATAAACATTTTCCCATGAAATATTATACATTCTTTAAGGGATATATATATATATATCTGTCAATCTATCTATCTATCTATCTATCTATCTATCTATCTATCTATCTATCTATCACTGTATTCCTAATTCTGTGGTGGCCTGATAGTAAATGCTCAATTATACCTATTAGTTGAACTAAATAGGTTGGTTAATATCGATGCAATCTGTGACCCATTTTGCTAGGTATTACTGAATCACGGCCATGGAAACTTCTACCACATTCATATGATCACCCCTTTAAAGTGTCAAGCTGATCAGAGCACAGTAGAAAGTCAGCTCTATTGTGTAGGCAGGGCAAGTGACCACATTCCTGAACAACAATTCAACAGTGAATAGGCCAGAGGGCTGTCAAGTAAGACACTAAAGTGATGTGCTGAAAACAAGCCAAAAGCAATGCAAAAATCAATAAAGACATCTGAGAAATAGCTGGGGTGGACCAGACCTGCTGGGCAGGACTGCCAGGCAGATGTGATCTAGTTTATCCATAAACCAACCAACCACTACTACAGAGACCAAACCGAAGAGATGTAAGTGGGCTTAGGCTCCCCTTATTGAGGCTCTGAAGAGACATAACAAGATAAACACATACGTGTAATTGACACTTCTGAGAGCGCAGGTCACCAGTAAGCCTGTAAGTTAATTCTGAGCATCCTAGGAACACCCTTGGCAGGGAACAATTACGAGTAAAATTACTATTACAGAAGATGTACCATAGTTCAGTGATTAAGAAGATGGGGTCCTAGACGAGGCCACTTGCTTGACCATCCCTTAGAGATATGAAAACTTGCGCAAGTTACTCAACATCTCTGTGCTTCCTTATCTTTGTAAAAGAATTACCAGTAGTAAAACTCTCAACTGAAAGTTGTGAGGATTAATGAGATCATGCTGGACACATTATGAATCTTCCATAAATGCTAGCCTTTACTACAATGACAATCGTTATTTTATTATTAGCAAACTGAAAAGTTCATGAAACTAGTCTCAGAATTTCAATACTTTTTGAGACTTGAAAAACATTTTTTAAACCTATTTTAGAAAGAACAAACTGAGAACCAAAGAAATGTGATTATTTTCCCAAAATCTTAAATCCTTATAATGATAGAGCTAAGATTAGAATACAAAGCATCTACTTCTGGGCTTTTATTCTTTACATTTACTTCCTATTCTCATGTCTTCCATGGCAGTGTACCAATGCAGTCCAAATGGATCTTAATCCAAAACTACACAGGAGGAAAATGAAAGAGTCAAATGTTGCTATACCATAATTATCCTACATTTTTCACATGTGCACTTAAAGTTGAATAGGGCCTCATCTTCACTGCAAGGTAGTACATAGTAAAAAGAAGTCGTATCATATTAGCTGTTTAAAAAAAGGAATGTATCTATATGCATATAAATTTTTAGTGCAATTCTTGGCTGTGATAAATAGGTTTTCAATAATGAGTATAATATAGTGAGAGAAAAGGATATATGTGGTAAATGTGAGCAGTGATAGCATCCAAAACTATACATTTATCTATAAATATTTATTGAGAAACTACTCTTTTAGGTACTAGGTAGGGAGTTCTAAACAAAATCGCCTCGGGCCCTGCTTATATGGAGCATATAGATAAGCTCCATATAGGTAGTATAGTTATCTATTTTATTTATATATATATGTATGTAAAATATAGCTCCATATAGATAGATCATAAGGAGTAAGTAAATAAATAAAAGCATTATTCACAGTTATAAAAAAGGTGCTATGAGGGAAAATTAGAGGGCTGAGACAGAATGTTGGAAGAGAACTTGTTTTAAATTGGATGGCAGGGACAATCTTGTTGAGGAAGTAACATCTAAGCCAAGATACTGAGGACCAAGAGAATACAATGACCAAGAGAATACAACCACCAACAAGGTTGGGTGGAGAAGCCCTCTAAGTAAAAGGAGTCACATGGGTCAAAGTTCTAAGGAGATAAACCTTGATGTATCAGCTAAGAAAAGGCTAAAATGATGAAGCAGAAATACAGAGAGTGAGAGTGGCTGAGGGACAAATTGAAGGTGGGAGAAACAAGCAAATGTAAATTTGTTCAGAGCTTTGTAAGCTGTCGAGAGGAATTTAGATTTAATTGTGAGGGTAATGGGAGATTATTGAAAGGATCCAATTAAGGTTTTCTGCTTTATGGTAGATGGGTTGTGGAGGCAAAATGGAAACAGGGAGACCAGTTAGGTAGCCAGTCTAATAGTTCAAGATAGAGATGGTACTGGTTTATGACTCAGGTATAGGTGATAAGAGTGGATAAGAAGAGATGTAGACAGAATCGAGATACGTTTTAGAGGCAACATGTATAGGGGATGAACACAGAAACCATATATATATATATATATATATATATTTGATATAAAAAGACATATAGATAGATAATCCTGAGGAAAATATGTTAGTTTTAAATAATGTAATAGAGAGCTTATAAATCAGTTTTTCTTTAATTTATAATTGACACATAATTGCACATATTTATGGGGTACAATGTGATGTTTCAATGTATGTATACATTGTGTAATGATCAAATGAGGATAATTAGCATATCTATTACCTTAAACATTTTTAATTTTCTCATAATGAGAAAATTCAAAAACGTATTTTCTAGCTATTTTTTAAATTTATATATATATATTTTTTATTATACTTTAAGTTCTAGGGTACATGTGCACAACGTGCAGGTTTGTTACATATGTATACACGTGCCATGTTGGTGTGCTGCACCTATTAACTCGTTATTTACATTAGGTATATCTCCTAATGCTATCCCTCTCCCCTCCCCCCACCCCACAACAGGCCCCAGTGTGCAATGTTCCCCTTCCTGTGTCCAAGTGTTCTCATTGTTCAATTCCCACCTATGAGTGAGAACATGCGGTGTTTGGTTTTTGGTCGTTGGCAATAGTTTGCTGAGAATGATGGTTTCCAGCTTCATCCATGTCCCTACAAAGGACATGAACTCATCATTTTTTATGGCTGCATAGTATTCCATGGTGTATATGTGCCACATTTTCTTAATCCAGTCTATCATTGTTGGACATTTGGCTTGGTTCCAAGTCTTTGCTATTGTGAGTAGTGCCGCAATAAATATACATGTGCATGTGTCTTTGTAGCAGCATGATTTATATTCCTTTGGGTATATACACAGTAATGGGATGGCTGGGTCAAATGGTATTTCTAGTTCCAGATCCTTGAGGAATCGCCACACTGTCTTCCACAACAGTTGAACTAGTTTACAGTCCCACCAACAGTGTAAAAGTGTTCCTATTTCTCCACATCCTCTCCAGCACCTGTTGTTTCCTGACTTTTTAATGATCACCATTCTAACTGGTGTGAGATGGTATCTCATTGTGGTTTTGATTTGCATTTCTCTGATGGCCAGTGATGATGAGCATTTTTTCATGTGTCTTTTGGCTGTATAAATGTCTTCTTTTGAGAAGTGTCTGTTCATATCCTTTGCCCACTTTTTGATGGAGTTGTTTGTTTTTTTCTTGTAAATTTGTTTGAGTTCTTTGTAGATTCTGGATATTAGCCCTTTGTCAGATAAGTAGATTGCAAAAATTTTCTCCCATTTTGTAGGTTGCCAGTTCACTCTGATGATAGTTTCTTTTGCTGTGCAGAAAGCTCTTTAGTTTAATTAGATCCCATTTGACAATTTTGGCTTTTGTTGCCATTGCTTTTGGTGTTTTAGACATGAAGTCCTTGCCCATGCCTATGTCCTGAATTGTATTGCCTAGGTTTTCTTCTAGGGTTTTTATGGTTTCAGGTCTAACATTTAAGTCTTCAATCCATGTTGAATTAATTTTTGTATAAGGTGTAAGGAAGGGATCCAGTTTCAGCTTTCTACATGTGGCTAGCCACTTTTCCCAGCACCATTTGTTAAATAGGGAATCCTTTCCCCATTTCTTGTTTTTCTCAGGTTTGTCAAAGATCAGATAGTTGTAGATGTGTGGTATTATTTCTGAGGGCTCTGTTCTGTTCCATTGATCTATATCTCTGTTTTGGTACCAGTACCATGCTGTTTTGGTTACTGTAGCCTTGTAGTATAGTTTGAAGTCAGGTAGTGTGATGCCTCCAGCTTTGTTCTTTTGGCTTAGGTTAGTCTTGGCAATGTGGGCTCTTTTTTGGTTCCATATGAACTTTAAAGAAGTTTTTTCCAATTCTGTGAAGAAAGTAATTGGTAGCTTGATGGGGATGGCATTGAATCTATAAATTACCTTGGGCAGTATGGCCATTTTCACAATATTGATTCTTCCTATCCATGAGCATGGAATGTTCTTTCATTTGTTTGTGTCCTCTTTTATTTCGTTGAGCAGTGGTTTGTAGAGAGAAGAATCAAATAGATGCAATAAAAATGATAAAGGGGATATCACCACCGATCCCACAGAAATACAAACTACCATCAGAGAATACTATAAACATCTCTATGCAAATAAACTAGAAAATCTAGAAGAAATGGATAAATTCCTCGACACATACACCCTCCCAAGACTAAACCAGGAAGAAGTTGAATCTGTTAATAGACCAGTAAGAGGCTCTGATATTGAGGCAATAATTAATAGCTTACCAACCAAAAAAAGTCCAGGAACAGACGGATTCACAGCCGAATTCTACCAGAGGTGCAAGGAGGAGCTGATACCATTCCTTCTGAAACTATTCCAATCAATATAAAAAGAGGGAATCCTTCCTAACTCCTTTTACGAGGCCAGCATCATCCTGATACCAAAGCCTGGCAGAGACACAACAAAAAAAGAATTTTATACCAATATTCCTAATGAACATCAAAGCAAAAATCCTCAATAAAATACTGGCAATCCAATCCAGCAGCACATCAAAAAGCTTATCCACCATGTTCAAGTGGGCTTCATCCCTGGGATGCAAGGCTGGTTCAACATACGCAAATCAATAAATGTAATCCAGCATATAAACAGAACCAAAGACAAAAACCACATGATTATCTTAGTAGATGCAGAAAAGGCCTTTGACAAAATTCAACAACCCTTCATGCTAAAAACTCTCAATAAATTAGGTATTGATGGAATGTATCTCAAAATAGTAAGAGCTATTTATGACAAACCCACAGCCAATATCATACTGAATGGGCAAAAACTGGAAGCATTCCCTTTGAAGACTGGCACAAGACAGGGATGCCCTCTCTCACCACTCCTGTTCAACATAGTGTTGGAAGTTCTGGCCAGGACAATCCGGCAGGAGAAAGAAATAAAGAGTATTCAATTAGGAAAAGAGGAAATCTAATTGTCCCTGTTTGCAGATGACATGATTGTATATCTAGAAAACCCCATTGTCTCAGCCCCAAATCTCCTTAAGCTGATAAGCAACTCCAGCAAAGTCTCAGGATACAAAATCAATGTGCAAAAATCACAAGCATTCTTATACACCAATAACAGACAAACAGAGAGCCAAATCATGAGTGAACTCCCATTCACAATTGCTTCAAAGAGAATAAAATACCTAGGAATCCAACTTGCAAGGGATGTGAAGGACCTTTTCTAGCTATTTTGAATTGTTTAATGCATTATTGTTAATTTTAGCCATCCTACTCTGCAATAGAACGCCAGAACTTAATCCTCCTATCTAGCTGTAGCTTTATACCTATTGCTCAGTTTCTCACCATTGCCCCTCACCTCATTCTTCCTCATCCTATAGTAACCATTATTCTACTCTTTACTTATGTGAAAATAACTTTCTATCATTCATACATGAATGAGATCATGCAATGTCTTTCTTTACATGGCTTATTTTACTTAATGTCCTCGAGGTTTATCTATGTTGCCACAAATGACAGGATTTCATTCTTATTTTTGGCTGGATAGTCTTCCACTATGTATGTATACCCCACATTTTTTAATCCATTCATCCATTGGTAGACATTTTGGTTGATTCCAAATCTTGGCTATTGTGAATAATGCTGTGATAAACATGAAAATGAAGATATCTCTTTGATATACTTGTTTTTCTTCTTTCTCTACCCAGCAGTGAGATTGCTGGATCATAGGGTAGCTCTATTTTTAATTTTTTGAAGAACTTTGATACTGCTTTCTGTAATGGACGTACTAATTTATATCCCCACTAGCAATATGTAAAGGTTCCTTTTTCTCTACATCCTCACCAACACTTGTCATCTTTTGATTTTTTGATAGTAGCTACTTAACCAAGCAGGTAAAAGATCTCTAAAATGAAAATTACAGAATATTAATAAAATTAATTGAAAAAAACACACAAAAAAATGAAAAGATATCTCATGTTCATGGACTCGAAGAATTAATATTTTTAAAATGACCATATACCTCAAAGCAATACACTAATTTAACACAATCTCTAACAAAATACCGATGGCATCCTTCACAGAAATACAAAAGTGCTAGAGGAAAACATAAGGGAAAAGCTCTGTGAGATTGGTCTATGCAAAGATGTTTTTTAATATACAACCTCAAAAGGACAGACAAACAAAATCAAATATAGGCAAATAAGATTACATCAAACTGAAAACCTTCTACACAACAATGGAAATAATCAACAGAGCAAGAGATAGCCAACAGAATGGGAGACTACATTTGCAAGCTATACGTATGGCAAATTTAATGTCTAAAATATACAAGGAATTCAAACAACTCAAAAACAAAAACAAAAGATTAAAAATAAGAAAAAATATCAAAATAGATATTTCTTAAAAGAAGACATGCAAATCGACAACAGATATGATATGGTTTGGCTATGTCCCCACCCAAATCTCATCTTGAATGTAACTCCCCCAATTCCCAAGAGTCATGAGAGGAACCAATGGGAGTTAATTGAATTATTGGGGCAGATCTTTCCTGCTCTGTTCTTGTGATAGTGAATGAAACTCACAGGATCAGGTGGGTTTAAAAATGGGAGTTTCCCTACACAAGCTCTCTCTTTTTCTGCTTGCAGCCATCCATGTATGATGTGACTTGCTCCTACATGCCTTCCACCATGATTATGAGGCCTCCTGAGCCATGTGGAACTGTAAGTCTGTTAAACCTCTTTTTCTTCCCAGTCTTGGGTATGTCTTTATCAGCAGTGTGAAAATGGACTAATACAAGATATATTAAAGAATACTCAACATCACTAATCATCAGGGAAATGCAAATCAAAATTACGAGATAGCACCTCACTCCAGTCAGAATGGCTATGGCTACTATAAAAAATTATGTCACTTTTGATCTGTAGCCATTATATTTAAAAGTTTCATCAATTCTAAGATGCATGTTTATAAAAAATCAATCTCTCTGAAATCAGGAGTATTTAATAATTGGAGACATTAAATTAAAGAAAATGCTATGTATCTTATTATTTTAAAGACAGCATCAGAATTCCCCAGGGGTTAAATTTGTAACATCATGTCCATGTGTAATTTTAAATTTATCCAATAAGAATAAGATGGTTGATTGAAGGTGCTTAATGCTTATTCCCATCCTCACAAAAATGGACCAAAACAGTAAACAAATAACTACATTTTGACCAGAGTGACTAAAGGAGAGTGCTGAAGTATAGCAAGGGAGTGGCAGAAACTCTGTGTGGCATGGAAACTCAGGATGGCTTCATAGAAAAGGGGTTGAAACACCTTGCTTCTGCCAGCCCATTCCCCGAGTTGGGATCAACTCAGAAACCAGGAGGGCCTTCTCTCTCTAAGGAAGAGGTAAGCAAGAGGCCCTGAGAGACCCTCATCACCACCACAGGCATTTGCAGTCTTCACTACTGGAGAAGCCTACAGTCCTCACAGGCACTGAGTCCAGTTTAGGGAGCTGCCTGGAGTTCATACAGCTGCATTACTCCAGGGGAGGAGCCCACATTGTGCCCTGCTCCTTGTTTTCCAACCTCCTACTGCAAGGTTCCATTTTCAAACCACAGCCCCTCTTAGAGTGTACCCTGCTCCAGGGACTAGTAGCCATTGCATCCCTCCATCCCAGAGATTCTGCTGTTATGGCTTCACATAGACACACAGTACTGCACCACATTCTCCAGCTATACTGCCCAGGAATCACTCTACCTCCCCCATCCCTGTTGCTGCTGCACCTCAACCTGCTACTTGAAACCACAGGCCCAGCAAAGAAACTGTGCTCCAAGTGCCCAAACCAATTCAGTTCCCTGTTCCGCAGGAATCAGAGCTTCAGCATAGGGAAGCAGCCATGACCCCAGCATCGAAGCCCATGCTGTGCCTTGCCCTTAGGAGACCAGGTGCTCTCATCTAGTGGAAAAGCTGTACCTAAGCCTGTGGAGCAGTCAAGGCCCCTCAGCTTTAACCAATCTGATTCCCCACCCCCAGGGAATCGCAGTTTTGGCCCTGAGAGCAGCTGAAAGCCTGACACTCAAGCCCATATGGAACCTTGTTCCCTGGAAACCAGATGCACGTGCCTTTCAGAGTAGCTGTGCCCTCAGCACTTGAAGCAACCCAGTACCTTGCCTCTCTGAATCAGAGCTTCAGCCCAGGGGAGTAGCTGTGACACTGGCGCTTGAGCCCATATAGCATCAGACCTCTCAGATATCCAGAGCCTGGTCCAGAAGAGCTGGACCAGGTACCCCCTGGCACCTGAGTGATGTGGTGCCTTACACTCAGGGAAACAGAGCCTTGGATGAGCTGTGCCACCCCACTGTCTGGGCTGAACAGCTGCAGTGGCCTGCTTCCATGAATCTGGACTATCCCACTGAAGTCTGAGTGGTTGAGTTAGGCCATAATTACACTGCTTCTTACCCTCTGGAGTTCAAGTCACTGCTGTACCCTGCCATTCCTGGGTCCTTTCTATCATCACACTTGGCATCACAAAGTTTGAGCCAGTGCTGTATCCTACCACTCCAGTGTCCAGAGTCACCACTGTGTGGTGTAATTTCTCCTGTTGCTCGAGTTACCACTGTGCCCTGTTGTATCTTGGAGCCCAAATTGCAGCTGTTCCCTGCTTTAAGGAACACAATAATGCTCTAGTAACTAACCTCAAAGAAATGAAAATCTATGAATTATTTGAAAAGGAATTTGAAACAATGCTTTAAGGATACTCAGTAAGATACAGGAGAATACAGATAGACAATTTAATGAAATTAGAAAAACAATTCATAATAAAAATGAAAAATTCAACAAAAAGATGTTATAGAAAAGAACCAACAGAGATCTTGGAGCTGAGGAACACTATGAATGAAATAGAAAAAAACGATTGAGAGTCACAGTAAATTACATAAAGGAGAAGGAAGAATCTTTGAACTTGAAGACAGGTCTTTCGAAATCAACTAATCCATGGAAAAAAACAAGTTTAAAAAAAGAGTGAAGAAAGCCTATAGGACTTATGGGATACCATTAAGCAAACAAAGATTTGCATTATGGGAATTCCAGAGTACAAAGAGATGGTGAAGGTCACAGAAACATTATTTAACAAAATAATTATGGAAAACTTCTCAAGTCTTGGAAGCGATTTGGGTATCCAGATCCATTTGGCTCAAACCACAAACAGGTTCAACTCAAAGAGGTCCATATTGAGGCACATTATAATCAAAATGTCAAAAGTCAAAGACAAAGAAAAATTTAAAAGCAACAAGAGAATATCATTAAATGACAGAGAAGAAAATCTCCTTTAGTCTATCCACAGATTTCTCAGCAGAAACTTTTCAGGCCAGGAGAAAATGGGATGATATATTCAAAATGCTGAAAGAAAAATCTGCCAGTCAAGAATACTCTATCTAGTAAAACTGTCCTACAGAAATGAAGGAGAAATAAAGTATTTCCTAGACAAACAAAAGTTGAGGGAATTCATTACCACTAGAACTGCCTTACATGATATGCCTAAGGGAGTGTTTCAACCAGAAATGAAAGCATGATAATTACTAATATGAAAATGTATGAAATAAAACTCATTGGCAGAGGTAAATTCATAATCAAATTCAAAATGCTCTGTGACAGAAATGGTGGTGGGTAAATCTTTCAAATCTCTAGTATGAAGGTTAAAAGTCAAAATGGTAAAAATAAGTAACTATAGTTACCATAAGTTGCTAAGGAATATACAATACAAAAGAATGCAAATTGTGGTAACCCTATTATAAATCATAATGAGGAGGATAAAATATTTGATGTGACCCAAATTAAGTTGTTATCAGCTAAAAATAGCTTATTGTAAGTATAAGATATTTTATGTAAACCCCATGATAACTACAAAGCAAAAAACTACAGCACATACACGAACAAGAAAGAGAAAAAAAAAAATAAAAATTAGCACTACAGAAAATCACCAAATCACCAAGGTGAACAATAAGAGAGGAAGAAAGAAAAGTGATCTAACAATGTCAACAAAATGGCAGCAATAAATCCTTACCTATCATTAAAAAACTTAAATGTAAATAGATTAAACTCTCTTATTAGAAGACAAAAAAGTGGCTGAATGGATTTAAAAAAAGAAGATGCAACTATATTGTGCTTACAAGAGACCATTTTTGTTTTAAGGATAAATAAAGTTTGAAAGTGAGATAGAAGAAGATATTACAGGCCACTAGTAACTAGAAAAAAGCTGAGGTGGTTTTATTTATATCAGTTAAAATAGACATTAAGTCAAGAACTGTTATAACAGACAAAAGGGTCATTATTTAATAATAAAGGAGTCAACTCATCAAGAAGACAATTTATAATTTGTAATCACAATATTTACAATTTTCATAATTATAAATGTAGATGCACTCAACATAAAATCACATAAATATATAAAGCGAATTTTAATGAACATGAGGGAAGAAATAGATAGCAATACAATAATACTAGGGTACTTTAATATCCCACTTTCAATAATGGATAGATCAGCTGGACAGAAGGTTCACAAGGAAATTCTGGAACGGAACTGAACTTTACACCAATTGGACCTTAGAGACACATATAGAGTTTTTCATCTGACAGTAGCAGAATATATATTCTTCTTTAACATTCATGAGATGTACTTCAGTATACACCATATGTTAGGCCACGAAACAAGTCTTAGCAAATTAAAAGATATTGAAATTATATCTAGTATTGTCTCCAACCAGAATAGTACCATTGTAGTTTCATAGTGGAAATCAGCAACAGGAAGAATCTTGGAAAATTTACAAATATGTGGAAATTAAACAACATGCTTCTGAAAAACCAAGGTTAAAGAAAAAAAATAAGAGAAAACTTAAAAAATTTCTTGAGACAAATGGCAATGGAAGCACAACATATCCCAACCTATGGGATACAGCAACAGCAAAAGCAATTCTAAGAGGGAAGTTGATAGCAATAAGTGCCTACATTAAAAATGAAGAAATATCCCCAAAACATAGCCCAACATTATGCTTCAAGGGGCTAGAAAAAGAACAAACTAAACCCAAAGTTAGTAGAAGGAAATAAATAATAAAGATCAGAGAAAAAAATAAATCAAATAGAAAACAGAAAACTACAGAAAAAAATCAATAAAATCAAGAGTTGGATTTTTGAGAAATTAAACAAAATAATCAAATCTGTCAACTAAGAAAAAAAAGAGAGAAGACTCAAAAAATAAAATTAGAAATGAAAGTGGAGACATTATAACAGATATATCAGAAATAAAAAGGGTCATAAGGGACTATTATGAACAATTCTATGCCAACAAATAGAATAAACTAGACGACATTGATAAATTTCTAGAAAAATATAACCTACCAAGTTTGAGTCAGGAAGTAATAGAAAGTTTGAGTAAATCAATAACAAATAAAGAGATGGAAGAGTTTAAAACCTATAAGCCCAAGACCAGGTGGCTTTTTGGTTGAATTCTACCAAAAATTCAAAGAAGCATCATCATCAGTACTTCTTAAATGTATGCAAAAAATAGAGCTAGCAGAAATACTTCCAAACACATTTTCGAAGCCAGCATCACTTTGCTACTTAAACCAGAAAAAGATACCACAAGAGAACAAAACTACAGGCCAATATCTCTGATGATCTTTGATGCAAACATCTTCAATAAAATATTAGCAAACCGAATTCAAGAACACATCAAGAAGATTACACATCATGGCCAAGTGAGATTTATCTCTGCCATGCAAAGCTTTTTTAAAAATTAATCAATATGATATAAAATTAAATCAATGTGATTTATCATATTAACAGAATGCAAGAAAATACGTGATCATCTCAAGTGACACAGAGAAAAGCATTTGACAAAAGTTCAGCATTCTTTCTTCATAAAAACTCTTAACAGTTTAGATACAGAAAGTTTCTCAACATAACAAAGGTCATTTATGAAATATCCACAGATAACATCATATCAGTGGGGAACAAGTGAAAGTTTTCTACTAAGATCCAGTTCAAGGTAGGAATGCACACCTTTACCACTTCTATTCAATATAGTACTGCAAGTACAATACAATACTGCAAGAGCAATCAGAGAAGAAGAAAAAATAAAGGCATCCAGACTGAGAAGAAAGAAATAAGATTATCTGTATTTGCAGATGACATAATTGTATTGTAGAAATCCCTAAATATTTCACAAAAAAACCACACTATGACAAATAAAGATATTCAGTAAAGTTGCAGGATACAAAAGGAACATACAAAAATCATTAGCATTTCTATACACCAATAGAAATGTAGCTGAAAAAAAAAATCAAGAAAACAATTTCATTTAGAATAGCATAAAAAATACCAAAGGGGTGAAACATTTATATAATGAAAATTATAAAACTTAAATGAAAGAAATTGAAGAAGACACAAAAATTGGAAAGATAACATGTGCTCATGGATTGGAAGAAGTAAAATTGTTAAAATGTCCTGCTACCCCAAATCAGTATGCAGATGTAACACAATCCCTATCAAAATTCCAATGGCATTCTTCATAGAGATAGCAAAAACAATAGAAATAGAAATAGAGAAACAATTTTAAAATTTATATAGAACCACAAAAAACCAGACTAGCCAAAATAAAACAAAGACAAAGTTGGAAGCATCAAGCATCGCACATCCTGATTTAAAGTTATATTCCAAAGCTATAGTAATCAAAATAGTATGATACTAGCATTAAAACAGAACCATAGACCCAAGAAACAGGATAGAAAGCCCACAGATAAATTCAAACATATATGATCGACTGATTTTCAACAAGGGCACCAAGAGAACACAATGGGAAAAGGATAGTTTCCTCAGTAAAAGGTGCTGTGAAAACTTGATTTCCACATGCAAAATGATAAAATTGGACACAATTTTACACCTATGTAAAAATCAACTCAAAATGAATGAAAGGCCTAAGTGTTAGACCTGAAATCATAAAACCATAAAACTCCTAGAAGAGAACATCACGTGAAATCTCCTTGACATTGCCTGACAATGACTTTTTGGATATCACATCAAAAGCTCAGGCTACAAAAGCAAAATGATAATAAATGACCATTACTGGTTTATGTGTTTACTATACTATAAATTATTATTTTAGAGTGTACTTTTTCTATTTATTAAAAACAATGTTAATTGTAAAACAGTATCAGGCAGGTCCTTCAGGAAGTACCCAGAAGAAGGCATTGTTGTCATGGGAGATGAGAGCATATGTGTTATTGATGCTGAAGGCCTTCCAGTGGGACAAGATGTGGAGGCAGGAGACAGTGATATGGATGATCTTGACCCTGAGTAGGCCTAGCCTAATATGTATGTTTATGTCTTCGTTTTTAACAAGAAAATTTAAAAGTAAAAAAGTAAAATAATTTTAACATAGAACAAAGCTAATAGCATAGGGATAAAAATAGAAAATATTTTTGTACAGCTGTACAATGTGCTTTTGTTTTAAGCTAAGTGTTATTATAAAAGAGTCAAACAGATAAAAACCATTAACAAGTTTATAAAGTAAAAATGTTACAGTAAGTAGGGTAAGTTTATAATTGAAGAAAGAAAATGTAAAAATAAGTTTAGTGTAGCCCAAGTGTACAGTGTTTATAAAGTCTACAGTAGTGTACAGTAATGTCCTAGTCCTTCACATTCACTCATTGCTCACTCAGTGACTCACCCAGATCAGCTTCTAGTTCAGCAAGCTCCATTCATGGTAAGTGCTCTATATAGGTGTACCACTTATTATCTTTTATACCATGTTTTTACTGTACCTTTTCTATGTTTAGATATACAAACACTTATCCTTACGTTACATTTGATTACAGTATTTTACTACAATAACATCCTATACAGGTTTATAGTGTAGAAACAATAGGCTATACCATGTAACCTAAATATGTAGTAGCATATGGCATCAGGTTTGTGTAAGTGCACTCTATGGTGTTCAAAAAACAACAAAATTACCTAACAGTGCATTTCTCAGAATGTGTCCACATCATTAGGTGATGTATGACTGTATTTAAAAAGGTGCTCCGTACCACCATTCATCAAGGAAATGAAAATTAAAACCACTATGAGATATCACCTCACACCTGTTTGAATGGCTGTTATCAAAAGGACAAGAGATAATAAATGTTGGCAAGGTTGCAGAGAAAAGGAGACCCTAATACATTGTTAGTGGGAATGTAGCTTGGTACAAATGTTATGGAAGATGATCTGGAGGTTCCTAAGAAATTAAAAAATAGAACTACCATATTACCCAGCAATCCCTTTTTTGGGGTATATACCCAAAGGAGATGAAATCATCATCCCTGCACTTCTGTGTTCACTGCAGCAATATTCAGAATAGCCAAAATATGGAAACAACCTAAACGTCTGTCAACAGATGAATGGATAATAACAATAACAATGGGGCACTATATAGCTAATATAATAGCTAATAGCTATTATATTATAGCTATTGTAATTGTATATATATATATATATATACACATTCTATATGTACATATATATGTGCAATGAAATGTTATTCAGTCTTAAAAAAGGAATAGACCTGTGTGACATTATGCTAAGGGAAATAAACCAGACACAGAAAGAAAAATAGTACATTGCCTCACTCACATGTGGAATCTAAAAATAAAATAAAAGGTCAAATATGGATTCCCGGGCATGATGGCTGAATAGGAACAACTCTGGTCTGCAGCTCCCAGAGACGAATGCAGAAGGCGGGTGATTTCTGCATTTCCAACTAAGGTACCTGGTTCATCTCATTGGGACTGGTTAGACAATGGATGCAGCCCACCGAGGATGAACAAAAGCAGGGTGGGGCATTGCCTCACCTGGGAAGCACAAAGGGTCAGGGAACAACCTCCCCTAGCTAAGGGAGGCCATGAGGGACTGTGCCATGAAGGATGGTGCTATCAGGCTCAGATACTACGCTTTTCCCATGGTCTTAACAACCCACAGACCAGGAGATTCTCTTGGGTGCCTATACCACAAGGGCCCTGGGTTTCAAGCAGAAAACTGGGCAGCCGTTTGGGCAGACACTGAGATAGCTGCAGGAGTTTTATTTTGTACTCCAGTGGCACCTGGAACACCAGCAAGACAGAACCGTTTACTCCCCTGGAAAGGGGGCTGAAGTCAGGGAAGCAAGTGGTCTTGCTCAGCAGATCCCACCCACACCGAGCCCAGCAAGCTAAGACCCACTGACTTGAAATTCTCGCTGCCAGCACGGCAGTCTGAAGTGGACCTGAGATGCTCGAGCTTGGTGGGGGGAGGGGCATCCACCATTACTGAGCCTTGAGTAGGCTGTTTGCCTCTCACAGTGTAAACAAAGCCACCGGGAAGTTTGGACTGGACGGAGCCCACTGCAGCACCGCAAAGCCACTGTAGCCAAACTGCCTTTCTAGATTCCTCTTCTCTGGGCAGGGCATCTCTGAGAGAAAGTCAGCAGCCCCAGTCAGGGGATTATAGATAAAACTCCCATCTCCCTGGGACAGAGCACCTGGGGGAAGGGGCAGCTGTGGGTGAAGCTTCAGTAGACTTAAACGTTCCTGCCTGCCAACTCTGAAGAGAGCAGCAGATCTCCCAGCACAGTGCTTGAGCTCTGCTATGGGACAGACTGCCTCCTTAAGTGGGTCCCTGACCCCTGTGCATCCTGACAGGGAGACATCTCCCAGCAGGGTTTGACAGACACCTCATACAGGAGAGCTCTGGCTAGCAGGTGGTGGGTGCCCCTCTGGGATGAAACTTCCACAGGAAGGATCAGGCAGCAATCATTGCTGTTCTGTAGCCTCCACTGGTGATACCCAGGCAAACAAGGTCTGGAGTGGACCCCCAGCAAACTCCAGCAGACTTGCAGAAGAGGGGCCTGACTGTTAGAAGGAAAACTAAGAAACAGAAAGCAATAGCATCAACCTTGACAAAAAGGACAACCACTCAAAAACTTCATCCATAGGTTACCAACAGCAAAGACCAAAGTTTGATAAATCCATGAAGATGAGGATAAACCAGTGCAAAAAGGCTGAAAATTCCAAAAACCAGAATGCCTTATTTCCTCCAAAGGACCACAGTCCTCACCAGCAAGGGAACAAAAGTGGACGGAGAGTGAGTTTGACGAATTGTCAGAAGTAGACTTCAGAAGGTGGGTAATAACAAACTCCTCCAAGCTAACGGAGCATGTTCTAACACGATGCAAGGAAGCTAAGAACCTTGACAAAAGGTTAGAGGAGTTGCTAACTAGAATAACCAGTTTAGAGAAGGACATAAATGACCTGATGGAGCTGAAAAACACAGCACGAAAACTTCATGATGCATACACAAGTATCAATAGCTAAATCGATCAAGTGGAATAAGGGATATCAGAGATTGAAGAGCAACTTAATGAAATAAAGTGTGAAGACAAGATAAGAGAAAAAAGAATGAAAAGGAACAAATAAGTCCTCCAAGAGATATGGAACTATGTGAAAAGACCAAACCTACATTTGATCGGTGTACCTGAAAGTGATGAGGAGAATGGAACCAAGTTGGAAAACACTCTTCAGGATATTATCCAGCAGAACTTCCCCAGCCTAGAAAGACTGGCCAACATTCAAATTCAGGAAATACAGAGAACACCACAAAGATACTCCTTGAGAAGAGCTACCCCAAGACACATAATTGTCAGATTCACCAAAGTAGAAATGAAGGAAAAAATGTTAAGGGCAGCCGGAGAGAAGGGTTGGGTTACCCACAAAGGGAATCCCATCAGACTAACAGCAGATCTTTCAGCAGAAACCCTGCAAGCCAGAAGAGAGTGGGGGCCAATATTCAACCTTCTTAAGGAAAATAATTTTCAACCCAGAATTTCATATTCAGCCAAATGAAGGAGAAATAAAATCCTTTACAGACAAGCAAATGCTGAGGGATTTTGTCACCACCAGGCCTGCCTTAGAAGAGCTCCTGAAGGAAGCACTAAATATGGAAAGGAAAAACCGGTACCAGCCACTGCAAAAACAAGCCAAAATGTAAAGACCATTGACACTATGAAGAAACTGCATCAACTAATGGGCAAAATAACTCACTACCATCATAATGCTGATATCAAATTCACACATAATAAAATTAACTTTAAATGTAAACAGGCTAAATGCCCCAATCAAAAAGCGCAAACTGGCAAATTGGATAGAGTCAAGACCCATTGGTGTGGTGTATTCAGGAGACCCATCTCAAGTGCAAAGACACACATAGGCTCAAAATAAGGGATGGAGGAAGATTTACCAAGCAAATGGAAAGCAAAAAAAAAAAAAAAAAAAAAAAAAAGAAAGAAAAAAAAAGCGCGGAGTCTCTAATATAACAGACTTTAAACCAATAAAGATAAAAAAGTCAAAGAAGGGCATTACATAATGGTAAAGGGATCAATGCAACAAGAAGGGTTAAACTATCCTAAATACATATGCACCTGATACAGGAGCACACAGATTCATAAAGCAAGTTCTTAGAGACCTGCAAAGACACTTAGACTCCCAAACAATAGTGGAAGACTTTAACACCCCACTGTCAATATTAGACAGATCAAAGAGACAGAAAATTATCAAGGAGATTCAGGACTTGAACTCAGCTCTGGACCAAGCAGACCTAATAGACGTCTACAGAACTCTCCACCCCAAATCAACAGAATATACATTCTTCTCAGCACCACATAGCACTTATTCTGAAATCGACCACATAATGGAAGTAAAGCACTCCTCAACAAATGCAAAAGAACAGAAATCATAACAGTCTCTCAGACCCCTGTGCAATCAAATTAGAACTCAGGATTAAGAAACTCCCTCAAAACTGCACAACTACATGGAAACTGAACAATCTGCTCCTGAATGACTACTAGGTAAATAACAGAATTAAGACAGAAATAAATAAGTCCTTTGAAACCAATGAGAACAAAAACACAACATAGCAGAATATCTGGGACACAGCTAAAGCAGTGTGTAGAGGGAACTTTATAGCACTAAATGCCCACAGGAGAAAGTGGAAAGATCTAAAATCTACACCCTAACATCACCATTAAAAGAACTAGAGAAGCAAGAGGAAACAAATTCAAAAGCTAGCAGAAGACAAGAAATAACTAAGATCAGAGCAGAACTCAAGGAGATAGAGACAAGAAAAACCCGTCAAAAAAACAATGAGTCCAGGAGTTGGTTTTTTGAAAAGATTAACAAAATAGACCACTAGCCAGAATAATAAAGAAGAAAAGAGGGAAGAATCAAATAGACACAATAACAAATGATAGAGGGAAGATCACCACTGATCCCACAGAAATACAAACTACCATCAGAGAATACGATAAGCACCTTTACACAAATGAAATAGAAATAGAAAATCTAGAAGAAATGGATAAATTTCTGGACACATACACCCTCCCAAGAGTAAACTAGGAAAAGTTGAATCCCTGAATAGACCAATAACAAGTTCTGAAATTGAGGCAGTAATTAATAGCCTACCAGCCATAAAAAGCCCAGGACTGGATGGATTCACAGGCAAATTCTACCAGAGGTACAAAGAGGAGCTGGTACCATTCCTTCTGAAACTATTCCAAACAATAGAAAAAGAGGGACTCCTCCATAACTCATTTTATGAGGCCAGCATCATCCTGATACCAAAACGTGGCAGAGACACAACAAAAAAAGAAAATTTCAGGCAGATATCCCTGATGAACCTCGATGCGAAAATCCTCAATAAAAAACTGGAAAAATGAATCTAGCAGCATATTAAAAAGCTTATCCATCAAAATCAAGTTGGCTTCATCCCTGGGATGCAAGGCTGGTTTAACATACATAAGTCAATAAATGTAATCCATTACATAAACAGAACCAATGACAAACAACACATGATTATCTCAATAGATGAAGAAAATGCCTCTGATAAAATTCAATCCCCCTTCATGCTAGAAACTCTCAATAAACTAGGTATCGATGGAACATATCTCAAAATAATAAGAGCTATTTATGACAAACCCACAGCCAATATCATACTGAAGGGGCAAAAGCTGGAAGCGTTCCTTTGAAAACCGGCACAAGACAAGGATGCCCTCTCTCACCACTCCTATTCAACATAATATTGGCAGTTCTGGCCAGGGCAATCAGGCAAGAGAAGGAAATGAAGGGTATTCAAATAGGAAAAGAGAAAGTTAAATTATCTCTGTTTGCAGATGACATGATTGTATATTTAGAAAACCCCATTGTCTCAGCCCGAAACCTCCTTAAGCTGATAAGCAACTTCGGCAAAGTCTCAGGATACTAAATCAATGTGCAAAAATCATAAGCATTCCTATACACCAATAATGGACAAACAGAGAGGCAAATCATGAGCAAACTCCCATTCACAATTGCTACAAAGAGAATAAAATACCTAGGAATACCACTTACAATGGATGTGAAGGACCTCTTCAAGAGAACTACAAATCACTGCTCAAGGAAATAAGAAAGGACACACACAAATGGAAAAATCTTCCATGCTCATGGATAGGAAGAATCAATATTGGGAAAATGGCCAGACTGCCCAAAATAATTGATAGGTTCAATGCGATCACCATCAAGCTACCATTGACTTTCTTCACAGAATTAGAAAAAAACTACTTTAAATTTCATATGAAACCAAAAAAGAGCCCGTATAGCCAAGACAATGCTAGGCAAAAAGAATAAAGCTGGAGGCATCACGCTATCTGACTTCAAACTATACTACAAGGCTACAGTAACCGAAACAGCATGGTACTGGTACCAAAACAAAACAGGCATTTGGACCAATGGAACAGAACAGAGGCCTCAAAAATAACACCACGCATCTACAACCATCTGATCTTTGACAAACCTGACAAAAACAAGCGATGGGGAAAGGATTCCCTATTGAATAAATGGTGTTGGGAAAACTGGCCAGCCATATGCAGAAAACTGAAACTGGATCCCTTCCTTACACCTTATACAAAACTTAACTCAAGATGGATTAAAGATTTAAACATAGGACCTAAAACCATAAAAATCCTAGAAGAAAACCTTGGCAATACCATTCAGGACATAGGCCTGGGCAAAGACTTCATGACTAAAACACCAAAAGCAATGGCAACAAAAGCCAAAATTGACAAATGGGATCTAATTAAACTAAAGAGCTTTTGCACAACAACAGAAACTATCACCAGAGTGAACAGGCAACCTACAAAATGGGGTAAAATTTTTGCGATCTATCCATCTGACAAAGGGCTAATATCCAGAATCTATAAGGAACATAAACAAATTTACAAGAAAAAGAAAACCCCATCAAAAAGTGGGCAAAGGATATGAACAGATACTTTTCTTTTTTTATTTTGTTATTATTATTATGCTTTAAGTTTTAGGGTACATGTGCACAATGTGCAGGTTAGTTACATATGTATACATGTGCCATGCTGATGTGCTGCACCCATTAACTCGTCGTTTAGCATTAGGTATATCTCCTAATGCTATCCCTACCCCCTACCCCTACCCCACAACAGTCTCCAGAGTGTGATGTTCCCCTTCCTGTGTCCATGTGTTCTCATTGTTCAATTCCCACCTATGAGTGAGAACATGCAGTGTTTTGTTTTTTGTCCTTGCGATAGTTTACTGAGAATGGTGATTTCCAATTTCATCCATGTCCCTACAAAGGACATGAACTCATCATTTTTTATGGCTGCATAGTATTCCATGGTGTATATGTGCCACATTTTCTTAATCCAGTCTATCATTGTTGGACATTTGGGTTGGTTCCAAGTCTTTGTTATTGTGAATAGTGCCACAATAAACATACGTGCACATGTGTCTTTATAGCAGCATGATTTACAGTCCTTTGGGTATATACCCAGTAATGGGATGGCTGGGTCAAATGGTATTTCTAGTTCTAGATGCCTGAGGAATCGCCACAGTGACTTCCACAAGGGTTGAACTAGTTTACAGTCCCACCAACAGTGTAAAAGTGTTCCTATTTCTCCACATCCTCTCCAGCATTTGCTGTTTCCTGACTTTTTAATGATTGCCATTCTAACTGGGGTGAGATGGTATCTCATTGTGGTTTTGATTTGCATTTCTCTGATGGCCAGTGATGATGAGCATTTTTTCATGTGTTTTTTGGCTGCATAAATGTACTCTTTTGAGAAGTGTCTGTTCATGTCCTTTGCCCACTTTTTGATTGGGTTGTTTGATTTTTTCTTGTAAATTTGTTTGAGTTCATTGTAGATTCTGGATATTAGCCCTTTGTCAGATGAGTAGCTTGCGAAAATTTTCTCCCATTTTGTGGGTTGCCTGTTCACTCTGATGGTAGTTTCTTTTGCTGTGCAGAAGCTCTTTAGTTTAATTAGATCCCATTTGTCAATTTTGGCTTTTGTTGCCATTGCTTTTGGTGTTTTAGACATGAAGTCCTTGCCCATGCCTATGTCCTGAATGGTAATGCCTAGGTTTTCTTGTAGGGTTTTTATGGTTTTAGGTCTAACATTTAAGTCCTTAATCCATTTTGAATTAATTTTTGTATAAGGTGTAAAGAAGGGATCCAGTTTCAGCTTTCTACATATGGCTAGCCAGTTTTCCCAGCACCATTTATTAAATAGGGAATCCTTTCCCCATTGCTTGTTTTTCTCAGGTTTGTCAAAGATCAGATAGTTGTAGATATGCGGCGTTATTTCTGAGGGCTCTGTTCTGTTCCATTGACCTATATCTCTGTTTTGGTAGCAGTACCATGCTGTTCTGGTTACTGTAGCCTTGTAGTATAGTTTGAAGTCAGGTAGCGTGATGTCTCCAGCTTTTTTCTTTTGGCTTATGATTGACTTGGCAATGCAGGCTCTTTTTTGGTTCCATATGAACTTTAAAGTAGTTTTTTCCAATTCTGTGAAGAAAGTCATTGGTAGCTTGATGGGGATGGCATTGAGTGTATAAATTACCTTGGGCAGTATGGCCATTTTCACAATATTGATTCTTCCTACCCATGAGCATGGAATGTTCATGCATTTCTTTGTATCATCTTTTATTTCGTTGAGCAGTGGTTTGTAGTTCTCCTTGAAGAGGTCCTTCACATCCCTTGTAAGTTGGATTCCTAGGTATTTTATTCTCTTTGAAGCAATTGTGAGTGGGAGTTCACTCATGATTTGGCTCTCTGTTTGTCTGTTATTGGTGTATAAGAATGCTTGTGATTTTTGTACATTGATTTTGTATCCTGAGACTTTGCTGAAATTGCTTATCAGCTTAAGGAGATTTTGGGCTGAGACAATGGGGTTTTCTAGATACACAATCATGTCATCTGCAAACAGGGACAATTGGACTTCCTCTTTTCCTAATTGAATACCCTTTATTTCCTTCTCCTGCCTAATTGCCCAGGCCAGAACTTCCAACACTATGTTGAATAGAAGTGGTGAGAGAGGGCATCCCTGTCTTGTGCCAGTTTTCAAAGGGAATGCTTCCAGTTTTTGCCCATTCAGTATGATATTGGCTATGGGTTTGTCATAGATAGCTCTTCAGAATTTTAGACCAATATCCTTGATGAACATTGATGCAAAAATCCTCAATAAAATACTGGCAAACTGAATCCAGCAGCACATCAAAAAGCTTATCCACCATGATCAAGTGGGCTTCATTCCTGGGATGCAAGGCTGGTTCAATATACGCAAATCAATAAATGTAATCCAGCATATAAACAGAACCAAAGACAAAAACCACATGATTATCTCAGTAGACGCAGAAAAGGCCTTTGACAAAATTCAACAATGCTTCATGCTAAAAACTCTCAATAAATTAGGTATTGAGGGGACGTATCTCAAAATAATATGAACAGACACTTTTCAAAAGAAGATGTTTATGCAGCCAACAAACATATGGGAAAAAGCTAATCATCACTGGTCATTAGAGAAATGCAAATCAAAACCACAGTGAGATACCATCTCACCCTAGTTAGAATGGCAATCATTACAATGTCAGGAAACAACAGATGCTGGAGACGATGTGGAGAAATAGGAACGCTTTTACACTGTTGGTGGGAGTGTAAAATAGTTCAACCATTGTGGAAGACAGTGTGGCGAATCTTCAGGGATCTAGAACTAGAAATACCATTTGACCCAGCCATCCCATTACTGGGTATATACCCAAAGGATTATAAATTATTATATTATAAGGACACATGCACACATATGTTTATTGCAGCACTATTCACAATAGCAAAGACTTTGAACCGACCCAAATGCCCATCAACGATAGACTGGATAAAGAAAATGTGGCACATATACATCATGGAATACTATGCAGCCATAAAAAAGAATGAGTTCATGTTCTTTGCAGGGACATAGGTGAAACTGGAAACCATCATTCTCAGCAAGCTAACACTGGAACAGAAAATCAAACACCACATGTTCTCACTCATAATTGGGAGATGAACAATGAGAACATGTGGGCACAGGGAGGCGAACATCACACACGGGGGCCTGTTGTGGGGTGGGAGGAAAGGGGAGGGATAGCATTAGGAGAAATACCTAATGTAGATGACGGGATGATGGGTGCAGTGGACCACCATGGCACATGTATACCTATGTAACAAACCTGCAAGTTCTGCACATGTATCCCAGAACTGAATATATATATATATATGTAAAATATACAGAGATACAAAATAAAACATCAGTCACCATGGGTGGGGGTGAGGGGTAGGAAATGGAGAGACATAGGTTAAAGGATAGCAAAATAGCAGATGTGTAGAATGAACCAGTCTAGAAATACAATGAACAACATGAGGACTATAGTTAATGAGGTTGTATTGTACCAGGATTTTTTTGTTAAACAAGTAGATTTTAGCTGCTTCTGTCACATAAAAGAAATTAACTCTGTGAGATGATAGATATGCTAATTTGCTTCACTGTAGTTAGCCATTTTAATATCTATAGGTATCCCATAACATCGTGTTGTAAACTTCAAATGTACACAACAAAATTTATTCCTAAAATAATAAATAAATTTATCCAGTGTAAGTTTCTTTCAAATAAATGTTCAGGCTCAAACTGAACAGAACCCTAAAGCTGTGAAAATTCAGAGCTTCTGACATCAAAGCCCACCACCGAGCACAAGAAATGTACACCAAGTGTTTCTGCTATGAATTAATTCCCATCAGCTGAGAAAGTGGGATATAGCTGACAACAAAAAATGTAGAGAAGCCTATAAATCAAGTTTGCTATTTATTTCATATTACAAAATTATTGAGTAAGGAGTATATTTTCAAAGGATTTATGGGAATTAGGGAGCTGAACACGCTTTTGTTGCTTTGAAATTTTACCCACAATGGTTTAACTACATTCATAATAACAGTTATTTTCTGTTGGACTTCGACACATGTTTTTAACTTTGAACAATATTGCATTTTGTACCATGATTAACATTGTTCATTCACTAGTTTTGAGACAACATGCTAGTCCTGTTGATGCAAAACTTGTTACTTTGCTAGATCATCAGATGGCATAGCCTTTCTGAGTTTGTGTGAGGTTTTCCAGAACTGTGGCCTGGGAACTTCCATCCATGCATCACACCTAAGAGCTCACAATCCCACAACAGCAGAGCATTGGATTGTTATTGAGTCACAACAGCTGACAGACCCATCTGGCTTGTGGCCATCATATATTGAGAACTCACTGAAAAATGGACTGTGAGATCCAGGTGGCAGAGCTCTGGAGCGGAAATTCAAAGCCAGCCATAAACATTCAATGAAGCAGCTGCCTCTTTATCAGGATTTGAAATAACCTTAAGGAACCCACTACCCAAGCTTGGCTCTGAAGCCGCTTTCGCACTTGATACTGCCATATTGGCTTAAATTACAATATTACTCACTCCACTGAGTTATGTTATTACAGACTTTATGAAAATGCATCTTTCTTAACAAGACTTGTGTTTAGGTTCCTAAGGCCCTACCCACACTGTACGACCAGCTCCGCAGTAAAACATGTTTCTGGCATGTTTGGATTGATTATAGGCTCTATCTTGGACTCTTACCTAAAGTTACTTGCTCTCTGCTTCCATATATTTTTAATCTCCCGATTTTAGTTTAGCCTGTCTTTCTAGATCTGAGGCTTGAGAGCAACTATAAAGAAGTTCATAACATCTAGAAATAATTATGAGTTATTTTATTAGATAATAAATACTTTAGCCATAGTCTAGTCATGAAGCAGCAGGACAGTATGCAGGTATAAATTGAATGTAGTAGAAGAAAGAAAGGTGTTAAAAATGAGATGATAAGAGGCTCATAATCAGAGAAGAGAAAAAGTGATGGAAGAACTTGGTAGATTGGAACAATTAGGAGTTTAAACAGTTTAAACATAGGTAAAGAGAGGTTTACTGGAGGAAAGGTTATTTAATTTACAAAGTAGACAGAGAAGCTACATAGCTTGGGTTTACTTTCATTATCATTTAGCTAAGGATTAGAACTACAGAAATATTTATTAGTTCCTATAAACAAATAAGTAAAATCAAAGTGTATTTTCCAGTGTCTTCTAGAATGTGTTATTTGGAATGCCAATTACATGAGATTGCTTGTGAAAATAGAGTTTCTGGACTAATAAAACTAGGAAATGAAGCATGGTCAATCCTCCACTTGGAGATACACTCAACATGTTAGCATATTGGTGGCCTTGACATGTCTAGATTAAAGAATAACAAAACTGGTTTGACTTATTAAATTCCGCCTTCTTTTTCCAAATGAAAGGTTAACTTATTGAGGAGCATAGTTTAATAAATTCTGTTTATGTAATGTAAGGAAGCCAAAAAATACCCTTTACAAGTAGATGCTCACGTAACAAGCAAGATTCTGAACCACGAGATTTCAAAATTTTGAGTTCTAAGCTCTACGAAACCTATATTTACTTGTCAGTTATATACGTTACTACATTCTGACATATTATGTATATTATTGTCAGATAAAAATACAGAAGATGATAAAAATGTTTAGGATAGATTTATTTTAATTTTGGCTGTTTAAAAACTTTTTTCTTTCACTAAACTATTTTAATTAATGATAGGTTTTAGTGAACAATGTGATTAAATTTTCTTTTGATTGTTGAAAACTTTGGCTTATGTCATAATTTAAAATTTGTAACACAATGGATCAAAGAAGGGGTCCTAAGTTGAGTTTATTTCCATATTAGATTAAATGACTGTCATTTATGAAAAAGATACTTAAAAAGACAAAAAGAACAAATCAAAGATGGCATCAAATTCTCATGCACTGATACCTACAGGTGTAATATTCATATAGAGTTAGTTACAGCGTTAGCAATGGTGGACATGGATCCATATTTTGAGAAGTCTTCTTAATTATAGGAATACCTTGGATATATTGTGGGCCCAGTTGTGACTATTGCAACAAAAAGAAGAAAGGCATAGCTCATTTTATTGTACTTCACTTTATTGTGCTTCACAGATACTGCATTTTTTATAGTTTGAAGGTTTGTAATAACCGTGCATCATGCAAGTCTATGAGAACAATTTTTCTGATAGCATGTGCTCACTTTGTGTCTTTGTGACACATTTTGATAATTCTTGCAATGTTTCAAACTTTTATTATTATTATGTCAGTTACGGTGATCTGTGATCAGTGAGCTTGATGTTACTATTGTGATTGGAGCATCATGAACAGAGCCTATCCAAGGTGGTGAATGTAATGAAACTTAATCGATAAATGGGTGTCTTCTGACTGCTCCACTGACTACCCTCTCCCTCTCCTCTGAATTCCCTATCCTCTGTGAAACAACATTATTGAAATTAGGCCATTTATAACCCCACAATGACCCTGAAGTGTTCGCGTGAAAGGAAGAGTTGCACACCTTTCACTTTTAATCCAAAACTAGGAATGATTATATTTTTATATTTTAAAAACACATTCTAACATTTTCTTCTTTTGTCCTCCAACTGCTTGTCTCACTTCTTTGCTATAGGCAGCCCATTTTGGATATGACTTGTTCATATTTCTGAGAATTTCAGCTTCAATTCTAACCTATGACAGGCCTGTCTCACTTTTTAGGGGAGTGTTGCTTTTTAATACATAGGCAAATGAAGCCACAAATGAGCCTTTTCTTAGCCACCAGGATGGCTTCAGGCATATTTTTAAATTCCTTAGACAATTAGTACTCCATGCTTATTTTTCAACAGGGTTTAGCAAATAAAGATTTATGGAGGAAGTAATTTTGGACCCAGATGTGCAGAGAAAATGGTAAAGATTTTTAGAAAGAAAAGAGATTATATTTTAACGAAGGAGAAGGGCTATCAAAGGGATTTTCTTTTTTATAACAATAAATTTATGGAGCATTGTTACTTTACATTGTGTGTGTGTATGTTGTGTGTGTGGGTGTGTGTGTGTGTGTATATATATATATATATATTTATATATATATTTTTATATATATATATATGTATATAATGTTTTCCCAGAGTGGAGCATGTGCAGAAGATGTATCAAAGGTGGTTAGATATGCAATAGACTTGCCTGAATTTCCAGTTTTATAATAGTTAGCAATTCTGTTGTTAAATCAATTGCCTTATCAATTGCATTATCAGTGTGTGGTTTCATGCATTGCTATGGTTCCTATATTCTTAGAAATAGCTCTGGGGCATAAACATCTTCATATTTCATTGCTTATCTGTCCTAGAGTGGTGTGTAGAGTGGTGTGTCCTAGAGTGGTATGTCCTAGAGTGGTGCGTAGGTGGCTTATGCCCCTACATTTCTGTATTGTTTTCAGTGCGTTTACTTCTCCAAATGGCAATCTTCCTCTTCACTTGGAGAGCATCTCTTTCCCCTCCACTTGTCTCTGCTCAGCTCAGAGAGCAGTCGTAACAACCACAGAGGAAAGAGTTATGATTTTTTGCCCACCTTAGCAGTGTAGTCCAAGGTAGCATGTGAAGGAAGAAGATCTCAATTTCTCTCTAAACTCTTAAAATTATCTGTGACTTGACAGACGTACCCTAAGTCAATCCCCAGTGCCCTATAGCTTTTGTGTATTCCTCATCCTTGAATGTGTGGGGGTGGAGAGAACTGTGACTTTTTCCAACCAAGTCAATAAGGCAAAGGTGATGGAGTGCTACTCCCTGATTATGTTTCATTATGAGCCCATTTTAGCTGACTGGAGAGAGACTTTTCTCCCTTGCTGGCTGTTGAAATATACTGCTGTGTTGTGAGAGGGCTGTATGGCAAGAACTTACGTGTGGCCTTCAGGAGCTGGGAACACTCCTCAGCACCAAAAAGCCAGCATGAAAATGGGGACTTCCATCCTACAACCACAAGGAGATGAATTCTGCAAACAACTGGAGGCAGCTGGAAACAGATCTTTCCCCAGTCAAGTCTACAAAGGAGAACCGAGCCCTAGCTGATAACTTTGATTACAGACTTGCAGAGAATCCAGCTAAGCCATGCCCAGATTGCCAGTCCATAAAAAAAACTGAGAAAATAAATGTGCAATGTTTCCAGCTGCAACACTTGGGATAATTTATTATATAATAATAGAAATTAACAGGCTGAAGAAGTAGCCACGTTTTTATTTTGATTCTTCTTTAACTTTTATAAACTTCAACTTTTCATCTATAAAACTGAGGGTGATTAAACATATTGTTATTTCCTAATCTTTAAAAAAAAAAAAAACCCTTGCCTTTATTTGGTAAGATTGTACACTGTTCTGAAGATCATGCCATTTGGCTCTACCAAACTCTAGTTCAAGACAGTTTTACTTTCTAAGCTTGAATGATTAAAACAGTAGCTAAGAATTTGTGATCTTAAGTGAGCTTTTTCCATACTACATGTGGATCCACCCCACCTTGATATGGATACATACTCATTCAGGATCCCTAAATTAGTGGAGGCCTAAGGTCCTTTCCAACACCCACACTCCATGATTTTTTAGTTTACATTTATTCTAACCCATGTGACACTAAAACAAATAGGGCTCTTGGGTACTTAGCTGTCCAATCTTACTACCAGTTTTTATACTGTGTACTCTCCAGAAAGGAACAGGAATTTTATGTTTATGGACTAGGCGATTTTGACCATGATTATCAGCCAATGAATCCCACCTGGCATAGGTTATGTAGGTTTAATCCTAATCTTTAGTTGTGGAATGAATGCTTCATCTCCTTTACTGAGGTATCCTAAAGAAGAAAGTGAGAAAGACTGGATTTATGATCTCTCTGAACCATAGCCTGAAAGCTGTGGACAATATCATCTACATATAGCACTGGCTTTTAGGTTATTCCTTCTATTGTAAGGTTGTTTTTCTTGCTGTTTGGAAACTCTTCTGACCTCTACTTACCTTGAGAACTGGTCACTTAAACATGCAGTGACAACTCTGAGCTTTCCTAGATAGCTGCCTACTGGTGCACAATGTCTGTCTCGCCTTGGGTGTAAGGGTTAGAATAAAATGCACTCTTTATAAACAAGTTGTTCCACAGTGATTCAGGATTGGAGAAGAACTAGAAAGTGAATCAACCAAGAACTTGTACGCTTAGAAAATTTTCTGGAGTTTTGAAAGTCCTTATTTTAAAACAGACAAAAATATAATGGTGACCGGGCATGGTGGCTCATACCTGTAATCCCAGCACTTTGGGAGGCTGAGGTAGGCGGATCACCTGAGGTCAGGAGTTCAAGGCCAGCCAGGCCAACATGGTGAAACCCAGTCTCTACTAAAAATGCAAAAATCAGCCGGGCATGGTCACGCGTGCCTGTAATCCCAGCTATTCAGGAAGCTGAGGCAGGAGAATCGCTTGAACTCGGGAGGCAGAGGTTGCAGTGAGCTGAGATTGCACCATTGCACTCCAGCCTGGGTAGCAGAGTGAGGCTCTCTTAAAAAACAAACAAAAAACTGAAGGCAAATTTGGAGGTGGTCTATGTCATACCATCCTAGATTTGATTCCTGGTGCAGCTGTTTGACACATAGGTAGCCTAAAGCAGGCAATTTTATATCTTTGAAACTTAGTTTACTTACAGTTAAATTAGAAATTTATGGCTAACAAGATGAAGAATTTTTATTTTTTCAGTAGCTGGTAAGAAGATTGCTGTGCTATTCACAATAGCAAAGGCATGGAATCAGCCCAGGTTTCCATCAATGGTAGACTGGATAAAGAAAATGTGGTACATATACACTATGGAACACTATACATCCATAAAAAAAGAATGAAATCATGTCCTTTGCAGCAACATGGATGCAGCTAGAGGCCATTATCCTAAGCAAATGAACACAGGAACAGAAAACCAAATACCACGTGTTCTCACAAGTAGGGGCTAAACATTAAGCACTCGTGTACATAAATATGGAAATAATAGACACTGTGGACTACTAGAGGTCAGGGGTGGTTTAAAAAAACTACCTATTGGGTACTATGTTTACTACCAGGGTGACGGGATTTGTGCTACAAACCTCAGTATCACTCAATATTCCCATGTAACAAACCTGCACATGTACCCCTGTATCTAAAATAAAAGTTGAATTTAAATAAATAAGTATATATATATATATATATATATATATATATATATATGAAGAGATTTTGATTAGATTACTGAATCATAGATAAAAATCCAAAAATGGGGCTCAGGATTCCAGTGGAAAAAGGACACTACGTTTCATAATCAAGGTGATTGAGAGAGAAGAGAGGGGGAAACAGTAATATACTGAGTCAGGCAGATCAGGAAAAAAGATGAGACAAATGAAACTGCCTGTGAAGTAGCCAAATTCTCTTCTCTCTCCTCAATGACACCTTTACTAAAATCTATATGCTCAATAGTTTTTTTGATGAGGTGATTTTTTTTACTGGAAAATTCAAAGCAGTGCTAGGTTCTGCAACGAGGTCTGTAAAAGAATAAAGAACAGAAATTGGCCAGAAAAAAATTAACCTCTGATTGATTTACTATCTACATTTCACGACTGTTATGATAATTAATCAGGATAGTGTAAGTAAAATGTCCAGTACAGTGCCTGACACTTGTGCTTTCAATAAATGGTAACTATTATGATTGCTACATTACCAAATTTCATCGTAGGACAGTTATAACCCCTGTGCAATGATAATTAAAATTCCCTTTAAACCTAGTAATGCGAAAGTGCTATGGATATATAAGAATTATTATTAAATTAAGAATTGCAGACAAAATAATATATTCAGTAACACATACTTAAGTGAGAAATGCAGTTGTTCTTTGGGAATAAAATAGAAAATTAAATTAAAGAATGGGACTCTTTAATAAAAGAAAGATCAATCAATTCCCAAGAATATGTAGAAAGGAGAAAAATCTATTAATAATCAAGCAGGACATTGCAAATTGTCAGTAAATAAAATCTCAATAATTTGCATCATAATGAGTTGAGTTATTGGTTTCTAAGTTATCTGTAGCTACTTAATGATTCACTACTTATCACATCAACATTCTTTAAAAACAATTTCCTACTGATGAAATATTTCACAGCTGGTTAAAAAATGTCCCCATCTGGCATCGTAGTTGGAGCCCACTTTAGTGCCAAGATATGGACATGATGAAGAAGGGTTGCTGAATTGTCTGAAAATTATAAAGTGGTAGTTAAAAGAGAAAGGAATAGTCACCAGGAAGGCAACGTTTAAAAATTCTCATACAATCCTGGCAGGAGTAACATTTTTGCATGTACTTTGGAAAAACATTTTAGGAGTATCCCCTCAAGTTGATCATATGTCTATCCTATATCCCAGCAGGATCATCCCTTGATGGACTACAGCTCTCCTTTTTTTTTTCCTCACTTGTAGTTCTCAAAAATTACTATAATGTGCTGGGAATACAAGATCCTGAGATAAGGAAGAAATGTCCGGAATGGCCTGTGCTCTGTGCGCATCCTTCTTAGAATAGGATATCCTGAAACACCTTTGCTCGGCAAGCCAAGTGATATCTAGGGTATAAAACCCAGAGTGTATTGCTTTCAGGGTCCCTCAACTGTAGTGCAAAGGGGAGCATGTACAGGAAAGAGTCCATCCATCTTGGACAGCTTTCGGGAGGCTTGAGGGACTGGCTCACCACAAATTCCAGCCTTCTGTTGTTCCTGGCTGTCTACGAGTAATAAAGTTGCTTTGCTTACCTTATGTGTGAATATTATCTCTCATCAGATTCATACAAATGGTAGAAACTACAGATTGGTAACTGGTGCATGGTGAACCAGCTTCACACTCAGCAACACACAAGGTATGCAAAGCAACGTTATGAAGGTGGTCATCTATAAGCCAAAAACAGAGGCCTCAGAAGAAACCAAACATGCTGACACCTTTATTTTGGACTGCTACTATCCATAAACATGAGAAAATATTTTTTCTGTTGTTTAAATCACCCACTCTGGTATTTTGTTATGGCAGCTAGAGTTGACTAACACAGGTGTCAATGTGGGTAATTCTGCAACTGCTAACAGCAAAAATGGATTTCTCTTTTTCTTCTGCCTTCCAAAGTGAGTGCCACTGATTGATATACTATAATCTGGAATTACACTGGGAAGGGAATTCTGAGCAAGGGTGTTTCAGGACAGATGGCAGTAATGCTGATTTGACATCAGAAAATCTAGTACAATTGATCCCCTAAAAATTTAGAACTCTGGAATACATAAACATGGAAAACCTATAAGTCTAAAAATCTAAGCCTCTAGACAAAATCTAAGCATCTGGATTTTTTTTTCTTTTCTCTAGGATAAAAATATGTACATACTAATCTTGCCATGTCTAAAGATAAATTGTAAACCTACACAAAAGAACAGAGGGTATACAGGAGCAGTTGTGACATGAGATATAGCTGGAAAGAAAGAGCATTTTTAAGACAGCACTCACTGGGAGCTCTCAGAGAGCCTACCAACCCTGGGAAGCAACTTGGTGACTACATTTGTGATCAAGGCCCGTTTGGTTAAAGTATTTATGTTGAACAATATTGTATGTATAAACTTGACAATAGAAAAAATTATTTAAGAAAGACTATATATGTGTATGAATGTGAATACATTATGTGTACTTTATTAAATTGTTAATTGGAAGCAGGTGTATGTGACATAGGTACTTCTTTAGACTCCTTTATTAGGATTATCCAGTGAAACAGAGCCAATAGGATGTACACACACACACACACACACACACACACACACACACACATCCCAATTTATTTTAAGCCTCCATGATCACTCATGCGATTATGGAGTCAGGCAAGCTTCAAAATCTTTAGTGTGTATTGGTAGGCTGGAGACCTAGGATAGCTAACAGTCAGATAAGGTCCAAAGGTAGTCTGCTGGAAAAGTACCTCTTGCTTGGAGATGCTGTACTTTGTGTAGCATTTAGTCCTTCCACTGATTGTTTAAGGACTGCTAACATTATGTAGGGCAATCTGATTTACTCAAAGTCCACCTAATTAAAAAATAACAGATGCTGGCAAGGCTGCAGAGAAAAGGGAAAGCTGATGCACTGTTGGTGGAAATATAAATTAGTCCGGCCACTCTGGAAAGCAGTTTGGAGATTTCGTAAAGATCTTAAAACAGAGCTACCATTCAACCCAGCAATTCCATTACTTCCATCAAACTTCCTGGGCAGTCCCTGCTTCTATAAGTATGGCACAGCCCTACGGCAGGCTAGAGATTATGGAAGTGCTCAGACACTCTGTAAAAATGCCCGCTGCAGCTTTCTGTCACTGAGGCATGCCTTTTCTTTATGTCCCTGTGTTGTGATCAGGAGAAGGATTAACTACCTTAGCTTTTCTTGCTTCTAGATTGAAAGAAAACTGTTTTGCAGGGGCCTTGTGATTACAGGGCCTGCCACCTTTCTTTGCTCCCTGACTATCCAAGGCACTGGGGATTTTGCTGTAGTGTGGAAAACGTAATCATGGTTTTAGTAAGAACAGTCACGCCAACTTCAACTCATTTCCTTTTAAAGGTGAATTTACTAGCTTGGCAAATCAGGAACATGTACTATTGTGTTTCTCGTAATATATTTGAGAGAAAGAGTGAAAAATGAAGACTAAGTGTGATCATAACTATAAGAAATTGCAATTGATTAAACAAGTGTGATCAAAGAGTATCAATTTGCAAGCTGACGTCATTTAAAAATGCATGCTGTATGTATGGCTTCTCATAATGTCTTCTGCAGCTCTGTGATTGCTCTGCCCCTAAATGGCAGTGAGCTCTTTTAGGTACTGCACCTTGTTTGGATGCTTAGATTCTAGTGGGAGATGCTACATACAAAATATAATAATTAAAAAGTGTGGAAGGATACGATGATAACGATGCATATATGTGTGTGATACTATGGAAGCATGAGGAAGGTGCCTCCCCAACATGGGCAGAAGAGAGTAGAGAGAGAAGTGAGAGTCAGGTAAAGCTTAATGAGGTAGGTAAATCCTGAGCTGACTATTAGTTTTTGTGTTTCACCAACTTCTTCTATGTAATTTCAACCATGTGCCTCTTTTTGGGAGATTACAGAAGAGTATCACTTATGTAAACAATGTACAAATAACCCTGCCACTCCTCACTAAAAACAACAATAGTTAAAAAAAAAACACACAAACAAAGCTGATATGTGCATACAAAGATTTGAATGAAGACGATTATAATTGTCAATGGTAATATCTGGGAAGAGGATTGAGGGTGGAATTTTTTTCTAAACTCCTATATCATTAGTATTTTTCTCTTCTGTAAACTTATACCACTTTTATAGAATTAAAAAAAATCGACTTTTCAATTTTAAAAAGAAATAATCTATCACATATTCGATTGAAACAGAGCTACTCCCCCTGTGTATAAAAATGCCATAAACTGCTTAACGTCTCTTATTTCATTTGTGTTTACACATCTATGTGAAAGGGTGAGGGTTTAGCAGCAGACACACCTCATCAATTTATCTACAGGAAAATGATTAGATTATTCTAATTAATTTCAGAAATCAGTGAATTGTGTGGCCTTCTAAAATTACTACACTAGCTATGAAACTCCTGGTGACATTTTTGAGCTAAATGTTATTCTTTTTAATTGACCAGATGCAAGCCCCTTTTCTCTTCCATTTTAAAATCTGGGTGCTGTTATGTGGCATGAAAGCACATTTGATCAGCTTTAACATTTTATCTGCCTCTTAATGCTAGCAATACTAGCTTTACTGAAAACTATTATAAAACAAAATGGTTCACTTCAGAAAAATGTGTCATTTTCAATACTATTCTGTAACATCTTGTTTGTATTTCTCCTTCTCTTGGATAATACCGACTGTTTTTGTTTCAGTTCACTAGATAAGCACTAGGAAAGAAACTAGACTTGTCAGACAGATGGGTAATAATTGATGACAATCAAAATGCAATTGAATTGCATTCTTTTGAGATCTTGAGATGAAAAGGTACTTATAGACACTGCTTCTATTTATACAGTTTCTTTGTTTGACTTGAAAGTAGCATAGGTACCAGCTCCTTTTCCTCTCCCCACCCCATTTTATTCCATACCTCTAGAATGCACTCTTCACACATTCATGGGGTTAAAATCTTTTATGAAGAAGATCAAGTAAACTCTTCTTGGGAGGAGTAACTTTCCTCTTGTCTAGTTTGAAAGCCTGATTCCCCAGAATTTCTAGACCAGGATTTCCTACACCAAATGATGAGCATTATTGCAATGAGGAGATGGGACAATCTCTGCCACATTTATCTGGTGATAAACCAGAAATCCCAAGATAACTGGGGCACAGTAAGGGTGAAAGTCATGAGTTTTTATCTGTAAGTAAACTTAATAGTATTCCCCAAAAAGATATCTTCAAATCCTAACTCCTAATACTGGTGAATGTAAACTTATTTGGAAATAGGGTCTTCACAGATATTATTAAAGACTGTAAGATGAGACCATCCTGGATTTATAGTGGCTTGAAATCCAATGACTGGTGTCTTTAGAAAAAGAAGAGAGGGCATAGACACACTGAAAAAAAGGCCATGCAAAGACAGAGGCAGGGATTATAGTCAGGTAGTCCCAAACCAAAGGATGTTCCAAGACACCACAAACTGAGAGAAATAAGGAAGGATTCACCCTTGGGGACTTCATAGAAAGTGTGGCCTTGCCAACACTTTTATTTTGGACTTCTGGCCTCCAGAACTATGAGAGATTCTATTTCTGTTGTTTTAAGCCACCAAGTTTGTGTTACAACAGCCCTAGGAAAATAATAGAAATTTTGGTTCCAGGAAGTGGAGAGCTGCTGTATAAATACATAAAAATTTGAAAGTGGTTTTTGAATTGGATATTAGGTAGAAGACAAAAGAATTTTGATAGGTATAACAAGAAAATAAACTAGATTGCATTGAAAAGATGGTTGATAGGAATGGACATTAAAGGAAATTTTGGTGAGGGCTCAGAAGGAAGTGATGAGTACAATAAAGAAAGCCTCTGTTGTTTTAAATGAATACATTATGAACAGAGTATTGACAGATATATGAACATTAAAGGTGCTTCTGGTGATGTCTCAGGCGGAAATGGCTCACATGTTATTAGAAACAGGAAGAAAGGTGATTCTTCTTACAAAGTGACAGAACATTTGGTTCAATTGGATTCTACTGTTGGGTGGAAACAGAACCTATAAGGAATGGACTTGAATAGTAAATCGAAGAGATTTTCAAGCAAAGTGTTGAAGGTGCAGCCTAATTTCTCCTTGCTGCTTGTAGTAAAATTCAGGAGGATTCTAGATCTTCGAGGAATCACCACACTGTCTTCCACAATGGTTGAACTAAATTACATTCCCACCAACAGTGTAAAAGTGTTCCTATTTCTCTGCAACCTGGCCAGCATCTGTTGTTTCTTGATGTTTTAATAATCACCATTCTGACTGGTATGAGATGGTACCTCACTGTGGTTTTGATTTGCATTTCTGTAATAATCAGCGATGTTGAACTTTTTTTCATATGTTTGTAGGTCCCATGAACGTCTTCTTTTGAGAAGCATCTTTTCATGTCCTTTGCCTACTTTTTAATGAGGTCGTTTGTTTTTTTCTTGTAAGTTTGTTTAAATTCCTTGTAGATTCTGGATGTTAGACTTTTGTCAGGTGGATAGATTGCAAAAATTTCTCCCCCTCTGTAGGTTGCCTGTTCACTCTGATGATACTTTCTTTTCCTGTGCAGAAGCTCTTTAGTTTAATGAGATCCCATCTGTTAAATAACATTTGACCCAGCAATCCCATTACTGGGTATATACCCAAAAGAATATAAATCATCCTATTACAAAGATACATGCACTCATATGTTCATTGCAGCACTATTCACAATAGCAGAGACATAGAATCAACTCAAATGTCCATCAGTGATAGACTGGATAAAGAAAATGTGGTACATATACATCGTGGAATACTATGCAGCCATAAAAAGGAATGTGATCATGTCCTTTACAGAGACATGGATGGATCTGGAAGCCATTATCCTCAGCAAATTAATGCAGGAACAGAAAACCAAACACTACATGTTCTCACTTAATAAGTGGGAGCTGAACAATGAAAATATGTGGATACAGGGAGGGGAACAATACACACTGGGGCCTGTTGGGGCAGAGGGTTGGTGGAAGGGAGAGCATTGGGAAAAATAACTAATGCATGCTGGGCTTAATACTTAGGTGATGGATTGATAGGTGCAGCAAACCACCATGACACGTTTACCTGTATAATGAACCTGCACATCCTGCACATGTACTCTGGAACTTAAAAATAAAAATTGGCCGGGCGTGGTGACTCATGCCTGTAATCCCAGCACTTTGGGAGGCTGAGGCGGGCAGATCACGAGGTCAGGAGATCGAGGCCACCATGGCTAACACGGTGATACCATCTCTACTAAAAATGCAAAACATTGGCTGGGCACGGTGGCGGGCTCCTGTAGTCCCAGCTACTCAGGAGGCTGAGGCAGGAGAATGGCGTGAACCCGGGAGGCAGAGCTTGCAGTGAGCCGAGATAGCGCACTGCACTCCAGCCTGGGTGACAGAGCGAGACTCCGTCTCAAAAATAAATAAATAAATAGATATTAATTTTAAAAATTCAACAGGAAAAAGATGAACTGAAAAAGGAACTACTAAGCAAACAGCAAGGAGTACTTGATAATTTGGAAGGTTCTCCACATACCTAGATGCAAAAGATGCTAAAATTAGAAAATTTATTGTTGGGAAAGCATACTCTAAATAGAAGGCCAAAGAGGAGACTTAAAAATCTTTTGCTGAATAGATTAGATGTGTGGCTTATGGATCCAACTGACCGTTTCAGCAGACACCAGGAATAGAGATTGGTTATCCAGGAAGGATCTGTGGAAGAACCTCTTATCTGACAGTGTGATCCCCTTGACATACATGTTGGACCTACAAGGTTTTTAAGAATGTTGTATAAGCAGAAACACTGCCAGCTTAGACTAAAGGGGACATAGACAGGAACACAGAGAAAAAGGTCACATGAAGATGAAAGTAGAGATTGGGTGGGGTTACTTAAGAAAAGATTCTCCCTTAGCCTTCAGAGGAAACATGGTCCTGTTGACACTTTGATTTCACACACCTGGCCTCTAGAACTGTGAGAGAATAAATTACTGTTGTTTCAGGCCACTACTGTCGCAGTGGTTTGTTGCAGGTCTGGGAAACTAATACACCGTCTATTATTATTGACTCTCTAGTCTTCTTTGGCCACTGCTGATGCAAATGAAGTGATCTCTCTGACCTGAGTACCTCTAACCCTGACCCAGGTATACCTATTCTAGCCTTGGATATTTCCACAGAATCAAATTCACTCCCTACCTCCTGTTAACAGCTTTGTGAACAACTTGTAAGAAATGTTATACATTGTAACAAAGTCTTATAGGTACTTAAATCTTATAATTCTGACAACACTTACTAATTATTTTAAATGTTTCAATAAACTTGAAAAATTTACAAAGAGTGATGATAAATAAAACAATCTCTACTACACACTTTATTGGACTCTAATTGTCAGACTTTTTTTTGCAAGTGAGAATGAAATTAATAAATTGTCCCCTAATTGGTAAAGAGCAGACAACATATTGTGCACTTGCTTCCAGTTTTAAAATCTCTTAAACTTCGGTGGGGTAGGGAGAGGACAGCAGGAGAAAAGGCTAAGAATATTGAAGGGCAGTGTTTGGAGTATATTAAATATATGTTAATGCATTGTCTTTTTAAATAATCTTGTAAATTCATGCACAAATAAATATCTTTTAGCTGTTAGAGTAAATGTTATGGAAAGTATTTAATAATAGCTCCCCTTCTGCATTCATCATGTGTCTTATGCACATAATAATTTTAGTGATAATAATTATTTCCATAGAGGCTGAGCATGTTGGATCATGCCTATAACCCAGCACTTTGAGAAACTGAGGCAGGAGGATCACTTGGGTCCAGAAGTTTGAGAGCAACCTGGGTAACACAGGGAGAACTTGGCTCTACAAATAATTAAAATCAGCTGGGTGTGATGGTGCACACCTGTGGTTCTAGCTACTCAGGAGGCTAAGCGATATCATTTGGTGCTGTGTTCCCACCTGAATGTCATATTGAATTGTAATCTTCATGTGTCAAGGAAAGGGCCTGGTGAGAGGTGATTGGATCATAGGCGTGGTTTCCTCCATGCTTTTCTCATTGTAGTGAGTAAGTTCTCACGAGATCTGATGGCTTTTAAAGTGTTTGGCAGTTCCGTACTCACTCTTTCTCACCCGCTTTCTTGTGAAGAAACTGCTTGCTTTTCCTTCATCTTCCACCATGACTGTAAGTTTCCTGAGGTCTCCCCAGCCATGTGGAACTGTGAGTCAAACCTTTTTCCTTTATAAATTACCCAGCCTCGGGCAGTTCTTGATAACAGTGAGAAAATGGACTAATACACTGAGACAGTAGTAAGCCTGGGAGGTCGAGGCTGCAGTGAGCTGTGATTGCACCACTGCACTTCAGCCTGGGCAACAGAGTGAGACTGTCTCAAGAAAAAATTACTATTATTTCCATTGCCATTTAATGTTATAACTTATAAAGGGTTTATTAATAAATTATGTGTCTGCATGTCTATAAAAATTGATTCTTAACCCAACAATTGTGTTGGGAAAGTAAGGTAAGTTGTTAGTATCCCATCTTACAATTAAGGATACTGAGGCTCAGGTAATTAAAATGTCTTGACAAGTTCATAGAACGAGTAAGTATCAGAACACTGACCAGAACCTAGGCCTCCCAATTCTAGCCCAGTGTTCTTTTGGTTTCTCTCTCCTAACTGTGGAAAAGTTGACCAAGTTATATAAGGATAATCAATGTATATGCTTTTATCTTTTCTGACATTGTGATCTGAAATTTTACATGTAAGAAAAATAATGTCAAAACCTCTTTATTTAATGGCTTACTTCTCTGAACATATGCTTTGACAATTTTTGAATTGATAATAAAATGAAGCAAACAGGAACATTAAATATACTTAAATTTACTTGTTTCCTTGTGAAAATATGTCATGCTACTACTATTGTATGTGGTGTAAGAAGAAAATGCCCAGGTTATATTGAACATAGTGTGGTAATTTTTTATGATATGAGAGGATTAAATAGGTTGTATTTTTGTTTTTTTTTAATGTTATTTAAGACATATGGATGGAATTAAGTTGACTCCAAAGGACAATTTATTATCACTGGAAAACCTGGGAAATTTCTAAGAAACACTTTAAAAATATTTATATACTGGGTTCCCCTAAATCCTTAAGAAAGAAAAGTGATTCATGATTCAATGCAATGAAAGACCAGTATGTTGTATGTCAGTAATTTTGCAGATTTGCAAAGGTAACCATTGTTTTTTTTTTTGAATATGAGATGAATGAATATGGACACTTTTTGAGGGAACATTCAAAAAGTTTCATAAAGTTAGTTATGCTGTTTTTAAAAAGAACCATTAAGGAACTAATGGCCTAGCTGAATTGATACCTGGGAAAATATTCTACATCTAATAGAAATATGGTTCAAATGCAGAATGCTTACCAGAAAATTGCTAAAAATATAAATTAAGCATACGAAGTCATATCTATTATGCTCCATGCTGCTGTTGATGATAATACAACAACATATTTCCAGAATAACAGCTATTCAGGATATTTGTAACATTAAGGAATTGAAAATACTTGTCTTTGGGAAATGTATACTCATGAGCCTGAAGGAAGTGGTTAGTCACGCAATGTGATATATTTTTATATACGTATGTAAATGGACATAAAAACAAAATGAAAACACCTACAATATTTGGATGTTTAAATTGAAAATATAAACAGAAATAAATACAAATGTTAATGTTGTTATATTCACCTTAACACACATGATGTTGCAAAAAGAGCTTTTCTGAGATGACTCTCACAAACATGAACATCTCAAATGGGAGGTAAGACTACAACCTGGTGATCTGACAAGGGACCTGGACTGTGAATATTGTTTGAACTGGAAGTGTAGGAGGTACACTAGTAAGGGTAGAGATCTCGAGGATGTGGAATGATACCTTCCTTTGTCTGAGTCCCAGTCTGTGGTTTCTGTCCTATTTATAATGACATTCTGGTTGAATTTGTTTGTTCTACAAAGTAAGTCAAGTTTCAAGTCATGTCAGTTTATCCAATTAAGGCCTTGATGAGAGGAAAAAGAGAAGAGGCCATTTGTGCTCGTGTGCTCAATTATTTTTAAAGATTACATTCGGCCATCTAAGCTTTCATTGGTTGTCAATATGTGGTTGATCAAATTAGCACAATTTGGAGGCCCAGTTCATGATTCCCTGGGTCTTTTGAGTCATTAGTGATCCCTGCTTGATTGTAGTTGCCTGTTTCAGTATGCCTGCAGAAAAGAAAAGGGCCCTGTTTAAAGTATCAAAACTATAGGATTCCAAAACAGATTTAGAAATTCCCATCTCCAGCTTGTCTGTTTTCCTCAATACTAGCAACTGAGGCATGCTGCTCTCGTGTCACTGTCCTGCCATTGTCTATTTGTCTTACTTCTGACTTCTGTGAGTTAGCCCTGGTCTATTTATCTTATTTTGGGCAACACTGTGCTGTTTAATATCTGGTCTCTTTTTTCTGTTCATAGACCCAAATACTTTTCTCCAGGACATAGCCTTCCTGTTTTCTTTTGTTCAAGTTTGATGAGCTCATGCTCTACACATAACTCCCAGGGCAGCTTTATACACTGACTGAAGGTGGAAAATTGTTAGAAAAGTGTTTAGTAGGCTGAGCATGGTAGCTCACTCCTGTAATCTCAGCACTTTGGGAGGCCAAGATGGGTGGGTCACTTGAGGTCAGGAGTTCAAAACCAGCCTGACCAACAGGGTGAAACCCTGTCCCTACTAAAAATACAAAATTAGCCAAGTGTGGTGGTGAATGCCTGTAATCCCAGCTGCTTGAGAGGCTGAGGAAGGAGAATTGCTTGAACCTGGGGGGCGGAGGTTGCAGTGAGCCCAGATCGTGCCATTGCACTAAACCCTGGGCAACAAGAGCGGAACTCCATCTCAAAGAAAAGTGTTTGGTAGAAAAAAATTATAGCTGCTCACTACAGATTAATGTTCTAACATGTCAAGCAGGCTTTCATAAGATTCTATAGGGGCTAATAGAGGCTCACAATCTCCTAGGAAGATTGATGTTTTTCTGGCTCATCATCATGAGGGAGCTGACAGGGAACATTCAAAAGATCCTTATGTGCTCCTGGTGCTCCTCAATGACCTCAATGTCATTTGTGACTGAATAAGTGATGTGTTGAGCTCCATGTTTTCCTGTCAAGGTGATTTCTTCCCCACACGATACAACAGACACTTCCACCACCCTAGAGAATGCCAATATTAACCCCCTTATATTCTATATATGAATTTCTGCCAGTCACACAAGAAACCCAAGATACCCAGGTCATCTCATCATGTGGATGTTGATTCTCAAGCATCTTGGAATATCCTGTAATTAGCCTCCATCTACCATTCCTCCTCAGCTCCCAATTCATTCTTCTCCACTCTCTGGAGCACAGTCAGTCATTAAAAAAAAAAATCCCCTTTTTACTCAACCTCTCCTCAGAGGATTTCCTTCACTGTTTCTCTAACTAAAATCTGGCTCTCCATTAAGGACACTTAGAGTCTTCTCAGACAGTGGTGGTTTTCTCTCACATGTCTCTCTTACTACTTGGTCTGGAGTTAGGATAATTGTCTTTCCTGATTCTTCTTGCTACCTTCAGACCTTTGTTTCTTCTTCCTTCCTCCTTCCAAGCCCCTGATTTCTTTTGAAGTTTATGTCAACAGATTACCCACTAACCCAGTTTGTTGTAGTCATCTAACTAATCCCCAGACCAGCCTTATTCATTTCTTGAAGATTTTATTATATGATTTACTCCATCACTACTTCTGACACAATTCTTGGTGATTTTAATATTCATGCAGAAAATCCTGCTAATATCTTGAGTTTTTAGTTCCTCGTTGTTATTTTTCCCTAGAATCTTGTCCTTCACCTTATATCAGCTACCCATTCTCACAGTTGTGCCCTAGACTTTGTCAGTCCTGGTAATAGCTTTCCATCCATAATCTCAATTTTAAGTACTCCACTCTGCAATCCACCCTTCCTATCTTTCTAACATGTTCCTTTATTCTCTCCCCATGAGTCATTGGTCTTTCTGAAATCTTCAGTCCACTGGGTCATACCATCTTTTTGCTGCATACATTTTCTCAGCTTTCTCCCATCTTCATCTTCCTTTCTCCAAATTTAGGTTCTGTAGTTCATTTTTATGCTCATTTCTTGCTTACATCCTCAACCCCTTGGCTCTTCTTTCATTACATATTATATGCCTGGCAAAACCCAACTCTGGTCATGTCAGCCTGCTTTGCACACACACGTCTAGAAAAAAACTGTACATCAATGCTTCCCAATCTTATCTTAAAGAAGTGAACGTTATCCTCAAGTTGGATCCTAGCTATGTCCAGCAACTGTTTTATTTCTTTCATAAACTTTCTCTTACTCCTCTAGATAACGATTTCATACCACCTTCTTCATTCTCAAACATATATCTCTATAAATCTCTTCTCTTTGAGCTAACCAGCTTGCTATTTCACCGAGAACATGGAAATAATCAGGAGGGAACATTCACATGCTTTCACCACCCAGTGGACCCATCTACATGTGTTTCCTCTAGCAACTATGGAAGGGTTCTCAGTGACCTTATCTAAGACTAGATGCTTGACAGGAACACTGGTTTTCTTTCTTTTCTCTTTTTCTTTCTTTTTTTTCTTTTTTTTTTTTTTTGGAGACAGAGTTTCGCTCTTGTTGCCCAGGCTGGAGTGCAATGGTGCGATCTTGGCTCACTGCAACCTCCACCTCCCAGGTTAAAGTGATTCTCCTGCCTCAGCCTCCCAAGTAGCTGGGATTACAGGCATATGCCACCACGCCTGGCTAACTTTTTGTATTTTTAGTAGAGACGGGGTTTCTCCATGTTGGTCAGGCTGGTCTTGAACTCCTGACCTCAGGTGATCTGCCCACCTCGGCCTCCCAAAGAGCTGGGATTACAGGCATGAGCCACCGTGCACAGCCGGAACACTGGTTTTCATCTCCTCTGCCTACCGTAGGACATTACTCCTAAGGGGCGCCTCTCTCCTGTAGCACCAGATTTTTGCTCTTAACTAGTTTATTCTCAGCAGAAGACAAATAAGCTGTAACATATCCCATCTTAAAAAATCTGATTTGCCGATTTCTCTCAATATCACCACCTACCTCAGAGCTAAGTTTGGCTCCACCCTCACACTTTACTATGCTCAGTCAGTCAATTTTGCCTCTTTAGTCTCTGTTTTTTCTGCTGACACTTAGTTGAATCACTTATTACCATCTCACTCAACAATTTGAACAGACTCATTACTTTTCCATTGTCGGTTCTGTGCCCCAGGCTAGAGCATTGGGTTAAATCAATACACAATATATGTAGATTTCAGGAATTGAGTATTTTTTTAGACTAAGTATCCTAAAGCTAAACCTCTATTATTCTATATCTAAAAAGAAACTTCATAGGGATATATTCTACTTATTGAAGAAAATCAAGATTTCTTAATTAATAAAAGTACACATCATGTTGCACTGAGTTTCATATATCGTGATGGTCTTGCTGAATTTTTGACCATTTTCTCAAAGTGTCTTGTAAGCTTTCTCCATTCTCTTTCTATTTAACTGTAGAAATTCTATTATCCTGCTTTTTAAAAAAATTGAAATAAAGAAATTATAAATTAAACATCTATATTCTTACCATCCAGAGTAGAAAATGGTTAATAATTTGTCATTTACCACACAGACATTTCACTGGAAGAAAAAAAATCATTTCAGAAAGAATAAAAGGCTCTTAACTACCATCCATCATATCATCCCCCACCATAGATCACACCATCATCTATATTTGTGTATGTTATTCAGTCTATTTTTTTTTGTTTTTCATCTGTAAAAAATATGGTTGAGTGCTATCCCAACATTTATTTTTTTCTGGAGCAGAGTAAAGAGTTAGGTGCCAGGCATGGTGGTGTGTGCCCATAATCCTAACTACTTGGGAGGCTGAAGGAGGAGAATTGCTTGAGCCCAGGAGTTCAAAGACAGCCTGGGCAACATTGCAAGACCCTGTCTCAAGAAAAAAAAAGAGCTGGGGAGTAGTAGGGTATATTCTTCTCATAAATTTAGCTGTCATAAGGACAAAGAATTCTCATATCCTTTAAGGCCCAGATCTAGTACTACTTTCCCATGCTCCATCTTAATATGCAGAATTTCTGTTCCGATGTCTTTGGAAATCTTTTTTTAATTCACATTCATACATACATATATATGTATGAACACAAATTTAAAAATGCACATAATATAGACATACATATATACACATACACACGTAATTTATACTTCAGATTAATATGTATATATGGTTCATTTATACTATATATATGAATGAAATATATATACACAGACACACACATATAAATTATTTAATTGTAAATATGCTCCTTAAGGGTTAGCATTACTTATATTACTTTCAGCAGTATCTTTACGCATCTGCACCACCAAATTGCCTGTCAGAGTATACAGCCACCCCAACACACCCACCCACAGTCCTCCTCTCCGCGTCCATATAGATATATTTTTCTCTATGACCACTTTTACTTAAATATATATAAGAATAAAGGAATGAACAATGGAATGGTTGACTAAGATACATGTAATGATTCAAATTCAGTAGGTGCTCATTATCTAAGTGATGTGCTATACCTCTAATTCATTTCTTTATTACACATGGCACTAGTAAAAAGTAATAAAGGGCTCTTAGCTACTTGAAGTGTTCCCATAACCTATAGGAGTATCATTTGTCTTGGTGGCAACTAGGAAAGGAGCAAAGAACAATTTGTCTTTTTTTGACTCATATTTCCACTTAAATGTAGAGAGATAAAAAGCAAGAGACAGCTTGTGCTAATTAGAAGGAGAAAATTTAAGAGAATATTGCTCTTGGCAGTGTTCAAAATACCAAGGTCACACATGTACCTTCTGTAACTTTGCTTCTCAATGGGATAGAGTATTGGGTAACAGGATTTCATGGAGGCAACTTTTTAGGTTCTACAAGGGCCTAGCAGCATACAGTCAAGAGGTTGTTTGTCAATTTCTTAAATGGTCACTGACAACAAGATCCTGTTTATTCATTAAACACAGTTCTTAAGAACATTAATTTAAGCCTGAAAGATTAATGCATCTGGGTCTACTGCTCCCTTGGGGTACAATTCAGTTGCTCTGTTACTTAAAAATGGTTTAGACAATAATTTCTGAGGAGGCTCAAAGACTGTGTCTCCTTCCACTCCCACTCCCTATACATCATATAATTCAGCAATGTCATGACTTTTTGACTGACTTGTGTCTCATTGGCATGGAATAGCCAGTTACCAGTTATCTAGTTTCTTTCTTCCACACAGCCAGGAAAAGTCAACCTGTTCAGTATCTCTTGGTCATTTATTGGCAGATTTAAAAAGAACATAAATGTTTAATAAAGATTCAATAATTCTTATTTTGCTCATCTGAAAACCCTGTTATGCCCATTTAATTGCTCAGCAATGCTATCCATTTTCTATGAAAGAAATCACCTATTTTCTGAAGTGTACTACAAGATTAGTAATGCAATACTACCAAACTTATCTTAACTATCCACCTGTCAAGATAAATGAATAAAATGTATTTGAAATGTAGTTCCCATGACTTTTTTTTTTTGAGATGGAGTTTTGCTCTTGTGGCTCAGGCTGGTATGTAATGGCGTGATCTCGGCTCACTGCAACCTCTGCCTCTAGGTTCAAGTGATTCTCCTGCCTCAGATTGCCAAGTAGCTGGAATTGCAGGTGCCTGCCACCATGCCTAGCTAATGTTTGTATTTTTAGTAGAGATGGAGTTTCACTATGTTGGTCATGCTGGTCTCAAACTCCTGACCTGAGGTGATCCACCCGCCTTGGCCCTGACTTTTACTGAACATATTCATTGAATTTCTAATTTATACATTTTGATAATCCACAATGGATCTTTTAGGGTCTCATTTCTAATGTCAAGGCTCTTATGGAGATCATTAAAACCTAAGTAGAATTAAACACAAGCTTGCCTTCTACTCTAAACTGTTAATAAAATCCTTTAGTCTTCTGTGTTAAAAGGAGGCTTTCATTCAATTACTTCCTGTTTTTGCTATTTGGTATTGCAAAATAATTGCAATATGCTTAGGTGTGAATATACTTCATCAGAAAAAGTTCTTTTATCATTAATATAGTTAGGAAGGCATCTCAACAAAATGAAGCAGGCATGTAATAACCTCCCCCCCCCAAGAAAAGGGAAAAACTCCATAATAGAAATATATTTTGTCTTAAGAGTTATATTTTGTTTCACTAGAGTGTGAGCTCCATGAGCGTAGTAGTCATTTCTGGCTTGTTCATGACTGTATACCATTGATTAGCACAGCATTTGACATAGTAAGTGCTCAATAAACATTATCAAATAAATGATGTTACCAACCTTGTTTTATTCAGACTAAATTGACCAAATTCTAAAATAGAAGTCATAAACATCTGCCCTTTAGTGATTATTTAACAAATAACTATCTTCCTATTCTTTTATATATTAACCTAGAGCATTGATCATAATTACGTGAAGCATCACTTAAAGCTATATTCAAGTTTTTTTCATCATTCATTCATATAAATCCCACAGTTTCAATATAAATCAGAAATAAAAGGCTGGGCATGGTGGCTCACGCCTGTAATTCCAGCCCCACAAGGGCTGAAGCAGGAGGATCGCTTGAGCATAGGAGTTCAAGACCAGCTGGGGCAACATTGTGAGACCTCATCTGTCCAAAAAAAAAAAAAAAAGTTAGCTAGGCATGGTGGTCCCATACTCAGGAGGCTGATGTGGGAGGATCACTTGAGCCTGAGAAGATCGCTTGGGCTCAGGAGGTCAAAGCAGCTGTTAGCTATGATTGTGCCACTGTACTGCAGCCTGGGTAACAGAGTGAGACCCTGTCTCAATAATAATAATAATAATAATAGTAATAGTAATAATAAAATCATCCTGCTGGTGGATATCATTCCTTTCTCTCTCCAATTGAAAAACTAAGGTAAAACTTACTTCAGTGGACCAACCAGAAAATGAGGTTAGCTTATAAGTGAGATTGTTTTTCTTCGCCTCTATATTGTACTTGGGTTCTTCTGTATGAGATACATTGGAATTTTCCCAATTTTTAAGGTTTTTACTCAGGTCCTCAAATTTCTGTGTCTGGTATGTTGTCTAACAGACTGTGACTTTACTTTTCTGTAGAGAAGCAACTATTGAGAATGCCACAGACTTGAGCTTTCCATGCTATATTTAGAAGATAATTTGCTGCACATTCTTGGATCGATTTTGCCATCTCAGTTACTTTGTGGGAGATAATTGACATTCTTTGTGCTATGACAACTGTATGTGATGGATTAGTTCTAGTGTTTGACACTGGTTAGCTTCATATCAGTCACAGAATTTCATGAGCAACCCGATTCAAATCCTATGCAAGACACAAGAGATTTCTAAGAATATAGCCAAACTGAACTTTAGTAAAAGAACAAACATCTTCTCTCTTTGAAGAAATCTTCAATTTTCCAAAGTCACAAAAAAGATGAACACTCAGTGGACTATAATTAAAACAGTTTCTAATGGTCAGTATATATTGCAATTGAAAAATTTCAGTGTGACTATAGCTAGATATTGTGATACTTTTATATCAAAGCATTAAAACCTTAAAAATAATACAGTTAAACTCACTTTTTACAAATTAATCAAGGGTGTAATTTAGTCCATGAGAAATTAGAAATTATTTCAATAGGCTACCTTAAAAATCCTGTATATTTAGCTTATGTTTAAAGTAGTGCATAATGGGGATAAGTGAGGATACATTCAGGAGACAATTTCCTGATGGGATTATGAAGATTATAGAAATACTGATAGAAATGTTAGTATCCATCAAAATATTGAATGGCAGAAGGCATATCCATAAGAGTTAATACCTTTTGAGATCATAAAAACATTTATAAGTTATATTTTCTTTGTGATCATATATGTAGTTGATTATCTCCTCACATCTTGTGTTCCCAAATCTTTCCTTTCCTTAAACATTGTAAGACTAAATATAATTTAAAGAACCAGTATCTATAACCTTCAAAGTATGTTATTATTCTCTTTCACTTAAATGGTTTAATATCTTGCAATTCTTCTATACTTGCCTGATATTGTTGTATTAGCCTCACATTGCTTTTTATTGCTTTTTAATTATTTACTTGACACATCATAATTGTACATATTTATAGGGTACAGTAAGATTATATATATGTATATTATATATATACACACACACTGTGTTAATGATCAAATCAGAATATTTAGCATTTGTGTTCAAATGATATAGAAAAGTTTACTAATACACAGATTATCTAAAATTCCATCCATGCAACTTAACTCATTGGCCAAATTGTTCATATTTGTGCTTCTGTTTCACTTCCAAGTTGGCCAGATAATTTATCTTCACAAACTTTTAGAACCATCTCTTCATACATTTTTTCTGCAAAATAATTTATATTAAGACTTCATGGGTGTTGATTAATCTGAGTATATCTCTGGCCACCAAAAATGTCCAAAAACATTTCTCTTTTATTGAAACTCGTCTGTTTTACTGAACCAGATTACTTTAACAGATTTTTCTTACTTTCAAATTTTTGTAATGGCATTTTCAATTTAACCCTCTTGGTCCTTTTTAAGGTTTAAATAGGTCTTCTTTTTCCCTCCCTTCCCTCTCTCCCTCCCTTCCTCTCTCCCTCCCTCCCTCCCTTTCTTCCTTCTTTCCCCTCTTTCCTTCCTTTCTTTCCTTTGAACTTCTTTATTCAGTTCACCTGGTGTATGAACATGGTTTTCTCAAAACTAAATTATCATTTGCAACACTCTCAATCATCTGAATAAAGGCTTTCTTCTATGTTCCAGAAAACAAGCACTAGAACATAATGTACCTGAAATTACAGGCTGAATTAACACATGTTGGCTAAGTGATGCTAAACACAAATAAGGCTAATTTTCTGAAAATCCATTCCTTAGGAAATGACTGATTTGCTTAGTTTTTACAGTAATCATTATGGTGAGTTCCTTGATTCTCAGACATGTCTATTTTAGTCATGTCAGTTTTTATTAATAAAGGAGATAGCTGGGCACAGTGGCTCACGCCTGTAATCCTAGCACTTTGGGAGGCCGAGGTCAGTGGATCACAAGGTAAGGAGTTCAAGACCAGCTTGGCCAACATGGTGAAACCTTGTCTCTACTAAAAAGATATTGGGGGAACCCACCCCCAATATTTCAACATAGGTTCTTTCTATTTTCTGTAAGTGTTAGCTGGCTGAGAAATAGAGACAGTATAAAGAGAGGAATTTTACAGCTGGGCCGCCAGGGGTGACATCACATATCGGTAGGACTGTGATGCCCACCTGAGTCTCAGACTAGCAAGTTTTTATTAAGGATTTCAAAAGGGGAGGGGGTATAAGAAAAGGCAGTAGGTACAAAGATCACATGCTTCAAAGGGCAAAAAGCAGAACCAATAATAAGGGTCTAACAAAGATCCCATGCTTCTGAGGGAACAGGACAAAGGGCAAAAGCAGAACCACTGATAAGGGTCCAACAAAGATCGCACGGCAAAGGGCAAAAGCAGAACCACTGACAAGGGTCTATGTTCAGTGGTGCACGTATTGTCTTGATAAACATCTTAACAGAAAACAGGGTTTGAGAGCAGAGAACCAGTCTGACCACAAATTTACCAGGGCGGAGCTTTTCCCCACCCTATTATTAGGCTTATGCCTGAGAGTACTGCAGGAGACCAGGGCATATTTTAGTCCTTATCTCAACTGCATAAGACAGACACTCCCAGAGCGGCCATTTATAGACCACCCCCCAGGAATGCATTCCTTCCACAGGGTGTTAATACTCCTTGCTAGGCAAAGAATTTAGCAATATCTTTCCTACTTGCACATCCACTTATAGGCTCTCTGCAAGAAGAAAAATTGGCTGTTTTTGCCCGACCCCACAGGCAGTCACACCTTATGGTTGTCTTCCATTTTCCACAAAAATCGTTATTCTGTTCTTTTTCAAGGTGCACTGATTTCATATTGTTCAAATACACGTTTTACAATCAATTTGTACAGTTAACACAATTACCACAGTGGTCCTGAGGTGATGTACATCCTCAGTTTACCAAGATAACAGGATTAAGAGATTAAATTAAAGACAGGCATAAGAAATTATAAAAGCTTTATTTGGGAACTGATAAATGTCCATATTAAGATGAACTCTTCACATTTACGTTCCTCTGCCATGGCTCCAGCTGGTCCCTCTGTTCAGGGTCCCTGACTTCCCGTAACAAAAATACAAAAAAGTTAGCCGGGCACAGTGGTGGGCGCCTGTAATCCTAGCTACTGGAGAGGCTGAGGAAGAGAATTGCTTGAACCTGGGAGGCAGAGGTTACAGTGAGCTGAGATTGCACCACTGCACTCTAGCCTGGGTGACAGAGTGAGACTCCATCTCAAATAAAATAAAATAAAATAAATAAAATTTAAAAAAAGGAGCTACATAAATATGGGTTTTATAAAGGTTATTTTTTACCATAGATAGCAATTCACTAAAAATTTACTGAACATTAAAGTAGATGCTGTGGATGGGTTAAAGAGAATTACGTTCAAAGAAGTGACTGGGTAAAAAATGCTCAAGAATGTAGATGGATAACTGAATTGAAAGGCCATTGTTGAGGGTAGGTGCTTTTTATTCAATCTCATGAGGTAGAGAGATTTAAGTGAACTGAAGGACCTAGAGAAGGAGAGAACAGTATAGAGGATAGATAGTTACACACACATACACACACTCCTCTTACACCTGTTTATGTTAGGAAAGCATAGAAGAGAAAGAGAGAACTGCCAGTTGCTAGGGAAAATAGCTTCACCCTCAGTCTGGACATTAACCAGTGAGAATAGCTAGGCTTTCCTTAAGAATCAGAGATTTATACAAACAGAATTAGTTGAGGTGATCCAGCTGTGAGTACTAGGATGGAAATTTAGACTTCTGTTTTCTAACTTGCCTGTGTCCAGGTTCCTCATCTGTAAAATTAGGTAAATGTCTCTATCATAAATATAAGGTGAATATTTACTCTAGAACTTACTCTAGAGATGAGATAATTCAGACGTTAGACTTCTTTACTCTCTCTGCTTTGCCCACCCTAACATTCCTTACCTGGAAAATAAGGTGGATATCTGTATGTTAAATAAAAACTGAATATGAGGTGAAATCAGCACATTCGAAGAAGAAGATAAAATGCTGGGTTTCCAAGTCTTCTGTGAAAGAGCTATATATATTATATGATATATATAATTCCTGGGGTGATGACATCAGGGAAATACATCAGCAGCTATGGTGAGTCTGAGAGCATTCATGTTGGACATGATTATGATGGTTCATGCGAGAAATAGAGTTAGCAGATAAGAGAAACATTTAGTCACTATTTTATTTAATAGTGTGTAGATCTTGGGGATTTGTAAAATAACCTGTTTCAATTTGGGGCCATCTGAAATTATTTCTTGTTATTCAGGGTTTCAAGATTGTTTTTCAAATGTAGATTAAAAATATATAGGAGTCAGTTCGATTACAGATCCAAATTTTTTTTTCACCAGCATATTTTTGTTTGAGAACAACTAGTACAAGAAATCATTTTAAGCTGGAATGGGATGAGCAAATTTAGTATATTTTCTTAGGGCTTTTGAGCTGTTATGTTACTATAATAAAATAATTTAATTTTCTTCAAGTTTACAAATTCTTTCATATGGCACCAGCAAGCATAGCCACATTCCCGTTACTGTAGCTTAAATCCTAAAATGAATAGAAAAAAAAACTGAGAAATTTAAAATCCCAGAAATCCATACTCAATTCTAGATATCTAATACATGCTAGTATTTTTATCTTGTTCTCTCTGCTTTCCATCCTTAAAATGAATTTCTAATATTTTGTATGTGTGTATAAAAATGAGACACAAAGGGAATTTTTGCTGGCTACTCCTTTGTTGAGTGTTTGTATTGGAGATGGATCTTCTCAGCCCAGCAATCCTGCCTGTGATCTAAAGGACTCACAGTGACCTGATGACTTTTATTTGGATTTGCTCTTTCTGTTTTATGCAGACATCATTCAGACAGTCATCATTACTTTAATGTAAATAAGCATCCTCTAAAACCTCAAGCTCTGATAGCTTTGTTTGATCAGAAGTCCCTCAGTAACAACTTCCTCTGGGTTATGGAAGTTGACTCAGCATGAAAGCATGTTTCCGCTTTTCAGCCCTTTTGACCTATCTGTGTTCTAAATGAAACATTCAATTACTCTTACCCTTCCTGTTTTCTAACCTTTGCCCATTGTGAGCCCTTCAATATGAATAAAATATCTAGCATACCAAAGAGGAAATAATGAGTCTAAAAGGTATCCGTCAAGTATGATGTAGTTGCCTGGCCAGCTATAGGCAGAGAAAAAGCACAACTCCCTGCTGTGCATTCTTCTTTGAGAAAAGAGTTACTGACACCTTTTAGTCTTCTCTCCATGGGAGCTTATTTCTTTTTTCTCCATCCACAGCATTTCTAAGATCCACATCATCAGAGAAAGAAAAGTAGAAGAAAAAAAATCAAGTGTGAAATGCAATTATAAACTGCATCTTGAAATCTATACCACCAAGAGGCTAACAAGGCAGAGGGTCCATGGCCTCTTTTCAAAGTTCAATTTCAAAGGGTAACTCTATATGCCTGAAATTGATGGTGCAACCAGGAGGGTCCCACCCATCAATTGCAGGTTTCAAAACTGCAACTCTTTCTTTGATATCAATAATAGATGACTGGGAGGCAGCTTATAAAATATAATTGGCAGCTTGGACTGAGTCTGAACACAGTAGCTTGCAAACTTATGTAATCCTGGAATTTGAGAGTTTACGTACCTTGGTGGGGAGCAAGAGGACATGGGCCATGATTAAATGCCCTGAACAAAACAAGTGAGATTCATATCTTTTTCCAGTCCTCATCCTTTCTCATCCCAGTGAATGGAAACCTGATAGTAACCTGGAAATCAACTGTAACTTCTTCCTCTACTATGTTCTCTTACATTTAAAATCCAAATCCTACCATAATTAACTCATGCATTCACATCTTTCCATCACACTCTCCAATTCATGCCACCATCCTGCCTAGATTCCTAAAATGATCTTTTTTTTTGTCAAGTTTTAGACTCTCCTAACGTATACTCTACATTGCAGCCAGCATGATCTTACTGAAAGACTGGTATCTTTATAATTCTCAATGTTACTATTGCCTTCCAAAACTCAAACTCCTTAACACTGGTTTGCAATGCCCTGTAGTATCTGTTCCCCACTTACCTCTCTTCCTTATCTCTCAGTCAATCCCCTTTTCTCTGTACTGAAGTAAATCCCTCTAGGTTCTCCTATCTTTACCTCTACTTTTTGGCCTATGTTCCCATTTTCCTGTAACATGCTCTTACTCTTCTGGCTTCCTCACACTTATCTTTTAGGTCTCAGTCTTCTCTCATTCTTGTACTTGATTAGGCTCCTCTGTTGCTCCCCTTAATTTCCCTCTCATAAGCCTCTTTTTAGATTGTTGCATCACTGTTGATATATCTTCATCCTGAGAATGGAAGCTCTCTGACAGCTCTGTGAGGGCAGGGAAGGTACATCAGCTTTTGTGGATATTCGTATGCCCATGACTCCATGATGTTTGTTGAATGAAAGGACAAATTAACTTTACTATGCCCCTGAGATCCAGTGTCATGAATTGTGTATTAGTCTGTTCTCATGCTGCTAATAAAGACATAACTAAGACTGGGTAAGTTATAAAAAAAAAAAGAGGTTTAATTCCTTTACAGTTCCACATGGCTGGTGAGGCTTCACAATCATGGCAGAAAGCAAAGGGGAAGAAAGACACAGCTTACATGGCAGCAGGCAACAGACAGAGAGCATGTGCAGGGAAACTCCCTTTTATAAAACCATCAGGTCTCATGACACTTAATCACTATCAGGAGAACAGCATGGAAAAGACCCATCCTCATGATCCATTCCATTCTACCAGGTTCCTTCCAGGACACGTGGGAATTATGAGAGTGACAATTTGAGATTTGGGTGGAGACACAGCCAAGCCCTATCAAATGGCTAACTGAGAAGTGGGTTTTCCTTTCCTAGTCTATCTGGAAATTGAGGGAGTGGTTGACAAGACAAAGTGCCATGAATGAATGGCTTTGTGTGTCGCTCACAGAGAAGGAATGGAGAAGACTGCTTTTTTGCCTTAAAGACTGGGCTACTTTGGGAGACATTGCATCCTTCCTGGCCTTGCTCTCAAAGCTTCAAATGGGGGAGGGTAGTGAGCATGGGGAAATAAACTACATTAAAACCTGTTATAAGGGATGAGAACTCTGTAGAATTAGAATATATAAGCAATACAAAATGCTGAAAGCTTTCAGAGAGTGTAAAATGCAGGGTTAGGCCAGGCACGGTGGCTCATGCCTTTAATCCCAGCACTTTGGGAGGCCGAGGCAGGCGGATCACCTGAGGTCAGGAGTTCAAGATCAGCCCGGCCAACATGGCAAAACACCATTTCTGCTAAAAATACAAAAATTAGCTGGGCATTTTGGTGCAAGCCTGTAGTCCCAAGCTACTCTGAAAGTTGAGGCAGGAGAATGGCTTGGACCCAGGAGTTGGAGGTTAGAGTGAGCCAAGATCATGCCACTGTACTCCAGTCTGGGTGACCGAGTGAGACTCTGTGTCCAAAAAAAAAAAAAAAAAGGGGGGGTTATATGAAATTTTCTTTTACATTTTTCCTTCTATACTCAGTATTTTAAATTTCCTAATTCTACCCTTCCTCCCTCCTTCTCTTCCTGCCTGCCTTCCCGCCTGCTTTCCTCCCTCTTTCTTCCCTCCCTCCTTCCCTCCCTTCTTTCCTTCCTTTCTTCCTGCCTTCCTTTTTCCCATGAGTACACAGTTATTGTGAGCCTATATGACATTTCATGTACAGTTGCAGGCACTGAAGATACGATGGTGATTAAGTAAAAACAAAATCACCGGACTCAGGAAGCTCATATTTTAGTGAAGAGACCAACTAATATATATTTTAAAATGTGTAATAAAATGTCAGTTAGTGATAAGTGCAATGAAGGAAAATAAAGTAGGAGAAAGTATAAAGAGTGATTAAAGTACGGGGAGAGTGGTGAGGATAGGCTATTTTAGGCCTGAATGTCAGAGAAGACTTTCTAAGAAGGTGTCAAAAATTTCACTAGAGAAGATTATATAGGAAAGGAAGAGTTTGAGACTACTGCGATAGGGTCAAAGATATGGAAATAGGGGAAAGAGATCAAATTCACCTTTGCCAACACAAAAGGAAGGAGAATTTTAAAGAACGGTGGTGAGCTAGTGGAAAAGCACTGGAGGACATAGGGGTTAATGGACGAATGACTTGGCCATTTGTTTTTGCTAATTGTCTCTTATCGAAGTTAGGCTCCTACACTCTCACAGAGACTGGGATGACTCCTACGTTTTTGAGAAACATATTTCTGGCTTGTAAAACTGGAAAGAGGCTGGGAGATTTATATCTTAAAAGGGGACAGAGAAGGAATTTATTATTGTGAGTTTTCTAAAGTAAATGCTGTAAGAAAAGGGAGGCCAGGGACCTATAGCCAAGAAGTCTGAGCAAAGTTTAATCAAGCTGAGGAGAATGTTAAGGCCATCTTTGACATTTGGGCAGAGACTTAAGGAAGTGAGAGTGAGTTGCAAACAGGTTCTGAGTATGAGCACTACAGGCTGAGGCAAGAGCCAATGCAAACCACCACTAAACAACAAGCCTGACTCTGCAGGAGCAGTCAAAAAATACTAGTTAGACTCAAGTGGAGTGAACAAGGAGGGGAAGGGAGGAAGGTGAGGCCAGAAAGCTGGACAGAGGCCAGACCAAGGAGGATTTGCTGGGAAAGTTTGAAGTTTATTCTGAGTGTGCTGGGAAGTTATTGGAGGTTTTAAAGAGAGTTTCATCTACATGTAAAAGGTAGTCTCAGGCTGCTGTGTTGAGGAGTAGAAGCCAGGAGACTATCACGGAGACTGTTGCAATACCCATACATGAATCTTAGAGTAGGGTGGTAATAATGGAGGTAGAGGGGCTTGGCACATTAGCTAGAGTTCTCCAGAGAAACAGAACCAAGAGGAGGTTTATTCATTAATTAATTTATTTATTATGGGAATTGGCTTATGCAATGATGGAGGATCAGAAACCCCATATTCTGCCATCTATAACCTGGACAACCAGGAAAGCCACTGGTATAATTCAGTCTGAGTCCAAAGGCCTGAGAACCGGGGACTGCAGATTAAGTCTCAGAGTCTGAAGGACTAGGAGCTCTGATGCCGAGGGAGGAAGATGGATGTCCAGCTCAAGAAGAGAGAGAATTCAGCTTTTTGTTCTGTGTGGGCCTTCAGTCAATTGGATGATGCACACAACGTGGATGGTGAAGGTTGATCTTTACGCAGTCTGCTGCTTCAACTGCTCATCTCTTCTGGAAATGTCCTCACAGATACACCTGGAAACAGTGATTTACCAGCAATCTTGGCATCTCTTAGCCCAGTCCAGCTGACACATAAAATTAACCATCATACTTGACACATGTGAAAGTGTATATTCTTTGCTGAAAAAATAGATATGAGATAAAAATAGAAGTGAAGGGAAGCTTAAAATTTTTGACCTGAGTAACTAGGTAAATATTGATGATACTATGAAATAGAGAAGCCTGGATGGAGGAGTAGGTTTAGAGGTTTATGAGGGGTATAAAATAAAGAGGTCAGTGTTGGACAAGATAAATTTGATAAGCCAAGTAGGTATTATAAATTTGATAAATGTATTGATAAATTTGATAAGCCAAGCCAGGTATGTCACCTGGGCAGTTGCATATATTACACTGAAGCCCAAGAAGAGAGACTTTGGAGATGAAAAGAGAAATTTGGGAGTCAGAGTATACATGGTACTTAGGGTCTTCTGAGTCTTTTTCAGGGTATGAAGATGAGAAGAAAAATACAGCATTTTTTTTCAAATTTATTCATATTTATTTACTGACTCAGCCTAATATATATGTATATAGAATATCTATATATAAAATTCATTAGCATGAATAGTTAATATAAATGTATATATTTAATTCATTTGCATGAATAGTGACTTCGTTCAGTAACCTTTTTTTTCTGCTGCACTCCAGGTTGAATTACAGAATAAGCAAGTGCTTTAAGGGAACAGCAAAGCAAGAATGCTGAATTTGTTTTAAAAAATGCATTTGATATTTCAAAAATTTATATGAGATAATAATGGGAAAATGCAGAATTTTGTTTTGCCTTTTAACCTCATTTTCCCAATATAGTATTTTTAGAATATGCCTATATTTGGGGTGTATGACACTATACCATTTCAGTCTTAATAGCGCCTTGACCAGACCCAAAGCTTGGTACTGGTCACTGTAAGAAACAAATAGCTCACCCTGTTCATTTTTTTAAAATGTATTGTAGAATCTCTACTTAGCCGTAAATAAAGCAAAAGTGACTATGCATAAATGAATAATGACACTCTGCATTAACTGGTGGTAGTTTTTAGTTCTTTATTAACTTTAATCAGTGGTGGATGAAACTCAAGGGATTTTAGAAATCAAACAAACTCAGATGAGCATCACAAAGAGAATATTTCCAGATGGTAGTCTATTGTTTGGTCCTCAGATATTTATTTTATTTTTATGTTATTTTTACACATTTAGTGGGAAATTGTCAAATATAAGGTCAGATAGGGATATTATGTGTCCACTCTGTACCTGGCCTGGTTTTAAATGCTGGGATTATAGCCATTTTAAATGGATAAAAGTATTTGCTCTTTTTGAAACAAATAGATAATAAAAATAAATAAGCATAATTTATATGCTAACTGGTAATAAGCACTATGGATAAAAATAAAACAGGATTAGAGGGAATAGAGTGCATTGAGTTGGGGATATGTTTGCAATTATAAACAGGATGATCAGGGAAGGCCTCACTGAGGGGATGTTATATTAGTCTTTTCTCACATTGCTGTATAGAAATGCCTGAGACTGGGTAATTTATGAAGAAAAGAGGTTTAATTGGCTCACAGTTTTTCAGGCTTTACAGGAAGCCTAGTGTTGTCTGCTTTTTGGGAGGTCTCAGGAGACTTCCAATCATGGTGTGAGGCAGACGGGGACCTCTTACATGGCAGCAGCAACAGCAAGAGAGAGAGCAAGGAGGGAGGTGCTACACATCTGTAAACAACCAGATCGCTTAAGAACTCACTATCATGAGAAGAGCACCAAAGGGATGGTGCTAAGCCATTCATGAGAAATACCTCCATGATCCAATCACCTCACACCAGGCCCCACCTCCAACATTGGAGATTGCAATCCAACATGAGATTTGTGTGGGAACATAGATCCAAACCGTATCAGTTATTTGAGCCAAGATATGAAGGAAGTAAGAGAGCAAGGCCTGTAGACATACCTAAAAAGGGCATTGCAGGCAAAGGAAACAGGAGAAGACATTTTTAGGCTTAAGCATGGCTGGAATGTTTGAGGAATAGCAAGGCGACTACTGTCTAGGGAGCCAAGTGAGGGAGAGGAGGACAGTAGGAAATGATGTTAAGGAAATAGCGGAGACAAGATTATTAGAGCCTTGAAACCACTGTGGCTAATTGGCTTTGAATTTGATGAAAAACCACTGGAGGTTTTTAACCAGAGAAGTAACATGAGCTGATTCACATGTTGAAAGGATGACTCTGGCTGCCATGTTAAGAACAGACATTAGATATGGGCTGGGGGGAGGGGTAAGAGTAAAATCAGGGAGAACTCCAGGATGCTATTGCAATAATACAAGTCTTCACCTGATGATTAGTGATGACAGTGGATGACAGTGGACCGTGCCCTTTGTTGTGGAGGTGAGGTAGGATCAGAAATATCTTGAAAGTACCTGTGGTGAGACTTGCTAAAGAAACGTAGGTGGTATGTGAGAGAAAGAAAGAAAGGATAACCTCAGGGTTTTTGGCCTGTAGAATTGGAAGAATGAAGTTACCATCTACTGAGACTAAAAACTTAGGAGAGAGAGGTTTGAGGATAAAGATTAGGTATTTATTTTAGGATATTTTAAGTTTGGTATGCCTACCAAAGGTGCAGTTGTAGTTATCAAGAAGGCAGTTAGGTACATGAGTCTGGAGTTCAGCAGTGAGGTCTAGGGGTATCTGGGATTAATCAGTACATATCTTATATTTAAATGAACAAGTATAAGTAGTTGAGTTGTCCAAGGACTGAAATCAGGGGTGTTCCATCCATGTTTAGAGGTTAAAAAGATGAGGAGGCACCAGCAAAGGAGACTGAAAGCAGTGATACAGGTGGAAATCCAGCAGACGGTGGTGTTCTGGAAACCAAGTGAAGAAAGCATTTGGAGGAGTGGTGAACTGTGTCCAAAGACACTGGCTTGTCTAGTGAAGTGACTGAGAATGGAAACTTGCATTTAGCAACATGGAGGCCACTGGTGACCTTGAGCAAGCAATTTCAGAGGAATAGTGGGGCAAAAGCCTGGGTTTAAGAGAGAACTGGAGGAGAGGACATGTTGGCATTAGTGAATGTAGAAAACTTCTTTAAAAATTTTTGTTATAAAGGAGAGCAGAAAAAAGTGTTTTGACTGGGAGACCTTATGGCAATAGGGTTTTGTTTGTTACTTTTTTAGATGAGAAATATGTATGCTACAGACTGATGATAAAGAACATATTGGTGTTACAGGAGAGAAGGTAATAGAGAGGATTGCTTGAGTCATATACTTGACTAGTGGAGAGGCCTGGGGTTTAGTGTTCAAGAGAAGTTGCCTTTAGTTAGGAGATGAGAGGGAGAGTCTGTCTCTGTCTCCTCTGCTCCTTTCTTTTCCTTTCCTGCAGTCTCCATCTCTCCATCTCTAGTCTCTTTCCCTCCTTCTCTACCTGCCCATCCTCCAAATTTTGTCAAAAGTGGTTTAAGGGGTCCTACTAGGATTTCAAAAATTTAACCATATTAGAATTAAAATATTAAAAAAGGAAAAAAAAAACCAGAGTTGAGATATAGGGTTTGTCAACTTAGAATAAATATAGGCAACTCATCTTACTAAGTACTTAAATATTTCAGCAATCCTAAGATAAACAGGCATCTCTTCTTGTCTCAGCTGTGACACTGACTAGCTGGGTAATTTTGGTTGAATTACTTAACCCATCAGGAGTTCTTTTTTTTTTTTTTTTTCCAGAACTAAAATGAGAGTAATAAACTTAGTATCTAAGATCTCTAAAAGTTTTAAAGACTATTTATTTGTAACATATTAATGACTTCATTTTGTCTCACATGAACTATCCACTAATTCAAAAATGACTAATTTTTTGCAAATTTGTCTCAGATACATAATGTTTAACTTCACTTATGTTTTATGTTAACATACTCTTTTTAAAAACATTTAAGGTAAATACTTCTGATATTCTATCATGGTGTGGTTTAAATATGATTTTAAGAATGTATAGCTTTATATGGAACTTAAGATCTTTTTCTTGTTGACTCATTCATTTTTCTAAATAAAATGGTGACAGCTACAAAACAATATGCATATAAACAAAAAAATAACTACACATGGAATGAGCATTTAAATAATCTCTTAAATGTTTATATTCCATTATCTTTCTTAACTCTCTAGGAAAAGGAAATTAACATGCATAATATTGGAATCCAAGTTCCTATGCAAACCAGAGTGAGTGTACAAATTATTCATAATATGCTAAAAATCTAAAATAGATGAATTTTTATCATCCTTATCCTTTAACTGTTCTTAATGGTCCCTCTGGAGATCTCTCTTTCCCCCCCATTATCAGCTGTGAATTCTATTATGTCTCTTAAAAACTATCCCACTTTCTATGAATTTTCTTACAAAGCCAAGACTTTGTTAATCTACTACCATCACTAGCAAAAAATTCAGTTTTATATTTAGTGGTAACAATTCAACATTACCCCCAGAGATTCTTGAACACACAAGGGGTATGTGTGACATTGATGTGATCTCTAAAGAATTACTAGACAATGATCTCACTTATATGTGGAATCTACAAAAGTTAAACTCATAGTAGTGATAGAGGCAAGAAGCAGACAAAGGCTTAGGCAGATAGGGAAGGGTCCCTGGAGAATCTCCGACCCGCCCCACAAGTGTTTACATCAGATATTTTGTGCAGATAAGGAAACCTGCACAGGGGGCTTTCCTGGGCATGCCTGCAGTGGACTAGAGGCCCACATGCACTGAGGGAAAGGGTAGAGTCACCAGGAATTCACGCCTTATGCAGACGAGGATCCTGGCCTCTTCAGCTCATGTGTGGTGGTCCTGGTATTCAATCTGTGAGGTGGAAACCTGCTTGCAAGGCCCCCACTCTTTGCTGAGAGCTTTCTTTTCACTTAATAAATTCCGCCCTCTTCCCCCTTCAGGGTGTCTGTGTGCCTAATTCTTCCTGGTCATGAGACAAGAACCTGGATTAGCTGAGCTAAGGAGCAAAAAATCCTGCATTACTAGCAGAGAATAGAATCATGGTTATCAGGGGCTTGCAGTGTGAGGGATGTGGAAATTAGGTCAAAAGGTACAAAATTTCAGTTAGATGAAAGATAGCAATATTTATAGGAGGATATTCTTTTAAGCACAGAGTTCTTAAAATCAGCTGACTTCCCTTTAGTTATGTATACCTAACATTGAACAGTTGATTTTTGAAAATTTTCTGTGAACTCAAAAGAAAAAAATAAAAACAAGTGAAAAAGTAATCAACCAGCCAAACAAACAGATTGGTTGGACAGACAGCAAGTCCCTGACTCTAAGTAATCACAACACCCATTTTTTGAGGCTTCTGAGTTTTCTGAAGCCTAAAAGCTGAAGCAAATCAGTTTATTTTTGTTCACCAAGCATATAAATGCCAAATAACTAGTGTGGTCATTCCCAGACTGGAATAGATATTGAGATTGGTTCTTTTTTTTAAGCTTTTTAGTTGACATGTAATAATTATTGATAGTAACGGGATAGAGAGTGATATTTTGGTAATATGTATAATGTGTAATGATCCAATCAGGTAATTAGCATATCCATCACCTTGAATTAAGATTGGTTTTCAGAGTGTGTTATTTGTCATTTAATTATGTTCAGTGATCCCCCATTGAAAACCAAATCAAACCAAACCAAACCACATAAAAATATACTCTCGAAATTATGTTTCATTCAGCTGTCACTCTCTTTCTCTCTTCAAAGCCAGCCTCCCTCCTCACACACTCTACTGAAACTGCTTCTCTCACCACTAACCTATGAATGGCCAAATTGTGTAACCTAGGCATTGTGTAACTCTGTTGGTCCAAACATATCTAACCAAACTCTTCTCCTCTTGCCTCTCATGGCTTTATATTCTTGTAGTTTTATTCCTATGTTTATTTCTTCTCTATTTTCAGGGTCCCCTAATTCTGCCTTTCCTGAAATAGTGATACTCCTCAGAATTCTTCCTGAAATGTCAGAGAGTTATCTTAGAAGTGCTCACTGCAGGTCAGACAAAGAAATGAGAGCTATTAATACTATAATGGGCTGTCATTTTAGTCTCTTTAAAGTTTTGGTGATAATAGGACAAATATAAAAGTAATTCAGAAAAGAATAAAGCAATAAATGGATTAGATGAAGCTAAGCCTGTGAGATGATCACAGAGTGGGGTGATAGACCCTTGCATAATGTAAGATTAAGTAATAATATGCTTGACAGCCAGCCACATGGAGTATTGGATTCTTGTCCCCTTAAAACTTGGAATTCGTGGTCAAACAATTATTAAAAATTGGCCAGAGTATGTCCTTGGTAAAATGAGATAATAAATGTCTCCCTAATAGGTATTATTAAACTCTGGAAACATACAGAATTAAGACTAGGAATATTTAAGAAAATCAAAGCAGAATATTATTTTTATGTTAAAAACTGTATAATTTTTAGCATTTTATAGTACTGATAATGTTTAAGAGAATTTGCCATATTTGAATTATAGTCCAGTCTTAAATTAGCTATTTAAGGCTGGGCATGGTGGTGGCTCATGCCTGTAATCCCAGCGTTCTGAGAGGCCAAAGTAGGTGGATCATGTGAAGTCAGGAGTTCAAGACCAGCCTGACCAACATGGTGAAATCCCATCTCTACTAAAAATACAAAAATTAGCCAGGCATAGTGGCAGGTGCCTTTAATCCTGGCTACTAGGGAAACTGAGGCAGAAGAATTGCTTGAACCTGGGAGGTGGAGGTTGCAGTGAGCCGAGATTGCACCACCACACTCCAGCCTGGGCGACAGAGCGAGACCCCATCTCAAAAATAAAATGCTATTTAAAATGGATAAATAATTATTTTGCCTTGTGATTTTAAGTAAAATCCATGACAGAAATCAGCATGGCCCATTCATTGCTCATTCTCTATCCATTTTGCAAAAACTAGAAACCTAAAGTCTACATTTTTCAAACTCCCTTGCAAGTACAGTTCTACATGTAAATTCGGTACACCTGAGTAAGACTTGGACTCATGATGAAATAACCTGGGGTTAAGGGGCATTCACTATGCATGTGCAGATCATAGCAGAAACAACATGATTTTGGAGCCAATAGCTATAGACATGGCTTCCAGATTCAGCAGGTGGTGGCTTTCTAATTTGGCATCTTCCTAATGGTGGCTTCCTTCAAGAGTCAGCAGCAGGCAACAGCTTCCTTACTCTGCACCAATCATCTATGGCAGAAGTAGCAGCTCCCATTTTTCTGAGCATGCTGCCCTCAGTGCCTGGAAGGTCTCACCTTCCTATCTCTGCCTGAATTATATTAACTTAGCTTTCCAGATTCAGCCAATGTATCGGTTTGTCACGGAAGATTTTGGGAACACCCTCACACCCCACTGCCCTGGGTAAGTTAGGTCACCCTCCCATGTGTTCTCATTTATGCCTTGTGTATTCCCAGTTTACTAAGTAGCACACTCCATTATATTTATTGGTTTATTTGATCTATTTCTCTATTATATAGTAAGAGCCTTTTGGATAGAAACTATGTCTTTGTTTTAACTATGAAACCCCAGCCCTAAGTATATTTGGTACATAGTAGGCACTCAATACATCAATGAATGAATGAATGTCTGAATGCCAGTGTGAGGCTTCCATGCAAATGTGGCCTTCTCATTGAAATCATTATTTCTAAACATATATGAGAAATTATTCCCAAAGAGAGAAACCTAATTACTCTGTAATTCAAATGAAGTAGCATCTAATCCACTCTCACATGTAACGTTCCTGAATGGTCCATGAAGCACCATTGAATTTCCTAAATCTTTCTTTCCTGATAAGAGCCCATTAACTTAACTAAAAAGAGCGCTTATTTCCAGGCTCTGTTTTGGGGTGAGAAAAACACTTTACTAACTAAATATTTGTAAAGGGAAGAGTCAAATTAAAATGATGAGGCAGATTGGTTTCTTTAGCAGTTTTTACCTTGTAATTGCCCTATCTTGTTTGTTCAGTTACGACCAAAGAGAGACAAAGTATGGACTCCAGTGGTTGGAAGAATTTCTTAAAACATTAGATTAAGAATGTAGGCATTTTAGGTTTGCAGGACACTGATGAAAGAATTTTGCATTCATATTACTTCCACTTGTGATTTAGGCAATAGTTAAAGGTTTTTAGTATCAACGGTATTGTCACGGGAAGCAGAAAATTGCAATACAAAGAAAAATTTGGTAGCTGTCTAGTAATGACAATACCTGATACATTATATATGGCTGGCTGTTTTAATTTGAATTAATTAAGCTTGTTTATGTCTTCCAAATATCTACCTGCACAGATAAAGATAACTGGTAACCTTTTCTTTTTCTGATGGAATGGAATGTTTTTATGTGTCAAATTATAGATCATTAATGAAAAGGCAGAGAAAATGATGAAGATATCATACTGCTATCCCATCTACACAGTCAAGTTGAAACTTTTAAACAAACATAATTGCCATAGTACAATGAATTGTTATATATATATAGTACAATGAATTATTATAGTACAATTATATATAGTACAATGAATTATTTTCAAACACAAACCTTCATTTTCTATGTTTCTTGACTGTCTTTTATGGTATTCATATTCCCCATCAAGAAATATAGGACTATAGCCTCTCATTCAAGTTATTGCTGAGAATCCTGCGGCAGTGTTCACCTTCTGACTGGTGCATCTCACTCCTAACATTGTTCTGAACACCATTCATGTATTCAATAAATATGTATTTTTTTTTTCTTTGAGACAGAGTCTCGCTTTGTCATCCAGGCTGGAGTGCAATGGCACAATCTTGGCTCACTGCAACCTCTGCCTCCTGGATTCAAGCGATTACCCTGCCTCAGCCTCCCGAGTAAATGGGACTACAAGTGCTTGCCACCATGCCCGGCTAATTTTTGTATTTTTAGTAGAGGCGGGGTTTCACCATGTTGGCCAGGCTGGTCTTGAACTCCTGACCTCAAATCATCCACCCACCTCAGCCTCCCAAAGTGCTGGGATTACAGGCGTGAGCCACCATACCAGGCCTAAATATATATTTTTGTGCTGCTTCTGTATCCAGGACTGTTGCAAGCACTGGGGAACCAGTTGTGAAAAGCAGAGATGTGGTGTGAGTACTGGCCTTTTTAGAGTAGCTTAGTTGGTAGCTGGAAAAGGGATATATACAAGCAAGGTTAAAGAAAGAAAAGAGTAGTAAGTGCTGCGAAGGAAATTAATAGGGTACTGTGAGAGAGACTGACAGCAGACATGGGCCTTTGAGAGCTCCCAAGTCATTGTGTCCCTGCACAATGCTGGACCTCTACTGGCTTTCTCTAAGTTCCCTGTGATGTGGAACTCCTGTGATGGGCTCCTGGCAGGCTTCCTGGGAAGGTGACTGCCTGCTCACCATGTCCCAATACCTTTGTGTGCTACAAAGTTCTCTTCTTTCTCAGAGGATTTTACTTTATTAAATGAACCCTTAACACCCTAGCCAGAAGTATTTGCATTTGGATGACTTTAATTGTCTGGGCTTTCCTGAGAACACCTGTGAATATTTATTCAACTATTAGGAAACCAAAAGAGTCATCATAGTTGTGTCTGTCATGTAGAGAAAATAGCTCTGTACCAAAATGGTGAGTGATGTGTTACTCACTTTATATGAACAAAAGTAGAGAATTAGACAAATAATTTGGATTTGGGATGAATTACAAAACCTCAGTAGCAGCACTGAATGGCCATTTAGCTAGGAAACAGAAGCTTGGCAGTTTTCTGGGTTTATCTCAGGAAACAGGTTCAAATCCAGGCTGTGCTATTCACCATACCTCATGCATGACATTATGCAAATTATGTTTCTGATATTTTAGTTCACCCTAATAGTACTGAATAGAAGCAACTGCTCTCTAACTCCCAGAAGGCTGTAGGATTTAAATGGAAGTATGCCATAAAATTATTGATATTACTTTTTAAAAATTTTAGAGCAAAATAACATTTATGAGGTCAATATGTGCCAGAATTACCCAATGTTGGCAAAATTATCCTGTGTTACAGATGCAGAAGCTAACAGAGAGGGGGTAAATGGTTGACCCAAAGTCACAGTGGTAATAAGTATTACTGGGGTGAAAAATGAAATGTGATACATGGTCCTATTCTCTTTCTCTTAAACCAGGTAGAAAAATTGACGGTGTGAATTATAATTTATTTCATTCCAAGGTTTGTGTTTAAACATCTGTTGTCAGTGTCCACCTCTAAGTAGAGGAGACCTTCAGAATGGCTTGATTCCTGCTGTTACCCACCAAAATAGGCCTATTTTTACCTGCTGCACATATTCTTTACTCTTAAATTTTCTTTTAAATCAAGAGTTTTGAGATTAATATGAATAAGTAAATGAATGAATGAATGCCCTTCATTTAGGCTACTGTGAATTGGCAAAATCATTTGAGAGCTGGTCAATAGTTTGCTCTCATAAGGTAGGCTGCATAGACTCCTATGATAATTTTCTAAAACATTTGAAAAATATCCAAATAAAAGCTTAAGAATGTTGGTTGGTTTACCCAGCATTGTCTCCAAGGAAACTCTTTCTTTTTTTTTTCTTTAGCCTGAGAATTACTGTGTAGGAGGGATCCTGTGAAAAGGACCTGTTAAATCATGTTAAATATTCATTTGCTTACTTTAGCATCTGGATAAAGACTTTTTCACACTTTGAAGGATACATATCCTGGAGTAACTTTAATTGACTTGGTGAACTATCTTTCTCCCTAAAAGAAGGCTAGATAAGCTGGGACCATATATTTTATTATATTATGAAAACATAAAAAATACCATAAAGGGAAATCAAAGTAGTGATGGATCAGCAGAACTGCTGTGATAGTTGTAATATTTTTTCAAACATGTGAGCAGAAAATAATGATTTTTCTATACATATGTATGCAGAAATATACAGGTGTTTACAATCTGGTATAATTTGTAGTGAATTTTAAAATTTAAAAACAGAAGGAACCCATGAATGATTAGCATTTCAAATCCAAGGTGGATAAAAGCTATAATGAAACAGCAAATTATACTTTTTAATAAATGCATTGTTCTCCAGAAAGAGATTATTGTATTCACTGACAGCCAATTCTGTAATGATGAATTATTATTTAAAAGCCTTTCTTTATGATATTTTTAGTAAGCAATTAAGAAATAACTGCTCAGCTAATTTTTATGTATATGTTTATAAATCTTGGCTTTAGTTAAAATTTCCATCAAGTTAGCTGATAAATATTTTTGATAGTATATGTATCTCCCCTACCTTTTCTTTCTTTAAAATTCCCAAACAGCATAATTTTTCCAACCATAAAAATACAGTAAAAAAAAATTGGCAAAGTTGGATTTTATACCTGTTGCCTTTTTAAATAAGAAGCACTAATCATCACTTAGAATTTCACTGTTACTTGTCCTCAAAGCGTAGAACTTTTGCTGTGGTCCCTCAAATTGTGATTAACCTAAGGCCAAATTTCTATCTTATTTTGTACCTCTTCCTATTTTTAGGTCTTTCTAAGGTCTTTAAAATGCAAGGAAAATGCCCTAGTCCTGAATCTGAGGAAGATTCAGCATAAAAGAAATGTAGCACTTTTATTTTCAAACTGGAAAAAGTTAAAAGTTTCTTTGGGGCCAGGTGTGATGGCTCACTCCTATAATCCCAGCACTTTGAGAGGCCAAGGCAGGTGAACTGCCTGCACTCAGGAGTTTGAGACCAGCCTGGGCAACATGGTGAAACCCTGTCTCTACCAAAATACAAAAAATTAGCCGGGCATGGCGACGTGTGCTTGTAGTCCCAGCTACTTGGGAGGCTGAGGCAGGAGAATTGCTTGAACCCAAGAGGCAGAGGTTGCAGTGAGCCGAGATCACGCCACTGCACTCCAGCCTGGGCAACAAAAAAGAAAAGAAAAAAAAAGTTTATTTGGCATTAAGGTATGTTTAAAAATTTTTTACTCTCATTTTAATTTTTATAAGCATCTCACAGTTTTCTGGGGTATATTATTGGTAATCATTATGGTTTACCAGTTGATTGTAAGTTTTATGATTATCAATCATGTAAGCTTTTTATTTTTGTATAAAACATCTATTGACAAATGGATGAAATCAGCAATGATCCAATTATTGAAATTTAAGGTACAGAGGAAGAGTGCCCTCTAAATAAAAGTGTTCTTCAAAGACCTGAAAGATAAACTTTGTATTTTTTATTTTTTGCTTTGGAGAGCTTTCAATCAATAAGCAGCTCAAAGTGAAGTGCAGGTAACCAGGCAGTGAGTCCAGGGCTGTATCTTTCCGTGATGCAGCAGGAGGAGAGAACAGGATCAGTAGAAAGAGAAGAAGGTTAGATAGAAGCTAAACTGTTGTACCTTAAAATTCTGCCTCCAGCTAGTGCTAAAAATTTTAAATATAATTCTGTTTTTGGCTGGGTCATACCATACTCTCTTTCACATGAAGTTCTTTAAGCTTAATTTTTTCAGAATACTTCTCTTGAATTTTTATTATTTACTTTTGCATGATTTCTATCTTTAGTTACTAACAGAACATCAGTAGTTATACTTTTAATAATTTGTTTTTAGGCATTGCTATGGTTTAAGTATCATTTATACTCACCAAAATTTGTGTTGAGGATTAAGTTTACAGAGTGTAATGTGTTGAGAGGTTATAAGACCTTTGAGATGTGTTTGGGTACTGAGAGATCTGACCTCATGAAGAGATTAATGCAGTCACCTGGGAGTGCGTGGGTTCCCACAGGACTGGATTAGTTTCCATGAGAATGGGTTCTTATGAAGCAAGGCTGCTACTTGTGTTTGGTCTGTTTTTGCACATGTTTGCTCACTCTTCCACTTTCCTGCCATGCTGTGAAGTAACATGAAGTCCTCACTAGGTGGGCTGCCCAATGTTGGACTTCCCAGCCTTGAGAACCATAAGCTAAATAAACCTCTTTTCTTAATAAATTACCCAATATCAGGTATTCTGCTATCGTAACACAAAACAGACTAAGACGGTCGTGTAGCTTTAAACAATAATGGCTAAGTTAAGGCCAGGGCACTTGGAAAAGCTTACAATTTTCTGTCCTCACTTGTCTCATTTATATATATATATTTGAGACATTATATATATATATATATATATATACACACACACACACACACACATATACAAATGAGACAAACGTCTCATTATGTATAATATATATTTGCCTCATTTATATATATATAAAATCTATTTATATATATAAAATCTATTTATATATATAAAATCTATATATATATAAAATCTATATATATATGAAATGTATTTATATATATATAAAATCTATTTTTATATATATATATAAAATCTATTTACATATATTTTAAATATATTCACAAATTTCTTCTACCTGCAGAGGGAGTTCCTAGAACAAGGGCTATTCTGTAGCTTTAGTTAATTAATAGTCTGAGGAATAAGAAAGAATAAAAGACAGAGTAGTCTTTTGTTATTAACACACAGAGTCCAATTTTCTATATTATCCATTTATTAAGTGTCAGTAAATTATCACCCACATACAAAGAGATGAGTTGCTGCATAAAGGTTTTTGCTTAGAAATACAGTTCTGTATAATAGTGTTTACCTTTGAAGATGCAGGTCTTGTGTGAAGATTATTTAAGTCCAGGCTAGTGAGGATTTTTCTTTTTTGTCCTGCATGAAGTAATTTAGACTCATTCTGTGAATTTTTGTTCATTTAGAAATATGTTGGACTAAAGTATAATGTTATGGTATGTGATCCACTGAGAATATCTACTTTTCTGGGCTCACCACTCAAGAAAGGGAGCTGCTATTTTTCCTCCCTGGTAGAATCCATACTGAGATCTAGAACTGGTGTGAAGATTTTATCTTCCAGTTCAGTCAAGCCTCTCACCTTTCAGGAGGCATAGTTAAGTTGGTCTATTTAAACAAGCTTTCCCTAACAGAAGGGTACCAGGGGTCATCTAAATAGTCCAGGTATGCTATAGCTGATCACCATAGACAATAGTAACAACAGCAGTTTAGGTAATGCATTTTTGTCTATTTGGGACTATATTTTTCACAGTATGAAGGCATAAACTGTACTGGACTAAGTTAAGCAAGGAAGACTTTATTTTCGTTACTGCAATAGAGGAGAGAATTAGGACTCAACTGTGCTGTGCTGAAAAAAATAATGTGGGAGGGTTTCTAAGCACTGGGGTGAGCTTGTGGTAAAATACTGAATGATTTTACTGAAAGGAAAGTTGACAAATTGTATGTGTCTTGCACATTGACTTATTCCTGAACTTGCAAATGTTTTTCTTTGTGATTAAGTCATCTGTGTTTGCTAATTGGTTCTCATCAAAATTAGATAGAGTCTCCCACTCTCCCACAGAATCTGGAAAGTAGGGATGCTGTCTTTTTTTGATGATTACATTTCAAGACATGGCTCTCAGGGCTTGGAGAAAGACATTTCTGTGTTATGAAACTGGCAGTAAGCTTTTTAAAACATTTACATGTTTAAGGGACAAAGAAAATTTTAAGAATTGCAAGTTTTCTAAAGTACATGTTCTAAGGAAAGGATGACCAGTGGTCTAGAATTAGGAAAAAGATTGTTTAAAATTTAGTGAAGCTGAGGGAACTGTTCAGTCTGTCTTGGCTAATAGCAAACATAATTTCGGCTTCTACTAAACCAGCCATAAAGTCTCATTGATTCGCAAACAACCAATTTGAATATCTGTTATTTTGGATTGAGCTTGGACTGATGTCCATCTCTATGGTCTATTTGTAAAATATTATAAACAAATAAATATTCAAAGCTAAATATTTGGGAATTATTTTAAATTTCTCAAAAACTTTTTAAAGCATGCTTCAAGCTTCTACATTACACCAACTTCACATCACCAACTGGCTCAGAAATTACAAATCTTTCGTATTCATGAAAACAGATGTCCTAACACCTCTACTAAATTAGCATTTTTACTAACATCATTCATCAAAGAAATGATGAAGATATTTAAAACAAAATGTAATCTTATAATCTCTAATTTTAACTAATCCCCGTTCCTTTAAATTAGAAATGTAATATTGACTATACACTTGCTATTTTTTTCTCATAAGTGCTCATATACCTCAGATACTTTAAACTAGAAATATTAAGCATTTATAATTTGAAGGAAAGAATAAGTGAGTACCTTGTCTGTTAGAAAGTGTAAGTGTGTGTGTAGAAAAACGCAAAATGAAGTGGTGTTGTTTTAATTATTCTACTAATTTTGTGTTAGTAAATATGTCATTGATCATCAATAGTTAATGATAAGCATTACTTGGAAATTGCTTAGTTTGGTGTTTCTCTTTGGGAGAAACAATTGCTTAGTGTATATAATCCTCCCCGCACATTCTCTTTTATTTCTTGGAAGCAGCTAAATATAATACTGCTGGGAAAAAAATTATTTTTCCTTTCTATCTTAGCTTCATGGCTGAGGCCCCTGTAACAAAAGACAGATCAATAAGAGAAACATACAAATTAATTTAATATAAGTTCTATGTGACACAGGAGCCTTCATAAAGAAATGAAAACCCCCCAAAACAGGCAAACCTATGTATTTTTTTGCTAGGTTTGATGGAGAGGTAGTCATTGAGAGGTATGACTGGATAGAAAAGTATAATCTAATGGTAAAAAACTAGGGGGAACTTGTCAAGGCTTATTTGTTCAGATTCTTCTCTGTGACCCTGTTTCTTCAGAGATAAGAATGTTTCTTTCCTGTGGGGATAGGAAGGCCACCTCTCAAATGAGGGTCATAGGAAAGCTTTAGGGGAGAAGGGCAGGAGAAGGGCAGGGAGTGACCTTTCTAGGTTTTATGACCTGCTTTGGGGGAGATGGATGGGAGAAGTCTGAGAGTGACCTTCCTGCTTCTGTAGTTTTCTCAGATTATTTTACCTTCAAATATTTTTGGAAAGCATGTCTTGAAATCCATCAATATTCAGTCCAATATCCAATACAGTGTCATTTTGAGTATCTTGCAATAAAGAAATGTTATTTGCATGTTTCATTTTATCACAGTGAAATTCAAGTGTCTGTAGTTCTTATAAGCTGTCCCTAACTTGATCACATTCAAACTTTGAGTGCCTAATATGTGCCAAGCAATACACTAGACACTGGGTTTATAGTTGTAAATATGTAAAGATTGTATTTTAGTTTATCTTCACAACGACCCAATGAGGATAGATATTATTATTTCCATTGTATGGAAGAGAAAATGAGATGCAGAGAAACTTGCCAAAAATCACTCAGTTAAGAAGAAATAGAAGCAGTATTTGAACGGAGAAAATCTTTCTCCACAGCAATAGACTTACTAACCACTATACCAAATAAGAATATATACAAATAAATCAATAATTGCAATATTTGATAAATGTTACAAAGAAAACCAGGGTGGTATAAGAGAGAGTAAAAGTGTGGTTCTCTTTCAGAGTGAGTGGTGAGGGATGAACACTCTGACTGAGAATATAGCATTATTTAAGCGGAGGCCTGAAGTTTACAGAAGAGCCATCAGCTAAATGACTGGGGTCCAGGCAGTGCCTCATAGTATTTAATGAGTCCAGCTAAATCCCTCTGGCCATCCAGACTTGCACTGCTCATTCCTGCTTTCATATCTTTGCCTGTGCTCTCCTGTTCTTTCCTGTACTGTTATTTTTCCCATGTAAAATCTTTTTTTTTTCTCAACGTAGCACTTACCTTCATGTTGCTCTTGTGACATAATAATTATGTACAAGTTGCCTGATAGTTCCTTGACTTGCTTTATTGGTATATATGTTATATTCAATGGGCTGTGCTGACCACTGGTCAGTTACTTGCCCTTCCCTTTATTCTGAGGGGCTCATTACATTTATATATAGGTCAAGTCATGAACATTACCATGCTGGGTACAGGTGTTGGCACCAGGGCTGACATCTGAGCTGATAGTGGATGATTTTGAGGCTGGCATATGAAGTATTAAGAAATCTCCCTCATGAGAGTGTGATATCCTGATTATTAACTGTTTGAAACAACCAGATTTTTTTGGTGGGGGGAGTTTAAACAGAAAATACAGAGATAGAAGGAGTTCATTAATATTAGCCTAAAAGTTCTAAGAAAAGGCATGAGAAATCTTTCTGAAAACACACTTCAGTTCATTAGGAGTTAAGAGACACTGGCCTGAAGAAGTCAGACCTGAGAGAAGATAAACAAAATTTCCATTTGATATGACTCATAAGTCAGTTAATGCTGTGACTTATCCTATGGAAGAAGGAAGTCATTAAAATAGTTAAGATCCTTGTTCTGAGAATAATCACAACATCAATGATAGAATCTTGAGAAAGGAAGAGAACCTGAGGCAAGGCAAATATGGTCTCTTGCTATAATGACATTTGAGGAACCAAGAACCGGTGCTTTCAAATAAGAGAATGGAAAGAAAAACATCCAAAGCAATTGCAACAAAAGCAAATTTGACCAATGGAATCTAATTAAACTAAAGAGCTTCTGTGCAAAAAAGAAACTATCATCAGAGTGATCAGACAGCCTACAGAATGGGAGAAAATTTTTGCAGTCTATCCATCTGACAAAGGTCTAATATCCAGAATCTACAAGGAACTTAAACAAATTTACAAGAGAAAAACTAGCACATTAAAATGTGTGCAAAGGACATGAATAGACATTTCTCAAAAGAAGACATTTATGCAGCCAACAAACATATATAAAAAAGCTCAACATCACTGATTATTACAGGAATGCAAATCAAAACTACAATGAGATACCATATGGTATCTATTGACGATTTAATAATCGTCACAATGGCGATTATTAAAAAGTCAAAAAACAACAGATGCTGGCGAGGCTGTGGAGAAATAGGAATGCTTTGACACTGTTGGTGGGAATGTAAATTAGTTCAACCATTGTGGAAGACAGTGTGGCGATTTCTCAAATCCCCACAACAGAAATGCCCTTTGGCCCAGCAATCCCATTACTGTGTATATACTCAAAGGAATATAAATATAAATCATGCTATTATAAAGCTACATGTATGCATGTATTCCTTGCAGCACTATTCACAATAGCAAAGACATGGAATCAACCCAAATGCATCAATGATAGACTGGAAAAAGAAAATGTGGTATATATACATCATGGAATTCTTTGTAGCCATAAAAAGGAACAAGATCATGTCCTTTGCAGGAACATGGATGGAGCTGGAAGCCATTATCCTCAGCAAACTAATGCAGGAACAGAAAACCAAAAACCACATGTTCTCACTTATAAGTGGGAGCTGAATAATAAGAACACAGGGACACAGGGAGGGGAGCAACACACACTGGGGCCTGCTGGGGGTGTAGGGGGAGGGAGAGCAACAAGATAAATAGCTAATGCATGCAGGGCTTAATACCTAGGTGATGGGTTGATAGGTGCAGTAAACCACCATGGCACACATTTACCTATGTAACAAACCAGCACATCCTGCACATGTATCTCAGAACTTAGAAAAGAAAAAGAAAAATATCTGCGTGCCATACATATTATTGCCTTGAAGGAAATTGAGATTAAATATTTGAGAAATATAACAAATTTGTAATGTGGTCTATATGAACTGAAAATGACAGTAAGCAATTGACAGATGAAAGTACTTCAACACACAGTTTACGTATACATGTCCATGGCCAAGCCAGACTAAGCTCTCTTGATCAGATCTCGTATCTTACCAATATAGATGGCTAGAGAGCATTTCTATTCATGCTTACACTCTATAAGTTAAACATTTTTCCTTTTTCTTGTATCTCATCTAATGTGATCATATTTAAGAGAACGATCTGTGGTCTTGGAGTAGAGTCCTCACAGAATTTAAATGCTGTCCTCCAAAGAAAATTCCACAAAAATTAGCAACCCAAGAGAGTAATGATTTTTCTTTCACTGAATATGTTTAAGCAGAAGCTGTTGCTTCGGGGATGCTGTGGAGGTCATTTATCAAGGATTAACTGGAAGTTGGAATAATTGACCTCTTAAATTCCTCCTACTCTCTGAGTCTGTTTCTGTGAAACAAGTAGATAAAAACAGAAAAGGAGGATACTGTTATATTCTTTATCATGTATATTTATCTTGCATAGTAAGAATGTGTAGATTAAGACCAGGCTTTCTCCTGATACTTGATTTACGATAATTAGGAAAAATCTAACAACATATTGTGTTCTATTTTATTTTCTAAATTAGTAAATTTTACTTTTTTTGGGAAAAATTTCCAAGTTGATTCCATTAAATAAATTTGTTCTCAAATTGTTTAGAGGGTTACTAAGAAACCTTGTCTTTTGGAATTCAATCATGATTGAAGTATTATTTGCTAGATGAAGTATTCTGTCAACATTTCAGAAATTAAAATTTATAATTTATAAAGCTATTTTTGTATTTAATTTGTAGGAACACTTGTAGAAAATATTTACTTGCTTTCTTAGGAAAAAGTATAATACCTATTCTATAGGTAAGTCCTATATGTAGAAAGTCGGTAAATCTATACAGTAATCTCTATTATCTTTCTATTCTTAGTAAGTGAAAAAAATTTGGAAAAACTTAAAATTTTAAAACACACATTAGAAAAAATTAAAACTGAAAAGAGTTGTTAATGAAATATAAAAATGCCAAGACTAATACATCTTATTAGAACTTAGACTGAATACAAATGAATGTGTATTTCCTGGTAACTTTTAAAGATATTAGCTTGGTGCAAACATAATTGTGGTTTTTGCATTGTTGAAATTTGCCATTTGATACTGAAATACATTCTTAAATAAATGTGAGTATGTTCTACATCATTTTAATGCACACTTCTTGCTTTGATTTTTGGTAATGACTTATTACTTGCTATTTTATATTTATTTTAGACGATGGAAATCATGTTAGACAAAAAGCAAATTCAGGCAATTTTCTTATTTGAGTTCAAAATGGGTCGTATAGCAACAGACATAGCTTGTGACATCAACAATGCATTTGGCCCAGGAACTGCTAATGAACATACTGTGCAGTGGTGGTTCAAGAAGTTTTGCAAAGGAGAAGAGAGCCTTGAAGATAAGGAGCATAGTGGCTGGCTATCAGAAGTTGATACAGGAGAAGTTACCAAAGAACTCAACATCGACCATTCTAGGGTTGTTTGGCATTTGAAACAAATTGGAAAGGTGAAAAAGCTCGATAAGTGGGTACCTCCTCAGCTGAGTGAAAATAAACAAAATCAGTGTTTTGAAGTGTCTTCTCTTACTCTACACAACAATGAACCATTTCCCGATCAGATTGTGACGTGCACAAAAAGTGGATTTTATACAGCAACTGACGATGACCAGCTCAATGGTTGGACTGAGAAGAAGTGCCAAAGCACTTCCCAAAGCCAAACTTGCATCAAAAAAATGGTCATGGTTACTCTTTGGTGGTCGGCTACCTGTCTGATCCACTACAGCTTTTTGAATCCCTGAGAAACCATTACATCTGAGAAGTATGCTCAGCAAATCGATGAGATGCACCAAAAACTGCAACACCTGCAGCCGGTATTGGTTAACAGAAAGGGTCCAATTCTTCTCCACGACAATGATGGACCATACATTGCATAACCAATACTTCAGAAGTTGAACAAATCGGGCTACAAAATTTTGCCTCATACGCCATATTCACTTGACCTCTCACCAACCAACTACCACTTCTTCAAGCATCTCAACAACTTTTGTGGGGAAAATGCTTCCAAAACCATCAGGATGCAGAAAATGCTTTCTAAGTGATCGTTGATTCCCAAATCACGGATTTTTATGCTACAGGGATAAACAAACATTTCTTATTGGCAAAAATGTGTTGATTGTAATGGTTCCTATTTTTATTAATAAAAATGTGTTTGAGCCTAGTTATAATAATTTAAAATTTATGGTCTGAGACCACAGTTACTTTTGCATTAACATAATAGTTAGTTTCCATAGTAAAGAAAGAAATTGAGGACAAAATTGGAAAGAGATTTATCTCGGTGATTAAGATAAAATCATGTAAAACTATAATGCAAAGCTATTGAACATTATATGGGTAAAAGTTAATATATTGGATACAAAGCTTAAATTGCATTTCCTTATTCTTGATTCTTCTTGGTCTAATTCTTCCTTTCTCTCTCACATTGTATTTTATACATGCATATTATATATATATACATATATATATATATGTGTATATATATATACGTATATATATGTGTATATATACACATATATATGTGTATATATATGTGTATATATACGTATATATATATATGTGTATATATACGTATATATATATATACCAAAAACCCACATAGACAAACACACACAGACAAATGAAGAACTCAAGTGTGTGATTGTGTGTGTGTATGATGATTACTTAGCTATGTAATTTCTACACTCCCTCAGTTTTGGCAGATGAGGTGGTAGCACCAATGTTGGTAATTTAAGTTAAATAGGAAGTAGGTAAGGTGCATTGGTAGCCCAGGAAATAGAAGTGCTAGTTTACTGAAGGGCATATATGTGAATTCATGGTCAAGGAAGAGAAACTGTTGTCTGGTGTAAAATGGACAAGATATACAGAGAAATGCGTGCTGAATTTGGGCTTCTGGTAGATATAGGTACATCCTGATTCCTGTCATCCTACAAGAGCTGATATCAAGTTTATCCATGATTTCAACAGCATAACCAAGTTTAAATCCTTGAGGGAAAGCCTCCTGTTCACCCATAAAGATAGAAAAGTATTCTATCAGCAATAAGATATTAATCAATTTGGTGTACATCTATTATAAATTCAAAATTAGGACAAATATCTTTAGATTCATTCATTTTAAAATACCTAAAATGACTAACAAAAGGCCAGAATTTAGACTACCTAAAAGGATTAGAATTTCCTGCTAACTGATTATAGTTAGACATGAGGTAAAATAGTCGCTCACTTGCAGTTCCCTGTATGGCATCTCCCACCCACATGTGTATGGGGCTGAAATAATCTTAACTTGTGAGTTTTAGATCAGAGAATGTATGACAAGCTCTTAAGTATGGTGAATGTCAGACACATAATAAATGCTTGAACAGGTATTTGCTGCGGATTGGTGATGACAGTGATGATAAAGATAATGGTGATGGTGTCACACAAAAGGGGAGGTTCTGACAGCCAAGCAGCTATGGGGTGATGAATTGCATCACCATTCTTCTGCCTCACCCAGGGCAGAATTCCCATGAAGACCAAACAATTGGTGAAGTTTGTGTCTGGCCTAAATGATCATTGCCTACCTTTCATGTGAGTGAATTATTAGGAAATGCTCTGAAACTGCAAGATGAAATATATATGGAAGAAATGGGGTAAGGTTTTTCTGTTGGGTGATAATCCTTCTTCTGTAAGCCTGCTGACTTTGATCTTTCTACATTTCAAACATTATGCCCCATTATAACATTGAATATTTCTTATTTTAGAATAGTCCTTTAAACACATAATTGGGACACCTTTTCTAAGTCTCTATCCTCTCTGGAGTTTCTCTGAGAACTGCTGGACAACCTACTTGATCAAATCTCTAATTGTAAGCATCTCTAATACTTGCAATCCCTCATGAGGTGACCCCTTGAAGATCAAGATCTATTCAGGGTAACTTGTTGTTGTATGAATTTTATTTTACACACACACACACACACACACATATGGGTTACACACACATTTATATATAAAACTTTGATAATTTCTTATGGCTATTCTGTTGATCTCTAAACAGTTTTCTTAAAATGTTCTTCCCATCATAAAACGCTTTTTATCTATAGCATCCAGCACAGTGCCATGCACATAGCAGATGCTCCATGATAATAGTTGAAGAAAGGCAGAAAGAATAAAGGAGGGAAGGAAGAAAAGAGACAGCAGGGTGTAAGTGTTTGCTTGTGTATGAGGGGTTTTGAGATAAACCTCTGCTAAAATACATCTTATATATAACATCTTAAATTTCATTCCTAAAACCATTTCTGAATACTATACATCGCTTTTTTCAATCTAAAATGAATTCTTAATATTTTAGTGATAATTAGTTCATGGGGACATTTGTTTTTTCTCTTATAGAAAAAAATCTATTGTAGTATCAGAATACCTGTTTTTATAACAGCTATGAAGTTGCTGTCATTTATAAACATGGGAATGATGTCAACGTAAAAGAAGTTATGCTGGTCCTTGTATGTCTAATCCTAGGCAAAGAGATCTGGCATAGAAAGAGTGTATTAGAAACTTCTGCAGGGCAAGAAAAATCCATTAGCTTGGAGGCTACACAGATGGGAGTTCTGTAGGCTATATTTTTAGACAATGAAAAATGGCTCTTGTACCTGGGGATCCATCTCCAGAAAGATAAACCCCAGCTTTTTACCTCTGGCAGGTTATTCATCCTCTTCAGTCCACAGGACCACTTCCATTAGGATTGTCTCTGCACCTGTAAGTCACCATTCCCACTTTTTTGTTTATTGTAAAAATTTAATATCTTTGAAGCAGCCTCCAATCATGCTGAGTGTCTGCCTAGGCAAGTTATCTCTGGAGGTACCAGTTATGGTCATTGTTAGCGCCTCTAGTTACCAAGTAGCCTAGAATTTGAATGGTCTTACCAATCCTGTTTTTCTCATTGATCCTGTTACTTTAGTATGATTTTGAAAAACATGCAGTGTTTTGGGAATATACATATTGGGTTATAGTAGAAATTATATTAAACATTACTAAGGTATTAGTCAGGTGAGATCTGTGAGGTTGTTTGGTGGAGAGTAAATGAAAGGGAAAGGTACAGCAGTGTTTCTCAAACTAAATGTGTCAGAATCACCCTGGAATCTTATTCAAATGCATATTCTAATTTAGTAGTTCTGGGTAGGATTCAAGCTTTTTCTAAGAATCTCCCAGGTGCTGCTGGTGCTGCTAGTTCAGGTATGGTACTTTGAGTAGCAAGTTCCTGAGGACAGGTCATGACTGAAAGAGGCAGACCCAGGACTGGCCCATGTGGAGTATATAGTTGCAGATTGGCATGTGTTTTCTTGACTCGGGGTCATTATTAAAAGCTTCAGTATCAAACTAAAGGGAAAAAAGAGTTTGGCCACTGTCCATGTTTCTCTTATTTTTCTCACAAATGCACTTAGGAAGCTAGGTTTATCAACTGCTTGTTAAAATATTAATACTCAGAAAGAAGTTTTTTTGGATCTTCTGTTAGAAACAGCTGAAGTTATAACCTCTAAGTGTCTCCAGGGCTAATGAAAGAGGCGAGAAAGATAATCAGGTCCAATCACTTTTATTGACTAAACAAAGCGAGTTCCCTGCTTTCCTTTTAGTACTTGACATTTCACTTTTACCTGTCTGGCTTCACAATAACTATAATGTGATTTCAATGACCTTCAGCCCTGCAAAAGGATGCCAGAATATATTATAAGTTTAGTTTAACATTTTAAAAACAAAATAGAGCCCGTAGACACTCAAAAATAAATTTCCTTTGTTAACGAAAAGAGTCAAACTCTGTAAAATATTTGAAGAGATTTATTCTGAGCCAAATATGAGTGGCTATGGCCTGTGACACAGCCCTCAGGAGGTCCTGAGAACATGTGCCCAAGGTGGTTGGGGCACAGCTTGGTTTTATGCACAAAACATCGATCAATACATTTAAGAAATACATTGGTTTGGTCCAGAAAGGCAAGACAACTCAAAGTGGGAGTTGGGGGAGTTGGGGGTGGGGAGGGTTCCAGGCTATAGGCAAATTTAAGCATTTTCTGATTGACAATTGGTTGAGTTTGTCTAAAGACCTGGGATCAATAGAAAGAAAATGTTCAGGTTAAGATAAATTGTGGAGACCAAGGTTCTTTTAAAATTTTATAGTGGCTGCCCTTAGAGACAATAAATGACAAATGTTTCCTATCCAGATCTTTAAAAGGTGCTAGACTTTTAGTTAATCTCTTTAGGATTGGGAGAGCCTAGAAGAAAAAAAATCTAGGTATGTTAATAGATATTCTTTACAGATGCAGATTTTCCTCCACAGAGGACAGCTTTGTAAGGCCGTTTCAAGATATGGCAAAGAAACATGTTTTGGGGCAAAATATTTTGATTTTCATCGTTGTCTCATAATGTTATGCCACAGTCAGGGTGGAAAGTAAGTCACAATATATAGCGTTAGATAAAACCCATCTGATGATAATTTATGGTTTGTAGGGCATGACTCCCCAGACCCCTTAGACAAGAATTTGAGCAAAAAATCCCAGCTTGGTCCTCAGTTTTGTAACTGAAAACTTTTCAAACCATTTCGTATATACAGGCATATACCTTGTTTGACTACACCTCACCTTTATTGTGCTTCAAAAATATTATGTTTTTTACACATTGAAGGTTTGTGGCAAGCCTGCATTGGGCAAGTCTATTGGTGGGATTTTTTCAACAATGTGGCCCATTTCACATCTCTGTGTCATATTTTGGTAATCTTCTCAATACTTCACTGTTTATTATTATTATATCTGTTATAGTGATCTGTGATCTTCGATGTTATTATTATAAAATATCTGTGTTCTTTGATGTTACTATTGTAAAATTTTGGGGTGCCACAAACCATACCTCCATAACATGACAAACTTAATAAATATTGTCTGTTTTTGGACCGCTCCAATGACCAGCTGTTACCTATCTATCTTCCTGTCCTCCAGCCTCCCTATTCACTGGGACACAAATACTAAAATTAGGTCAGTTAATAACCCTACTATGGCCTCTAAGTGTTCAAGAGAAAGGAAGAGTCACAAGTCTCTCACTTTAAATCAAAAGCTAGAAGTGATTAAGCTTAGTGAGAAAGGCATGTCAAAAGCTAAGTCAAAAGCTCAGCCTTTTTGGCTGGGCGTGGTGGCTCATGCCTGTAATCCCAGCACTTTGGGAGGCTGAGGCAGGTGGATCACGATGTCAGGAGTTCAACACCAGCCTGGCAAACATGGTGAAACCCTGTCTCTCCTAAAAATACAAAAATTAGCTGGGTGTGGTGGCATGCACCTGTAGTCGCAGCTACTCAGGAGGCTGAGGCAGGAGAATCGCTTGAACCTGGGAGGCGGAGGTTGCAGTGAGCCAAGACCACGGCACTGCACTCCAGCCTGGGTGACAGAGTGTGACTCCATCTCAAAAAAAAAAAAAAAAAAAAAAAAAAAATTGGCCTTTTGTGCCAAACAGCCTAGTTGTGAATGCAAAGAAAAGATTCTTAAGAAAAAAAAGTGCTACCTCAGTAAACAGATGAATGATAAAAAAGCAAAACAGCCCTCTTGTTGGCATGAAGAAAGTTTGAATGGTCTGATAGAAGATCAAATCAGCCACATTTCCGTAAGCCAAAGCCTAATCCAGAGCAAGGATCTAACTGTTCAATTCTGCGAATGCTCATTGAGGTGAGGAAGCTGCAGAAGAAAAGCTTGAAGTTAGCGGAGGTTAGTTCATGAGGTTTAATGAAAGAAGACATTTCCATAAGATAAAAGTGCAAGGTGAAGCAGCAAGTGCTAAGGTAGAAGCTGCAACAAGTTATCCAGAAGATCTAGCTAAACTCATTGATGAAGGTGTCTACATTAAACAACATATTTTCAATATAGATGAAATAGCCTTCTAATAGAATATGATGTCATCTAGGACTTTCCTAGCTAGAAAGGAGAAGTCAGTGCTTGGCTTACAGCTGCAAAGGACAGGCTCATTCTCTTCTTAGGGGATAATGCAGTTGGTGGTTTTAAGTTGAAGCCAATGCTCATTTACCATTCTGAAAATCATAGGGCCCTTATAAATTATATTAAATCTACTCTGCCTGTGGTCTGTAAATGGAAAAAAAAAAAAAAGCCTGGATGACAGCATATCTGTTTACAGCATGGCTTACTAAATATTTGAAGCCCACTGTTGAGACCTATTTACTGCTCAGAAAAAAATTCCTTTTAAAATATTACTGCTCATTAACAATGTACCTGGTCTCCCAAGTGCTCTGATGGAGATGTACAAGAAGATCAATGTTGCTTCATGCCTGATAGTACAACATCTATTCTGCAGCCCTTGGATCAAGGAATAATTTTGAATTTCAAGTCTTACTATTTAATAAATACATTCATAAGGCTATAACTACCATACGTTGTGATTTCTCTGATTAATTTGGAAAAAATAAATTAAAAACCTGGAAAGAATTTACCATTCTAGATGCCATTGAGAACTTTAATGATTCATGGGAGGAGATTAAAATATCAACATGAAAAGAAGTTTAAAAGAAGTTGATTCCAACTCTCATGAATGACTTGTTTGTATCCTCTTTCATTTCATTGAGCAGTGGTTTGTAGTTCTCCTTGAAGAGGTCCTTCACATCCCTTGTAAGTTGGATTCCTAGGTATTTTATTATCTTTGAAGCAATTGTGAATGGGAGTTCACTCATGATTTGGCTCTCTGTCTGTTATTGGTGTATAAGAATGCTTGTGATTTTTGTGCATTGATTTTGTATCCTGAGACTTTGCTGAAGTTGCTTATCAGCTTAAGGAGATGTTGGGCTGAGACAATGGGGTTTTCTAGATGTACAATCATGTCATCTGCAAACAGGGACAATTTGACTTCCTCTTTTCCTAATTGAATACCCTTTATTTCCTTCTCCTGCCTAACTGCCCTGGCCAGAACTTCCAACACTATGTTGAATAGGAGTGGTGAGAGAGGGCATCCCTGTCTTGTGCCAGTTTTCAAAGGGAATGCTTCCAGTTTTTGCCCATTCAGTATATTGGCTGTGGGTTTGTCATAGATAGCTCTTATTATTTTGAGATACATCCCATCAATCCCTAATTTATTGAGAGTTTTTAGCATCAATCCCTAATTTATTGAGAGTTGTTGAATGAGTTATTTACTCATGTAAGAGTAAAAGTCAAATGATATTATTATTATAGAAATTGATTTGAACTTCCACTTCTCAAAGAGAGTCTTGGGGATTTTCCAAGGTTACCTCAGCCACAGTTTAAGAACTGCCGATATCACGCCTGTAATCCCAGCACTTTCGGAGGCTGAGAAGGGCAAATCACAAGGTCAGAAGTTCAAGACCAGTCTAGCCAACATAGTGAAACCCTGTCTCTACTAAAAATACAAAAAGTTAGCTGGGTGTAGTGGTGTGCACCTGTAAGCCCAGCTACTCAGGAGGCTGAGGCAGGAGAGTTGCATGAACCTGGGAGGCGGAGGTTGCATTGAACTGAGATCGCGCCATTGCACTCCAGCCCGGGTGACAGTATGGGACTCCGTCTAAAAAAAAAAAAAAAAAAAAAAAAAGAACTGCTGGTAGAGACTATTTAAAGCGGTACCTGGAGAGATGAATCTAATTGTAAGCGTTAGCAGTTATTAGTTTTATTTCTCCCTTTAGATAAGAGCGGGAAAATCTTAGCTTATTTCACTTCCTGTCTCTATAATTTCTTATATTTCACTTACCTCGTTGGTTTCTCTAATTTTGCTTCTTTCCTTGACTTTTACTCTCAACAGTAAGAAAACAGTCTAATTAGAAAATGAGCAATAGTTGTGCAGACACTTCATCAAAAAAGATATATGGATGGCGAATAAACATGTGAAAAGATATCCAACATTGCTTGTCTTTAGGAGTATGCAAATTAAAAACCACTTAAATATATTATTACTCACTAATCAGAATAGCTAAAATAAAATTTTAAAAACCACTGATAGGGCCGGGTGTGGTGGCTCACGCCTGTAATCCCAGCACTTTGGGAGGCCGAGGCGGGTGGATCACGAGTTCAGGAGATCGAGACCATCCTGGCTAAGCCTGGCGAAACCCCGTCTCTACTAAAAATACAAAAAAAAAAAAAAAAAAAAAAAAAAATTAGCTGGGGGTGGTGGCAGGTGCCTGTAGTTCCAGCTACTCGGGAGGCTGAGGCAGGAGAATGGCGTGAACCCAGGAAGCAGAGCTTGCAGTGAGCTGAGATTTCGCCACTGCACTCCAGCCTGGGTGACAGAGCGAGACTCCGTCTCAAGACCAAACAAAACAAAACAAAAAAAACTGATAGTACCCAATGCTGTAGAGAAAATGAATCTCTTATAAATTGCCAGTAAAAATGCAACATGGTACAATCACTCTGGAATAGAGTAGGGTAGTTTCTTAAAAAGTTAAATGTACACTTACTATATGACCCAGCACTTTTCTCTCTCTCTCTACCTCCCTTCCCCTTTTCTCCTTCCTTCCTTTCTCGCTTGTCCTCCTCTCCTCTCCCCTCCTTTCCTCTCTTCTCCTTTCCTTTACTTTATATAATGTATTCATTGGTTTCAATTACTATGTCTTGATCAGATAGTTTTCAAGCAACTCTAAAACGTGTGTAAGTTATTTTAAGTAGCTATCTATTAAGCATGTATATAAGAAAGATTGGCTGCAGTGGCAGAATTATTTATTCACATTATTGTAAGTCTGAATGGTGGTCAAGCTTTAAAGTAAGCAAAATTAAATGGCCTTAGTTCAATTTTTTTTGTATGTGTATGTGATCCTTTGATTGTTCTCTCCTTTAGTTTTGCTTTTCATCCTTAGCTCTTTCCCTGTGGCTTTCCAACCATACACCACGATGCTGAGAGAAAGAGAGTTGCTTCAACCCTTATAAGAAAAAGTAAGCATCCCTTCTAGAAGTACCCAGGAAACCACTGTTTGGGTCTTCATGTCTTGGAGTTAGTTATTTATCCATTTTGCAATCTGTACCTATGTTCAGAATATTTTCCATGCCTCTGCAACCTAAACCAAACATTTTATCAAAGCCCATAGGATTATTCTGACTTAGATTAATCCCCTAAAGTGCATTTTAAAAAATAGTGGGCAGAAAAACAGATGTCAGGAAAAACCCCACAATATCTGCTACACAACATATAAATTTCTTTCTCATGTATATTTTTCAAGGAAATCATGCCATTATACCAATCATGTAGGCTGCAGTTTAGAAGATGATAAAAATATTCATGCTTGCCTGCAAGCTGATGTAATATTAATTCTATTAAAATACCACATTTATTTATACCAACCTAAGTAAATGCACATAATGTAAAACATTCAATCAGTTGAGAATTCTGTAGTATCTATGCTATCTGCCTGGTAGCACTTCATGTTTTTGGCAGTTGCGATATCATCTTTATGGTAATATATATAATATAATTTTTTGCAATAAGTGCAATTTTCTTGCTATCTCTCTGGAGTTATTGAAAGATGATAAAAAAGATTGATTTGTAATAAGGTTCATTGCCAATTCATTGGTGTTTCCTTTCCTCAAGTCATAATAAATATACTTAGAGTCATTTACACATGGGGCCAAATTTTTCCCAGATTTCAGTTCTCGCACAAAGTTTGACTAAAGGGTTTTTCTCTCGTTGCCTAACCTTATTTAGTGTCTGAGGCCTTCTATGCTTTGTGATTGAATGTCAAGACATAGATTTCCCACTGGGTAAGATAACAAATCAAACAAAAGTAGAGTTGAGACAGCAAGCTGGGCAAACAAACCTGTCTTTACCTGCAGCACCTTCCAGAAGATTAACTACCTGCCTTATCTTTTTAGTCTGTCTACTTTGTGCTGGATCTTGGCCAGTTTGAGTCTTTTAATATTCTCTTTGTCACAGTGCCTAGGGACTAGTGACAAAGGAGTCTGTTCTCTAAAGATCCTTGCAATTAATTGCACACATACACACAATAAATTTTAAGTGAGACTTGATATAAGAATACATTTAAGGCAGAAATCTTGGTGATCTTGGAGTTGCTCCAAGGGAATCATGGAAATAAAATGGGATCTTTCTCCTTGTGACAGTCAACATTTTCAGCATGGCCATCATACTTCCAGTTACCATCTCTTCCTCACATCACCTCCTGATTGTCTCATTTTTTAGAACTTGTTACTTCTTCTTCAATCAATCTCTCAATTCTGAAAAGAAAGACCATAAATTTAATAAATAATATGACTTATAAATTCCAGCATTATCTCCTGTATTCTTTATTCAATCGATATTTATTAAACAGTTCTATATGCAGGCATCTGGTAAGGTGTTTCAGAAGATTTAAAAAAAGACATAAAACTTAAATTTAAAAATTTTATCTAGAAATAGCTTATTTCAGGCTTAAAATAAATACCACATGAAAGAACGAAATAGGTAAAGTACTATGGCACTTAAGATTAGTGAAAATGTATGTCTAAATGGGGAGATGATGGCATCAGAATTATCAATCTATGTGGTACAGTGTCAGTAGGGAGAGAAGCCTTTTGCCCTCAAATATTTTTTTCTATATATTATTTGATGTTTAAAGTTTACTTTAGCACAGAATTTTAAGTGTTATCTTTACTGAAGTACTCATTAACAATTAACTAATTTATACCTCAAGGCAAACAACTGGGTGAGTGTTATTTAAACCCACTTTTCAAATTCCTTCTCTCTGGCTGTGAGCAGATGAAGAAATCCTTGTAGCTAACTGCTCAAAAGTTACTTTCTCTGCTTTAGGAATGTCTCCAACAGAGGTAGTTGCATCTTCCTTTGTGCTCTTACAGGATTTTGTGTATTTCTCTGTTATAGAACGTAGGGCATTTTACTGTGGTTATCTATACATTTATCTTCCTTTTTACAAAGTAAGTCCTTAAGTGCAGGGATTGGATCCTAAGTATGCCTATTTTCTCAGCATTTACACAGTGCCTGAAAAACAGTAGCTACTCAATACGTATTTGTTGAAAGAAAGAGTGCATAAACAAATTAATAAATGAGCTTAACCCATAGTCCACATTTGCTGTAATTTGTGACCTGGACTTCATGAACAGAGAGAAAATAAGTAATGACTTTCAACTGCTCTGCCAATGGTGTGGGGTTGGCTGGGAGGGGCTTTCAAGTGCTGCAACTCTAAGACGAGCAAAAAGAAGTCTCATCCATCATTCTAGACCTTTCTGATATGCACAAATGACTGCAAGAGGAATTTTACAGGATTCCCACTTTCCACTTAGCATAATTTTCTATGCTTTTGATGATTGTTTCTGAACCTTAACCTATTCAGAATATTTTTGCATCGATGTCTGGATACCTGTGATTTGGACAAGTCCTTCTCAAAAATCTTAAGATCCTCAGTCTGACTCAGACTGAAATAGGTTTGGAGACATTGAGATTTATAAGCTGCCCAAGGACAGAACTGCTCCCTGAGCTCTTAAGTGCTGGTAAACAGCACACGGTGACCCTAAACTCCTGCCAATGCCAGGATTTAGCCAGAAGAGGTTTGTGTATTCAGAATGTCAGTTTGAGATGAACTTTGGCAGAATCCCTATGATTTCTTTATGGGGAATGGGCATTTGGTTGTAGGGCATGCCGTAGAAAACCTTTCCAAAATTATATAGATCGAACATGTATTACCCAATGCAGTCACCCAGAGATGTCTGTGTAATAAACCGGTAATCCTAAAGTGGCTTCATTCATGGACACAAGGGAAGAAGCTCAGTGTGGTTCCAGTGTATTTACGTTGTGTAGATGCAAAATATGTCAGCTCTTCTCTACAATTTTCTGAACTTGTTTTATTTTTATCTCCCCAGCATGTTATTGAGCTGGGCTTCTTTTCTATTGATTTTACTTTTCCAAGTTCCAAATTAACTTCTTGTTATAAAAAATACCATGCAAGTACTAAAAGCATTTTTTAAAATAAGACAATCTATATTGAAACTAAAAGAGTAGCGAGAAAGGAGACAAAACCAATGGTGAAACAAATAACGTATATTTTTATCTAATGTGAACATTTTTGTTTATGACAAGAAAAAGTAAAAATAATTCATATTAGCATAAAATAAAAAACAGAAAACAAAATGATCCACAGACATGCAATATGTTGTATTTAACTTACTAAATTTACAATTAGGAATAAATAATTTATGGATTTCATTTTAAGTGAATTATGTGAAATGAAAACTGAAAGCCTTCCATCACAAAACCTCATTCTATTGCAATTCTCAAAGAGGTGATCATTTAAAAAAATGTGATATGCCTTTCATAGCTTTTCTTTTTAAAAAATACATTTACACACAGATACCCACACAGGTGAATCCAGGCATTGATTTGAAGCTTACATAAATTTGAGAGCCCTCTTTAAGAAAAAATACTAAATACAAAATTTGAGATTCAAAAATAAGTACAATGGCAAATATTTTTTAGAAGGTAGAAAATAATCAGAGTATATTTAAAATATTTAATATCACAAATATCACAAAAATCACAAGATCTAGGAAAAATAATGATTGTACTAATTGGCTGACACATCTCTGTAACACTTTTTCTTACATTTTATAGCATTCTCTTTGATGTCTTCTTCATGTAATTATTTACATTATTTTCTATAAAGATAATAGATTGTTCAATCTTTTCTTTAGAATATCATATCTATTATATATCATATCGTATATTAACAATCTATTATAGATATAATAGATTTTTCTTTAGAATATTATATCTTTTCTTTAGAATATCATATCATTATCATATCATCTATTAACAATCTATTATCATAGAGTTAAGAGATTGTTCAATCTTTAGAATATCATAGTTGATTGAAATTTTTTAAAAATCTGGTTGATAGCTTATGAAAGTTTTTTTAGGCTTCCCAACTCATTATGTAATATTGTGTGAAAATTTAGTACCATTGTAAAATTAAGAATAATATCTTCTTATTTCTATTATTTATGTTCTGTAAGATTTAGAAAAATTTCCTGCAAACTACACTAGATGCTGGCTCAATAAATCACACATTTTGTTTCTCCTTTATTGTCCACGTGGTTCCAGTACCAGGTGCCACAGAATAATTCATATTGTAGGATTGCTTCTGGCCCTGCACCCTTGTGTTCCAACCCTGGAGGCTTGTTCTTCCTTAGACAGCTGTTAGTAACTAGATTATATATGGAAACAACCATAAATCACAAAAGTATATTCCACTAAACCCAAACCAAACATAGCTGCAACTCAGCTTCCAAACAGGTAAGTACTCCAAATGCCTATATCCACTCCATGTGTGATGAAGGGAAAGTCTGAGTGAAAAGTGATAATAGACTATACTGATGACAGGTAAGTTATCTTCCTTTAGAAAATCTTATGAATTTATGTTACCATGTGACTACATTGCATGGTTGCCTTATATGCCCTTGGAAGGTTTCATGGAAGTGTTGGGGCTATGAAGCTTAAGCTTCATGAACTTCACAGTAAATCTTCCTCTGCTTACAAATAATCAAAGTAGGATTCTAGGAAGATAGGTAAATAGATAGAGATAGATAGATATAAAATTTGTGATAGAGATAGGTAGATAGAGACACATAGTAATCTTTGATTACAGATACAACTAACATCCAAATTAATAGAGAAATATTAGAAGTAGATGAACATTTACAATCCTGACAAACTAGATATTAAAAAATATTAGATATGTTAGGAGCAGTGGTTTATACCTGTAATCCCAGTAGTTTGGGAGGCTGGGACAGGTGGATGACTTGAACCCAGGAGTTCAAGACCAGTCTGGGCAATAGGGCGAAACCCCATCTCTACAAAAAAAAAAAAAAATTACAGAAGATTAGCTGGGCATTGTAGTGTATGCCTATAGTCCTAGCTACTTAGGAGATTGAGATGGGAGGATCACCTGGGCCAGGGAGGTCAAAGCTTCAATGAGCCGAGACCGTGCCACTGCACTCCAGCCTGGGTGACAGAGTGAGGCTGTCTCAAAAGAACAAAACAAAACTATATATAATACAATAGGTCATATAGTAATTACTCGTAAGTACCAGAAAATATTTTTTTCATTATTAGTAATATGTATTGCCTATTTATGATTATAGCTTTTTGTGCCAAAAGATGTTGAAAATATAAAAGGAAAAAAGTAAATAAAAATCACAAATAATAGCATAATTCAGAGCCACTTGTTGTATAGGTACATATCCATTTTTTAATGTGTTTTCTCACACAGACTTCTGTGATTATGCTGTACATACAATTTTGTACTGATTTTTTTTGTTAAAGCTTTACTGTCATCTTTTTCCAAAGCCACTAAAAATATTTACTCAAATTTATCCAATTAAAATGTGCTAGACCTGCTGTGTACTGGTTACCTTTAGACACTGAAATCTGTGTACATAGAACCTGGTACACATTTTGATTATTTTTACAGGATAAATTAACAGAATTAAAATTATAGGCCAAAAGTCATGCTGATATTTTAGGGATTTGATATCCTTCTAGAAATGCAAAAGTTCACACTTCCATAGTGACACAAAAGCAGCTCCTCTCTTTACTCTGACAATTTTACAAGGAAAACAAATTATGTTATGGTAATACTAGTTATTTGGTCACTGGCAAGATTAAATTTTTTCAAATGTTTATTAGTGATTTGTATTTCTTTTATGAAGCATTCAGTCATATTTTGTTTGGTTTTCAACTGGGACACCAGAAATTCTTGAGAAATATATGTTTTAAAATAGCTGAGACAAAAACAAAGAATAACTTATTATTTATGAAGATTGTCCCACTGTGGATATCATTAAGTCTGTCAGTGTATGCATATTAAGAAGGCATGACATCAATCGAACTGTTTTATCAGTTGAACTGTTCACCAATTATACTGTTTTGAACACTGTTTTATCTTATAGTCTAAATTATCTATATGTATATTTTTATTTCCCCAACTAATTAGTTTTTCCCTTCTGTTTTTCAGCTTTCCAATTTGCATGATATGTGTGTGTGTGTGTGTGTGTGTGTGTGTGTGTGTATGTGTGTGTGTGATTCTGCTATTTATTGCTAGTTTTATTAAATTCTGATCAGAAAGTATGATTTTCCTAATTTCCAATTTGGGAATATATTTTTTGTAGCTTATGTTGGGACTAACTTTTAAAAATACTTACTTCACACTTGAAAGTAACTTATATTCTTCACTGGTAGAAGTTAGTATCTGACCTAGGAATTACGTTTTAAAGAAAGAAGGCATGACATTAATAGAACTGACAAGAAAGAAAGTTTGGAGTCCAGAAACCCCATGAAGATACCAACAGAATTATTAAGTAAGCCAGTGATAAAATATATATACAATAATTGACCGATAATAGGGAAATTCTATAAAAAAAAAGGTATGAAGAGTATCCTCGTAACATGATAACACCTTTATAATAATTCAATACATTCTGAAAAGTGGAAATAAAACATGATTATACTGAATATAATTAAATTGGAACAGAATATAAAGTCCTGAAGTGGACCCCAAAATATGTGGGAATTTGCTATGTGATGTAGGTAGCATTGCAAATCCATGGAGAGAAAAGATGGATTATTTATTCTATGCTGTTGGGACAACTAGGTAGCTCTCTAGAAAATGAAAATAAAGTTGGATCCCTATCTCACCCCTTTTACAAAGTAAACTCCATAGAAGTCAGAGGAGCACATAAAGAGGCCACAAAGTCTTTAAAGTGAACACTTAGGTAAATATTTGTATAAACTGTGAACAGAATTTTATTCTGACACCAAACACAGAAGTCATAAAGGGAAAGATTAAAAATTTAATTATAAAGAATATTTTAAAAATCTGCATGGGAAGAGAAACTACCATAAACAAAGGAAGATAAATAACAAAAGGCTAAAAATATTAGTAACTCCTATCACAAACAAATTACTTTAATATATATGATTTTGTGAATTAATTAGCATAGGACCTAAAACCCAAAAAAATAATGACACAGAGTTTAGAGAAACATAAATTCAAATGTCTTGTAAACTTAGTATAGCTGTACTGGTAATAAGGATAAATGCAAATTAAAACTAAAGGGAAATAATATTTTTCACTTAGGTTGGCAAAGATCAAAAAGCAAAGGTGTTAACAGAGGTTTTGAAAAGCAGGAACTCTTCTATCTGTGCATCCTCAGTAGAGAAAACTTCACCAACAATAAAATAACGTTTATAACCATAACCAGCAATTACATATCTAGGAATTTGTTACATTTGTTCTCACTTGATAGCAACATGCTTTAGATTCATCCATATTAATTGGAGCTTTGTAATAGCAAACATTGAAAGCAGAAATAACCCTCATGTTGTCTACTTAAAATACACTATGGTACAGTCACTACACAATAGAAATTGCATACAATGCAACTTTTGTTTTTTTCGGATTAAATGAGACAACTATGTTTTAAAATGTTAAAAAAAAAAGCCTAAAAGTTTGCTACCTAACAGGTAATTATACTACTCATATAAAAAAGGAATATAATTGTGTATGCATAAAATATCTACGGAAATATATTCAAGAAACTGGAAATCCTGGTTTCTTCTGCAAAGAGAATTTGGGTGGCTGGGGACAATGGTAGTGGGGATATTTGCTTTTCATTATCCATGCATTGTCACCTTTTGAATTTGTAGCACTTTTTTTAATTTATAGAAGAATTTTATATATATATATATATATATATATATATATATATATATATATATTAGTGTCTTGAAAGATGGAGAGAGCAATAAGGATTGGGAAAGAAGACAGTAATTTAACAGTTGGAAAAGTGAGAGTTTTGTGAAGGATTTTATTCAGGTTACACATACACGATTTAGATAACTTGCTTCAAAGTGAAAAGACAAATTTATTACTGAACCTAATTAGAGACTAAATATTCCTTTTTTTTCCTTTTTTTCTCTCAGTATTGGGGAGTCTTGAAGGAAACATTCTTTCAGAGTTCTCTTTCTCTTTCTTCCAATGTTCTTAGTTACTTCAAGGCTGTTATGAGAGACCAAGGTCTGGAGGTGTAATTGTGGATATGGTTAGGTTGTCAGAGATCTTCCTTATTTCAGTTTCTTCAAAGAACTAATCTGACTAATCTATGTGTTTATCCATTGTATTGCTTCTTAAAGTTTTAGTACATTAATTTATGCTTATTCCTTTATTTCATGTTTCTTCTTATTTTGAATTAAATGCTTAGTAAATTTCCTCAATACTTTTTCTTTCAAATACTATAAATAGTTTTAAGCTTTCCTTTGAGTACACACTTAGTTGCATTTATTAATTTTTATGTATACTGTTTTATCTTAATTATATTCTAAATGATCTATGTTTGTATTTGTATTTTTCCAACTCATTAGTTTTTTTTTCTTTTTGTTTTTCAGGTTTCCAGTTTGCATGGGGTGTGTGTGTGTGTGTTTGTGTGATTCTGCTATTGATTGCTAGTTTCATTAAATTATGATCAGAAAGTATAATCGACTTAATTTCCAATTTGGGAATATGTTTCTTGTAGCTTACGTTGTGAATAACATTTAAAAGTACTTCTTGGATATTTGAAAATAACTAACATTCTTCACTGGTAGAAGTTAGTATTGAATCTAGGAGTTACGCTTTAAAGAAAAAAGTAATAGTTTAAAAATATATTTTAGTATTACAGTTACTGGCAAATAAAGACTTGACTATTAGCTGTTCATTAGGGTATTCCTTCATTAATATAAAATAACCATGAACTATTTAATATTTTGGGATCCTGACTTCCACCTTGTATGAAGATGATGATCTCAGAGGTTTTGATGTTGAGTTAATGGGATAATTGCAGTGTGCAAAATGCCCCTGCAGCTGGCGGAAGAGGGAGGGTGATGGAAGAACCCTGGAGAGTCCCACTAAAGTATTTCTTCACTTCCCCAAAATGTGCTAGGTTGACTCCTCAGCACTTTTCAGAAATGGTAAGACCTCATGAGGTTATAAGAGAAAGTGGGCCAATAGTCTGCTCTTGAGAAATCTTTTGACAGAATTTTAATGCAGAATCTTAAGAAATTAGCATTTTTTCAACTTTCCGCAGAAAGAAAGGATTCTAAACATTTTGTCTCTTGCAGTTCTCTGTTCAAAGTGTCTCAAGCTTTCTTTACTATTAGGACTGTGTATATTTTTAGAAACTCCCAACTATCTTTCTTTCTTTCTTTCTTTCTAATTTTTTGAGAATGAGTTTTTGCTCCTTTTGCCCAGGCTGGAGTGCAGAGGCACGATGTCGGCTCACTCCGGCCTCCGCCTCCCAGGTTCAAGCAATTCTCCTGCCTCAGCCTCCTGAGTAACTGGGATTACAGGCGCCCACCACCAGGCCTGGCTAATTTTTTGTATTTTTAGTGGAGATGGATTTCACCATGTTGGCCAGGCTGGTCTCGAACTCCTGACCTCAGATGATCTACCCGCCTCGGCCTCCCAAAGTGCTGGGATTGCAGGTGGGAGCCACTGTGCCAGGTTTTTGTATTTTTTAGTAGAGATGGAGTTTCACCATGTTAGACAGGCTGGTCTCGAACTCCTGACCTCAAATGATCCGCCCGCATCGGCCTCCCAAAATGCTGGGATTACAGGTATGAGCCACCGCGCCCCGCCCAAATGTCTTTTCTTTTTAGAACCCTAAGCCATCTCTACTCCTACAATTTTAATATACTCCTTCCATGTATTGACTGTCAACTTCTCACACTTGAACTGTAGTAAGGGAGAATATCACTCTGCCAAACTTGTAGTAGCAATGTCTCAAAATGGGAAAATTTGGAAAGGTTTCTCTATAAGATTTAGGACTGATCACGTGTCACTTTAAGATGGATCTTTCAAGGGGGGAAACTGGGTCTAGCAAAAGCTTATGACATAATGAATTGCTTTGGATAGATGGATGAAGAAAAGTGAGGGCCTCAAAGTTAGTTTTCATGAGTAAGCCGTTAGTCTTGGTAAGTACGCTGCCTGGTTGGTTCACGGTCTTAACTTCCAGGAACAGTCATTCCAATTAGGTTATTTTTGCTTAGTCTCAGTATCACTTAAAATAGGAATGGGAAAGTATGCCTGGTCCGAGTCCTTTTTAACCCAAGGAAGAGGAAGTTATTGTGGTTTTAGTTTTTACTGTTCACTATTTAAAATGTCACTACTGAATTTCTTTCCTATCCTTTACCGTCATCTCCTTTCTTTCTTTTTTTTTTTTTTTGTTAAACAATACTCAATATTATTTCACTCTCAAGATCTTTTTACCTTCTCTTTCTCTTTACAACCTTTAATATCCCCTTTCCCTCAGGAACATTAAAACAGTTTAGGACAGTAAGAACCCTTATGACTGAGGAGACTATATGTAGTCTTAGAAACTAAAGCTTATGAATAGTCTTACCAAATGTCAAATTCATTCACTTTCCCTCTGACTATACTTGTTAATATGTTAGTCTTCTCTAGCACCTTCTTTTTCTCCTTCCTTAGTCCTACCCACTACTGTATCTTCTTTACACATGAACTTCACGGTGATACACACTTCCCCCAAACCACTCACAAAACAAAGGAATGAAAACTCGGCAAGGGAAGAGATTAAATATTGTTTCTGGAGTCACGAGTAGCTAGCACTCCTAGCTCCTAGATGCCCTTTTTTTTTTTTTTTTTTTGAGATGGAGTCTTGCTCAGTTGCCCAAGCTGGAGTGCAATGGCACGATCTTGGCTCACTGCAACCTCCGCCTCCTGGGTTACAGCGATTCTCCTTCCTCAGCCTCCTGAGTAGCTGGGATTACAGGCATGTGCCACCACACCTGACTAATTTTCTGTTTTTAGTAAAGATGGGGTTTCACCATGTTGCCAGGCTGGTCTTGAACTCCTGACCTCAAGTGATTTGCCTGCCTCAGCCTCCCAATCCTAGATGTCTTTTAAGTAAAAGATTCATTTCTTTTTTCCACAATGAATAGACATTTTCTGTTTTCTATGTTGGTTTTCCTTAGAAGTGATAGGTGAAAATAATAAGGAACACATTGTTATAAAAGAAGACAAAAAAGCCAAAGTAAACTAATTCCTAGAATAACAACATTGAGGTTGGACTGAAGTAGAAAGCAATATAATTGTCACAGTTTTATTTACATTTTTTCCAGGAAGAGGTAGAGGGAAAGCAGTAAAGTAGAGGCTATTGCTTTATCCTTATTATTCTCACATGCCCCCTCCCATTTAAAACATTCTGAAAATGTTCAAATCTATAAAGAAATTGAAAGAACAATGCAATGGACACCTAGTTGCTCCTCACTAATTTTAAACAATTTAAACATCTTTGTAGGATAGTGTAACCTTAAATACTTCAACATATATTCCCTAAAAATAATTACATTCTCTTACATAACCACAATACTTCTTTCACCATTGCTACTATATTGATTGCCATGGGTGAAGGTGGGGTTTACAATTGGCCCATCTCTCTATTCTACACATAAGACACCCTACTAAAGAAGGACATGGTGCTTTATGTTTAGCCAGAAAATAAAAATAAAAATTAATAGGAATTTTATATTTCTTCACTCAAAGTATGTTCTGAAATCATCTGCTTTCCTGTGGAAATAAAGTTTGAGAATATAAATACCTAGTTTTGAAAAGTGAAAGCTGTTTTACTTATTTTACATCTATTTGTTTTTACTTTTACATTATTATTCCAGCTATAATTCTTAGATGACTCCAGTGCTCAGAGCACCCTGGGCAGAAACTCTCCTTTCTCTAAGGCTCAAGGATCCTCCATGGGGTGACTCTAGATAGAAGAGAGAAGAAGTTGAAGAATTCCTAGAAAATGCCAATAGTTAGAGGTTAGAAGATGAGCAGGCACCTACCAAAGATGCTGAGGAGTTTTAGTGAGGTAGCAGGGATGCCAACAAAATAGCCACATCCCAGGAAACAAGTGAATAAATTGTGTAAGGGATGGGTTGAAAGACAATATCAAATGCTCTGGATAGGTCAAGTAAAATGAAGCCTGATAATTGGCTGGGAGTACTGGGGGTCTTTGGTCATCTTGACACAAAAAGATCTAATTGAGTGGGGGAGGTTGGGCAAAGCTAGAATGTACTGAGTTTCAAATAACAAGAGAAATTAGAGAAAGAGTGTGGTTAGCTCTTTTTGAGGCAATGTTTTATAAAGGAAAAAGAGATCCAAGTCAGTAACTGGAATACAAGAGGATATGTGTCAATGTAAAGAGGTCTGAGGTGAGAGAAATTACAGCATATTTATATGCTGATGAGGATGGTCAGGAGAAAGGGAAAACTGATGATATAAAAGAGCAGGGTCAATTATGGGAGTAATTTCCTTGACTAGGTGAGAAAATTTGAAATCTAATATACAAATGGAGAGAAGAAAGTTCTTACAAATACTTTTTTAATTCAAGTAACGTACACTGCAACTGGATACGTTCTTTACTGTATCTTCCCAATCATGATTTCAGTTTTCTGAAATAGAGATATGCATTTTAATTAGTTTATCTGTACCAAAAGGCAGGAAGCAGAGTATATGGACACATGTACAGATAAGTTGTTAAATATGGTGGTGGAAGACTATTGAAGTCTTTTTCCTATTGCTTGTATATTCCCAGTGAATTGGAATCAAAGTCATTAGTTGTGAGTGAGCATTGAGAGGGGATACACAGATATGTGAGAGAAGAGAACGTGTGAATTTATCTTCTACCAGAGTCAGTAGATGAATTAGGTAAATACAGTGGGAGAGGGATAGAGAAATGCTGTGGTTTTGAGTATGGAATGTTTTTATCTGTGGCATCTCTAGAAAGAGTAAAGCCTTCATAAAGAAGGCAGAAACTATAGCAGCTCGAGAAAGTTGGTGAGAAGAATTTTGTTCTTGTAAAAAGGAAGAATGGGGTTTGGATGACCTGAGAAGAAAATATGTATGCTTAGGACTCCCATCCTCTTTGATCTTGGAGAAGTAATGTTTCAACAGAATAGAGGATATCAGTTTTGTGAGAAACTGAAAGGAGCAGAATAAGAGACCTGTGTTGGAGAATGTCAGTGAGACAGACCGTATTTAAGTCTTTGAATGTTACTTCTGGGGGTGACGACTCCCCCTAGGATCTTTAGGTTCTTTGCATGTACTTCCAGCTCCCTAATGAGTACATTTAGAATCTTTGCAGCTGAAGACTAGAGACCACCCTCTCTTTAGACTCTTAATAGGAGTGAATAATGACTTGCTAATCTTGCAATTAAGGCATACAAGGAAATAATAGAATGACTGTAGCTTCAACATAAATACCAGTGAGAGAAATTAATTTAGAAACTCTAATTGAATTTCTGTTCTCATGTAAACTATTTAACATAGTTTTTTTCCCTACTGAATTTGGTATATTTTCCCATGTGAGTTTGCTACACTTTTCATTTTGACTTGCCAAGAGAAAGTTTCCATTTTGCGATCTTTCTTATTGTCTCTCTCTCTCTGTATATGTATATACATATAAATATGCATTTTATATGTATATTTTATATATAAATTATATAATATAAAAATAATATGTAATATATAGATTATAATATATGTGTATAATAATTTTTATATATGTTATATTAAATGGTTCAATATCTCGGGTATGTGAAGCTCCAAAAATGAGTCATCAGCTGATTTTCAGACTGAAACATAGAAAAGGTTTGTTATTATATTTGGCAAATAGATACATTATCCTCTTAAGGAAAAACAGGAGAGTCTTGTGCCGGAAATAGAACTGGCCCAAAGACAGTCCTGTAAGTTATTCTAAGAACGCTTCTCAACTCTAATTACGCTCATTAGAGTAGACCTGGTTGTGTTAGCAGATGGATTTAGACATTTCTGTGACATTACACAAAATAAATGTACTTCTTTCTTACTTAATAGTTCCAGGAGTGTCTTCAGGTTGGGTTGGTTCTTCTGCATGTGGTCATTCAGGGACCCATTCCACACTGTGGTTCCATTATCCCTTAAAGCCTTATGATCATCAGTATCCACTGGAAGACATAGAAAGAAACTGGAGGAGCCCATGAGGGGTTTTATGTGCCAGGCACACAAATCACTTTTCATTATAATCTGAGTTTGGCAAGGACTTAGTCACATACCAAACTGCAAGGGAATCTGGGAAAGATGGCTTAGTGATATTTCCAGAAAAAAGAGAATGATTTTTCTGAACTATGTGAACAAGGACAAGGACGTTGGTAGGATTTTGTTCATAGGAAGTCAGATGTAAGAGACTCTCAAGAAATGTCTGGCTTTTAAATACCAATTTTTAAGAAACAGAGCCTTACTCTCATGTCTTTTAGGAACAGAATTGGTAATATGGGAGGGCAGGTCTGGATGAGAAATTTGTTGTTGGCTCACTTTACAATTCTTGAATTTAGCAGATAAAAAGAGAATTTACAGGATATCAAGGAATTGAAACCCAAATTTGAGACTTGGGTGTTCCAAATTTTTACTATCATTCTTTTATCATGGCATGCCCATATATCTTTGACTTAAAAAGGTAACATCAACTTAATTGAAAGTGTTAGTGATTATGTGTGTATGTATGGGGCTGTTCTCTAGTGGTGACTTTGTAAACACTGTGTGTGCATGTGCATTAGCATATATTCCAAATGTTTGTTCTTTTGCTATGAAGTAAGATACTTACCTGTCTATTCTCACAGACAGAGATTACAATATGTGTTATGGGGCAATTTAAAGACCAAAGACCTTACAACAAAATAATGTAAATCCATGTTAAATATTTCAAATTTTACACCTACAATGTGCCACAGAGCATAAAACTAGAAATTCCTTTGCTGGGAATAAGAGAAAATTCCCATTTCCTTCAGATTGCACACAAGAAAGACAGACATTTTTCCATACCCAATGATGTCTACTGAACTTCCTCTTAAGGCAACAGCAGCAATCCAGTTTAGTTTCTCACGTGTAAGGCAGAGAATTGGCTATATTAATAAAGTATAGACATAAACCAATAACCAGTTTATAGTAATTAATCAATATAAAGCAAAATCTAAAATTTTGGAACTCCAAAGTAAGTTCCTAATATTCCGTTGAGGAAAGACCAGATTTTTTTACTGAGCATAAACTAAGATTTTCTCAAATTATTTTTATAACCATCATCTGCTGCTTCAAGATTTTTTTAAAAAGACTATTAATAGTTTACTATTCACTCTCTCTAGTGCTGGTATTCTTAAAATGCTCAATACTAGATTCTATACCCACCCCAGACTGATTATCTCACAGGCAAAAAGCTTTTATTTTGTGTATTCCTGGGTGGTTTTGGAGAAATAAGGGGGACGTTCATTCCTGAGTTTATGGCTTAGACAAGGAAGAGATATTGGCATATTATTTAAGAATTAGGGATGTTAACAGTATCTTATTTAATCATCGGGGAATTTTGGCTTTGCTACCTCCCAGGTAGAGCTCGGCATCTGCCGTAGCTGTGCACACACAGATGACAAAGTATGAGAGACCAACTCAAGACCTAAAATTGAACTGTATCAATTCAGACAACCTCTAGGGAAACTATAGTCATAGGACAGGTCAAAACTGTTATAGAAACAAATGACTTATTAGATAATACAACCTTCTCTCTGGCCCATGGTTAATGGAAATGGGTGATGACTGAGAATTTATACTGATTAAAGATTTTCTAATTCTAAATGTGAATTTTCCCATTTGTATGAGGAAAATGATCATCCTTGTAACTGGTTTTTCCTATTCCTATGAAACCAAAGGACAAGAGACTTCCAGGTATGCAACCAACAATCTTAAAGAGGCTTCTGTCAGTAAAACATGCTTTCTTTTGGGGAAGATTGAAAAGACATTGAAAAAAGAAGTGGGAATTTCACAGCCTGATTGTGAAGTAGAGATTATGTAAGGGAGAAAAAAATGTAAAAGAAATTTTCATTGGGAAAGCAGGCTGGGTCCTCAAGACTATTTGACCTTTGCATCAGCAACATTTAATGGCTAAGTTAAATATTGAGAAGAGTAGAAAATGTACTGAAAATGACAAAGTGTCTGTAAATTTCCTTAAAATATTTTCTGAAAAACCAATTTAAATTATACCTATTGAGACAAAATTAGAAATGTTTAGATATAGAATTGAAGGCATTGTGAGAGCAAAAGTAATCTCTGCTTAACATTTTCTTGGTATTTCCATTCTCTGTACATGACTGAAGTCTTGAAGCCAGCCCCTTTGAGGAGGCAAAATGGACTTCTGCTTCATGAATGTCAGTATTTCCTATAGAGTATTACAGGTTACCCTGCAGAATGCACATGCTGGTTAGACACATAGGAATGCTTTTAAGAAAGGCATCAGGCCATCTTGAATTGATTTTTGTATAAGGTGTAAGGAAGGGATCCAATTTCAGCTTTCTACATATGGCTAGCCAGTTTTCCCAGCACCATTTATTAAATAGGGAATCCTTTCCCCATTGCTTGTTTTTCTCAGGTTTGTCAAAGATCAGATAGTTGTAGATATGCGGCGTTATTTCTGAGGGCTCTGTTCTGTTCCATTGATCTATATCTCTGTTTTGGTACCAGTACCATGCTGTTTTGGTTACTGTAGCCTTGTAGTATAGTTTGAAGTCAGGTAGTGTGATGCCTCCAGCTTTGTTCTTTTGGCTTAGGATTGACTTGGCAATGCAGGCTCTTTTTTGGTTCCATATGAACTTTAAAGTAGTTTTTTCCAATTGTGTGAAGAAAGTCATTGGTAGCTTGATGGGGATGGCATTGAATCTGTAAATTACCTTGGGTAGTATGGCCATTTTCACGATACTGATTCTTCCTACCCATGAGCATGGAATGTTCTTCCATTTGTTTGTCTCCTCTTTTATTTCCTTGAGCAGTGGTTTGTAGTTCTCCTTGAAGAGGTCCTTCACATCCCTTGTAAGTTGGATTCCTAGGTATTTTATTCTCTTTGAAGCAATTGTGAATGGGAGTTCACTCATGATTTGGCTCTCTGTTTGTCTGTTGTCAAGATGGATTAAAGAGTTAAATGTTAGACCTAAAACCATAAAAACCCTAGAAGAAAACCTAGGCATTACCATTCAGGACATAGGCATGGGCAAGGACTTCATGTCTAAAACACCAAAAGCAATGGCAACCAAAGACAAAATTGACAAATGGGATCTAATTAAACTAAAGAGCTTCTGCACAGCAAAAGAAACTACCATCAGAGTGAACAGGCAACCTACAAAATGGGAGAAAATTTTCGCAACCTACTCATCTGACAAAGGGCTAATATCCAGAATCTACAATGAACTCAAACAAATTTACAAGAAACAAACAAACAACCCCATCAAAAAGTGGGCAAAGGACATGAACAGACACTTCTCAAAAGAAGACATTTATGTAGCAAAAAAACACATGAAAAAATGCTCATCATCACTGGCCATCAGAGAAATGCAAATCAAAACCACAATGAGATACCATCTCACACCAGTTAGAATGGCAGTCATTAAAAAGTCAGGAAACAACAGGTGCTGGAGAGGATATGGAGAAATAGGAACACTTTTACACTGTTGGTGGGACTGTAAACTAGTTCAACCATTGTGGAAGTCAGTGTGGCAATTCCTCAGGGATCTAGAACTGGAAATACCATTTGACCCAGCCATCCCATTACTGGGTATATACCCAAAGGACTATAAATCATGCTGCTCTAAAGACACATGCACACGTATGTTTATTGCGGCATTATTCACAATAGCAAAGACTTGGAACCAACCCAAATGTCCAGCAATGATAGACTGGATCAAGAAAATGTGGCACATATACACCATGGAATACTATGCAGCCATAAAAAATGATGAGTTCATGTCCTTTGTAGGGACATGGATGAAATTGGAAATCATCATTCTCAGTAAACTATCACAAGAACAAAAAACCAAACACCACATATTCTCACTCATAGGTGGGAATTGAACAATGAGATCAAATGGACACAGGAAGGGGAATATCACACTCTGGGGACTGTTGTGGGGTTGGGGGATGGGGGGAGGGATAGCATCGGGAGATATACCTAATGCTAGATGACGAGTTAGTGGGTGCAGCGCACCAGCGTGGCACATGTATACATATGTAACTAACCTGCACAATGTGCACATGTACCCTAAAACTTAAAGTATAATAAAATAAATAAATAAATAAATAAAAAGAAAGGCATCAGGCCTATTGAATTTCATGTAGCCTCATCCAAGGCTTTTTATAATGTTTTCTGTACTTACGAATAAATTCAGATATACTGAGAGAGACTCAGAAATGCTTAGTGGTCATGTGATCAATTGGCTGCTTATTGAAAGTGGTAACTTTGAACCCTTTCATGATGAAATGGAAAAATAAATGACTTAACTCATCTCCTAACCTCATTAATCTCTCCAGGAAAGGCTTTCACCAAGTGCACTGCAGGAAGATATTACTTGGAGAAGAGGGAGGCAAGAGGTAGTTTGAATCTAATATTTCTCAGACCTTGCCACACTATGCAAATAACTCAGGCCTTCAAGCTGATACCCATAGAGCCAGAGTAGTTCATGCAGGCGCTTTGCAAGGGGAGTATCGTAATGAGCTTGGTGAATTTTGTATAGGTTTTCTAAAATTTCCTGTCTTTCTGTCTGAATTCAAATGATCTGAGACAGAACAGGACAACTCTAGTGACTATAGGGTAAATTGGCCTCCCTACTTGTCAAGGTTTTTGTCATGGGGTAATTGATGTTTTGTTATTCCCAGTTTCCTAGCTGCCACATGGGACAGGCTATTACATTTTTCATATAAGTCCTGGGGATCAGAGAATGACACCCCATATGGAGGCCTCAGAAGCAAAGTTTGTCTCTGATCTTCTCCTGCTCTCATGTCTCTTACCCCTCATTCTCCTTTAAGGCTAGCCATAGAAACTAGAATCTCTCTTCCTTAAGTTGGGCCATAGAAATCAGAATTCCTGTCCCTAAGGAGGGTCATGGAAACTAGAACATCTGTCCCCCAAAGCCAGCCATAAAACCTAACATATTACTCTAACCTTCCTTCACTTGTCTGTGCAAGGGCTGGTTATAAAGAAATTATCTGATGTATCTTGCATGACAGTAGGCCAAAAGGTCCCCCACTCCAGAAAGGGTTGTACCCCATACCCAGGAGGAAGAAATGCTGCACAGAGAGGCCAGGAAGAATCTGAAGACAGGCCTTGATGGATTTTCCCACTCAGTCTATTCTCATTTGATTATACCTTTGGTCCAGTCACATTTATCTACATTACTGTCCATTCTTCATCAAACCTAAGGATAAATGTGGGTTGTTTTCCCTCTATCTTTGGGTCTTCATTCTGCAGGTATCTCATGTCCCATAAAATTATGATTAAATAAATTCATTATGTTTTTCTCCTGTTAATCTGTCTTTTGTTATAGGAGGGTTGGTGACCCGTATGATAAGGAGAAAAGGTATCACACTGTTTCTGCCCCCAATTAAGCAAAGGGTTGCTTGCAGGCAGCAATCATCAATCCGAATCTAGCAGTTTCCCAGGCATTCTCAGCTGCTATGCCTGAGAAAATGACAATGTATGGTTTCATGCAAGGTGTTCTGGCGGCTTATCTCTGTCAGTGTGAGGGCAAAGGGAACCATCACTTAACAGATGTCATATGTAACTTACATAAAGATCCTGTAGTACTTTTTACGTGCCTCAGGGGATCTTTTCTGGCGTACTTTCCATTTCATATTTTCCAGGTTTCATGCTAAGATGCTTATATTTGGATTCTACCTCCCTAGCTGATCTCTTCTTTTGATGGTTTGTCATATCCACTTCATTGTGCCTTTAGATGCTTTAACAAATCTTAGTATTTTGATTTGTTATTTAGAAATTTTGCACAGATTAAAATGTTACAGATAGTGCTAAAGTCCAGTATGCTATTGCACTTAATACTGTGGGCAATTGTAACATAATTATAAGTATTCGTGTATCTAAACATATTTAAACATAAATACAGTAAAATATGATAAACAAGATTAAAAAATGGTACACCTGTATGGAATACTTACTATGAACAGAGCTTGCAGGACTGGAAGTTGCTCTGGGTGAGTCAGTGAGTGACTGGTCAGTGAATATGAAGGCCTAGGACATTACTGTAGTCAACTGTAGACTTTATGTACGTGTAGGCTGAACTAAATTTGTATAATTTTTTTTCTTTAAAAGTAATAAAACTTAGCTTACTGTAACTATTTTTTTTTTTTTTTTTGAGATGGGGTCTCACTCTTGTCACCCAGGCTGGAGTGCAATGGCATGATCTCGGCTCACTGCAACCTCTGCCTCCCAGGTTCAAGCGATTCTCTTGCCTCAGCCTCCTGAGTAGCTGGGATTACAGGCGTATGCCACCAAGCTCGGCTAATTTTTGTATTTTTGTAGAGATGGGGTTTCACCACGTTGGCCAGGCTAGTCTAGAACTCCTGACCTCAGGTGATCCACCCGCCTCGGCCTCCCAAAGTGCTGGGATTACAGGCGTGAGCCACCGTGCCTGGCCTTTCTTTTTTAACTTTTTATACTCTTTCGTTACAAACTAAAACACAAACACACACATTAGCCTAGGCCTGCACAGGGTCAGGACCATCAATGTCACTGTCTTCTACCTCCACATCTTATCCCACTGGAATGTCTTCAGGGGCAATAACATGCACGGAGCTGTCATCTCCTATCATAACAATGCCCTTTTTTGGAACACCTCCAGAAGGACCCACCTGAAACTATCTTACAGTTAACATATTTTTAATAAGTGTACAATTGTATGTATTAGACATTTATACAACTGGTAGCACAGTAAGTTTGTTTCCACCAGCATCACCACAAACATGTGAGTAATGCATTGCACTATGACACAACTAGGTGATAAAAATTTTTCAGCTTCATTATAATCTTAGGGGACCACCATTGCATTGTGTTCTGTTGGCCAAAACATCATTACGCAGCTCATGACTATTTTGACTATATCCACACAGTTATATGTGTGTGTGTTTGTGTGTGTGTGTGTGTGTGTGTGTGTATAAAATTGCACATCTCTGATTTTTCATGAGGTTTTACGTTTTTTCCTTTTGTATTCTCTCTTGTGTAAATGGACTCTTCTTACATGCATTTTCAAATTTTCAAATTTTAATTAGTGATTATTTGTTTTTCTCTTATTGGTTTTAGGAGTCCTTCAAACATTCTGAATGCTAATCCTTTGACAGTTAAAAGCTGACAAATATCTTCTCCCAGGCCAAGGCTTTGTCTTTTAAATTTTTATTGGCAATGTTTTTTGTAGAATATGTTTTAAGTTTTAAGGCAGTTAGATTTACTTACGTTTTTCTCCTGTAGAATTTATAACCTTTGTATCTTGTTTAAGAAGCTTTTCCTATCCAAAAAGTATAAAAATACGCTCTTGTATTTCTTCTGAAAGTTGTAAAGTTTTGCTTCTCATATTTAAGTTTGTAATTCACTGAAAGTTATTTTTGCCTGTAGTGTGAGGTTGGAATATAGTTCTATTTATTTTCATATGGCTAACCAACTGTCCCAGTGCAATGTATTGAAACTAGTTTATCTTTTCCACATATCTTGTAATGCCACCTGTGCCACATATCAACTTTTGCCACTTCTTCACAAGTTGAGTTTTTATTGATGCATGGGTCTATTTCTGGGCTTCCCCATGTGTTCTAGAAGTGTGCTTGTTCCTGCCTACGCCAGTACCATACTCTCTTAATTAACACAGTTTATAGTAAGTAGGCCTTGATATCTGGTTGGACAATTGCCCCAGATTGCTCCTCAACTTCAGGATTATTTTGACAATCCTCTGTGTTTTATGCTGTTGTACTAATTTAAAAATCCACTTCTAAATTCCATAAATAATTGTTAAGATTTTTATCAAAATAACACTTCATTTATACATTAATTTGAGAAATACATATCATCTTATATATGTTTCTTCAAAGTTTCTTTTCTGTCCTTCAAAAATCTTTATAATGTTTCCATGAAATGGCCTGTGTGTTTCTTTATAGATATATTTCTAGGTACCTTTGTGTTTTTGTTGATACAGAGAACAGTATCATTTTCTACTCTATTTTCTTTGTTAATTACTTGGATATAAGAATGTTTTATGTTTTGCAGTTGATTTTGTACGCAATGATATTGCTGAATTTTAAAATCAATGATTACATATTTTACCTTTAGTTCACTTGGGTTTTCAACATAAGTAACCTCATAATCTGGAAATGAGAAAAAGCTTCTATTTCTTTATTGTTCTTTCGCTTTTAATTTTGTTTTCTAGAGTCTAGCCAATACAAAATCGTTGAGTACAGTGTTGAGTAGTCCTTAAAACAGCTGATATCCTCGTCTTGTTTCTCAACTAAAACATAATGGTACTTATTTATCAGAAAATAAATTTATGAACATTTTTGGTGAAAATCTACAATTAAGAAAGTTTCCTTCCATTACTTCTTTGCCAAGAGTTTTTGTCATGAGTGAATGTTGGAATGAGACAAGTTTAGCTATAAGTTTTTGTATTATACTAAATATAAAATAAATTCTAGTCTATTAAAAAATAAGTACTTTTCTATCTTCCCTCTCTACTATAATTCATCAACATTTAATTTTGAGATAATTGTAGCTTCACATGCAGTTGTAAGAAAGAATAGTGATTCCCTGTACTCTTCACTCAGTTTACCCCAATAGTATCATCTTGCATAACTATAGTACAGCATTACAACCAGGAAATTAACATTGATGCAGTCTACCAACCTTACTCATATTTCACAACTTTTATATGCACTCATTTGTGTGTGTATTTTGTGTATTTAGTTTTATGCAATTTTATTACATGTATAGATTTATGTAATTAAAATCACTACAGCCAAGATACAGAACAGTTCTATCACAAGGATCCCTCATGTTATTCTTTTATGGCCACAGCTACCTCCCTCTTTCCCCCCTCTCTAATCCCTGGCAATGACCAATCTGCCCTTCTCTATACGTTCTGTACATTTCAAAAAAAAGTCTCATAAATCATATGGAATCATATAATGTTGGAATATATGTTATATTAATATGGAATTATAAGGAATCATATAATATTATAACCTTTTAAAATTGGCTTTTTCACTGAGTATAATTTCCTTGAGATACATGCAAATTGTTGTGCATATCAACAGTTTATTCCATTTTATTGCTGAGTAATATTCCTTGATATTAGTGTACCTCACCTTGTTCATTCACCTGTTGAAGGAGACTTGGGTGGTTTATTTTTTGCGATGATAAAGCTGCTGGGAACGTTAGTTTACAAGTATTTCTGTGAGCATACATTTTCATTTCTCTGAGATAAATACGCAAAGTGCAATTGCTGGGTCATAATGGTAAGTGCATATTTAGTTTGTAAAAAAAAAAACTCCCATACTCTTTTTCATAGTGGCCATACCAATTCACAGTCTTATTAGCAACATATGAGTGACTCAGTTTTTCTACATCTTTGCCAACATTTAATGGTGTCATTTTGTGTTTTAATTTTAGCTATTCTAATCAGCATACAGTGATACCTCATTTTGGCTTTAATTTGCATTTCCCTAAAGGCTAGTCATGTTGGACATCTTTTCATGTACTTGTTTGTCGTATGTAGACCCTTTTAAATAAAATGTCTTTTCAGGACTTTCGCCCAGTTTCTAGTTGATTTTTTTTTTTTTTTACTTTGGAGTTTTGAGAGTTCTCTATATATTCTAAATATGAGTCACTTGTTGGATATGTAGTTTGCACATATTTTCTTCCAGTCTATAACTTGTATTTTCATTCACTCCACAGGATCTCTCACAAATACTTATAAACTTAATTCAACTCTTATGAAAATATTAGCAAGGTTTTTCTTCAAACAGAAACAACTTATTCTAAAGTTAAAATAGAAAAACAAAGGACCTAGAACAGCTAAGACAATTCTGGTGAAGAAGAATTAAGTGAGAGGAATCACCTTACCCAATGTTAGGGCTTACTATATAGTTGGATTGATTAAAACAATATGGCATTAGCTAAGTGACAGATATGAAGATAAATGGAACAGAATTGAGAACACAGAAATAAACCCACACAAATACGCCTTGAAATTTTTGAAGTGGTGCAAATCCAATTCAGTGGAGGGAGGATAGCTTTTACAACAAATGGAACTGGAGCAATTAGACATCCATAGACAAAAATCAAAGGAAAAAAAGGAGATGAATCTCAGCGTGAGCACTACACCTTATACAAGGGGTAATTGAAAACAGGTTATAAACAATATAAAATATTTGTTATATTTTATATAACAAATATACAACTAAAATTTTTAGGAAAATGATACTATTATTTTTAATACATGTTTTGAATTTATAGAGAAATCTCAAAACTCCAAAGTAAATAAAAAAAAATCCAATTAGAAAATGGGCAAAAGTCCTGAACATTTATTTTATTAAAAAGTTCTACATATGACAAACAAGTACATAAAAAGGTGTCCAACATGATTAGCCTTTAAAGAAATGCAAATTAAAACTGAAATGAGATTATCACTATACGCTTATTAGAATGGTTAACATTAAAAAAAAAATAAAAGACACCATTAAATGTTGGCAAAGATAAAGAAAAACTGAGTCACTCATACATTGCTAATTCTTGAAATGATGTGCTAGCTACACTCTTAGGCTTGACATCAAAGGATTCTTAGATACACACAAAAAATCACAATCTATAGGATGAACAAAATTGGACCTGATTGAGATAATCTTAAAGTAGTAAAACCACTTCATGAAATATATTTGAACATTAATTTATCAAGGGATAAGAAGATAATCTTGACTTTAAAGAGCGTTGGAAAATTATACAAAGAAAATAATGAATACACATGGTCACATACAAATAACCAAAAGGATTTTGTCAAAAATCAAAATATGGATACATAACTGTTCTGTTTTAGGCTTGCAGCCTTCAATCACCCAAAATGTCTACAGTATTATGGAAGAATATGTTAATTCATATATATATATATACTTTGCTGTATTCTTATATCAGTTTTATCTTCCTCATGCTCTGAGGGTACTTGGATTGAGTACCTTTTCTTAGAGTTAGAGTATATTTAAATGAACATGTACTGATATAAAAAATAACTCTAAAAATTTTAATTTTATTTGTAGTTACCTACAATAAAGATTCAATTATAAAGATATATTCTTACATTACATTTTTTCATTAGAAAATATGTTACTGTAATTTTAAATGAAATTCCTTATCTTAAAAAGACATATGCAATACTTTCATATAAGGATCATAGTGACTTGAATCATTTCTTTATTATCTCCAACACAGATAATAGAAATTCAATCTATACCTTTGACAAATTTCTCAAATGATGTTGAGATTTTTTGTGTCTCTATATACTCCTTCAGAAGAATATATTCATTGTTGGTGTGTTCACTTTTTTTTTTTTTTTTTTGGACGAAGTCTCGCTCTGTCGCCCAGGCTGGAGTGCGGTGGCGCGATCTCAGCTCACTGCAAGCTCCGCCTCCCAGGTTCATGCCATTCTCCTGCCTCAGCCTCCAGAGTAGCTGGGATTAGAGGCGCCTGCCACCACGCCCAGCTAATTTTTTTGTATTTTCAGTAGAGACGGGGTTTCACCGTGTTAGCCAGGATGGTCTCGATCTCCTGACCTCGTGATCCGCCTGCCTCGGCCTCCCAAAGTGCTGGGATTCCAGGCGTGAGCCACCGCGCCTGGCCAGTGTGTTGACTTTTTAAAGAAAACTTTGTTAATAAAGTAGTGTTTACATAACAAGGTAAAATGAAAAAAAAAAAACCACTCCTACTGATGGTGTAAAAAGAAAACAGCCTGAAGAAATAGGTTTTCAGGGAAAGAGAAAGCAGAACTAGAAAAGGTAAGAGAGCATAAAAGTGGGATGATGGAGAAAATTGAAAGGACCTGCATAAAAGCATCAGAAGCAAGATTTAAGAAAGAGCCAGGAAATAACAGTAAGAAAAGGAGCTCAGCAATGGTAGTGAAGAATGAAAGATATGTAACGTAGTTCACCTGACATCACTGCTACCCTGGAAAGCTAAAATGTATTTAGGTAGGTTTTAAATACATATGCATCATAGCCAACACTTTCTGCAATCTCAAGGGCAGGGCTGGAGTGTTACCACAGACACTTTCAGAATGAAGTAGGTGTTGCTGTATGGAGGCCAGTTTAATGGAGGCGAGGGTGGGAGGGAAGACACCAGGTGATGAGTTGTGTAGGAGAACCAGGGAATTACTGAAAACATAAATAATACAAGCAGATAAAGTCAGAAGTAAAGACAACTCTAGTGAAGGAGGAGAAAAGCAAGGACAATTTTGATGAAATATTCGGGAGCTACCTTTTAGGCAAAGTACAATTCTTCAGTAGAGTGGTCTGAAAGGAGGGAGGATGAAAAGATTGCTTACATAGTTTGAGAAAAAGAAAGATGCATTCAGTTTCAAAGGAACATACTGTTATCCCCTCATTCTCACTTTATATGAATTCTGAAATGTACCCATATTATCAGAAATTTTGTATTCTACCCTATAAGATGGGTGCTAGATTCAAAGTCCTTTTTCGGCATTGAGGATTTATTTAAGGCCTGTGTGCTTTCTTATATCTTATAAGCACAATCACAATTTAGCTACAGTTCTGTGTTCATTCATAAGGAGGAAGATTTTACTCTGGTCTGGGCTAGTTAAAGGGACATGGCATAGATGTTCTACGATGTAAGATCTGAGTGGTAATAAAAACATCTCCCCTGATCTGAAGCACCATCTTTACACTGGGGCCATAACCTAAAGTCCACTATTGATATTAAACTGCTTTAGGCTATTGTACATGAACATACTAATAGTTTAGTGTTTACTAGACAAGTTTCTGTCCATATAAAGGGCAAGAAACTGGGAGGCATGAAAGCATTGGTCACCTGACTGGGATTTGAGATGCTAGAAAATAATTGTTTGTTTCCTATTCCATTGATAATGCTTTAAAGAGTATATACGCTCAATAGATATTGATTAGATGAATGAACAAAGAAGGGAAGACAGATTTGCATAATGGAATATTATATACTGGTAAAAATAAACTACTGTTCTATATGATAACATGATTGAATCTTAGCAATATAATATTAAAGAGAAATAGTTCAATAAGTTAAAATCAAAGGAATAGTAAATATATGATTCAGTTTGCAGAGGAGTATAAAGGGTGAGTTGGAGAGGTCACTCTGGTTTCAGTGGCAAGATGAAGATTATTGTTAAAGTTCTAGCCCTCACTTGGATAATGGTTTCAAGAATACTTGTTACATGTTACAAATAACTAATTAAATAATAAAATAGATGAAAATACATGGAGTATTGATGAAAGTGTGTCACTAACCCAAATATTATTGGTATATTAGAAGTCCAAATTCGTTAAATACATGCTTATATGGAAAGGAAGAGAAAAAACTCTCAATCTTTAGACCAAGGCATGATGAACACCAACTGCCTACATCAAGCTGCTGGCTTCTGGCTCAGACAGTGTGAAAAAGCAGAGAGCCTGTGAGGAATAGACCCCTCCATGACTTTATATAGAGCGAACTAGGTAGTCCTTTCCATTTGGGCATTTGAGGGTTTCTACTAAGCATACTAGGGAAGAAATGGATGCATATACTAAAGAACAAATCATCTGCTGTTATAGAGATTCAAGATTAATAATAACTATATAGCTTAATGTTTCTCCTTTTGTTATGACTCTCAGGAAATGAAGATCTTAATGTAATGGTCAGTCGTTGAAATCGTTAAGTTTTCACAGTTACCAAGTTTTCCACATTGTTTTCATGATCATAATTTTATATTTTTATTTTATTAAATTATTTGTTTTGTGTATCATAAATACTTTAAATCCCATTCTTAATGAATGAGCTGTATGTGACAAAATAAAAACTACATGCCACTAATGGCTAGTGTCTTTAGTTTGGAAAGAACAAAGTCTAGCAAATGGCACTTGGATTAGTGAGAGAAATATTTCTTTTCTGCAACAAGGTGTCATCTATTTGACTTTAATAAATAAGAATATTGGCCGAGTGCAGTGGTTCATGCCTGTAATTCTAGCACTTTGGGAGGCCGAGGCAGGCAGATCACGAGGTCAGGAGATCGAGACCATCCTGGCTAACATGGTGAAACGCCGTCTCTACTAAAACATATTTAAAAAAAAATTAGCCAGGCGTGGTAGCGGGCACCTGTAGTTCCAGCTACTGGGGAGGCTGAGGCAGGAGAATGGCATGAACCCAGGAGGCAGAGCTTGCAGTGAGCCAAGATCGCGCCAGTGCACTCCAGCCTGGGCAACAGAGCAAGACTCCATCTCAAAAAAAAAAAAAAAAAAAAAAAAGAATGTCTAGAAAATAACATTTGTACTGTTGTGAATACTGCTGCAATGAACATACTTGTGCATGTACGTTTATAATAGTATAATTTATATTCCTCTGGGTATATACCCATTAGTGATAGACTGCATAAAAAATGTGGTACATATACACCATGGAATACTATGCAGCCTGAAAAGAAACGAGATCATGTCCTTTGCAGGGACAAAGATGGAGCTGGAGGACATTATTCTTAGCAAACTAATGCAGGAATAGAAAACCAAATACCACATGTTCTCACTTACAGGTAGGATCTGAACAATGAGAATACCTGGACAGAGGGAGGGCAGCAACACCCACTGGGGCCTTTTGGGGAGTATCATGGGGAGGAAAAGCATCAGGATAAATAGCTAGTGCATGCGGGGCTTAATACCTAGGTGATGGGTTGATAGGTGCAGCAAACCATCATGGTGCATGTTTACCTGTGTAACAAACCTACACATCCTGCACATGTATCCTGGAATATAAAATTAAAATTTATAAAAAAACAGAAAGTAACATTTAGAAGATATCAAACCAGTGACATAGTTAAAATGCAAAGAAAAAAAGTTGGCTTCACCTTTTGGCTGCATATTTTAAAACCATGTATTTCAATGTAAGGATCAGCTTACAGAAACTTTTAAATTTTCTGTTTCTAGATAACATTCTAAAAATATTATGTGGGTTTCTGGTTTGAAGGTGGTAGCACAAATAATTTTCTGCTCCCTTCTACTTTCTAATATTACCCCCCCAAACAATAAAGAAGACAAAAAAGAAACAAAAATACATCATCCTAGTTCATAATCTTGAATGAACTAGGAGATATCAGTAGCCCTAACCATAGGATGTAAGAACCAGTGGAGTCAATGAATGACTTAGTGACCAAAAAAAGGTCAGACTCGGTGTTTATAGTGGGGGACTCCCCAGGAATTCTTAGAAAGTCTCCAGAATTTGAGGTGTTAGATACTGGGGAGGAGGAGTCCACTTGTTTGCTTGTTTGAAAGCCTATGTATGGAACAGTTAGGATCCTGCTCTTCATTCCTCCATCCTATTTCCCATCTCTAGAACAGTATGGCAACTACCTATTTCCAGTTCCTGCAGAAGTCAGGAGTCAGCCTGAAACGGAGCAAAGGACAGCTACATGATTTGTGGGGCCCAGTGCAAAATAAAGATGTGAGTCCTCTTGTTCAAAAGGCTGCATATTTTGAGTTCTGTCAGGAAAATAGAAAACTCACTAGACATTTCAAATAGGAACGTGTTTAATTCAAATAAATTCATTCTTAAAAATGTGGAAGGACTATGGAACATAGATTAGGTCCACTGCGAGCTTTCGGGCTATCCGTTAAGAATTTCAACATGGCTACAGTACAGAAATAAAGTATGGGGCCTTATCCTTAGAAGGCCCCATCTTTGTGCAACTGCCTAGGTGGTACACCCACGAAGCCAGCTCTGCAGACAGTCTCCAAACTCAAGCAGAAAAGGCAGAAATGAGGCATGGTACTGAAAATGGAATTATATGAACATCTAGATCGGGGATGTGTAATCTTTTGACTTCCCTGGGCCACAATGGAAGAAGAAGAATTGTCATGGGCCACACATAAAATACATTAATAATAGCTGATGAGCTAAAAAAAATAGTGGCAAAAAATCTCATGTTTTAAGAAAGTGTATGAATTTGTGTTGGGCCACATTCAAAGCTTTCTTGGGCCACATGCAGCTCATGGGCTGCAGGTTGGACAACCTTGATCTAGATATTCAATGCTGAAGTACTGATCCCACCATTCTTAATACTGTCATTCAGGCTATCCAGCTCAATGAGAAGTCTGGAAGACCCAGCTACAGAGAAAATGAACTTAGAAGAAGATACTGGCATTTAGTAGTTCCCAGCATAAAAACCACCTGACTGCCTCAATGCCAACATAGACAGACCACCTGGAAATAAGCCCCATCTGCCTGGAGATAAGCCCCACCAATGTACACAGAGCTCCTGGAGGCCGTTAGTGCTTAATCAGAGCTACCAGGCATTTGAGAAAATAATAACAGCAATGATGAAAGAGCTATAATCACAGAGAAGAAAGAACTGAGCAATAAACAGAGTCAATGTAGAATTCAGAACAATATTTTGAAAGGAAAATATTAATATTAATGATAACCATAATAGTGTCAGATTGCATTTTGGCAACAACATTTCCTTTCATGATTTCTCTTCTAACACAGAAACTAGAAGACTGGGAACCTTATTTCTCAGAAATATTGCCAGCAGCTTCCATGCCAATGAGAAGCACTTTCATGAGCTTGGGAAGCAGAGCTAAAGCTGTCATGGCTTCTGCAGAATCAAAAAGCAAGCATGTGATTTTAACAGAAAACAGATGTGCAGTGTTTTGAGTGGCTTTCAAGCATTCGCTCGTGAAATTCTTTTTGGTGTGACAGACATTAATCACGGTTTGCTGAGATTCTGCATCTGCCTGATATACTGAAAGTTAGTGGTGGATCTAATCTATGCATTACGAATTAAATATTTTAATTCTCTAAATAATTTCTGAAGATTATGATTATACACACACAGCTGCCAATTCTAGGCTTTCAAGATCAGTGTAGAGAGACCATCTCATGACAATAATGCCTAAGAAAGTGAGGGCTCATCACACTCACTAGAAACATGATTCTCCTCCTCTCCTATTGCCATTGTGGTGTATTTCTGAACTTAGGGCAGTCTGGAGGTTTACCAGAACGCACCTTGGGTCTGGCATTTCTCTTCAACCTTAGAGTTTGACAAAACAGAATGCAAGGATTTCAGGCGTGAGTATATGCTTCATATATTACCTTCAGATTCTCCTGCCTACTTCTTCCTACTCTAAGCACATTACTAAATTAGATGCTACTTAGAAAGAACATAAAGATCAAATACCCTAAATTCTGTTGGAGTCTGTAGGATTAAGATCTTAATGATTCTAAAGCCTTTTAGATTATGTTATTTTTAAAGCTATGTATATCTCTTTCACCATTAAAAAATTTTAAAAAGGTATAATTTTATTCTTATTTAAAAAATAAACTTTGATATTTCAAAATTAAGTATAAGGATAAGACCTTACACCTTAATGCCTTTCATGCTTGGGGTATGTTGGAATACAGTTTCAGGTGGGAGATCAGTACAGTATTATTCTTTTGTCCAGATTTATCAGTACTGCCTTGCAATAAATTTCAACAGTCCCTTGATAAGTGATTTGTGTGTGCCTCTGATTACCCTGTTAAGTTCTCTTTTTCATCACAGGAAAACAAGAACAAAAGAGGAGATAGATTTGAAGGAGATACTCATCTAAATCTGATCCCTTTGAGGAATGTAAAAAATTAAACCTTTCCCATCTTCCTCCTTACATCTAAACTTTTGGTGGGACCCCAGTCGATTTGCTAAAGGATAACACCTGCTACAAAGATCACTGAATACATTTTTGGGCTCCTAAATAACACATAACGTATTTGTGGGTGTGTGTGTATGTGTACGTGTGTATATACATATATATATTTAAGTACTTTTTCTACCCCTGAGACCAGATTTTCAATTTAATGCCTCTACAACTAGGGAATAGTGGTGGGAAGTCAAAATGTTTTCCTTGGTTCCTCAAGCAACAATTTGAATAGACTTTAACTGACTCTGTGGGAATTTTTCCATCACTCAGAAAGACCATAAAGGTATCATCTGAGTTGTTTGCTTAGCTCTTCATCTTCAGTCTTAGCTTGGGGATAATGAAACCTGATATTAATGTGCTGAAATTATTTCTCTCTATGAAGGCTTACCCAATAAACCACAGTTAATGACCTTAAAGAGTTCTTCAGGAATTTCACATTGAGCCAGCTCTGCCCTCAAATTTTCCAGTGATTCCTTTCAGATATTTAAAATAGATTTTTTTTCTTCTCCCTTCTTAAGTAAATATTTTTTAAGAAGCAGTGAACTTTGCTGCTGTAATTCAAAGATAAAGATTATGTCTTTCAAGCTTGTTTTAATATTTATGTTGGCTTATGACTAAATATTAGCTTGTTTTAGTTATCTATTATAAGGTAAAATAGAACACTTGAAACAATTTTCCCATAGTTTTCATTTATCCTTATGGTAATACCAAACTGTTGAATAGTAATTTCAGCTTATCCTAGATTAACATATCTTTTATACTTCTGTTAAATGATTTCTTTCAATAAGCACCGTTTTACTTTCTTGTTCTGAAAAGCAAATATTAAGCAGCGTGACATTTGACGAAGCTCCCATGCCAGACAGGGGACCACAGCAAGTCATCTGATTCATTCTCTAATTTTCAGGCAGGAACATACTTCTGATTATATTATCAAAGGCAGCCAGCTGTAGTTTGAGATAGCCTATTAGTGAAAGAAATTGATATAACCAATCAATAAACAAACAGGTAAAAGTCTTCTCATTTCATTTGATGAGATTCTGGCAAAGGACAGGAATGTTACCCTACTAGCATTGAAAACAGTAAGGCAGAAAATCACTTGCGGAGAAATCAGTGAGGCAAAATTAAACCTTGGCCAAATTGCCTCCCTCCTCTAGTAGACTTTTCATTCTTAAACTGCTTTTCCTGGAATGCCTATATTCTGCATCAGTTAGATGCAATTATTGCTGTATTATTTTGACATTCCCAGATAAGTTTATCTTCAGATGCTGAATGACCAGTCTAGAGACTAAAGGAATCTGAAACAGTGCTGAACTTTAATAAAGTTTTGTCAAACAGTGCCTTTAGTAATTACAGCAAAACCTGGTGTTCTCTTGCTATCTCAGAATCCTTTAAAGGCATCTATACCTAAGGCCTGATACGGAAAGACAGTTGCCCAACTCTTTATAGAGTTATCAAAAACAATTTTTCTCAGTATTTTCATTTTCAGAGACAATCTTGAGCAAAGCAAAATTGTTAGAAAGATACCTTGTTTTAAATTGTTACAGGAAAGCAATGGATCTTAAGTGAAATAAATATTGATAGATATGGCAAAGAAGAGGGCAGATGTGATACTCTGGTTGGATATGACTGTAGTTAGGATGCTGGATAAAACTAAGGTATGATCTGAGCTGTAGTAAGCAGAAACTGATAAAGCTTCTGTAGCAGAAAAGATTGTGGTTACTGTTCTAGATTCAAGCTTTGGGTCTGACATGGCAAGTGTTCTGATATTCATAAATTCATGAGCAAATTTTGATCATTGCTTACATGTTGACCATTTATAAGCATTTAGGCTACAAAAAGCAACATATTAGCCACCACAAATAATATAAACATAAAGAAGTGAATTAGGGTAGAAAATGTTGAGAATTAATTTTGTGGGATTGGAAGACAGTGCATAAAATTTTAGCGTTAACAATCTATGTAGGAGGCAAGTTGATCCAGGGTACTTGTTGACCTCTAACTGCCTCATTGCTCCTTGTAGACACACAGGTCTCTTTTGGATGTTGAACTCTGCTCTATTGTCAAAATTCACCCATATCTACTGTGCCTGAGCAGCACTTCCAGATGAGCTTTTCCTCCCTCTTTCAAGTCTTATACATTTGGCTTGGTGACAGTGAGCAAGTGTGATAAAGAAATATCTGCTAAACTCACTAGGTCGCAGTAAGCACTGGAGGCACCTGATAAACACAGCTTCCTAGAGTAAATTTCTGAATACTCTGAGTATATAAAGTGACTTCTATGCTCAGACAAATTTTGGAAATTTCATGATGAATTAAAATATTAGGGTTATCCCATTCTAGTAAATATATTAATTTCAATAAAATCTTATTTCAAATAATATTGTATTCCCCCCAAAGTGACAAGCAGTAGAGATTTTCTGAAGGATTCAGTGTTCACTCATTCAACAATAGTTATTGACAGTCTATCAAGTCTTTAGTCATTGGAAATGAATCTGTGGATCAACCACAGTCTCAGGCCTCAGGGGGCTTCTGAGATACATTACTGGGTATATGTGGCTTTATTATTATTTGTAACCTAAGTAAGAAATAACCCAGTTGATACAGGCTTACTTCATATTTACTCTATGCAGGGCTACAATGGTCACCATAAGGATGTCTGACCACGTAATTAATGATGAATGAGACTACTGAAGGTTAGATAGGAGCAGAATTAATCTATCTAAAACAGGCACATTGGAAGATGCAGGGTTCTGTGGACATATCTAGGAACTGTAGGCACCACTGAAGCTTGGTTAACAGTTCAGAATAAGTAGAATGCAAATATAATAAAAGATGGAAGTCAAGATTAATAAGTATTATATTTTGTAATTTTTAGATTTTTCTCGCACTTACATTTCTGGGTAAAACTTGTTTTGCTTATCTAAATGTGTTGCTTATTGAGCTCGTTATATACTTAACAGTCATTTGTTAATTACGGGTAATTTTTCCTTTTCATTGGGTGTATTATTGTTCCAATTGTAACTTTTGCATATCTACAGAGTCAGATCTTTATTCACCCTCTACTCCAATATTATTTAAATCATAAATGGTTGCCAGCTTCTACATACTTTTTCAGAGAAAAAAGTTCTGGGTCTCTCTTAAAAGACCCAGGAGGACTGCGTAGATGTGCATAAGCTAGACATAGATTATGTCGTTGTTTCTGTTATTTATTTTCTTGTAGCAGTTCGATGCAGGTTAAAGATTTCCTTCTCTAAGATTGTTAAACATTATCTAAACATTGAGGAACAGACTTAAAAAAAAAACATTATGCATGAGTACCGGAAAACTATACGTATGCTGTTAAGTAGAAAGCAAATTAAGATGCATCTAATTAGGATCAAGGATGAGGAGTTATGACCCTATTCCAGGCTGAAGTTCTCAGAAGAGGTACATGTGGTGGGATTAGGCTTAGTAAAGAATCTTTAGTGACTTTTCTATTTTCTTAGAAAGTTGATACTGAGGTGCTAAGTAGCAACATGGTTCCTGGTATCCTATGTAGCTTATTCGCATACGTGCACCTCAGCCTCATGCATCCACAATGATGAAGATGACTATGAATATCTACCTTGTCTTTAAGAAGGTAGAGTTATCCTTAATGGTTTGGTGTTCTATACTAAAGCTGGAGAGATGTCTGGAGAGTTTCTAATTTTGATTTTAATAGCTTTTCATTCTTTTGTTTTAATTCATTGAAGGCCTTAAATTAGTCCAGGAGGATTGGTATAAAAATCCCATTTTTTTTGCTGTTCAGAGTTCAAAAGCCTCAACTTGTGGAGAGAAATGAAATGGCTGAGTAGCAGAAGTCAGCAGTGAGCTGCAGCTTGCTCACATTGCCCTCAAATCTGCTGCACACATACCTTCACAGCTCGGCATTAGTTACCTCACTTTGGTAGCTTGACATCTGCCATGTTAGGTGAATTTATACCAGAGAAATAAAAAACAATTCTGTAAATCAGGGAATTTTGGTCATGCAGAGCCTGCTATTAAATGTTTACCAGCATTGCTGCTGAAAAAAGAGTGTTCCTCATATGTGGCACACTACTGGTGGTCATCAGTCCATCCTTCTTGCTTGGATAGGCATCTCTGCACAGTTGTAACACCAGTGACTTACAATAGACAATTTCTCTTTAGCTGGAAGAAAGCAGTCATAGTGACAGTGGTAGTGGACAATGCTGAATGTTGCCATACATACTCAAGTCCAAGGTTAGACCTTATTAATAGCAGAGAGAAGTGATTAGAATATTAAAGTCCTAATTCCTGTTTTTATCATTCTTTCTGCTCCTTGCGTCCTAACACACCTGTATAAACATCATCAGATCAACAGAACATTTAGCTGTAGTGTTTACCCTTCAAACAGTTGATTTCCTCTTTAAATTCATAATATTTTATTTCTTTTGGGGAGAAATCTCCCATAAATTATTTTACCATCATCTAGATCAGCATTATTCAACAGAATGTTCTGCTACAATGAAAATGTTCTGTATTTATGTTGAGCAATATAGTAGCCATTAGCCACATGTGGATTGTGAACATTTGAAATGTGCCTAGTGTGTGAGAGGAAATGAATTTTAATTTAATTTAAATTAAAATAGCTACATACTGCTAGTAACTATCATTTTATACAACTTAGTCTAATCCAGGTTTTATCTTCTTTTCTAAAAAAATTGTCCTGTATTCAATGCTTGATCATCTTTATCCCCCTTTAAAAATGCTGTTGTTTTTAACAGATAATTTTTAAATTTGGAGTTGTTTTAGTTTACTGTTACAAATGGAATACTTCAGTCAGTTTTGAATTTCAGTCCTATACATCTAGAGTCAGAACACACACTTCACAATGGAAAATACTGTTTAATTAGATCAAATAAGTTGGAAATATAATGTGTCTTTCCTATATAAAGGCTCTCAGAGCAAAGCACTGAAGTTTTTAGAAGTTTCAAAAAGATATTTGAATCTGATTATAGATTTGGTACATATGTAAGAGTACAGCCTATGTTAGCCAAGTCACTAGCTTCTGTTATTGCATTTTCTTCAACAAGGATTAGTCCCAGCAAATGATCTCTTCTGAAATAGATTTATAGTCAGCTTACACTGAAATATATAGTAAGAAACAAATCAAAACCATCAACATAAACAAGAAAATTGAGATTAATGAAGTCTTTGCTAAACATTGTGCTAAATGATTTTACATGTATAACCTTATTTAAAAATTTAAATAATCCCCAATTTTGATGCAGACAATAAGGAACAGTGAGTGTAAGTGACTTAAAGTCAAACAAATAGTTTGGAACAGAGGTAGAGCAGCACTGAATGTGCATTCTGTCAATTGCTAAATGATTGCTTGTTAAAGAAAATATTGGCTAATGCTGAAAAATGAGCAAACATCTCCACTATAGTATAAATGATTAAAGGAAAAATTATATCAAAAATTTAAATATTGTTACCGTTTTATTATCAAATTGTGGTGGTCAAGTTTTAAACGGTTATTGTGTAAAGACAATAAATTCTCAGACTATCAGTTGATAATATACTCCTTGGGTAATACTTGTAAGAATAAAACATATTGTCTTTCAAATGAGGTCAATGGATGAGCAAGCTATATCTTGGATTCTTTTTTTACTCACTAACACTTTTGTCTTTTCTTCATATTCTTTAAATTCTATTACAACTAGTTGGAAGATAATTTGTCAAGGATGTTGTTGTACATGATTTTGGAGATTTTCCTTTTTGTAAAATTGTGAGGAGGCAGAGTTGACGTTTTGCTTTTAATTTGTCCTCCCAAAATTTGAAGAATTCCCAAATAGAACTTCATGACTCATGGCTTAATGACATTAGTTGTTAAAGATTATTTTGCTTAATGTCATGAATGTTGATACCAAATAATATTTCTAAAATTACTAAAATATTTGCTTTCTATTATTCTGTCATTTGTTATCATTTAAATATTTAGTGATATTCCACAGAAAGAATGTTTTTCTAAAGTTATCTAGCACACTCATTCATTCTAAATATTTGTATTATATCCAAAGGATTGCTTTGTTCATATTACTGTCATTGCTAAACAGATTATATATTTTGGTAATTTATGGAATCATAAAAGTATTGACTAAGCACAAGTTCAGGGATGCCAGAAATAAGGTTAAAGTAAACATTAGCAACTAGGACTTTTTCTAATTGGCATATTTGGCCCAACCAAAGCTAAATCTGAGTCTCTGGGCATTTCTAGTTGGGATTTTAAGTGAAATCCATATTTCTTTGAACCATGTTGTACATATTTTCTGTGTTATCATTTCAAGTGGGATACAGACACAACCGCTGCCTTTCTTTTTGTTAAAATATTCTATTTTAAAGCATGGATAAAAACCGTATATGTGATGAGAATGGAAGGTAGAAGCCATTTAATAGGTGAAATTGATTAAGTTATGTGGGTAATTGAAATAATAATGCTTCATTGATAAAAACCATATATGCAATGAGAATGAAAGGTGAAGCCATTTAATAGGTGAAATTGATTAAGTTATGTGGGTAACTGAAATAATAATGATTTCTCAGCCAAGAGGAAAAAAGAATGTACTCAGCACTTCTTTTTCACTGTTTGAATTTCCTAGAAAATAAAATGGAGATTTGATTTTAGCACAGTGGAGAGAAATATACACAAAATACTGTCAGGCCAGCGATACTGATTTGATGCTTACCCATTTACTACATTATTTTTGTCATACTTTCTTACACCTCTGAGATATTGTATTCTGCCTGAAGTTCATCCTTTAAAATTTCCATTAATGAGGGTCTGCTGGTGGTAAACTCTATAATGCTTTATTTTTCTTCCTTTATTTCACCTTTCTTTTTGAATAATTTTTTTTTGCTGAGTATAGATTACTAAGTTGACAGTTACTTTTCTAGCACATTAAAAATATCCCACTGTTTTATTGATTTTATCGGTGCTGTTGGTAAACTACCTCTCATTCTAATTATCATTTCTCTGAAGATAACCATTTTTTTTCTTCAGCTGCTTTTAAGGTGTTCTAATAAATTTATATTTTTCTGCAGTGTTCAATAGAACAGATCTAAGTATGGATTTATTTTTGCTTATACTCTTAGATTTATTGCATTCTTGAGTCTGTAGATTTATCATTCTTATCAATTCTGGAAAATTTGCTATTATTATTTCTTCATGGATTGTTTCTCCCATTTCCTTTCTTCAGTCTCTTTCTGGCACACTTGTGAAACTAAGGTTAGACTATTGATTGTATCCTTTATGTTTCTTACCCAAATTCTGTGTTTTTTCATTCTTTTGTTTCTCTGTGCTACATTCCAGATAACATTTTTCTTTTCTATCTCCCAGCTTACCAATTTTCTCTTGAGTCTTATATTGAAGTTTTATATTGACTGTTGTATTTTACATTTCTAGAGTTTTTGTTAAGACTTTTCAAATATTCTCTTTTCTTTGGTGTTTCTTATTCCTTGAATACATTTTCAAGCTTGTATTTTTAAATAAAGTACAGATGTTTTATATTCTATGACTAATAATTCTGATAATTAATGATTCATACTTCGTACGTTCTTTCTTCTGTCATTTATTCTGGTTCTTCCTCATCGTGTCATGTTTCCTTGTGTGCCTGATATATCCCTGACTGTGTGACCTGCTTAGTATTTGAAAATTATATTGAGAAAAATTTGAACTCTAGGATTGTTTTCTCATTCTACAGAGATAATTTTCATTTGTTGCTGTATGGGTGAATATAAGTGTATTGCCACTTCAAGACCACCTTAACCCAAGTTCAAGGCTTGATGTTTCTTGGGCCACTGAGTAGATGAATACTTGGGTCACATAAGGGCTTATTTTTGTGTAGTTCATCCTTTCCATGGGAATGTAACTCCTCGAGGTCCCAACTTAAAGTATGCAGTTCTATCAGTCAAAAATTCTTTTAGGAAAAAATGAGATTACGCTAGATATTTTACAGAGATAATTTAATATGAGGGAATCGATCAAACAGATATTGGAAAAGTAAAAAGCAGAAAAAGAACATAGAGTTAAGATAGAGTTAATAACATTGAAATGGCTGGGAACAAAGGATGGAGACAGAGTTCTCAGAGGAGAGGCCCCACAGAACTGGGGCACAGACTTTGGAAGAGACGATGCTACCTGGAAAGTGCTGGTACCTCTGAAGCGCACAATGAGATTGGTTCTCATTCTGGGACTGCTGGAAAAAATCTGATGACTGCAATCCACAGCTTGTGGTAAAGAGCCACTGCTGGGATTACAGTAAATGGAGCAGCAAATAAACGGGAGTAAGTTTCCTCTCCCCTCCTGCTTTTCAGGCTCTCTTTAGCCTTCTCTATTGGTGGAGTCAAATAAGGATCTGGCCAGTTGAGGAAAAATGTTGTTTGCAGATTCCTGGCTGCAGTATCAAAACGCCGAGTATATAAGGGAAGGTTTGGTACAAGGGATGTTGCCAGCTTTTCCACCCTGCCCAAGCCCAGGATGTTTCCCTATTTCTGTGAGGCCGCCAGCAGTGTTGTAGCTGTTTCTTTAGGGTTAGAAATACCCTTAGGATATATATGGTTCTGAGTTTTGTGTTTACATCTCCAGATTCTTGATTTTTCCTAGGTTATCGTCTAGTAATTTTTGTCGTTATTTTGTCGATGCTTTTAAAGCAACTTTAAAAAAAAATTCACTTAGTTTTAAATTTTTTTTCTTTAGTGTGTAGTAGGTCTTATTTAGCAGATGCACAAGTCTTCAGTTTATGCCTTACAACTTTAATTGGAAAAGGATATTTGTTTGTCCTTGCCTGTTTTCTAGCTTATACTACACAGGCAACATGCTATAAAATAAACGTATATGTGTTTCAAAATGGTTCAATTTGCCCCTTTCTTGAATAGTCAATTACATGCTAATAAAAATGTAAATTTTAACTTATACTTCTTTCATTATATTCTCCAATTAGAAGTTATTTTCATGACTACAAGAAGCTAAAAAAACTCAGTAAATATTTGCTAAGACTAGTGATCAAGTACTCCATAGTAATTAGTTTCCAACTTTGAGTCATAAAATTCAACTTAAAGTTAAAATATATTTTTATTATTTCTGCTGGTTTCTCATGGATAGAATTATTTTGCACCATTTTGACACTTTTATAAGTATTTCTGTCCATTTCCAAAACATGGGTTAATTATTAATCTTTTCCAATTTGTAAAATTACAGATTTCATTCCTAGTTTATTGCCCAGGTTTGTGTTCATGTGTTTTCATAGACATCTGTGCATGCTTGCTTTTTGCCTGTTGTAAATAATTAGAAATTCCTCAGGCCTTTTGAAAATCTTAGGCGGGTTTAAATCGTATTTTGGAGACAATGCCACTATAATGGTGTCCTCCAGGGCAAGGTAAGCATCACAGGAAAGTGTTTCAAAAGATTCTTAATGCTAATTATAAGCCTTTCCTTCTTAACAAACTCAAAAGACTGCTGATATTTGCAACTTTGTCAGAAAATTTATCTCAGATATTGGCTAATATTGTAGGCAGGTATAGGTAATTGGTCCATGGAGTATTAAAGTCAAGTTTGCATCTTCTAAAAATTTTCCTTTTGTCCTGTGCTTTTGAATATGTGTCTCTTGGGGTCAAGAGAATCATATGCCTCACTGAGGTCCTCATTTGTCTCCTTAGACATCTCTGAGTTTGTGGAGAGGTACAAAGTTTGAAATAGAATGCACTAGAGCTCCTTTCTAGAGCTGTGGCTTTGTAGTTTTAAGGAGAAAATTTAAATTCATTCTCAGTTTATTGTTCTTCTATTCTTAGTCTAATGTATAGATTTCTTCTTTATTTTTCAAATGTTTCAAACAGTTTCACTTGCTATTCACCATCTCTTCTGAAGAAACTAAAATGAGCACATTGCGTTATTCTAAGGCAATCTCTTGACCATGCCTTTTCTCTATCTTCAGCCATATTTCCTGGGGATCACTAATGACAAATGAAAAAGAGGAGCAAATACTTAATAAAAATCTTATTCTAATATTCTTTGGAAATTTAAGTGGTCAGAATCCAAATATGTGTAAGACAGGGAAATAGGCACATGCTGCTTTTTTTTTTTTATATATACTTTAAGTTTTAGGGTACATGTGCACAATGTGCAGGTTTGTTACATATGTATACATGTGCCATGTTGGTGTGCTGTACCCATTAACTCATCATTTAGCATTAGGTATATCTCCTAATGCTATCCCTCCCCGCCCCCCACCCCACAACAGTCCCTGGTGTGTGATGTTCCCCTTCCTGTGTCCATGTGTTCTCATTGTTCAATTCCCACCTGTGAGTGAGAACATGCGGTGTTTGGGTTTTTGTCCTTGCGATAGTTTGCTGAGAATGATGGTTTCCAGCTTCATCCACGTCCCTACAAAGGACATGAACTCATCATTTTTTATGGCTGCATAGTATTCCATGGTATATAGGCACATGCTACTTCTTAAATGTGTTGTTCTGTTCTTCTGATAAGCATCCTTCAATAAATTCTCAATTAGTATATCATTATTAAGCTTCTCCTTTTGTCATTCAGGCCCGGTTATAAGTTCCCTTTTATCTCAATATTTTATCGCACCATTTGCTCTTATGGTCTTTTCCATCATGATTATTTTCTCAAAGCCATTCTTCATTTTCTCTCCTCTGCTCCTTTACTCACGTTTTCCCATAATCCCAAACTTCCAACTTTACCATGTCATAGGCCCTGTGAAAGCTCTACAGAATTCATAGCTTATCTTAAACCCCAACTGTTCTCAAATTCTTACTATTTTTTTCTTTTATAATATATTTGACTTTTTTCTTACTGTTATTGAGGTATAATTCACAATTAAAAATTATATATATTTAATTATAATGTATTTAATTATATATATTTAATTATGATGTATTTATATACACATAAATTGTAAAATGATTACCACCATCAAGCTAATTAACACATCCATCACCTCACATAGTTACTATTTCTTTTTTGGCACTGAAAACACTTACAATTTAATCTCTTGGCAAATCTCAAGTGCACAATACAATAATACTCACTATAGTCACCATGCTGTATATTGGATATACAGAATGGATTCTTCCTGCATAACTGAATCTTTGTACCTTCTGACCAACATTTCCTGGTTTTTCTCACTCCCTGTAACCACCTTTCTACTCTCTGTTTCTATGCATTCTACTTTCTTAGATTGCACATATAAGTGAGATTATGCAGTATTTGTTTTTCTATGTCTGGCTTATTTCATATAGCATAATGTCCTCCAGGTTCATCAGTATTGCCACAAATGACAGTAAGTTCTTTTTAAAGGCCAAATAGTATTCAAGTACACACACACACACACACACACACACACACACACACACACCACAGGCATAACTTGGAGATATTGTAGGTTCTATGGTAGGCCACCACAATAAAGCAAGTATCACAATAAAGCAAGTCATTTGCAAGTTAAATAAAGCAAGTAAAAACAACAACTTTTTTTTGTTTTCCAGGACATATATAAGTTATGTTTACATTATACTATATTCTAATAAGTATACAACAGCATTGTGGTGAAAATCAATGTATGTACCTTAATTAAACATACTTTATTGCTAAAAAATTGCTAACAATTATCTGAGCCTCCAGGAGGTTGGGATATTTTGGCTAGTGGAGGATTTTCCCCTGATGTTGGTGGCTGCTGGCTGATCAGTGTGGTGGTTGCTGAAGGCTGGAGTGGCCGTGACAATCACTTAAAATAAAACAACAATGAAGTTTGCAGCATCAATTGACTTTTCCTCTTGTGAAAGATTTCTCTGTGAGATGCAATGCTCTTTGAAAGCATTTTACCCTCATTAGAATTTATTTGAAAATTAGAGTAAATCCTCTAATGTTGCTGCTTTATCAATTAAGTTTATATAACATTTTTTGTTGTTGTTGTCATTTCAACAGTGTTCATAGCATCTTCACCAGGTGTGGATTCTATGAAACCTTGAAACCTCTTTCTTTGCTCATACCTAAGAAGCAACCCCTCATCCATTCAAGTTTTTTTTATTTTTAAAACTTTTAAGTTTTTTTTTTTTTTTTTTGAGATGGAGTCTCCCTATCTTGCCCAGGCTGGAGTGTAGTGGTGATATCTTGGCTCACTGCAAGCTCTGCCTCCTGGGTTCACACCATTCTCCTGCCTCAGCCTCACGAGTAGCTGGAACTACAGGTGCCCACCACCACATCTGGCTAATTTTTATATTTTTAGTAGAGACAGGGTTTCACCATGTTGGCCAGGCTGGTCTCGAACTCCTGACCTCATGATCTGCCCCCCCTGGCTTCCCAAAGTGCTGGGATTACAGACGTGAGCCACCGTGCCCAGCCCAAAATAAGTTTTATGAGTACATAGTACATGTATATGTTTATAGGATACATGAGATATTTTAATACAGGCATACAATGTATAATAATCACATCAGGGTAAATGGGATATCCATCACCTCAAGCATTCGTTATTTCTTTGTGTCACAAATGTTGTGCTTCTTCAGTTATTCTAAAATGTACAATAATGTTACCATGAGTTTGCAGCAATTCAATCCCATCTTCGGGCTCTACTTATTATTCTAGCTCTTTTGCTATTCCCACTAAATCTTCAGTTAATTCTTCCACTGAAGTCTTGAACCCTTAAAAGTCATCCATGAGGGTACCAAACTCCTGTTCATGTTGGTATTTTGACTTTCTCCCACAAATCACAAGACAGTTATAATGACATCTAGAATGGTAAATCCTTTCCAGAGGTTTTCAATTTACCTTTCAAGATCCATTGGAGAAATCACTATCCATGGAAGTTATAGCCTGACAAAAAGTGTTTTTTAAATAATGAGACCTAAAAGTCAAAATTACTCCTTAATCCATGCATGGGCTGCAGAATGGATGTTGTATTTGCAAGCATGAAAACATCAATCTTATTCTTTTCTGTCAGAGATCTTGGCTGACTAATTTCACTGTTAATGAACAGTCATATTTTGAAAAAAATGTATTTTTTCTGAGTTGCAGATCTTAATAGTGGGCTTACAATATTAAATAAACCATGATGTAGACATGTGCTGTCATTTAGGCTTTATTTTTCTATTTATAGAGCTCAGGAAGAGTAGATTCAGCATCATTCTTAAGGGCGCTAAGAATTTTGGAATGGTAAATGAGCATTGGTTTCAACCTAAAGGCACCACTACATTATACTCTAAATGAAATTCTGCCAGTCCTTTGAAGCCAGACATTGACTTTTCCCTAGCTATAAAAAGTCCTAGATGACATCTTCTTCCAAAGAAAGGCCATCTCATCTGCACTGAGAATCTGTTGCTTACTGTAGCCACCTTCATCAATGGTGTTAGCTAGGTCTTCTGGATAAGTTGCTGTAGCTTTTACACGAGCACTTACTGCTTCACCTTGACTTTTTTGTTACAGAGATGGTTTTTTTCCTTCAGCCTCATGAACCAACCTCTGTGAGCTTCAAAATTTCTTGTACAGCTTCCTCACCTCTCCCAGTTTTGATAGAATTGAAGAGTGTTAAGGTCTTGCTCTGGATTAAGCTTTGGTTAAGGGAATATTGTGGCTGATTTAGTCTTCAATTCAGACCACTCAAACTTTCTCCATAATTGCAATAACTCTTTAATACCATTTAAGTGTTCACTGGATGCACTTCCAACTTTCTTCCAGAATTTTTCCTTTGCACTTGTAACTCTGCTGACTGTTTGGTTCAAGAGGCCTAGCTTTTTGCCTGTCCAAGCTTTGGATACACCTTCCTCACTAATCTTAATGATTTCTAGCTTTTGACTTAAAATGAGAATCATGTGACTTGTCCTTTCACTTGAACACTTAGAGGCCATTGTAGGGTTACAAATCTGGCCTAATCTCAATATTGTTGTGTATTTAGGGAGAGTGAGGCATGAGGAGAGGAAGAGAGGTGGGCAAGTGGCCAGTCACTAGAGCGGCCAGAACACAAAAAATATTTGTTAAGTATTCTATCATGTATGGCACTGTTTGTGGCACCCCAAAACAATTACAATAAGAACGACAAAGATCACTGATAACAGGTCATCATAACTGATTAATAATAATAATAAAAATGTTTGAAATACTGAGAAATAGCCAAAATGGGACACAAAGACAGGGAATGAGCATATGCTATTGGGAAAATGGCTCTGATAGTCTTGCTTTGATGCAGGGTTGTCTCAAACTTCAATCTATAAAGAAAAAACACAGTATCTGTGACATATAATAAGATGAGGTATGATTATATTTTTTTGTAACCCATTAATCCATCAGCAGATACTTGTGTTTTTTTTCCATATCTTGGCTTTTATAAATAATACTGCAATGAACATGATGGTACATCTTTGAGTTAGTAACTTAATTTTTCTTGTACACATACCCAGAAGTAGTATTGCTGGATCCAATAATAGTTTTATTTTTAATATTTTGAGGAATCTCTATAATGTTTTCCACAATAGCTGCTCTAATTGACAATTCCAGCAACAGGGTACAAGGGTTCCCTTTTCTCCATATTCTTGCCAACAATTGTAACTTTTTGACATTTTCATAATAGTCATCCTATAAAGAGTTCTGAGGTGATATCTCATTGTGGTTTTGATTTGCATTTTTTTGGATGATTATTAATGTTGAGCACCGCCCCCCTCCCCCCCCCCCCAATAGACCTATTGGCCATTCATAGGTTTTCTTTGGAAAAATGTCAGTTCATATCCTTTGCCCATTTTTGAACTGGATATTTGTATATTTGTAATTGAGTTGTATAAGTTTTTGTATAGTTTGGATATTAACCCATTATCAGATATATGGTTTGCAAATATTTTTCTCATTCCATAAGTTGCCTTTCCATTTCATTTCCTTTGCTGTGAAGAAACTTTTATTTTATTTTTTATTATTTTAAGAAAATTTTTGTGAGTACATGGTAGGTGTATATATTTATGAGGCAAGTGAGACATTTTGTGCAGAAAGTTTTAAATTTAATACAGTTCTACTTGTTTACTTTTTCTTTTGTTGCCTGTGCTTTTCATGAACAATTTCATAAAGACTTCCCCCAATATTTTCTTCTGCAAGTTTTGTGGTTTCAGGAATTATGTTAAATTTTTTAGTCGTTATTATATGATGCAATCTTATTTTTTAAAATGTGGATATGCTGTTTTCCCCAACACCATATATTGAATGGCTTGTCCTCTTCGCACTGTACATTGTTGGCACCTTTGTTGAAGATTAGTTAACTGTATGTGCATAGGTTTATTTACGAGCTTTCTACTGTGTTCCATTTGTCTATATGTCTGATTTTAATTTCCAAGCCATGCTATTTTGGCTGCTATAACTTTGTAATATAATTTGAAATTAGAAAGTGTGATGCTGCCAGATTTGTTATTCTTGTTAAAGATTGCCTTATTTAGGATCTTCTGTGGTTCCATATTAATTCTAAGATTTTTTTTTTAAATTTCTGTAAGAAAAGCCACTGGAATTTTTAAAAGTAGTTAATTCATGTTAAAAAACTGACAAATAATTATTGTATATATTTATGGTTTACAGCATGATATTTTATACATACACACACATACACACACACACACACGGAAATGGCCAATTAAGCCAATTATTATAGCATATTTATTACCTCATAAACTTATCTCTTTTTTTGGTGAGAACACCTGATTAATTTTGAATAATCTGTATTCAAGTTTACTAGTTCTTCTGCATCATTGAGTGTGCTGCTGAAGCTCTCTACTGCATTTTTCTGTCCTGTGATTGTACTCTTTAGGTCCTGGATTTCTGTTGGTTCTTTTTAATGGTTTTCATATGCTGATTAAACTTCTCATTTTGTTCATGCATTTTTTTCCAATATCATTGAGTTGTCTGTGTTTTTTTGTAGCTCACTGAGATTACTTATAACAGTTATTTTGAATTTTTTTGTAAGGTAATTAATGGATTTCCATTTCTCTGGGGTCAGTGATTATAATGTTATTGGATTCTTTTAGTAGCATCTTGTTTCCTTAATTTTTTTTGTTTGTTTCTTGAAGCTTTGCTTTGCTGTCTTTGCATTTGAAGAGGTAGTCATGTTTTCAGGACAGAAATGTTGTAACTGGCATCAGGAGAGAAATGCCTTAACTGGTCAGCCCTGCTAAGGACTCTGAGGCTCTCTCAGATATTTTCTGTGGATGCACCAACTCCACATCTCTTGTTTTCTTGGTGGTGAATTCTTAAGATTGCATGCTTTCTCTTGATCCCATCAAGCCAGGCTGGGTCCTGAGAGCCTCCTTTTATTTTTTGTTCTCCTAGGGTAATGCGTCGCTCAAGTTTATGTGCCTTTTCCAATTCCACAGGCTTGATCTGATTTTTCATGTGAGATGTTTGCACTTGTCTTCCATGGGTGTACTTGGAAAAATGGCCCGGAGTTTTGGTTAGAGGTTAGGTGTGTGGCCTAGAGGAAGTTAGAGGTTAGGTGTGTGGAGTGTTTGCAGTGCCCATTGGCCAGTTGGTGGAATCTGCAAGCAAAGGATCCAAACTGGCTTAAGGGTGGGATTTCTGATGGAGTCTGTTAAACTCTTTGTAGAATCTGGAGTTTCTTTCCCCTTTCCTGCCTTTCCCAGCCTTTCAGCTTTGTTAATCACCTCAGTAATCTAAATTAGGTAAGAAAAAAGTAAGTATTTTTGGCAGCATCCCACATGACTGAGGGAGCTGGGTGCTCACTTACTGTGCTCTCACTTTCCTCTATGAGAGAAATTGTAGGTCTTTTTTGGCACTGAATTTTGCCACCTTGGAGGAAGAGTGATGCAGGTAAAGTAAAACTGTTCTTACTATCCTCAATGCACCTTTTCTCAGAATTTTTGCTCCAGTTATGTTCTGGAACTTCTCTGTTGGACTTCTAGACTCCCTCAGAGATACTCTTGCCTGTAGGTAGCTCTTAAAATTGATGCTTTTATGGGAGGATATGGTAAAAATCTCCTATTTTTCAATTTTGCAAATGTTACTCCTCCCATTCTTTGTGATCCTCTCTCTCTCTTTCTCTAATATATATATATATCAACATGAATTATATATATGATATACATTATATGATAGAGATAAATATGATATATATGATAGAGATAAATGTATGACATATGTGATATGATAGATATAAAATATATCTTTATCAACATATATATTATATATCTCTATCAACATATATATATAGAGAGAGAGAGTATGTGTATATATGTATGTGTTTGTGTATATACCTACTAAATAGGATAATTTTTAAACATCACACCTGTTTTATTCACTGCCTGTTTGAAAACTAATCTTTCAGGTACTAAGCACCTTGTACAGAGATAGGACTTAGATGTTATTTATTTTCCTAGAACTCTTATGACACTGGTCTTACTAGCCTGGCAGAAGGGGAATGGGAGAAAAGAATATGCTACAAAGTTGACTGCAGGTCTATTATCTCTTTATTTCTTTTTCCTTCTCCTATCTTCCTCTTAAATTTGTGCCATCAAGCATGACAGACCTGATAGATTTTTGAAGAGAAAGACAAAAAAATAACATCGAGTATGTATAGAGCATTGATAATTTAAAAGCTGCCAAAGATAAGCTTTTTCCACAGTTGAAAGTGGAGGAAGTCTCTCACAGTTTTGCCTGTACAGATGAACAACTGGGAGGTTGACAAATACAAACATTTCCCCCAGGACAGTGGTTACCTAGCTCTGTAATTTTGTTTCTTTCTCTTATTCTCTCTGAAATTAATGTAGGTAATTTTCTTGCCTGGAAAATGTGCCCACTGGGAGGAAAATTCCCTTAAGTAGTCTAATAAAAACAAGTAAAAACCACAGGGCAGTATTCCCTCTGCCTTCATCCTCTGGTTACTGTGTAACCCCAGGAAAGTCTCCAAGATCTCTGGGTGCAGGGTGTGACATAAGGGAGGAAGTCATATGTTCACCTATCTGTAATTTTCATAAATACATATATCATATTTGAATACCAAAGATGTAAAATACACAGAAGAGAGACTTGCAGAAACTCCCTGTTATTTTTAACTTGAGTAAAGCTGGGTCAACTATGTTCTTTCACATACCAGTTCTATGCACATGAACCTAAAATGGTCTTCAATATCAAGAAAGGTGGTGGAAATTCTTGTGTCTTTGCTCTTAGTAATTTCTTAGCTTTGCCTATAAGAATTCAAAGACTGTTTAGATTTGTATTCCATTTATGCAACCTATGGGCCACCTCCTGCAAGCAACACAGCCCAGACCCTAATTAGAAAATGTGTCTTCTTAGTGGTGCTAATAGGAAACCAAAGATAGTACTTTAATATGTAGCAACAAATGTTCTTTTCTTGCTTAAATCACTGTGCTCATTATATTCATATAACCCTATATTACCTTCTGAACATTTCTAACAACACAGAGTTCCAGCACGTGAAAAAGTTCCAAATGCTAAGAGGCTCATTTTGTGGCTGTTAAAATTGCAGTGATTTTAATGATTCTTTAAAAAGGACAAGCAGTTCAGTCATTGTATTTGTGTAGGCTTTACATATAGTTCCATTATAAGTGCTGATATTCATCAGACTTCCTAGAGTAGAAGCTTCTAAGCAAAGTTTCAAGCAAAGGTTACGTGGAATATGATGGCTTCATCCACAATATGACTTACAATGTCCAATGACTACTTATTAGCAGCTGTATTTATGAGCTGGAACAGTTTTACCACTGAATTTATTCTGTCTGAAGTACTATGCCATAAAAGTAAATAAGCATATTTCTTCTATGCAGCTGTTGGTGTAACCAAGTACTAGTAAAAACAACAAAAAAAAGTGTATATTAAGTGTCTCATTAGCCCAAATTTAAATAATGAATGAGTCTTGTGCCTAAATCTAATATACTTTATTATCATCATGGTTCTTGATGATTTGGGTTATAATAATTACCTTAGGCAATGAATTGATTGAAATGACAAGTTCATCTGTATGGAATATGTTCAATCTCTGATTTTTCATATATTCTTTTTTTTTTTTTTTTTTTTTTTTTTTTTTTTTGAGACGGAGTCTCGCTCTGTCGCCCAGGCTGGAGTGCAGTGGCGGGATCTCGGCTCACTGCAAGCTCCGCCTCCCGGGTTCACGCCATTCTCCTGCCTCAGCCTCCCAAGTAGCTGGGACTACAGGCGCCCGCCACTACGCCCGGCTAATTTTTTGTATTTTTTAGTAGAGACGGGGTTTCACCGTTTCAGCCGGGATGGTCTCGATCTCCTGACCTCGTGATCCGCCCGCCTCGGCCTCCCAAAGTGCTGGGATTACAGGCGTGAGCCACCGTGCCCGGCCTCATATATTCTTGAGATTGGTGATTAGATGGCTTTAAAAATTCATCTTGCAAATTTTTGTGTCTGTTTTTCAGAATGTATAGTATATTTTGACTTTTCCTTATCTACTGCTATTTTATTTCCTGCCATATATCACAATTTTGTATTTTATGTAAAAAGTCAACAAATTAAACAGCTTTTAGTGAAATTATATAATTGAATTGTTGTAACAATTTCTCCTATTTTTGTAATTCAAAAAAAGTTGAGCTTCAAGGGTCTGATCCTGAAAACATTAGAAGGAGAATAAACAAGATAATATGATGTAGAAGAGGAAGACTTGTTTTACAAAGGGACATAGACCTTGTAAGTGATAGGAATCCAAAGTTTTGTACAGCGTTACAGTGTTGCTTCAAGGACATGTAGAAAAAATGACACTGTTGCTTAATATGGGGGGATAGTATTAGTTTCCACATTTATTATTCAAATAAATCATATATTGTTGTCTTATTGCTATGGAAAATCTTTACTGCTCTAATTTTCTAGTTGAATAAAGAAAATGACCTCTTGTCAGGAAGTATACTATGTAGAACTTTCAGTACTACTTTGTGTAGGGCCATAACTTAAATGCAAAATCAGATGTTAAATGTATTTTTGTTTCTAGACTCTTGAGTGTAAACTTTGCAGGAAAAGGATATTTTCAGCTGCTCTACTAATAACATACTTACATCAACAGAGTAATCGATGCTCTTTCTAGGTAAACATGAAGACAGAAAACAAATATTAAAAATATTTTAACCGAAGTTCTATAACATTTGCCTTTAATGTCATAAGAAAAATAGGTCAACTAAGACAGAGATTTGAGATAGAATTTCATTATTCATAGAATGTTTTTCCTTGTGTTCCTAAGTAGTGAAAAAGCTTTATGAGTTCCATAGTTTCTACTTTGTGTTAGATTTTTTAAATTTAAAATTAACAAAGAGTATGTGAATGAATTATAATTTGCTACCTTCATAAACAAATTGAATAAAGATTTAATCATTACTTTAGAGAGGTGTTGTGGATAACTCTTTAAAAACCTTTCCTTTTTAAAAGATTCTTAAGGAATTTATGTGATCAGGTCTGGATATACCGCTACCTTCTCCCAGAGTTAAAATAACCCTTCACTGGGAAATAAGAACTCTTAGATTTTTGGATCTACCTCCTCCTAGCCAGGCATCACTAAGCAATAATGAAAAGCTGTGGGTTTGAACCTTATTTCTTGCATTCATTCTGATCCTCAGTTTCTTCATCCACCATGTTGAGATTTGTCTTATTAGATTCATACTGCTATAACAAAACACCTGACACTGGGAAGTTTATAAATATATGTGTGTATATATATATCACAGTTCTGGTGGCTGGGAAGTGCAAGATTAAGGAGCTGGCAGATTTGGTGTCTAGTGAGAACTGCTCTCTGCTTCCAAAATAGTACCTTCTTCCTGCATCCTCTGGAGGCAGTGGATACTGTGTCCTCACAGGGCTGAAGGAATGGAAGGCCTAGCTAATTTCATCTACGTCTTTCATAAAGCACTAATCCCATCCATGAGGATACAGTCCTCATGGCCTAATCACTTCCTAATGCCTCCATCTCTTAATACTCTTAAAGTTGAGATCTAAATTTTAACATAAATTCTGGAGGGAGACACAAACATTCAAACCATAACAAGAGTCATGTCTTAGGTTTAATAGTGAATAGACACTGCAATTGAAGGAGGGTTATTGATGGGGAGGAAAGAGCATCTGTGAAGAAATGAGGAAAGGAGGAGAAATTAAATTTCTATACAATTATAACAAAGGCCTCAGCCAATTCCTCCTGGAGTCTTGAACTGGGATGACCCTTGAATAAAGATATCCTGAAATGAAGCAAGGGATCCAGGACTGTATAACTTCTCACCAACAAAGCACTGAATGCAGGCTGCCCTGAGAAAAGGGTGTGTAATCTCCAGGAAGACAGCTGTCTTTGGCCAAAGGAAATTCCTAGGATGTAGTTTGAAAGGTAACCCTCCTGACAGCTTGCAAACAAATGCCTTGGTCCTGAAGGGGAAGTCTAGGTGCACACTATAGTGCACACTACAATTGTTAAGAAAGTTAAAAAATTGTGTGTATGCCTAGCATGTTTAGTATGCCTAGCATATTTAGTAACATTTCAGTTACTAAATAAACAGTAGCTATTGTTATTACTTGTGAAGATCTATAGAATTTTTCTGAGGATCCCATGGGATTATATAACAATTGTTTAACAGTATATATAACAATTGTTTATCAGTATTAAAGGCCATGAAATATACAATTAAAATATAAGGTGATTCTTTCTTTTTGAGCTCAGTCTCCAAGCAAGTTGTTTCTATGCACACAAAGAAAACACAATGAAAATAGCTGATGGATCATTTAAATCATTGTAATCGCTTGTGTGACACAGAGTCTATTCATTTTTCTAGTTGTGGCCTAACATAGAATATTCTACACGGAGGTTTAATTCAAAAACCAGATACAGACATGCATGGTGGCCCAACATAAGTGTTTAGAAGAGACTTCCTAAAGCATTAAATTTTTTCATTGGCCAGCTAACTGGCTTTGAATTATTTGTAATGGATAAAACATTTTAGCAGCATTCTCTAGAGACTGCTGTGATTTCAAATGGAGCATTTCCAATTAATCTAAGAAAGACATTATATAAACACAAGTTAATAATCTCATGGCAATAGATATAAAAATATTGCTGCAAATAATTATAGCTTTACTCACTAAGCTATTCAGAACTTTTCTAGACATAATCAAACCCATCGTTGCATCTCTATGGTCTCTTTGTATGCAAGTATTATTGCTCTGTAATTAACCCTTATGAAATATATTTAGGATGAATTATTATGTAGCCGTTTCTAAACCTTGGATTACTAACATCCACTGACTACTTAATAGGATTACTTGTCAGTTCAATGGCTATGTGTACAAAGGGTGCTGAGGTGATAAAAATAACTTTTGGAGAAAGACATTGCACTACCTGAAGGTGAATAAATACTTTTAATGCACCATTTGATACAGGGGTTTTCCAACCCTTATATAACTCCCTCTATGTCAGATTCATGGGTGTAAAAGTTTCATACTCCTGGGTCAGTAACTTCTCTTTTATAACATTTGAGTAGATTTTTATCAGAAGTTTACCTTAAAGATAGGCTTTGTTTTACTGGGTGATCTAACTATATAATGTCAATTTACATTTACAAGGTACATTTAGATTTGTGCATCATTAATAAATGCTAAGTAACCCCCACTTAATTTTACTTTGCGTGAAGTACGGTAATACATACACCAAGAACAGAGACAGTTACAAAAACAAGTAAGTGTTGATATAGGCGGACCCACAAACAAGAATGTAAACATAATCAGATAGAAATTATCTGCTAAAATACATTTGTCTATGCCAATAGGCATTTTACTTAACAATAGGTTATCAAAGAGTCAATCTTTGAGAACATATTTCATATTTTCTCTTCATTATCTAAGAAATGTGAGCTATTGAAACACAATATATCTTAGGCAACTTTTTTTTTTCTTTCCAGAAAATCTGGCTCTGAACTGAATACATGTAGTGCTTTGGTTTATAAAGATTATAGAACGTATTTTTTTTTTTCTTACAAGGGTTGCCCAGACTTATTTGGGATGGTGAGGTTCTACCATATAGGAACGAGGCAGTAGTAGCATACATACTGAAGCAACTGCTGTGCTTACAGACTAGTAAGCACAATGGGAAACCCAGCTCTTAAGATGATCATTCAGGAATGTTGTTAAGACAGACAGGAAGTATTTCAGATTTACGGTGTTCTAAAAGAAAAGCTATTGTGCTTATGGAAAATTGCTTGCGTTACTTTCACCCACTACAAAATAAATGGAATAAGAGTTTCTAAATTCCTCTTCTCATGGAAGAAATAAGTATCACAGATGATTCCAAAATAATGGATTCGGGGACAGGCTAGTGTAAATTAGTCAATAATTTATTCATTTAGCTTCTGTTGATAATCAACTCCATACTAATCTCTGCTATGCATATTCTAAAATTGTGGTCACCTTTAGTATATCTTAGATGACTACATAATATTAAAATGACACAATAGAAAACACAAATTGAGATTCCTTTAAAAAATTTACTGTCAATCACAACAAGCACAAAGTAAAATTTTTATATCATAAGTCAGAATTCTGGAGTACTGATGTAATTCTGATAATTTTGAACCCAGATGTTTCATAGTCTCTTCCTGTTCCAGCATTAGCACTGGCATTAACATAAACATATACACTGAGTCTTTTCTGAATGTGACTCTGTTACAGATAATATGAAGTGAAGAAAATAGAAATGCTTTATTTCTGGGAGTTTATGATCTACAACTTGATTGAATTGGATGTGACTGAAAAAGTTCTGTTGCTATTTGCTATAGTTTATTATCGTGGCCCAGCAAATAACAAAAAATAAGAAATACTGAGCTCAAAAAAACTGCCCTAGGCTCATGGCAAATCAGATAGATTAACTGTTGAGTGGTAACCAATTTGCTTCTCATCCAGTTATATCCTATGATAGATGGAATTGTATTCAGTTGAACACTGACTTATTAAGAGCCAAAAAGCCTATGAAGGCTTGTAAGAAACCATGAGTCCTTCCTCAAATAACTTGCTTTCCTAATAGCAAGATACAACAAGAATATAAATAACCCTTGTTTGTGGTAGATTATGATAAATTCAACAGGAGAAATAGAAATAAAACACTGTAGGTATTTAAAGAAAATAAATGCCGCAGAGAATTGAAAGACTTCAAGTTTGGAATAGTTAACAGAAAGCCAGACAGAGACAATAAATAGAAGGAAAAACACACAGAAGGGAAGTAGGGGAGGATGGTGTAAACAGGAGGAAGGATGATGAAAATAAGAAGGGCAGTGGGTGTTCATGAGAGACTAACTACAGGAAACCATTTTGATGCATGTTCCTCTGTGAAGGAAGATTTTGGAATCAGAGTTAGGAAGCTGTGGTTTTGGAACCATTTCTGTTGCTACCCATCTGACCTTAGGCAAGTTACTTGAGATAATTGGTGGTGAACCTAATTGAGAAAAAGAATGTCTGACCTGCCCATTGATCTCTAAGGTCCTTTTCAGCTCTGAAATGCTTTCATTCTCTGAGTGTTGGCACATGTAGTTGTAGAGATGCCTCATTTGTGCTAACATAATTAGAAACATTGTCTTATTAAAGTGGGTGAAATTTGAAGGATTTGTGTTTGTACTTCATGAAGTTAAACAGAGTCATCCTTATGGCATGTTAGAATTGTGGCAGTTGGTACAGATATGAAGTCAGGAAATACATGAGGCGGTGGGTTTGAAAGTCTTTTCTTAATTTGTAGTCAGAGCTTCATAACTGGGTGAGGCAAGAGAACATGTGATCAAGAGTCAATGTGATGACAAAGAGAAATAGAAATCACTATTAAATTACGGTGTTCGAGAATGGTGATGTGATTCCAGTAGAGCTTGAGGGGGAAGATGTTACTAGAGATTGAAAGACAAAGGAGAGGTGGGGAGTTGGGGACAGGTTGAAGAGTTAGTCTGTATGATGCTGTGGTTTATGAATGGAGAAAAAATTGTGGCACACTAGAGAATATCAGCTTACAGGCTTTTTTTTTATTCCAACTCATTAATATAGTGTGGAGAAAGATGAGCAAGAAATAATTGATTGTTTTTGAGTAAGAGCTAGTTAAAGAAATTTGGCTTGTAGAGAGTGAGAGAAGACTAGATACAGAGAGTGGCACACGATATTGCTTAGTATTCAAATTAAGTTTTAGTGACAAAAGAAATGGTGCAGGGTTATAGAATTTTAAATCTTGTTTTATTTTGGTTTTCATCACCTGTTTTTCTTAACTAATTTTATGTCATATTTATTATTTGCAGCTTTGTTGTGGTTTTTCATTTTTAAATAAGCAATTTCGAAACGATACAGAATAAAAAGCACTTCGTTCAGTTCAGGAGAAATTCTGGGCTGGGTGAGACTAAAGGTGGCTAATAATGAGCAAGTTTTTAAAGCATTTCCTCCTTACTACTTGGACAGATGTCTTAACGAGAGAGGTATCTAGATGAATGTGAAACTGATGAGCGGCACAACATTTCAAATCTTTGATTTGTACATAAATAAAGAAAAGCTATTCATATTTGTGAATGAATTTAAGGGAATTGGGATTTTATCATCAGATGTTTTCAACAAATCATAGGAAACTTTATAGAAGAAAATCTACCCATTATTTTGACTAGTGCATCACATTTTTTTTTCCAATTAAGCTCAAGTTATGTTCTATTTTCGAAACAAAATAAAATTACATCAGGCAAACTTTTAACTCAAGAAGGTAGCCAACATTGTAGTTTGACTGTGAGCTTTAAAAAATCATGGATCTCAGCTTATAAGCATATATAAACTGGTACACAGAAGGTATTCAATATATATTTGTGTAACTGAATCAAATGTATATATGCATGTACCATACATATGTATATATGTTTACATATACATACGCAGCCACACACATATTCTTTCATGTCAGTATGAAAAATATATACTGATGTGGAAACATATATATTGTCTTTCATGTACAACTTCTTTGAATTCACAGAAAATTATAATCAACCAAAGTAGGACACACAATTCCAAAATTCCTCAAGCTTCAGGTCTATGTGACAGACCTGCCCTGCTGGGGAAGTGTGAACCACCATCCAGCTGTCTGTATAGACCCAGCCAAAATGCCCGCTGTCGCTGCTGGAAACCACTATTATACAGTTTGGCCTGAGGTGTGTGTCTTTGATAGCAGCGGGTTCGGGATATGAAAGATGGGCTGTGGAGGTGCAGAAACTCCAGTTGACCTTCAGAGACTGAAAATGGACCAGCACACTGTTCAGAAAAGCCAGCAGAGGTCTCGCTTAGAAACAATAGAGAAAATTACTCTACTGATTATAGTGTTAGAATAACGAGAATATCATCAATCTTTCACTTTACTTTTAAGGGATACTTTTTATATTTCCTTCATATTTAAGAGTTTTAATCTCAAACAAAAGGTCAGGTGGCTTGGATTGTATTACTTATATCACAGGAAGTGTATTTACTTTTGAGTTATTAATATTTTATCTTTCCTTTTTAAAACTAAAAAATAGTCATGTGGTAATATTTATTTTCTTTTCACATAATAAATAAGAAAAAAGCTGTAATGTGCTGGATGATATATACTTCTATCTATATTTAGATACCACTTCCAGTTTTCTTAGGCAAACATGGGTATATGGTAAATATAAATGATTTTCAGCACTTCTGAAACAATTATAATGAAACATGTTGCAGAACATCTTTGCTAGGATAACTATGTAATTTAATCTCTGTACTGCATTCCTAGCTTGTCTTGTTTTTGTAGCAAAAATAAAAATTGGAACATTCCCTATAGAAGCAATCTAAATCCAACTGATTCTGCAGCTGACAGGAATTAGGGAATGCTTAAGGTTTTTAGTTTATTGATAAGTGGTTCATTTATTACAGATAACATAAAATTTTATGTTTGCTTCTAGGAGGGGGTCCATCTTTTAATTTCAAGGATTAAAAATAATTTCTTTTAAAGTATGCATTTTGTATTTTGAGAGGAAATGTGAATTGGAAACCATCTGAAACCATTTTCGAATTTAGCTCTGAATCCTGCTGATTTTTCCAATGTATGTATTCATTTTATTTTTACCCTTAATTTTGATTTGCATTATTTTGGCTAAAGAAGCAACATAATATTCACCACACCAGGAAAGCTAGATAAGAATCAAGTGCAAAAACTGCCTTGGCAGCATGTTGTGAAGGATTCCTTGACTTGTTGGCTTGGCAGTCTGGCAGCTAGAGAGCAAGAACTCCCTGTTGCCTACTCTGGTTGAGCTCACTGGGAATCCCCCAAATACTCAGCAGGAGTGGCACCCCTGCCCAAGAAACATGGCATCACTGACAGGTGATTGTGCTGGTATGTGTCCATATTGGCTGAGGGCCATGCCACATCTCTGTCTGCTTATCTGCTTGCTCTCTAGATAGTGATTAGGTAAATACATTTGTCTTCTGTCCAAATCTCCATGTATAATTTATGGTCAGTGTAATTCCATTCCACTGAGTGTTTACTTCTTCCTCAAATACCAGTAATAATAAAGAAGGTTTAATATCATATGACATAAATGGTTTTCATATTAAATATAACTTTTCTACAGTAAGTGCTAGTAAGTATTTCACAAATTCAGAGTTTATACTTTAAATTCTGGATTTTATAGTCAAGGTCAAATAGAGAGCATTAAACATGGGCAACAACACTTGAAGAGAGGTTTGATCTACTTCTTTGACCATATTCCCTCCTTTTCATCCCCATGATAAATGCCAACTGTAGGCTTTGATTTTTTTTTTCAGTTTTTTCAAATGGCACTTGAAAACATTTTTGTCGTAAAAGAATAAAAAACATAGTGACATACAGAGGGTAAATTCTAAAGTTATTTTGCCCTAAAATACCCTTCTTTCCTCCCTAAGGATAATCTCACTTTCTTCCCCAGAAGGGGTGACTATTGTCCAAAGTTAGGTAGAATGCTTGGGATGATAGAAATGTTCCACATTTGCATTATACAATAGGTGAAATATGATTAATATGATTGAGAGACTAGATTTTCAATTTCATTCAGCTTCAATTTGCATTTATATAGCGCATGTGACTAGTAGCTCCCATATTGGATGACAGGTTTTTCATCTGTACCCAGGGCTGCTGCAATAGACTTATCAGTTCCCTGTACCTAGGCTCATTTTCTTCTTCACCAGCATGAGCCTCATACAAATCTGATGTTATTTCCCTGTCACAAATCCTTCAATGAGTCCCCTTTCACAATGCTATCATTCTAAATTTATTTGCATGCTGTGCAAGGCTCCTTATGATCTGGCCTTTGCCTACCTTCATCTTTTACCATTCTTTGTGTTGCATGGAATATGTCATACTTTCTCATGCCCCTCTGTATTTGCATATGCTATTCTCTCCTTCTAGGTCTCTCTTCCCTTATCTACCTGTTAAAAGAATTTCTTATCAAGTCTCAAGTAACTCTTGTTGACAACTTGTTGTCCCTAAATACTTCCCAGCAGCTGTAGGTGGTTTTCATCTCTGCATCCCCTTAAGATCCAACTCAGAACACCAGTAGATGCTGCATAAATGCTAATTCCTGTCTCCGACTCTAGTCTCATAGCATGGGGGATGGCTATCATGCCTTCCTATGAAACATTCTATGGTGTCAACAGGAAAGGAAAAAAAAACCCAAGAGGAAATAATTTTGCTAGAATTTAAGTTTCATGGAGTGTCAGGAATTAGTCTGTTTTGTTCACCAATATTCTAAACTGTTAGAACAGTGCTTGGCACAGATTAGGCAAGATAAATATGCGTAGAATAAATAAATGACCAAATTATATTTTTACTTCCATTTTGACCCTTTTTGACCACCTAAAGTCTGTCAAGCAACTTCTACATTAAAATAAGTTTTATGAATTCACAAAATATAGAATTATAAACAGCCTCCAAATCTGCCTACTTTTTTATCATTGTTGCTTTTCTCAGGCAAGAAAAATGACTCCTTTAGAACAAACTACATAAAACAAGCTCCTGAATATCAACTCACTGAGACAGAATCCCAATCAATATTAGTTTAAATTACCTGTCTCCCACACCTAGAATTTCATTTTTGCTAAAACCCAGCACAATACCTTCTGTCATTTCTCACCACTTTCCCATTTTAATATAATCAGCAAATGTAATTAAACCTCATTTTTTGCCCATTAGTAAGTACTCAACTAAATGCTTTGTTTACCATTAAATCCAATGCTTTCCAATCCCAAAGTTCACTGCTAATGTGAGCTGATTGAAGCCTTATCCAGTTGGCTCCATTAATATTAATTTGTGGTTAACTTTTGCTTAATCCGAAAATCAGTTTTCCATTTTTAGGATTGAGTTCATATCTAAAATAATTTGTACTAATTTTGAAGGTCAAATATCAGGGGAAATCATGTCAAAACCATTAATAAAACCTTAATAGAAAGCATCTATTGTATTCTGTTTATATTCACATCATTCAATGGCATAAGTCTACTAAGTAAAAAAAAAAAAAAAAAATCGATTAAATATAGCTTCGTCACATTACAGACTTATTGAATTTGATTTCATTACCTGCTCAGATACTTGGACAAATCATCTCAATATTATTTGTTCTATTTTGATTGAATGATCATTTACATAAATAGGCATTTTACCTCTTTAAGGGAGCTGTAGTTTTTGTAAATGTTTCCGTATTTTGGTAGGCATGTTCTTAAAGTTACAAATCTAATAGACATGCTAACATGGGTCTTGCTTGAGAATTCTGTATCAATTTTGTCAATAGTATCTAGTTTTTTAAAAAAATTGCAATGCTTTTCAGCCTTCCATATGTATTTTCCTCTCCTATTAGACATAATGAAAAAAATCTGAACACACTAACTGAGCTATTCCAAGAACAGTACTTGAAAGTTTTTTATTTTTACATTATTTGTTTAGGATATTGTTTTTATTACAACTGTTTATAATCTGATAACACACACTGTTTTAGTTTCAATATTGTTTTCATCCCTTGAAAATTTCTCATTCTGGTATATGAGGAAAGCATGTTCTCTTTCATTTACTGCCCATATACACTATGGATTTTTCTTCAGAGGTACACTGTGATTGGACTTTCCCATAAAGCTTACATAATTTGTTTAAGCTTGTAATTTTAAAAAGAAACTACAGGCATTTTAATTATAACATTGTAATACAGTCTCATTCATTAGTGAAGATTAACATCCTTTCTTAATACTCAATGCCCATTATTTTTAAATTATCTCAAACATGCCTTGTACCCAGAGTTTCTCATTAGGACAAATTCATGTTTTCCTTATCATTGTTTTAGAGTTCATTCAGAGCCCATTAGTGCTGAATATAGGACTGCTTGTAGTTTCTAAGAGCTGTTCTGAAGTTTGAGTCTGGGTAGAAATCTTATTATTTTATAACCACGTGTTATTTGTGGGACTTTAAAAAAGTATTTATCTTGATCCTGGTACTTTAAGTTGAAACTTTTTGAGGTATTAGGGAATGTTTCTTCTACTCCTTTATTTACTCAAATGGATTTAATATTCACCGAAGAAATCCTTATTGAAATACAAAACTAGACGAACCTAGGATGCTGCATTTGATTCCAAGGAAGTATAACAGGCCAAAATGTGAAATTTCTCACAAATGTTCTCTATTTATGGATGTAATAGAGGAACCACCTCCAAAATTCAACCTTTGCATACGTCCTTCAAATTTGAAAAGAAAAACTGGTTTCCAAAAGGTAACACATGTGCCACAGAAAATTAAACGATGTACAAAATGATAAGAAAGTAAAAATCCCTGGATAACTGAGGTAGGGGTCTGTTTCAGGTAAGGGTAATCAGAGAAGAACCCTCTGAGGAGAAGACATTGAAGCAGAATCCTCACTTGAGGAGAGAGTTGTCAACTGTCTGGAAAATAAACAGATCAGGAATAAAACAAAATCCTCCAGCTCCAAGGCAGGAATGTTCTTGGCGAGTTAGAAGGACAGTAGAAAGGCCTATAAAAATGGACCAGAGGGATAGCAATGATGTTGGATTAGGTAGGAGGGCAGGTGTCTCCTAGGCCGAGGTACAAAGTAGAGATTTTATTATAAGTGTGACTGATATCCTTGCAAATTTTTAGCAGGAAAGTGATGTGATTTGCTTTACATTTGAAATGAAAAATTACTCTGATTACTATGGGAAGAATAGAACATATGCATGAGTGGATGCAGAGATTCACGTACTCTCAAAATGGTATATAAATTTTATCAGAATAAATATGCAACTTTTCACTGAATGATATGTCATGGGCCATTTCAATGTTGTGTTAGTCAGGTTTGACATGGTCAGGGTTTATCAATAGTGGTACTGTTGACATTTTGGGCCACGTAATTCTTTGTTTGGGGGGCTTTCCTGTGCATTGCAGGTTATTTAGCAACATCCCTGACCTTTACCCACTGGAGGCCAGTAGCATGTTCTTCTTAGTTGTGACAACCAAAAATATCTTCAGACATGGCCAAAGGTCTCTGGGAGGCAGGAGTGGCGGAATTGCTCCTGATGGAGACCTGGAGGGATAGGCAATGTTTTGGCAACAAAACCTCCAAATTTCAGTAGTTTAACATAGTACAATACTTATTCCTCACTCATGCAAAGTTTGCAATCAGTTCAACAGTTCTCAAGAGTAGCTTTCTTCTAAGGTGTGGGACCCAAGTCGTATTATGTAGGAACACCATCTGGCCCTTAGATGACCATAGTGGAGAAGAGCGAACTAGCTTTTAATTCCTTTGTTGCACCGCCAGAAAGTAACTCATATCTTTTCTGCTTACAGTCTGTTGCTTAAAACGTATAGCACAGTTTTTCTAACTGCAAAGGGGCTGAGAAAACTAGAACACATGGATGTTTGGTGACCAATAAATATCTCTGTTTTTCTTTTGGGTACTGTATATCACTGGTGTAAAACAATTCTGAAATTCTGCTGGGCAGGTACTGTGAAAATTCCTTACCTTAGGAGTGTGGGGAGTCCTGAGGTTAGACTCTGAGAAGACAAAATATCTTTATTTGCCCTTGATTCTGAGGCTTCCAGATTTTGTCTATCTGGAGACTCTTTCTATCGATCTTAGGTACATTTAAAGTGGATGTCAGGCTTTTGTTTTCCTTGGTGGCTGCATAGATTTTTCAATTTAATTTCTGCCCACTCCTTGTGGGAATCTTTTACCTTCTTGTTTAGATGAATTCTTAGATATTTCATTTTCTTTGTGGCTACTGTAAATCCTTTGTGGCTACTCCACAAGGATTGTAGAGTCAAGAGCTGTTTTAAGCAATGAACAATCAGGCTTTTAAAGACACAATATGATTTACTTGAGAGTAAAACTTACTCATAATCTCAAAAGGCTTCCCATTTTTTAGATTACTTTCATTTCTACATGCAGCAATCTCATCTATAGTTCTTTTATAAGCACACTTCTTCCATCTGTTTCATTTCGTCCCTTTAAATTTTTCTCTCACAATTTAATAATGGGTAATTTGAGACTATCCGGAACAGGAACTAGGAAGGCAATATCAGCTAAGATTTTTTTCTTTAATAAATGAATGTAGAGATGCAAATTATCAAAACCTTTGGGACATAGCTAAAGCAGTGTTAAGAAGAAAACTTATAGCATTAAACACTTTCATCAAGAGGTTAGAAATCTTAAATTAATGACCTAACATTATAACCAGAGGAACTACGGAAAAAAAGAACAGTTCCACCCCAAAGATAGTAGAAGAAAAGAAATAACTAAAATCGAGAAGAATGGAATGAAATTGAGACCTAAAAGTCCATACAAAAGATCAATAAAACCAATAGTTTTTTTTAAAAAAAATAAACAAAATTGATAGACTATTAGCTAAATTAAAGAAAGAGATGATCCAAATGAGCACAATTAGAAATGACAAAGATGATATTATAATCAATCCCACAGAAATATAAAAGATCCTTAGGGACTACTATGATTACCTCTATGCACACAAATTAGAAAATCTAGAGGAAATGGATAAATTCTCAGACACACAACCTCATAAGATTAAATCAGGAAGAAAGTGAAAATCTGAATAGACCAATAGGAAGTCTGAAATTGAATCAGTAATAAAAAACCTACCAATCAAAAAAAGCACTGGAGCAGATGGATTTGCAGCCAAATTTTACCTGATGGACAAAGAAGAACTAATACCACTTCTACTAAAACTTTTCTAAAAAATTGAGGAGGACAGACTTCTCCCTAACCCATTCTATGAAGTCAGCATCATCCAGATACCAACATATGGCAGAGACAATGAAAAAGGAAAACTTCAGACCAATATCCCTGATAAACATAGATGCAGTGATTCTCAACAGAATACTAGCAAACCAAATCCAGCAACACATCAAAAAGTTAATTCATCAAAATCAAGTAGGCTTTATTTCTGGGATGCAAGTTTGGTTCAACATACATGAATAAATGTGATTCATCACATAAACAGAATCAAAAACGAAAACCCTGTGATCATCTCAATAGACTCGGAAAATCTTTGATAAACTCCAACATCCCTTTGTGATAAAAACCCTCAACAGTCTAGGCATCAAAGGATCGTACCTCAAAATAATAAGAGCCATCTATGATAAACCCACAGCCAACATCACAACGAATGGGCAAAAGCTGGAACCTTTCCCCCTGAGAACTGGATCAAGACAAGGATACCCACTCTCGCCACTCCTACTCAACATAATGATGGAAGTCCTAGCCAGAGCAATCAGGCAAGAGAAAGACATGAAATGTGTCAAAATAGGAAAAAATAATAAGTCAAGCTATCTCTCTTGCTGACAATATGAGTTTATACAGAGAAAATGCTAAAGACTCTGCCAAAAGGCACCTGGAGCTTATAAATGAATTCAGTAAAGTTTCAGGATATGAAATCAATGTAGGAAAATCAGTAGCATTTCTATCAATAATAATATTCTAAGTAAGAACCAAATCAAGAACACAATCCCGCTTACAGTAGCCACAAAGAAAATGAAATATCTAAGAATTAATCTAACCAAGAAGGTGAAAGATTCCCATAAGGAGAACCACAAAACACTGCTTAAAGAAACCAGTTAAGTTTTTAATATCTATATCTGTATTATTCTGAAAGTAGACACAAGGTTTCTGGGGCGTGAACATATTATTACTTATATTAATTACTGCTTTGGTTCACTAATTATTTTCTATTCTTGGGTGATGTGAGGAAATACACATACCTGTCATCTTACATGTACATTGATCTATACTCTAAATGAGGAACCCCAAAAATATGAATCTGAAACATTATATAGAAGGACAACTGTTTCTTTTGTCCTCCGGAGAAATGAAACAAACATTTTATTCCTTCAGTTAACAAATATTCAATGGAAAGATAAGGCAAATATCCTTAGTCTTCACCTTCTGGAATATAAATAAACAACTGCAAGGTTGGGAATGGATACAGCAAATTTCTACTGGTTACAACTGCTGGAATATCTCCATGGCCCCAGCTTTCATTCCCCTTTGGAAGATAACACATGCCACCAAGGAGATAAGTCTCCAATCTCTCCCTGAGATACAGTATTTACTTAGTTATCTTTTTACTGCCAAGTCTTGTCCTTAATCTAGGTTTTAGTACAATGTGTTTCAAAAACACCTCTTGACAATATCTTTAATTTTAGCCCTGAAACTTTGAATTTATGATATGTTTTGCTGTGTATTTTTCATTCAAACTTCTTTTTTTTTCAACTTTAACAAAGTGGTAGATTTTTATTGAAGGTACAATTTAGTTAGTTAGTCAGAGCTACTTATATTTGCCAAAAAGTAATAGGAGAAAAGGTTTGTGGAATGACAGTTTAAAGTACTTAAATGTTATTTTATTTTCACTGTATATTATACTATACTGGTGATATTAATCTAGAAAATACTAATAAATTTATCCAGTTACAATATTAATTTCATAGTTATGGTTAGGTGGATTAACAAGCAAATCCAATATAGCTATATTTTTGTTGTATAAATTATTATTCCAAGAATAATTTATGTATATGTCTAACATATATGGCCTGACATTTAAATTATTCACATTCTTTTTAAATAGCTTCATATTTCACAGTGACTAAACCTATTAATGAAAAAAGTATGAAATTTTCTATAAAAAGTTTGGTATCACACCTGAAACATGATTTATAACAAAATTATATCTAGCAGAAAAGTTATATTTTTTCATAATATCATATTTGATAAGATTTTTCCCAAGCATGAATCTTTTGATATAGAATAGGTTTTGATTTATCATTGAACACATTCACGCTTTCAAATGTTTATGACATTTTACTCCTATTTTAATTCTCTCATTCATCAGTGCCTGTGTGTTGGTTCTTGCATTCGTAGGCGATATCACTAGGTGGCTGAATTCCTCTGGGCCTGGATCCTACCTGCCCCCTCTCTTCTCATATCAAGAATAATCCTGACTTGTCAGAGGCCTTTTGCGAGGGCATGTGGCACTCCATTGTGTATATTCATGCTTTTTCCAAAAGTCTTTTCCTGTCCATTATATAAGCCTAAAGGATTACATACTGTTGCATGTCCTCTGTTCCTGGAGGACAAACTTGAGTAACAGGCTGCAAGCCCTACAATTGGCTCTGGGCTATTTGGACAGGAGGTTATGAGTTCTGGGATACAGAAAGCATATTTTAGAACAGATGCCACAGGTTTTTAGGTTCTATGGGCTCAGGCACCATGGAAGGCTATGGCTTGAAGAAGATCAAAAGCAGCCTTTCAAATTATGGTACTTGAGAAAAACCACCAGTTTCCTGGGTCTAAAGATGTCATTGATGTGAGTGTTTCAATAAATAATGACATGAAACTCTTTGCTAAAGGCATTCCCACATTTATTACATTTATATGTTTCTTCCTTGTGTATGTTCTCTTATGTAAAGTGACATATGTGTTCACATGAAAAGTTTTATCTCGATTAGTACATTCATACACTTTTTCTGTTTTGTTTGTAATAAATGTTGATGCTGGCTGTAGTTAGATTTTTCCACATATGTGACAATCATTGGATTTATCCTCAGTAGGTGTTGGCTAATTTTTAGTGAGATAAATTTCAAATGGAAGATGTTCATCACTTTCATTATATTTTTAGGGCTCTTTCACCCTGTATTTTTATGTTCTCTGATAATCATTGAGGGCTGACTTAAATTGCAAGTTTTCCCATATTCATTATTATATTCATAGAGTTTCTCCTTCCCACATTCATTATTACATTCATAGAGTTTCTCCATCATCTGAGTCTTCATAGTTGAAATAAAAACCTCATTATTTTCAAAGCCTTTTTCATGCTTATAGACAAGGTGGCGCTAAAAATTTTCAGACATCCGATGCGGAATAAGATTATGAATATGGACCTTCTCATTGTATTTTCTAGTTCTAGTCAGAGACACAGAAATCATAGTCGGTGTTTGTGTAGAAATAATTTAATGTAGGGATTAATTTAAAAAGATTTTGGAGACTTAACAGAAAGGACACTGAAGTCCCACAGAGATAATAATTGCAGGAAGAAATGATCACCACCACGGCTAGGGAAAAATAGGAAGAGTTTGGGGATATTATAGGCTAGAAACATGAAGGAGGGGCTTGTCAAACTGGAATTCACACATTTAAGAGATAATTGTTGTTGGCTGATGTTGGCAGAATATCAAAGGAAGATCCTTGAAAAACTTGGGCTCAGACCTGTGAGAAGAGGACATTTTGTCTGTGGCTGGTAGCTTTGATGGGCTATGATCAGGCTGGTCCTAGGAATATCAAAATAGCCAGGGACTAGGAACTATTGCTTCTGGGATGAAGGACTATAGCTGGGATGAATGCTGATGAGAATAGAAAGAAACTATGAGGGACTAAATCCATCTTCCAACCTCTTGCCTTACAGTCTCATAGTTCTGCCTATTTGTGGGAATCTTCTCTTTGGTGTCACATAGCAGAATCTGGCCAGTCTTTCTACCACTCCTGAGGAATGCTGATCAGTTTTGGTTTCTGATGTTGGCAGACTAAGTAGCAATAGTAGCAATATAAAGATTAGAATTGATGAGGAAATGTTCATTTGTTGACCCATGAAGAGCAGTCACCATAGACAATTTTAGTATGTCCATGATCCACTGAACAACTATTGAGTGGCTGAGGAAGGAGATTGTCTGAGAACAATAAAGCATATTATCCTTTCCAACTGAGTTTTGAAAGACTCCTTGACAGTGAATGCCTTTGACAAACATTAACATGGGCTACAAAGATCTTTATATGCTGTCCCTGTTGCAATGGTTCATCTACATGTCTCTTCTCCAAACCTTCTCACTAATCCTCTAATCTCTCCTTTCCAAGTCACTAAAAATCTTGTTGGACTGTTAACTACTCTAACATGCATCAGGATAGACACATACTCAGGCCATCCAGTTAGTCCAGACAAATTGAAAAATCGTATTTATGGTTCAAAATTTTTCTCTTGAAAGAATTTCTCTCCACCACTGCTTTTCACGGATACTTCTGAATGGAACTATGATGCTACAAAGTTCACTTCCTGTTGATTCAGGAATATAGTGCAGAGCCATCACTAAAAGTCTGAGTTTTTCTTTCTTCCCTTGTCAATAGGTCATCAGAACTTTTCATGAGGGCATAGATGTAGTATCAGGGAACCTGCCCCGATATTCACGTAGGTTCTTTTCTATTTTCCTTAAGCATTGGCCAGCTTGAGAAATAAAGGGACAGAGTACAAAAGAGAGAAAATTTAAAGCTGGGCATTCGGGGGAGACATCACATGACGGTAGTTTCCATGATGCCCCAACAAGCCACAAAAACCAGCAAGTTTTTATTAGGGAGTTTCAAAAGGGGAGGGAGTATGTGAATAGGTGTGGGTCACAGACATCAAGTACTTTACAAGGTAACAGAATATCACAAGGCAAGTGGAGGCAGGGTGAGATCACAGGACCACAGGACTGAGGCTAAATTAAAATTGCTAATAAAGTTTCAGGCACCATTGTCATTGATAACATCTTATCAGGAGACAGGGTTTTGAGATCAACTGGTCTGACCAAAATTTATTAGGCAGGAATTTCCTCTTCCTAATAAGCCTGGGAGCGCTATGGGAGACTGGAGTCTATCTCACCTCTGCAGTCTCGACCATAAGAGACGACCATGCCTGGGGGGCCAGTTCAGAGACCTACCCTCAGGTGGGCATTCTCTTTCTCAGGGATGTTCCATGCTGAGAAAAAGAATTCAGCGATATTTCTCCCATTTGCTTTTGAAAGAAGAGAAATATGGCTCTGTTCCGCCTGGCTCACCGGTGGTCAGAATTTAAGGTTATCTCTCTTATGCCCTGAACAATTGCTGTTATCCCGTTCTTTTTTTTAAGGTGCCCACATTTCATATTGCTCAAACACACATGCTGTACAATTTGTGCAGTTAATGCAATTATTACGGGGTCCTGAGGCAATTTACATCCTCCTCAGCTGACAGGATTGAGAGACTAAAGTAAAGACAGGCATAGGAAATTACAAGGGTATTGACTGGGGAAATGATAAGTGTCCGTGAAATCTTTACAATTTATGTTTAGAGATTGCAGTAAAGACAGGCATAAGAAATTATAAAAGCATTAATTTGGGGAACTAATAAATGTCTATGAAATCTTCACAATCCACATTCTTCTGCCATGGCTTCAGCCGGTCCCTCCATCTGGGGTCTCTGACTTCCTGCAACAATGTAGAGTGAAGGAGAAGAGACAATGGAGAAGCAGTAGGTATTGCGGGAATTGTAGGCACCTCTCGTGCCTTCTTGCCTGACTTGAGTACAATCTCTTATGAATCATTTCTATTTGATGATGAATTGCCACCATACATGCTTGATCTTTATGGACTGGTGTATCAGATAATGCCCAGTCTATGCTGAGAGAGCATTGTCACTTGACATTCATGGAGGAGAAATGGAACAGGACCACCTAGCAAGCAAGGAAGTATTTCTCAAAAAAATAAATTCCCATGTAAGAGAACCATGGTTTTGTTCCCAACTCCTATGGGTCTGTACTGTTGGGGATTGCCAGAGCTGTATATAATATCCCTATTTTTCTTAGACACTGTAGCATTAGATCTGTTGTGTCGAGAGGCTCAAGGAGCAGAGTAATTCACATTAAAGCCTGGGCCAACTACAGGCCCCTCTCTTGCTCTGAGTCCCATTCAAAACTGTTAATCTTAAAGTTCCTTTGTAAATTAGTAAGAATAGCACATTCCAAAGTGATAGATAGACATCCCTCTGTTTCTGTAGGGCATTGGTTACAGGAACTCCACAGATACAAAAATATGTGGGTGCTCAAGTGCCCTATATAAAATGGCATAATATTTGTATATAATCTACACACATCTTTTTGTATACTTTAAATCATCTCAGGGTTACTTGTTTATTTATTTTTTTGAGATGGAGTCTCACTCTGTCACCCAGGCTGGAGTGCTGTGGCACAATTTCAGCTTACTGCAACCACCACCTCCCAGATTCAAGCAATTCTCTTGGCTCAGCCTCCTGAGTAGCTGAGATGACAGGTGCGTGCCACTGTGCCTGGCTAATTTTTGTATTTTTAGTAGAGGTGGGGTTACTTATAATACTTACTACAATGCAAATGCTATGTAATGTTTTTATACTAATTGTTTTATAATCTGTATTGTATTATTTATTTATTTTCCAAATATTTTTAACTTGCTATTGGTTGAATCCGTGAATATGGAACCTACAGATATGGAGGACTGGCTGTACATTGTTTCAAGAATTCAAAGAGATCTCCAAACACTGTGCATCTTTTTTAATAAAAGGAGAAAATATAGCAATTTGTCTTTTACTTTAGAGGAAATGTCTTAATGACCAGATTCCAGAAACATCACTGAAGTGATTAGTCTCTGAATTTCCATGGGATTTATCTCCTTTACTTTCTAGTTTATGTTTATCTTACTAAATCATCTATGGTAATTCTGGTTCTTGCTCTTCAGGCCCTATTTTCATGATAATATTAATGTGGCAAAGAAAGGAGGTATTCTGAGTGATTTTGTGATAATCCAACTCTAGGAAGACTAGAGTTACGCAAAGAACAGAAGTTAATTTTTTCTAAACAATTTTTGACCATGTCAGGAAAAAGTAGGCTACTCTTCATGTTTTTTGACAATTTTTAAGGAAAAAGTAGCAATTTCCAAATCAATAAGTGCATACCAGGTACTAGGGTCTTTGAAAATTTGCTCTAATAAAAACAATGTTTCCAGAACAGCTGCTGTAATTGGTGTAATTGCCTTATTAAATTTATAGTAGTACATATTTATTTGCCAAGGTCCATCTGCTTTCTTCTGGTGTCTGTTCTCTGCAGATTTCCCAGGCTTATGTAGGAAGAGGAAGTTCCCGTGGATAACACTTTGTCCTGTCTTTCATAATAGCCTTTATTCCATGAGGAAGGGAACCAATGTGGGGATTCTGTCAGTTGCTGAGTACATCTATATAAACTATGTAGCCAGAAAATGGGAATGTATAACAGGATGGGTCTTCAGGAAAGGGGCCCAGCAGGGTTGAGACTCTAACTTCTTAGAAGAGGACACCTGGCTACTGCTAGTACTTCAAGATTTTGAAGGAAGTAACTTATAGAGCTGGAGTTCAGCCTCTGAGGACAGGTGCTGCCTAGATGGATTCTGCTGGAAACCATGAAGAGGGTGCAATGAAGTTGATTCTGAAGGAGCTGAAAGAAACTGGAGACTGGCATCAATTGCTGAGGTCAGCAATTGCTGAGGTCAGGAGACATTGCTGAGACAATGCTTCCAGTAACAGCAAGTGCACAGGAAAAAAGCAAACTTCTTTTCACTTCTCTCTTAACTATTCAAGTGCCCCCATTTATCAGATCTAACAGAAAGCCAGCTGCACATAAATGTGGTTTGTAGAGTCCTAGCTCCAGAATCACAGAGAATAGCAAAGACTGATATATTTGGGATTCAGAGACAAGTGCTAAATAACTAGAACATCTACTTTGACTATATTTGTAAAAATTTGCTTGCGTATGCATTTTCTCACTGTTGGAATCAATTGTTGATTTTCTAGGTTAATTAATTTCATTGAAACTTTGGTTTCTTGAAAGGCTTTTCTTTGAAAACATTGATTCTAAATAATATTTTATATCCTTTTGATAGGAGTCATATTCACAGGAAACATTTTTGAAGGAAGGGGTTTTAAACCCAGATTAGATATGTGTGTTTATATTTTTCAAATACATTATCTCTGTCAGTATTTTGCTGCTGATGAACATATCAAAATTTTGCTGTTGTTGAACACACTGAATGATTACCCTGCCTTCTCTCTGTCTTCTAATCATTAACTCTCCATAATTCTTCTAGCTAAGTCTAACTTGGAAATTCCTCCTCTACTGACTTGAGTTCTTTTCCTTGCTCCAACTGGAGTGTGAGTTTAGTCCCATGGTAACTCACTGAGATTAATTTTGTCTACATCTCTATCATTAGATTTTTGACAAGGTCCTTTGAGCAGGATCTAGGAATTGCCATAATTACCTGAAATCTATATTCTTGAGCGTCACTTATTGGTATGGTGTGTTCATTTGCTGGTGCTCTTGAGAAAGGGCAAAGGCCTGTGCAGGTGGAGCTGCAGGGGCACAACCTTCCGTTCCAGCTTCATGCAGGATTCAAGTTGTTGTGTCACTCAAAGTCACCTTTAATTTCATTTTCACTTCTTAAGGTCTAGGATAAATATCTTCTGCAAATTTGCAAAGCCCAAATTACTTTTTATTTCTTATTGTGCATTTACTAATTCTATCCTGAGCTCATTGTTTTCTTGTGATATCTTGTCATACACAGTCAATTAACAATTAACCCTTACTGTTGGCTGCATTTAATCATGATCATGAACCCAGAGGTACAAGTTTATTAGATACATTATCTCTTTCAAATTATCAAGTCTTTAATTTTGTCCAATGTTTTGTTACTGCAAACATAAATCAATATCTCACTACTGTCTGGGAATTGTTTTCCTACTGCCTTCCATCTGATGACTAAGCCAATGCCACATATTTTCTTTTTTTTTTATTACAAAAGTATCCTACTTTTGCTATAAATGTCTTTTTATTAGTCAGCTGGTCTCTGTGATAGTAACTCATAAATGCTTAAATCTCACTAATGACACATTTAAGTTTGTTTCTTGATTTTATAAAGTCTGTCGTGGACCTAGTAGCTATCTTCCAAGCAGTGACTCAATGATCTGGACAACATGTGCCTTGCTATTTGGAACATACAGTTTCTAGATCAAGGGCAGAGAGTGATGGAGGGTCGCGTACTGGCTGTTAAATGTTTCATCACGGAAATATCACCCAACACTTCTGGTCACCACTGATGATCCATAAGTAGTCATATAATCTGGCTTAACTAAAAGGGTGTTGGAAAATGTGGGAGAGCACATAGATGTATGGGGGAGCACATCTATACATGGAAAGCAGTAAATTTAAAGGCTTACAGGAAAAACAATATTCATAATCATTTTAAAATGTAGTTTAGATACCTCTGTATAGTTAGATTCGTAATTGATAGAAATTTAGGTTGTTTCCAAAGTTCTGCTATTAAAAAATGTTTTGTGAACATTCTTGCTTAAAATTCTTTGTATAATTATTGATGTGTCTCCTTAAGATATATTTTTAGTAACAAAATTCTAGGATAAGAGGCACCTTATTTTCTTATACTACGTGGGATAGATAGTGCTTTGTGCCATCTATAATGCTGGGTATTTTCAATCTTTTCATATTTGCTAATATGAAAGGTAAATAGCAATTTTCTTTTGTTTTTATTTGCATTTCTTTAATTACAAATATAATTAAATGTTTAATTGTGGCCATTTGTCTTTATGATTTCTTTGTTGTTAAATTTCTATGCATTTCCTTTGCCCAAGATTTTGTTCTTAAATGAGAATCTTTGTTGTGTTTTAGAATTGGTTCATACGATGACCCCCTGATACCATAGTGAAATAATTGTGCCTTGTGGCCATAATCTTTTGTTGTTTATATCCCTCTTTTATGTGCAGTTGGAGGCATTAGAATTCTGTCTTAGCTTCACTTTTCTTCCCTTTCCCAGATTCATGAGAAAAAATTGTCCATGGTCTTAAAGACTGGTTGTCCATGGTCTTAAAGACTGGTTGTCCATGGTCTTAAAGACTGGTTGTCCATGGTCTTAAACACTGGTTGTCCATGGTCTTAAAGACTGGTACAGTTGTAATGGATTATGGGATAAAATAACTGTGCCTCATAGGATGTGTAGGAATGGCATGCATTTTTTTTTGGTTTTCAATATTTTTCCAGCCAAGTTTTATGTGTTTTTTAAGGGACATAGTGTCTATTTGCAATATTAGAAAAAAATTAAATGATTTCAACTATTAATATGTATCTTTTGATGACGATGTTTCATTAATATTAAAGGGTCCTTAGAAACCTAAAAATGCATTTAACACGAGAGAACCTATTTTATTTTATTATTATTTGACAAACTAATATCCATATTTAACCCTTACCTATCAAACACATAAAAGTAATATACTTGATATAAAATATTTTATTACTTCTAAAAACTGTATACCTTAGTATAGATAGTTTTTATATTTTCAGATTACAATTTTGCATTCATCAGATTGGTTCATTGAAAGAACCTGGAAGATACACCACACTGCATTGTGAAAGAGGCATTGAAGAGATGATTTGTAGTTTGGCAAGAATATCATATCAGAGTTTTGATACAGAATCCTAGGAACAACAGCGATCAATTTCATTCAACATTATGAGATTTCTTACTCACTGATGAAGTAGATATGACAGAATAATGGCTAATGTTAGATGCCTATCACACACACACAGATTCCCCAGCCATAATTCTGTTTCCGAAAGAACCCACTGTATCTTCCTGACTTAATGGATGGTTCTTTCTGTGCCTTGTAGTTCATTCAGTTTAATACATATGTCTTGCTAAGGATAAAATTTTTTTTCTTTAAGATTTTGTTGTGATTTCACATGCATTTAATTCTATTATTTAAAAACAATATGGATTTCATATTTTTGGCAAAGTCAAAAATGAAATGTGTGGTTCAATGTAGTTTCCCCATACCTATTATATTCTGATTGGTATAAAGGTCAATCTGATTCTAATATAAATCCTCTGAGAAATTGCATTATAGCAATTCAAGTGAGTAGATACAGATTTTCTACGGCTTATTTAGGTACTTCAGTTTCAAATATTATCAAGTAGATAGTGTCATCCATTTATTTTCTTTTACACTAAAAAAATGCCTACATGAGTTTTATGGGTTTTTTTTTCCTTATAGCATACATTTACCTCCCTTATATATTACACTTATTTTTGCCAGACATATTTTTGATGGACTTCTTTGTGTATATAAACACATGTAATGTTATTTTATTATGTATTTTTAACCAAGCATAACAGAAAACCAAGTTGGATAAGTTTATATCTAGGGAAAATGACATTTCCATGTTGTCCATTATAAAACACATATTGATGACCTTTGGGTAATTTGGATAAGTCACTTTCATAAAAATCACATTATTCTAATTCTGTTAGTCTAGAGGAGAAAATAGAAGTTGTGTAGAAGTTTGTGTGTGTGGGAGAGAGAGCGAGAGAGAGATTAGATGATCTTTAAGACCCTTCCAAATGCTAAAATTGCAGAATTTCATGATACTATAGTTTTCAAATACTCAAGTCTTTCCAGTGTTGGACTAAGTCATCTTCCCGTGGGGTCCATATGCAGGTGATCAGTCATAGAAAAGCCTCCTTTTAGACATTGTGAGCATTCTTAGAATCAGAGGCCAGGCCAGAAACTGAGGTTTATTTTATACTTTAACCTGTCTCTTTTCTTTTTCTTTCTTTCTTTCTTTCTTTTTTTTTTTTTTTTTTTTGACAAGAGTTTTGCTATTGTTGTCCAGGCTGGATCTTGGCCCGATCTTGGCTCATGGCAATCTCTGCCTCCCAGGTTCAAGCAATTCTCTTGTCTCAGCCTCCTGAGTAGCTGGGATTACAGGTGTGCTCCAGTACGCCTGGCTGATTTTTGTGTTTTAAGTAGACACAGGGTTTCACCATGTTGGCCAGGCTAGTCTCAAACTCCTGACCTCAGATGATCTACCTACCTCCACCTCCCAAAGTGCTGGGATTACAGGCATGAGCCACCACTCCCAGCCTATCCTGTTTCTTATAAAGTTTCTATCTTAGAAAAGTGGCATAGAGTGAAGACTTGATAACTTTGTATCTAGGGAAAAAATGACATTTCCATGTTGTCCAGTATAAAACACATATTATTATTGTTATATTCTGATGGGCCAAAAAGACATATATGTTTAAGTTCAGATTCATAGGCACAAGGTATTTATTATGTTTCAAACTCCCAAAGGATTTCATGCAATTTGAGAAATACTACCATGAATAAAGGACAAGAGGAATTCTGGAGAAAGGGTGGTGCAAATGCATACCCTTATCTCCCTCCAATATGAATTTTGATCTGTCCACCAGCACAGCTATCAATGCTAGCAGGCAGGTGGGGAATGGCAGATATGTGGGAACAATTGGCTTTTTGGTTTTGATAAGGGATAGGACTAGAGCTCAGGACTCAGTTCTCTTCTAGGCCTAACTAAATCTGGGAATGAAGCTCTGAGGCAAACTTCAGAACTCTGTGGGTCTTGGGGCCTGTGTAGATTCACTGACCCATAAGAGTTAGGGTAGCTCTATCTTGCATAAGTGGTCATGGGAGGAAGACCTGCTAGTCTCCTTAGACCCCAAGGATTTACACAGTAGAGAAACAGTTGGCTTTAACCCATCTTTACTCTGAGACATGCAGACCACTGATTTGCAGCTGAAGAAAGAGAAAAGAGGCTTCTTCCTGGTTTCAGAGAATGACGATTTATGAGCTGTCAGTTTGCCAGCTTCCAGAGGCAGAGAGTAGGAAGTCAAACAAGGAGAAAAAGGAAAGGAAGCAGATTAAGAAGTTTTGTTATTTTTGTCTCCTTAGCTTGCAGATAAGAGGAATACTAAATATACCCAATATCTACAAGGTAAAGCATTGCAGCAGCTTGACCTCAGGGTGACTGGAACCATGTGTATACAAAGAAAAAAAAGCCCACAGAAGAGTTGGCTTTTGTTAAAATGGAAAATATGGAGGAGAAATGAGGAACTTTAACAGAAAATAATTGGACACATAAAGGCATAAGATGGCATAAAAGACTACCTTAGATAAGACTACCTTAGATTCTGAAATACTTATGTGTGACAGGATATAAGGTCTGGGATGTTTTGGAAGATAATCCAATTGGCTTAGAAGGTAGTAGGTTGACACAAAAATGACATCAAATTGGCCATTTGCTGGTAGTTGCTGAAGACAGGTAATGAATGGTACATGGAAAAGGGTGTGTTATTAGGATTCTTTTAATTTATGTACAACTTTGGAATTTTCCATGACAATACATTTATAAATTATCTTGAAAGATGAGGATAGAATAATTACTATTCAGGATCAGTATAATGGCCTGTAAGATCTAACGGAAGAAACAGCCAAGATTTCAGAGCAAAAATACAAAGTCACTGAAATTATAAAGAAAAAGATTAGAGACTTAAGAAAGTGTTAGATAATAGAAATTTAGAAGAAGAATAATCAATAAATGGAGTACTATAATAATTGAAGAAATGAAAAAGGCAGTTTTCTCTGGTTTGCAGAATTATTTTAGTTTGTTAATTGAAAGGGTTTACTAAGTTCCAGGAAGGACTGATGGAAAAAGACACATTTAGGCAAATCGTCCTGAAGTTTCTGATTCAAAAAAAAAAGAGAAAATTTTTATGAGTTCTCAAACAAAAAGTTACACACAAAGAAAAAAATGTAAACTTTCATGGGATTTCTTCTCTTTAATGCTAGAAGAGAAAAGCACAGTGTAAAAACATCTGCTAACTACTGAAAGAAAAGCACTGCAACGCAAGCATCCGTCCCGCACATGGATGAGATAACATTCACCTATCAGGGTAAGAAGATGTAAGAACTGAGAGGGTTGGAGCAAGATGGCCAAACAGAAGTCTCCACTCAACATAACCCCTACAGCAACACCAAATTTAACAAGTCTCTACACATAAAAAGCACCTTCATAAGGACCAAAGAATCGGGTGAGCATGACAGTAGGCAGTTTTAACTTCATATTGCTGAATGATTCACTGAAGAGGGTAGGAAAGACAGTCTTAAATTGCAGATGTCACCCCTCCCCTGTCCCCTCAGGGGTTGCCTGGTATGGAGACAGTCCGTGCACTTGCGGGAGGGAAAGTGAAGAGATTGTGAGACTTTGTGTAGAAACTCAGTGCTGTCCTGCCACTGTGGAAAGCAAAATCAGGCCGAACTCAGCTGACATCCACCCATAGAGGGAGTGCTTATATCAGCCTTAGCCAGCAGGGAATTGCCCATCCTACTGGTCAGAGCTTGAGATTCTCCAAGGCTTGCCACAGAGGCCTACGTGCTTTGGGGTTCTAAATAAACTTGAAAGGTAGTCTAGGCCACAAGGGCTGCAACTCCTAGGCAAGTCCCAGTGCTGTGATGAGCTTAGAGCTACTGGACTTGGGGGACACAACAACCTAGTGAGACATTGGCTGAGTAGGGAAGGCAGTGCTTGTGCCACTGCTCTCCAACCCCAGGAAACATAGCTCACAGCAAGGAAAATGCCTCCTGCCTTCTCCTTGAGAGAAGAGGGAAGAATAAATAGGGCTTGTCTCGCAGCTTGGATACCAGTTCAGCCACAGTAGGACTGGTCACTGGGCAGTCATGACGCTAACCATTCCAGGCTCTAGCTCTTAAATGACATTTCTAGACACACCCTGGGCCAGAAGGGAACTCACTGCCTTGAATAAAAGGACCCATTCCTGTCAGGATGCATCACCTTCTGACTAAAGCATCCTTGGGCTCCGAATAAACAGCAGTGATACCCAGATACTACATTAAGGATTTTGGGTGAGACTCTGAGACTTGCTGGCTTTAGGTGAGACTCATCACATTCCTAGTTGTGGTGGCTACAAAGCAAGACCCCTTCCACTTGAGAAAAGCAGAGGGGAAAGTAAAGGGGACTTTGTTTTGCACCTCAGCCATAGAGAGGTAGAGCACCAAGTGAGCTCTTAGGTTCCCTGATTCGAGGCTTTAGCTCTTGGATGGCATTTCTGAACCTGCCTTGGGCCTGAGGGGAGCCTACTGCACTGAAGGGTGAGTCTCAGGCCTGACAGCATTCACCACAAGCTGACTGAAGAGCCCTTGGGTCTTAAGTGAACAGTGGCAGTAGCTGTGCAGCACTCCCCATGGGTCTGTGGTAGGAGTAAAATGGGGTGAGTCTCCTCTGTGGAAAGGGGAGGAAAGAGTGGGAAGGATTTTGTCTTTTGGTTGGAGTGCCAGGTTAGCCACAGTAGTATGGAGTACCAAGTAGATTTTTATGTGTTTTGACTCTAGTCTCTGGCTCCCAGACCGCACTTCTGGACCCAGGGCCTAGGGAAATGCACCATCCTGAAGGGAAGAACACAAGCATGGCTGGCTTTGCCACCTTCTGATTGTAGAGCGCTAGGACCTTGAGTGAACATAGGTGGTAGCCACAAAGTTATTACAGTGGGCCTTAAGTGAGACCCAGTGCTATGTTTCATGTCTAAGGCAGTGCAGTTCCAGTGCTGGTGGCCACAGGGGTGCTTGGATCACTGCAAAGAGAGAAACTCCATTCATTGGGGAAAAGTAAGAGAACTGAAATCTCTGCCTGGTAATCCAAGGACTTATTCTGGATCTTATCTAAGACCACTAAAGCAGTATATCTTTTAGTCTGCAAGAACCACAGCATTACTAGGCTTGGGGTACCCCCTTAAGAAGATACAACTTAGATCACAAAACTCAAGTTCCTTCAAATACCTAGAAAGTCTTCTCATTAAGGATGGGTACAAACCAGCCCAGGTTGTAAGGACTAAAATAAATACCTGCTCTTTAATGCCCAGGCACTGACAAACATCCACAAACATCAAGACCATCCAGGAAAATATGACCTCTCTAAATGAAATAAATAAGGAATCAGGAAACAATCCTGGAGAAACAGAAATATGTGTGCTTTTAGACAAGAATTCAAAATAGCTGTGTTGAGCAAACTCAAGATAACACAGAGAAGAAATTCAGAATTCTGTTAGATAAATTTAACAAGGAGATTGAAATAATGAAGAATCAAGCAGAAATTCTGGCATTTAAAAATGCAATTGACATATGTAAGAATGGATGAGAGTCTCTTAATTCAGAATTTATCAAGCAGAAAGAATTAGTGAGCTTGAAGACAAACTATTTGAAAATACAGTCAGAGAACACAAAGAAATAGAAAAGAATGAAGCACACCTACGAGATCTAGGAAATCGCCTCAAAAGGACAAATCTAAGAGCAATTGGTTTAAAGTGGAAATAGAGAAAAAGATAAGGGGAGAAATCTCATTCAAAGGGATAATCACAGAGGACTTCCCAAACCTGAGGAAATATATTGATATTCAAGTAGAAAAGGTTATAGAACACCAAACAGATTTAACCCACAAAAGACTACATCAAAGCATTTAATTATCAAACTTTCAAAGATCAATGAAAAATAAATGCTTCTAAAAGTGGCAAGAGAAAAGCAACCAATATCATACAATAGAGCTATAGTACGTCTGGCAGCAGACTTTGCAGTGGAAATCTTACAGGCTAGGTGAGAGTGGCATGACATGTTTAAAGTACTGAAGGAAAAAACTTTTACCCTAGAAGAGTATATCCAGTGAAAATATCATTTAAACATGAAGGAGAAATAAAGACTTTCCAGAGAAACAAAAGCTAAGAAATTTCCTCAACCAGATCTGTCCTACGAGAAATGCTTTAAAGGAAGTTCTTCAGTCACAAAGAAGAGGACATTAATGAGCAATAAATCAGCTGAAGATACAAAACTCACTGGTAATAGTAAGTACACAGAAAAACACAGAACATTATAACACTGTAATTGTGGTGTGTAAACTACTTTTATTATAAGTAGAAACACTAAAAGATTAACTGATGATAATAGATACAGCTTTTCAAGACATACACAGAACAAGATATAAACAGAAATGATAAAATGTTAAAAAGGGGACAAAGCTAAAGTGTTGAGTTTCTATTACTTTTTTCTTGTTTCTTTGTTTATGCAATCAGTGTCAAATCATCATGAGTTTAAAATAGTGGGCTAAAAGATAGCATTTGCAAGTCTCATGGTAACCTCAAATCAAAAAATGTACAATGGATACACAAAATATAAAAAGCAAGAAATTATACCACCAGAGAAAATTACCATCACTAAAAAAACAAAAAACAAAAGACAGGAAAAAGGAAAGCAGGAAGAGAAGACCACAAACCTACCAGAAAACGATAAACAAAATAACAGGAATAAGTACTTACTTATCAATAATAACATGAAATGCAAATTGACTAAAATCTTCAATAAAAAGAGTAGCTGAATGGATTAAAAAACCACACCTAATGATCTGTTGCCTACAAGAAGCATACTTCATGTATAAAGACACACATAGACTGAAAATAATGGCATGGAAAAAGATATATCATGGTAGTGGGAACTAAAAAAAAAAAAAAAGCAGGATTCACTATACTTATATCAAACAAAATAGATTTCAAGACAAAAACTATAATTAGAGACAAAGAAGATCACTATATAATGATAAAGGAATCAATTCAGCAAGAAGATATAATAATTTTAAATATATTTATGCATCCAACACTGGAGCACACTGATATATAAAGCAAATATTATTAAAGAGAGAGATAGACTACAGTACAATAGTAGCTAGAGACTTCAGCACTTCATTTTCACCATTGGACAGATCTTCCAGAGAGAAAATGAACAAAGAAACATCAGACTTAATCTGCGCTGTAGACCAAATGCACCTAATAGATAGTTACAGAACATTTTTTCCGATAGCTTCAGAATACATATTCTTCTCCTTAGCACATGGATCATTCTCAAGCATAGACCATATGTTAAAGCAAAAAACAAGCCTTAAAAGGTCCCCAAAATTGATGTAATATCAAGCGCCTTCTCTGACCACAATGGAATAAAACTACAAATTAATAAGAAGAGGAATTTTGGAAACTATACAAATACATTGAAGTTAAACAATATGCTCCTGAATGAATAGTGAGTGAATGGAGAAATTAAGAAGTAAATTGAAAAATTTCTTGAAACAAATAATAATGGAAACACAACATATCAAAACCTATGAGATACAGTGAATGCAGTACTAAGAGGGAAGTTTATAGGTATAAGGGGCTACATCAAAGAAGAAGAAAATTTTGAAATAAATAACTTAAGGATGCCTCTTAAAGAACTAGAAAACAAGAGCAAACCAAACCCAAAATTAGTAGAAGAAAGGAAATAATAAATATTAGAGCAAAATTAGATGAAACTGAAAAGAAAACAATACAAAAGATCCACAAAATGAAAGTTGGTTTTTAGAAAAGATAGACAAAATTGACAACATTTAGCCAGACTAAGAAAAAAAAAAGAGAAGACCCAAATCAATAAAATCAGATATGAAAAAGGAGACATCAAAACTGATACCACAGAAATTCACATGATCAGTACTGGCTTTTATGAGCAACTATATGCCCATAAATTGGAAAATCTAGAAGAAATGAATGAATTCATAGACACGTAAAACCTACCATTATTGAACCGTGAAGAACTCCAAAACCTGGATAGACTAAAAACAAGCACCAAAATTGAAGCCATAATTAAAAGCCTCCAAGAAAGAAAAGCCTGGAACCCAATGGCTTCACTGCTAAATTCTATGAAACATTTGAAGAAAAACTAATATCAAATACTACTCAAACTATTCCAAAAAATAGAGGAGGAAGGAATACTTCCAAATGCATTCTACAAATCCAGTGTTATCTCGATACCAAAGCCAGAGAATGACACATTAAAAAAAAGAAAACTCCAGGCAAAAATCCCTGATTGTTATTGATGGAAAAATTCTCAACAAAATACTAGCAAGCCAAATTCACAGCAAAATGAAACTAGACCCCCATCTCTGGCCACATACAAAAATCAAGTTAAAATGGATTAAAGACTTAAATCTAAGACCTCAAACTATGAAACTACTAGCAGAAAACCTTGGAGAAACTCTCCAGGACATTGGATTGGAAAAGATTTCTTTAGTAAATAAATACCCCACAAGCATACGCAACCAAGGCAAAGATGAACAAATGAGATCACATAAAGTTAAAAAGTTCCTGCACAGTGGCCAGGCATGGTGGCGCATGCCTGTAATCCCAGCACTTTGGGAGGCTGCGGTGGGTGGATCACGAGGTCAGGAGATCGAGACCATCCTGGCTAACACGGTGAAACGCCGTCGCTACTAAAAATACAAAAAATTAGCGGGGCGTGGTGGCAGGTGCCTGTATTCCCAGCTACTCGGAAGGCTGAGGCAGCAGAATGGCGTGAACCTGGGAGGCGGAGCTTGCAGTAAGCCCAGATGGTGCCACTGCACTCCAGCCTGGGCGACAGAGAGAGACTCCATCTCAAAAAAAAAAAAAAAAAAAGTTTCTGCACAGCAAAGGATACAATCAATAAAGTGGTACAACAACTCACAAATGGGAGAAAACATTTGCAAACTGTCCATCTGACAAGGGATTAATAACCAGAATATATAAGGAGCTCAAAGAACTTTGTAAGAAATAATCTAATAATCTTATTTAAAATGGGTAAATAATATAAATAGATGTTTCTCAGAAGAAGATATAGAAATGGCAAACAGGTATATGAAAAGGTGCTCAACATCGTTGATCATCAGAGAAATGCAAATCAAAACTACAATGAGATATCATGTCACCCCGGTTTAAATGGCTTTTATCCAAACACCAAGCAGTAACAAATGCTGGAAAGGATGTGGAGAGCAGGGAACCCTGTACACCGTTGGCAGGAATATAAACTAGTACAACCACTATGGAGAACAGTTTGAATCTTCCTCGAAAAAGTAAAAATAGAGTTACTATATGATGTGACAATGACACTGCTGGGTATATACTCAAAGGAAATCAGTATATCAAAGAGATACGTGTACGGCCATGTTTTTTGCAGCATTATTAACAACAGCAAAGATTTGGAAGCAATCTTAATGTCCATCACAAAATGAATGGATAAAGAAAATGTGGAACATATACATAATAGAATACTATTCAGCCATAAAAAAAGAATGAGATCCTATCCTATGCAATAATATGGATGGAACTGGAGATCATTATGTTAAGTGAAATAAGCCAGGTATGGAAATACAAACTTCACATTCTCATTCACTTGTGGGTCCTAAAAATTAAGACCATTGAACTCATGAAGATAAAGAGTAGAAGGAGGGTTATCAGAGGCTGGGAAGGGCAACATGGGAATTTGGGGGAGAGTGGAAAAGGTTAACGGGTACAAAAAAAAATAGAATAAGACCTAGTATTTGATAGAAAAAAAGGGTATCTATAGTCAATAATAATTTAATTGCACACTTAAAAATAACTAAAATAGTATAATTGGATTGTTTGTAACATGAAGGATAAATGCTTGAGGTGATGGATACCCCATTTACTTTGAAGTGGTCATTATGCATTACAGGCCTGTATCAAACGATCTCAACCCATAAATATGTACACCTACTATGTACATGCAAAAATTAAAAGTAACAACATTTTTCTAAAAATTGAAAAAAAAAAAACCCTCAGAGAATATAAGGCCAACATAAACCATATGAAGAAAATATTTGAGCAAGGATTCCAAGCAAACGAATACATGAATCACATCAGAGGCCTCAGGAGCATGAAAGACAAAGTAGAGAGGAAACATTAATAGGTTAAATGAAGATTCTGAAAGTCAAGGAGCCATAGTGCAAAGAAAATCTAGTAAGAGTCTGCAATGAAAAGTTCTAAGCCATTTCAGTGAATCCAAGGTTTTGGTCTGAGAAAAAGGGCAGATGTAAGAGCCTGCCAATTTCTTTTCTGTCATTGGGTTGGGGTCGGGGAAGTATTGACACCCCAAGTCTCTTCCTGAATTGGGGAGAAATAGTTAACATTTTATTTTCAAATAAGAGTAGAGATATGTGTTCTTGACTGTCCTCAGAATGAGAGTATAACTAATCTGGAGAGTCATAAGTCTCCAGATTAACAAGAGGAGGCTGTGTAATAACTCTATCAAATTGTGTAATAACTCTATAAAAAAGGAGTAAACAAAAACCCAATCAGATAAATAAGAAACATAAGTGAGATCAAGAAATAAAATTAAATATAACATTTGCTATGCTAAATGTGAATAATCTAAATGTGTCTGCTAAAACATAGAGACTGAGAATGGCTAGAAAATATTCATTGAAAATGAAGACATTTAGAAGAAAGTAATTAGCAAAGTATGAAAATAAAAACATGAGAAATAGGAAAATTCAAAAATCAAAAGGAAAACAAAAGTAAAAATAATTACATGCAAGTTATATTTTTAAGGAAAAAGACATTAAAAAACTGAATAGTTTTAAAGGACATTATGCAGTGACAAAAGAAAAAAACTAGATATCATTCTCATATATTTGTGTATTTTAAAAAAATAGAACAGGTAGGCCAGGCATGGTGGCTCATGCCTGTAATCCTAGCCCTTGGGAAGGCCAAGGTTGGAGGTATGCTTGAGCCCAGGAGTTTGAGACCAACCTGAGCAACATAGTGGGATGCCATCAATACTAAACATAAAATAAAAAAATTAGTGGGGCATGGTGGCACACACCTGTGGTCTCAGCTACACAGGAGGATGGGGTGTGAGGATCACTTGAGCCTGGAAAGTCAAGGCTGCTGTGAGCCGTGTTCATGCCACTTCACTCCAGACTGGGCATCAGAGTGAGACCCTGCCTCAAAAAAAAAAAAAACAGCTAAATTTATTTATATAAATAATGTGAAATTGTGAAATAAACATAGTGTTGCTAATGTACTGAGAGATACTGAAAAAACTTTTTCAGAATTGTTAAGATCTAGATAAAAAATAAGGAATATTATGATTATCTATCAATAAACAAACGATTACATAGAGATCATATAGATTGTGTTTTGGACACACGTAAGAATATATATTGAGAGGGTGTGAGAGATCTGCATCCTATAGAAAGAATGTAAACCTATTTCTTGTCTTCATGGAAGTTTTCAAAAAAGTACATTATGTGTCTGGTTACAAAACAAAACAAACTTTTAAAAGTATACATTTTACAATTAGCATTTCATAATTATAAATAAAAATGAAATAATAGTAAAATATTTAAATACCTAAGTATTAAGAACTAATAGTCTCATTTAAATCTTGAGGAAGGAACAAAAACTTAAATATATATTTTTAAATGATCAAATAAAGTTTTTGAGAGCAAATAAAAAGCAATTGGGGAAAAATACGCGTTTCATACTCAAACATTTGGACATCGTTATAATTTAATTTCACTATAATTAGAATTTATAGTTTTAAATTCATTTATTTATTTGCTCAACAAATATTCATTGAGCCCCTCTGGGATGTAAGACACCTTTCTCAGTATTGAGGATGCGGCAGTGAGTAAGATCTCCACCCTCCTTGGGCTTTTCTTTTAGTTAGGAAAAAATACAATAAAAATTAACAGAAAGTATTCAAGTTTGTAAAATAAAAATAAGGCAAGGGATAGATATAGAGCAGAATTATAAATTCAGCAGATACTATTAAAGATAATGGTGACTAGCAAAGGATCACAGGACTCATTTTGACAAATTGAGTAAAGGAAGGACAAGCTAAAGCAAGTGGGAAAAGAAGGTGAAATTAATTAAAGAATAAAAATGCAAATAGAAAAATATAATCACATTAGGATGGAAAAGAATATTCAATGATACATAGGAAGTTTTAACTTTTTTAACTTAGTGATGGTGGGGCATACAAATATACATACAGTGTTAACGTTTCCAGTAAAGAGAACATGTATATGAGTGTGTATGAATATATGTGTGTTTGTGAGTGCCCACGTGTCAAAATGGACAAGGATTTCAATAAGAAATTGGTTTTAGACTCACTGATCAGGCCAAGGAAAGAGACTCTTCTTATTTTAAGAAAATATCTTAAAAAATCAGGATGATGAGTAAGAACAGCGACAGCATCAATAAACTGCTATTTTTGTGGATGAAGTGGTTTTAGTTAATTGCATCTACTATTTTGTCTCTGTAATATTGTATACCTCCTATTTTGCATGTAAGCAAACTGAGCCTCAGAGAATTAACTTTCTAAGTCTCAGTTTCATCTAAGAAGCAGTAGATTAATATTCACTATTCACCATGGGGCTGTTCTAGTAAGAATATGCTGAATTAGTCTTCCATATCTCAATGGCACTACACAACTACGTGGTACTTTCCATGCATGCTGCACAGGCACTGTGAGTTGGTTGAATGCTCTGTACCATGCAATTACAGAGCAACTTCAGCTAATGGGGACTCCAGCATCTTGGCATCCTCGCTGGGTGGAGCAGAAGTGAGCATGGAGCTTCCACTCATAAACCCTTTGGCTTGCTAGCCACAACTGATCACCTAGTTTTACGTAAGTGCAAGGGGTGGCTGGAAGTAGAGGTTCCAAGAAGGTGCAGAAAGCTGTCTATTAGTGAGCATTAATAATGTATGTTAGTGTTTAACAAGAAGTTGCTGGTAAAGCGTTTTGTGCAGTGGCTATCACATGGAAAATTTTCCAATAAAAGAAATATACTATTACAGTTATAAATAATGTCCATTAGAATAAGCATTACATAACTCCTTCAAATCAAAAGACATATATTTGAATATGTGATAGCAATCAAATATTATCTAAAATTAGGAAGGTGGGTCCATAGGAACTGAATATATATTTTTAAAAATGGAAATTGAAGGAGAAAGAAAGACGTCACAGTTTTTGCTTACTGATAGTAGGTAAATGTACTTCACAAAAGTGTATACATTTTGCATAGGTTTCTGTAAGATAGCAAACTTCTGGTCCGACAGAATCAGAATGTTTCTCTTTGTCCACTTGTGAAGAGCTCAGAAGAGCAGCACAGATGAAAACATAGAGAAAAGTCTCAAGGAAAGAAATTAAATAAAAAATTTTAGATAAGAAAATTGTTTTTTACAGCTACAAAGAAATTAATGAAAAGCATATGTTACAGAAAAAAAAGTAAAGAAAAAAAGTGAGAAAAAATGAACTACCCATAAAATCTTTCTGTAGAGACCAGGGCAAAGTGATTAGAGATGTACTAGAAAGCAAGGACAAACGCCACAGATTTATATCTGAATGTATAGGACTAAAACAAGATGGTGGGAAGGTTGAAGGAGAAACAGCTAGGTCACAACGGCAACAAACAAGCAATTTTAGAAAATTCAGTTCCTTATGGAACTCTTTAAAAACACAAAAATTAGACTTTTTTCTGTTTGTTTTTCCAGACACAGGTAGAGATTTAATGAGAGAATGGGGATATTAGTCAGAGTGAAGAGCCAATTTAACAAAACATGTTGCAGCTTGGGAGTTGAGAGATAGCATGAAGCTGTGGAGAGGAGCCACCTGTGGGCCCACAGGGTCCTGGCCGCCCTTTGAATCTCCACGTAAATCCCGAAGTCTGCCAGCACCAACCTTTCGCTGCCTTCTTCAGTAGCACGATGGGGAAAGGTGAAATGTTCAGCACAAGAATGAAGGGCCTATTAGATGAAGTATGTCAGTGATATTTAATAAAAGTGATAGGAAAGGATATTAGAATCTGGGAGTGGGGTTCATTTGCATCTGCAAGCAGGGATTACAGATTTTCCTAGAACTTTCCTTATTAAGGCTGGAGGCATGATAAGGTATTGCCACAGAAGATGCAGTTCTTTAGTGAACGATATGGTTTGGCTCTGTGTCCTCACCCAAATCTCATCTGGAATTGTAATCCTCAAGTGTTGAGGCAGGAATCTGGTGGCATGTATTTGGATTATGGGGGTGGTTTCCTCGACTCTGTTCTTGTGATTTCTCATGAGATCTGACAATTTAAAAGTGTGGCACTTCCATTTGCTCTTTGTCTCCTGTCGCCATGTAAGATGTGCCTTGCTTCCCCTTCAGCCATAATTGTAAGTTTCCTGAGGCCTCCCCAGCCATGCAGAACTATGAGTCAATTAAAGCTCTTTTTCTTTATACATTACCCAGTGTTGGGTATGTCTTTGTAGCAGTGTGAAATGGACTAATACAGATGCACTGATACCACAGTAAGACACTAACTTTTAATGAGCAATTATGTCCCAGGCATGATTCTGAACATTTCCTGTACATCATCTGATTTAATCCTTATACTACAGGACATCTTGTATTCCTGTATGTATTATGGAATATAATTACAATTTGGAAGATAGCACACTTCACAAGAAGAAAGAGAGCTTGGCATGATTGATATAGAATTGTTTTTAGGTATGATGTTTTATTTTTTAATATTAAAGCAGAAAATAATTTAAGATAATGACTACTCAGGTTCAATTTCTACCAGGTATTACTGTAATATAAGAAAGTGTTTTGCAAATGGAACATTTTAAAACAAAAAACCAAGCCATGAAAAGAACATTATAAGGATAGTTAATCCTAAGGAATTGAAAATTGTGGGAAGGCAGAAAATTATTGCTTAGGAAAATATAAAGCATGCTTCTAGGTAAATGAGAAAATACCAGTTTTGAAGATGGAGTTATTAAAATATATTTATAAGGCAACAATAATAAATTAATAGCTACTATTTACTGAGTAACTACTGTGTGTCTGTCACTGCTGTAATATTTTTATATGGGCTATTTTATTTAATCTTGAAAATATCCCTGCTAGGCAGGTGATTTTAGAGGGACTTGAATAAAACAAAGGTTCATATGTGATGCCTTACACTCTGAGCTGTGGGTAAGGGTAAAATGAGTTTCAGGTTGAGAGGGATAGTCTCAAACTAAATCAAGAATATAGAGAAGAGATGACACCATGACATGTAGCATCCAACTGTGCTACTTTAAAAGACTTTGAAAGGCTTTTAAAGCCAATTATCTAAGATCATGGAGGAAATGTCTAAATTATAGTTATGGAAAAATTATTTGATTTTATTTCAAAAAAAAACAGTGAGGAATGAAGAACTAATACTTTCAAAATGTAGACTCTAGGCCAGGTGTGGTGGCTCACACCTGTAATCCCAACACTTTGGGAGGCTGAGGCAGGTGGATCACCTGAGGCTTGGACTTTGAGACCAGCCTGGCCAACATGGTGAAACCCTGGCTCTACTGAAAAAAAAAAATACAAAAATTAGCCGGGCGTGGTGGTGGAATACCTGTAATCCCAGCTACTCAGGAGGCTGAGGCAAATGAATTGCTTGAACTCAGGCGGCGGAGGTTGCAGTGAACCAAAATAGCGCCATTGCACTCCAGCCTGGGCAACGAGTGAAACTCCATCTCAAAAAAAAAAAAAAAAAAAAAAAATATATATATATATATATACACACACACACATAGACTCTGTTTCCAGTAGCAAAATATATAAACCTATGAATATGCAATGGACTCTACAGAACAGTCCAAAAGTCCAAAAAGGGAAAATACACTATATAATAAATTTGGATGAAATCTATTATGGCAAAGTAATAAAAACAGTTCTATGTTGAGTTAATTAGAAATAGCTGAGCAATATTTGAAGGATTTGTATGGATCTTTGTTAGAGACTCATTTCTATGTATTACATGTAAATAAATTTAATAACTACTTGTGAGGATCAAGTAAATGATGGACATGGGAGAAATCTGAAAGGATATTAAAGTACTAAACAGATGTAAAGTAATTTTAATCCCTCTCTTTAGTGAATCAGTCATTTGATCAGCTATTGTGATAGTTTTCTCTTTTAAATCAGCTCCAATCTACATTTAAAGGGACCAAGAGATATGGAGCCCTGTGTGTGTGTGTGTGTGTGTGTGTGTGTAAGAGAGAAAGGGTGAGAAAGAGAGAGTGAGAAAGAGTTAGAAGGCCAGGAATATGAGGTCAAACTCCACTAACTAGTTGTGGAAACTTTGTAATTACTTATGCTTGGTAATCCTCCGTAAGCCTCAGTTCCCTCAATTATAAAGTGAAGATAGGAGATGAGCTTAGGTGTAATGATTGTTTTGAAGACTAAATGAGATTATCTTTATAAAGCATTAACTTCAGTGCCTTGTATTTTAAATTTATTCACACATCAGACATATTCTTGTATTGTATTGTATCTTTATAAGTTTATATTTACATATTGTATTAGCATATTCTATCTTTATAAGTTTATATTTACATATGACACATTTATTACAAGTAAGGCAAGAATTTCCTTAAAAATTGAAACAGTGAAGTAATATGTGCTGGAATAAAGGTTTCTGTTCAAAACAAAATTCACTGAGTACCTTCTAGTAGGTTCTTACCGTATCTTCCATTCTGGCTGGGGATGAGAATAAATATTGCTGTAGTAAACAAAAGTAATATTTGATAAATATAAAGTCTGAGAGATGAAGTGGTTACAGTATTGACAGAAAATGAATCTTTTTTATTTTTAGAGATTAAGGGAAGGCTTGATAGAGAAGTTGATGTTTAAGTTGGCTTTGAAGGGAGTATCAAAATTTTATTTTATTTTATTTTATTTTATTTTATTTTATTTTATTTTATTTTATTTTGTGAGACAGGGTCTCACTCTGTCACCCAGGCTGGAGTGCAGTGGCACCATCTCAGCTCACTGCAGCTTCCACCTCCTGGACTCAAGCAATCCTCCCTCCTCAGCCTCCTGAGTAACTGGGACTATAGGCATGTGCCTCCATGCCTGGCTAATTTTTACATTTTCTATAGAGACGGAGTTTCGTCATGTTGTCTAGGCTATTCTCCAACTTCTGGGCTCAAGCAATCCACCTGCCTTGACCTACCAAAGTGCTGGGGTAACAGGTGTCAGCCACTGTGCCTGGCCTATTTATATGTATTTTAGGATAGAGATTGTGTGTGTGTGTGTGTGTGTGTGTGTGTGTGTGTGTGTGTATCTATGTGATGCAATTTTAGAAAAAGATTATCCAAAGAAGAAATGTGGGAAGTGTGGAACATTATCAGGGAATGGCACTAACTTGGTAAAATAATTAGTATCTTGCTAACTCTAGAATTTATCTTCTTTCTTTGCTTTCCTTCTTACTCAAACTTCTCTAATTTTATTTTTTCTTCACAAAATTTAAATATACAGTAATCCATAAAGCTATACAATCTGTCACTCAGATCATTTTTGCCATATTTTCACAAGATTTTAAAAAATAAAACACTATAAATAAAATTGAAGAAACTCTATTCCTCTGTCATATCCCTCTCTTCCTCCCCAGGATTAATTGTTATAGTAAAATTGGGAGTGAGTCCTTCCTGTCCATGTGTTTAAACCTTTACCATATATATGTAATATTCATAAATAAAGTGTCATCTTACCTTTGTTAAACTGATATCAATATCTTATCATACTGTTATCTTTTTTGACTCATCATTGGGTTTCTGAGTTTTATTCAAGTTGACACATTTATTTTTTTTTTCTTGTATTTATTTATTTTTTGGTTGCCCAGGCTGGTCTCGAACTCCTGAGCTCAGGCAATCTGCCTGTCTTGGCCTCCCAAGGTGCTGGGATTGCAGGTGTGAGCCACCATGCCCAGCCAAGGGATACCAGTTTTAATCCTGTATGCTGTGCATGAGAGTTCTAGTTGCTCCATTGCCTCATCAACACTTGGTATTGTCAGTCTGTTTTTAATTTTAGCCATTCTATGATATTTAGTGGTTCTAATTTTAATTTACCTAATGACTAATGAAGTAATTTTTCACATATTTAATGATTATTTGAAAACCTTCTTTTGTAAAGTACCTGTTAATGACTTTTGTCAACTTTTCTATTGTGATATATATATTTTTGTCTTGATTAGTAGGACTTTTATATCTATTCTGGGTAGGGATACTTTGAGATTATATGTATTGTAAATATCTTCTCCCATCAGGTGGTTTGCTACTTTCCGTCTGTTGGTGGTGTCTTTTGATAACCAAAAGTCGCTAATTTATTAAAGTTTAATTTATCTATTTAAAAAAAAAGTTGACACATTTAGATTCACTTCACTCACTTTAAAATCTAATTTGTCTATAACCTCTTTAATAAGACTTCCAGAACGTGTTTTCTGCTGGAACTGCTCTTTTCAATGTCAGCAATTATCCCATTCCTAAATTCAATGGACACTTTCTTTTCTAATCTTCGATTTATCAGCAGAACTGGATTCAGGTGACTTCTCTCTCCTCCTCAATGAATCAAGTTCTTTTGGATTATGTGAAACAATATTCTCCTGGTTTCACTGTATCTCTTTGAACGACTTTCAGTTTCTTGCACTACCTGCTCTCATCCAGATTCTAAATATTGAAGTTCCTCAGGGCTTGATCCCAGGTTCTTTTAGAAAAAAAAAAAAATAAAAATCAAGTTACTTATCTCACAGTTTTTTCCTTATCTGCTTCCATCACTTTAATAGCCTCTCTAGCTGGTGATTCCCAAATATAGATGCCTCCAGTTTTGGCTATTTCCAAGGTTCATATGTTTTCTTTTTGTTTTCTTCACTGGGATATCTCTAGATTATCCTTGATTTCTCTCTTTCCTTCATAGCCTTCTCCTCCCTCATTCTACCATCGAATGCACTGATACTTGAATTAGAAATATTTCAAGATATGATGCAAATCTTCCCTTTGCAAAGGTTTTGGTATCCATCACTATCATTCCTAATCTAGGCTGACATCATCTTTCACCTAAAGTTTTTGAAATTACCTCCTACCTTATCCCCTGATTCTTCTCTTGTCTTTCCAAACCATTCCCCACATATAAGACACAGTGTTTTTTTATGTAGATTTGATTATATTACTCTACTGCTGAAATTATTTTAAAAGTTTCCTATTATCCTTGGAATAACATTTAATATCCTTATGTCCTACAAAGTCCTGCATGATCTGGCCTCCCCTTAAATCTTTAATTGTACAAATCTCTGCCTCTCTGTCTTGCTCATTACTTTCCCATTGTAGTATCAGCCTCAAAAAGTTCTTTAAAAAAATTTCCCCTTCACTGATACATAATATTTTACATAATTATGGGGTACATGTGGGTATTTGTTACATACATAGAATGTATAAGTCAAAGTATTTGAGGTATTCATCACCTTGAGTATTTATTATTTCTGTTTGTTGGTAATGTTTCAAATCCTCTCTTCTATCCACTTAGAAATATATAACATACAACATAGTGTTGCTAAGTATAATCACCCTAGTGTTCTATCAAACATTACAATTTATTTTTTCTGTCTAACAGTATGTTAGTACCCATTTGCCAACCCCTCTCCCTTATTATGCCACAATCAATGTTTCTTGTCTTAGACCCTTAGCACATCACTCATCCTGCAGGCACCCTTGCTCTTCACATGGCTGTCAGCTTCTCTTCAAGTCTCATCTTACATGTTGTCACATTAGATATGCCTTCCCTGTCCACCTAATTTATAGTCATCACTGTTAATTATTCTCTATTAACATTTAAAAAATGTTTTGAGTGGCTTCCAAAATTGATACAAAGTCTGGAGAAGCAAACTCAGAAAATAGAGAGGAACCATAAGAAGGTAGATGACCAGATGACCTCAGTCTTGGTCACACCACAGAAGCAGCCTAGCCAGAATGTTGATGTTATTCATTCCTGGGTACTCATGTCCTGCTGGATAGTGGTGGCTGTTGTAGACAGTATATCTTCTACTCCTGGAATGAATCCAGCATCCTAGATTCAAGTCCTGAGTACTTCCATTTGACTGGGGAAGTTACTTTCCAAACAGGCTTATCCAAGAGCAGATTTTCAAACGTAGAAAAGGTTCTTAGATGCTAGGTAAGAAAAAAATATATAAATGAAACCAAATGTCTGGTGTAACTGCACGGTGACTTGTGATTGCATATTCACTGATTTGTCTATCTTCCATATCCCATGATTAGTGTGTTAGGTCCATAGAGGGAGAACAATGTTTGACTCATCTCTGTGTTCCTAGAATCGACTGGAGAGTAATAGATGCATAATAAATATTGATTCCATGTCACCCAAATTAAGATAACACAGTCTTAGTCATTTTAAAATGAAATGACAGGCAACTAAAGCCCATGTGACCTTAAAAGATTTCTTTTCTCTTCAAACTTAGTTTTAGTTTTACCCTTCAAAAAACATCTGGCTACATATCTAATGCCTCAACTTCATGATATTCTCTCTTATGTTTGTGGGAATGGTGAGGGCAGGAGGGTTCCCTTTATGCAGAGCTAAATATCTGACCCTAATTAGCAATCTTTTGTAAGAACACACCGAAGTAGGCTACTGGAACATAGCAAAAAAGTTTTGATGAATACATGTCTTTAGTGATTTTTAGGTTTTGCTGACCTCCTTAAAAGTTCTCAAGACATATTTTGTTCAAAATTGCAGTGTTCAAGTGCCCCTTAGAGCTCTCTGTGACATTGATTTGATGGCATTGAGTTTCAATAAAAAGAAAAGAACAGAGGTAGACTTCATTTCACAGCCGAATCCATTAGAAGATGTTTTTGGAGGATTTCCAAACAGAAAAGAGAACAGCTGCTTTCTATTTTCTCAAAAAATATAATGGTGGATCCCCTTTCTCACAATTCTGATGCTTAACTCACCAAATTGACTGAAATAATGGCAAAAATGGAGTAGTTTATTAATAATTACTCTCTTTTTCTCAACTTTACCTTGGTTGTGATGTGGGATAAAAGGCTTTGAAGTTATCACACTAGTTCAGTAAAAAACACACAAAAATGTAAATGTTCTGTTCAGAAAAAGAATGGGTTTTAATTTCTAGCACAGTGAGAATCAAGTAAATTACAGAATGCTGAAGCTTAAAATATATAATTTTAAATAAAATTGGATTATATTAAAGAATTGAATAGCTGAATCGCATGTTAAATGATTATATCACTTTTTAAGAAAGCGTTAAACTGTTTTCCAAAGGAGTGGTTTTTATATTATCAACAGCAGTGTATAAAGTTTCTATTTCTTCCAGATCTTGCCAACACTTGGTATGGCCAGGCTTTTTAAATTCTAGCCCTTTCAAACAAGTATGCAGAGGTATCTCACCGTGGGTTCTTTTTTGTTGTCTTTAAAAATTTTATTTTTTAAGCTTAATTGAGGTAATTGATACAGAAAATGTGGCCTATATTTAATGCATACATTTTGATGAGTTTGAATATATGCATAACTCCATGATACCATCATCACAGAACATTAAACATAACCATTACCTCAAAAAATTCCTTCTGTTCTTATTTCGTGTGTGTGTGTGTGTGTGTGTGTGTAGTCTGTGTAGTGTGTGTTTATAGTAAGAATACTTAACATGGGTTTTAAGATCTATGGTCTTAACATAGATTACAGTCTTAACATTTTAAAGCACACAACACCATAGTGTCAACTATAGGTACAGTGCTGTACAGCGGATCTCTAGAACTTACTCATCTTGCGTAAGTGAAACTTTACATCTATTGAGCAACAGTTTTCCCTAGCCCTTGGCAAACATCATTTCATTCTTTGCCTTTATGACTTTGATGATTTTAGATAGCTCATATAATTGGAATTGTTTGCCCTTCTGTGACTGGCTTATTTCACTTAGCATAACATCTTCTGTGTTCATCCCTGTTGTTGCAAATGATACAATTTTCTTCTTTTTAAGACTGAATAATATTCCTTTGTACCTATTTATATATCACACTTTGTTTATTTACTCATCTGTCAATGGGCATTTAGGCTGTTTCCGTATCTTGATTATTGTGATTAATGCTGCAATGAACATAAAACCACAGAAAATTCTACAAGATTCTAACTTAAATTCTTCTGGATTTATACATCTAGAAGTGGGATTGCTGGATTATATGGTAGCTCTATTTTTAATTTTTTGAAAAACTCTATACCGTTAACAATAGTGGCTGTATAGTTTTACATTACTAACAACAATGTAGAAGGGTTCCCTTTCTCCATACCCTTGCCAATGGTGGTTATCTTTTATTTTTTTTTCATAGTAACCATCCTAACAGGTGTAAGGTGATATCTAATTGTGATATTGATTTGCTTTTCTCAGATGATTAATGGTGTTGATCACCTTTCATATACATCTTAGCCATTTGTATGTTTTCTTTGGATAAATGTCTATTCAGGTTGTTTGTTCATATTTTTATTAAGTTATTTGTTTCTTTGCTATTGAAACGTAGGAGATTTTGACAAAAGTCAACACCCTTTCATGAAAAAAGGGCTCAACAAATGAAGGTAAAGAAGAAATGCATCTCAACACAATGAAGGCCATATATATCACGCTCACAGCTAACATCATACTCAGTGGTGAAGGACAAAGTTTATTCTCTAATATTGGGAACAAGACAAGAATATCCTCTCTTCTATTCAACATAAAACTGAAAGTCCTAGCCAGAGCAATTAGGCAAGAAAAAGATTTGGAAGGCATCTAAACCAGAAAGGAAGAATTAAAAGAAGTATCTGTTTTTATTTATTTATTTATTTATTATTTATTATTTATTTATTTATTTATTGAGACTGAATCTGACTCTGTTGCCCAGGCTGGAGTACAGTGGCAAGATCTCAGCTCATTGCAAGCTCCACCTCCCAGGTTCAAGAGATTCTTATGCCTCAGCCTCCCGAGTAGCTGGGACTACAGGCACCCGCTACCACGCCCAGCTAATTTTTTGTATTTTTAGTAGAGACGGGGTTTCACCGTGTTAGCCAGGATGGTCTCAATCTCCTGACCTCGTGATCCACCTGTCTCAGCCTCCCAAAGTGCTGGGATTACAGGCATGAGCCACCGTGCCTGGCCTAAAATTATCTGTTTATAAATGACATGATTTTATTTGTAGAAAACCCTAAACCCTCCACACATACCTGTTAGAACTAAAAGACAAATTCAGTAAATTTTCAGGGTACACAATCAACATACAAAAATAGTTGAATTTCTGTCTACTAACAAGGGACTATCTGAAAAGAGAATCAAGAAAATAATCTTATTTATAATAGAATCAAAAATAAAATACTTAGGAATAAACTTAACCAAAGAGGTGAAGGACATGTCCACTGAAAACTATAAAATAAATATGAAAGAAATTAAAGCAGACCCTAATAAATGGAAAATCAGCTCATATTCATGAATTGGAAGAATCCATATTGTTAAAATGTCCATACTACCAAAATAATCTACAGATTCAATGCACTCTCTATCAAAATCCCAATGGCATTTTTTATAGAAATAGAAAAAATAATATAAAATTCATATGGAACCATGAGACACCATAAATAGTCAAAGTGATTTGAGAAAGAACAAAGCTGGAGGAATCACACTTCCTGATTTCAAAACTTATTATAAAGCTACAATAATTAAGGCAGTGTTGTGCCAGCATAAATATAGACACATATTCATAACAGCAAAAACATGGAATCAACCCAGATGCCCATCAGTGGTAGATTAGATAAAGAAAAGTGGTACATATACCCTATAGAATACTACACACCCATAAAAAGGAGTGAAATCATATTCTTTGCAGCAACATGGAAGGAGCTGGAGGCCATAATCCTAAACAAATTAATGCAGAGACAGAAAGCTAAATATTGCATATTCACACTTATAAGTGAGAGCTAAACATTGAGCACATGTGGACATAAATATGGGAACAGTAGACACTGCAGACTACTAGATGGTGGAGGGAGGAGGGTGGGTTAAAAAAACTGCCTATTGGGTATTATGTTCACTACCAGGTTGAGGGGATCTGTATTCCAAACCTCAACATCATGCAATATTCCCATGTAGCAAATCTGCACAGGTACACCCTGTATCTAAAATGAAAGTTCAAATGTGAAAATAATACAGACACATACGCCAAATAGAGAAGCCAGAATTATGCCCACACATGTAGAGTCGACTGATTTCTAACAAGGGTATCAAAAACCCACAATGGGAAAGTACGTTTTCATCAACAAATCATGTTGAGAAATCTAGATATTCACATGCAAAAAAATGAAATTTGACCCTTATTTTACAGCATACACAAAAATCAACTAAAAATGGATTAAAAACTTAAAAGCAAATATGTGAAGCTATAAAACTTCTTTCAGAAAACAGGGAAAAATCTTCCTGACACTGGTCTTGGCAATGATTTATTGGATTTGACACCCAAAGTACAGGCAACAAAATAAGAAACTGAGAAGCGGGACTACATCAAACAAAAAACTTCTGCATAGCAAAGGAAACAATGAACAGATTGAAAAGGGGGAAATCCCTGGAATTGAAGAAAATATTTGCAAACCATCTGTCTGATAAGGGACTAATAGCACTGTGGTTTTAATTTGTATTTTCCTAATGATTTTAAGTATTGTTTTCATGTACTTATTTGCCATCTATATATTTTATTTAGTGAAGTATTTGTTCAGATTTTTGGTTCACTTTTATTGATATTACCATTTGTTTTCATATTACTGAATTTTGAGAACTTCTTGTATATTCTAAAAACACGTTATTTTGCATGTGACTTGCAAATATGTGGTATATGAAGGCATATATTTATACAGAATTTTGTATATGGACATTCATATTGACATTATTTCTAATAGTCCAAAACAGAAAACAAACCATATTGCCATCAACAGATGAATGAAAAAGCAAACTAACATATCATACCATGAATAGTATTCAGCATTAAAAAAGAGTATTGATGTATGTGGAAACATGAATTAATCTTGAAATATTATGCTGAGTGAAGGAAGCTAGTCACAGATACACATACTAGATGATTCCATTTATGTAAAATTTTAGGAAATGCAATCTAATCTATGGTGAAAGAAACTAGTGGTTGTCTGGGGACAGGGGTAAATCTGAGTGGAATGAATTAGAAAGGAGTGTGAGCAATCTTTTGAGGGTAACGAATATATTTATTATCATGATTGTAATATTTCATACATATATTGAAACTTATCAACTGATATGCTTTAAATATATATAGTTTTTTTTTTGTTAATAAAGTTACTGAACAAAGTATACTAGGGGAGCTCTTTTTTTTTTTTTTTTTTTTTGAGACAAGGTTTTGCTCTGTCACCCAGGCTGGAGTGCAATGGCGTGATCTTGGCTCACTGCAGCCTCAGCCTCCTGGGCCCAAGTGATTCTCCCACCTCAGCCTCCTCAGTAGCTGGGACTACAGGCACTCACTACCACACCCAGCTAATCTTTGTATTTGATGGGGAGACAAGGTTTTGTCATGTTGCCCAGGCTGGTCTCAAACTCCTGGGCCCAAGCAATCCACCCGCCTCAGTCTCCCAAAGTGCTGGAATTACAGGCGTGACCCACTGCATTTGGCCTGGGAGATTCTTTTTTAAAAAGATACTTGAAGTGAAAAATCCTTTCCTAATGCAAGTTACCCCTCTGCTGTCCTAATGTAGTGTGTGTAAAATTTGCGTTGTCAGTTGGGTACAGTTCTCATCTGTGGGATGTTTGTCTCAGCACCTGGACACTCATTACCCTTTTGAGTCTCTTGAAAAGTATCTTATACTGTATTTTGCCTGTGGTGCTGCACATGACACCTTACCAACACCTTACCAAGACCTCATCAACCTGGATGGATCCCTTGATCCTACAGGGGTCAATGCAGATGCACTACATCTGTCACTCATTCCTTCAGAAAGCTTCACCTGGCCAGCTATAATGGGAGGCCTCTGTATTCTGGAAGAGCCTATTAAGAGTGTGTTTCCTGAATTACACATCATAGCCCAAATGAATATAACAGGATCTTCTGCTTAATGTTTCTGTATTTTCCTGTTAAATTGTACAGCTGAAGCAGGACTTTTGGTTTTTATTCAGTCAGACGTTTCTTTAAATTATCCCACCAAGTAAGAGTAGAATAATTTAGGGACAACGTGGTCTCGATTCCAACCTACTTGTATCATGGTTAACTAGTAACAGATATTTTACACCATCTTTGCTGCTTATTATTGCCAATTAAATATTCACAGCTGAAAGCAATTTATTTTAATAGTGAACGATCTCTTCTGAGAGATATATCCAGCATATCCTGGGGGGAAGCAAAATAGGAAGTCACCACTTGGGTATGATTTGAGTAGCGCCAAAAGGCACTTATGTAAAAATATCAGAAACATTTCGTCTGGCTGGTACTACAACAAGGGCTGACTTTCCCATGATTGGCATTTTGTGTTACAAATCTTACCAATAATCAATGTATATTTTTACCTAAAGCATGATACTTGCTAGAAAATGAAGTATACCAGATGCCACTTTGGTACAGGCACATGTATAACATAAAATAAATTTGAGTAGATCTTACACTGAAATTGATAACCCTCCTATTGCTCAAATATTAGCAAAACATACACACTCAAAAAGCTTGACTTGCAATAATAATTTTAATCCATTTTAAATTATTTTGGGAACACTTTAAATAAAACCATTTAGTATTTTATCTGAAGGATAGTATTTATACATGTTACGTATATTAATTTGAACTTTTTATAAAAATATGGCCAACATGGTGAAACCCCATCTATACTAAAAATACAAAAGTTAGCTGAGCGTGGCAGTGTGTGCCTATAGTCCCAGCTACTCGGGGGGCTGAGGCAGAAGAATCTCTTGAACCCGAGAGGCAGAGATTGCAGTGAGCCAAGATTGCTTCAGCCTGGTGACACAGCGACACTCCACCTCAAAAAAAAAAAAGCACTCAAAATCATAAAAGAATGACCCATGTGGTTTAATAATTTAATAATGTTTTTATACTATAAATATATTTTTTGTTTTTTGTTTTTTAATTAAATATAAAATTTATTTACCCTAATTCAAGAAAAATGTATTTATACATATGTGATTAGCCAGGTTTAATAATTTGAATATGTTCATTGTGATGGAAATGTTTTATAGTATTAATCATTACATGAGATTCTATTATTTGTTTTGTTGTTGATTTTGGTTTCCTATGAGAAAGGAATTTTGACTTTGATTTTCATTGCTAGGTGCTCAGCACTGAATAGAAAGCCTGGCGCATGGTAAGCATTCATAATACATACAAACTTACATAAACATATATATAATTGAAAGGCAAGTAAACATGAATTATATATTTGTAGACTCATATTTCTACTTTGAAATTAATAAAAATTCAGGGATATGTTTTGTATGAAAAAAACAATTTCATAGTAAGTTATGGAATACGCCCACATTTATTTCAAGGGAGGTTATGATTTTGTCACTGTGTTGTCAACGAGGTTTTGTTCCACTCTGCTAGAAAGAAAATGATTCCAGTGGGTAAATAAAGACTGAATACTGATAGAAGGATCACATTACATGTATTATTAATGCTTGCTTTGATAGGTCTATTGGTGAGAGAAGAAAGGTCAAGTATGAACACAATGGATACCCCGGAATCTAGGCCTTCATTAGCATTTTCTAGCTTTGGGGGTCATGTAAGGACACTTTTTTAAGGATAGACTAAACAGGTGGTTAGCCTTTGTAATCAAATGTCTTCATATTTTCATCACTAATACAATATCTTCAGGGCATCTTTGGACACTGAAACATCTCTCTTTCTCCCTTACATATCTCCTCTGCCTTTCCAAAGGAATAAAAAGTACATAGGATGTTACTGACTTTCTAAGTCTCTCTTTTTTGCCTATAAAAGATGTACTTTACTTTTTCCAGCTTTATTGAAGTATAATCGTCAAATAAAAATTGTATATATTCAAAGTATACAATGTGATGATTTGATGTATTCATACATTGTATAATGATTACCACAACCTATACTATTTCGTTTATCTTCTTTTCTTTCTTTTTTTTTTTTCTTTTCTTTTTATTTTTTGAGATAGAGTCTCACTCTGTCACCCAGGTTGGTCTTGAACTCCTGGCCTAAAGCAATCCTTCCACCTCATCCTCCCAAAGTGCTGGGATTACAGATGAAAGCAACCTCACTCAGCTGTTTCTTAGACATAGTAAGAGTTCTCAGTTCTTCAGTTTATCTTATGGCCAAAATTGAAAGGAAGATTAAAAATAGTGTTACATCTATATCTGTAAGCTTTTTTCAATGAAATTAGAGAAGAAAAAAGTAGTGGTAGAGTTCACAGATATAAATACTCGAACACATTTAAAGTTATGGTTGACGGATAAGTTACTTTACAATAACATATGGGATGTACAACAGTGAATAAAATATTCTCTTATTTTTCACTAGAATCATGAGTTTACATTGCAAGTATTTTTAACATTTTGTAATGTTTAGAAATATTGTCATTGTTTCTCAAGTTTAAAAGATATTTATGATATTAAAAGTAAAAGCACTGACTATAGTAAATATAGCACAGTGATAGACATATTAGTAAGTTATATGTTTTTCTGAAACTAGCATTAACTTTAGTTATATGTTGAAATGAAACTAAATGGCAATGGTTGCAATTTTTTATGATTTGTGCTCCGGGTACCTCCAGGAAGAGTCATTGCTTATTAACTAACAGCTAGATATTGCTGAAGTTATGGCTGTTTACTAATGAAGCAAAGTTATTTTGCTGCGACTGACTTTTATTGAAGAAAAGTCTCAGGGTCATATCTGCTATGGGTTAAAACTGACAGAGATTAGTTTAAATTCATTCAGCAGTTCAGCAGAGATGACGATGGTCAGGAAGGTGGTAGTCATAATTTATTTGTACTCTGAAAATGTTCTGACCTTATTTGCTTTCCAAGCTATGAATGGATGATTTCTAAATGGCTCAACATTCAGGATGTGTGCTGGCAAATAAAATCCCATAACACAAGAGGAATAATGTGGCAGGGGAAGTTTAAAGCCAATGTCCACGGCAGGAAATCTCTACAAGAAGTTGCATTTTTCATATTCATATTTAAATTTGTTTCCTCCCTGCCCTCCCTCTTTGCTTCTTCCTTCCTCCTTTCTTTTCCCTCTTTATTTGTTCTATCTGGCAACTAACTTAGTCTTAGAAATGATTTATTTTTGTAAACAGTATGCAAGAATGATTTCCACTTTAAATAAATCCACATTTCCAAGATAAGAACCACAAAAGAATGGACTCTAGACAGCCTGTGAAAAAGAACTTACATTTTATTTTTCATTTAGTTAGTCAGCTTTACTTCTGTTTTCTTGTACACTAAATCTTATGGCCATCTATAAACAAAATGGTAAAATAAGTAAAGTTTGCTTTATTTCTCCCTTCCTTTTAGCTCTTTTTCACAATTTTTTAGCTCCCTTCTCTGATACTAAGTACCTAAGGACCTTTCCTGCCTCTCCTTATTTCAGTATTTAAATTAAAGCTTTCCTCTGTAGAATATGATTCTATGGCACTCTCACATGACAAAATTGAAAGGTTACCTGTTGATGGGGCATATAGCTTTAAGAATACTGTCACCTGCATGATCACATGGAATGTTCTGTAGTAAAGGCGTTGTTACCTGCATTACATAAAGAAATATGGTTTGGAAAGGTTAAGTGACATAACCAATACCAATCAGTTAGTAAATGACCAAGGTAGAACAAAAACTCAGGTCTTCTGACTCATACTTCAACATTCTCCCAATGGCATTACATTGGAAAGAAACTGGTTAGTTAATTCAAATGTGACGTTTATGTATGATAGAAACTTCCTTTACTATTTATCCCAGAGTATATTACATTGTGGACAATTTCTAAACCAAGTCAAGTTTATGAACTGGTAGAAGACTATTACATAGTAGAGTTTTAATTGCTAGCAAGAGAGTATTGGCAGGAGAAATATTGTCACAAGGGTCATCTTAGTATTCTTCTGGTCACCAGACACTATCTACTAACTTTACCTGCACATAAAACAGAGCTTTGCAAATCTGATAACTTGCTTACCCATTTATTAAATAGAAAACTCTATAATTATTTTTTATCACTCAAATATTGGCAACAGACATAAACAGGAAAACTCTATGCATAGCAAAACTATTTAGAGCACAGGCTTTGAAATCAGACAGAATTGGGTTGAAGTTCTGACTCTGTATCTTACTAGTTTTATTACTGAGGTTTGGTTAATTAACCTCTCACTGTTCTTATTTGCCTCAATGGGAAATAGGAATGACCAAGTCTAATACTCAGCTGTATGCCCCATATGGCTCTATTGGTTGCTAAATCCTCAAATATTTAAAAGGCATAATGACACTTAAAAAGTTGTACCACTTTTCAGATGACTACTGTGTTAATCTGTACTCACATTGCTATAAGGAAATACCCAAGACTGGGTAATTTATTTAAAAAAGAGGTTTAACTGACTCACAGTTCTGCATGGCTGGGGAGGCCTCAGGAAACTCACGATCATGTTGGAAGATAACTCTTCACAGGGTGAGAGAGAATGAGTGCCTAGCAAGAGCGAAGGGGGAACTCCCTTATAAAACTATCAAATGTAGTGAGAACTCACTCACTATCTCGAGAGCACCATGGGGGAAACCGCCCCCATGATTCAATTATCTCTACCTACCCTTGAAACCGGGGGATTATTACAATTCAAGGTGAGATTTGGGTGGGGACACAGAGTCAAACCATATCAACTACTTTATCTCAGCATAATCATTTTTCTGTCCCACAATTTACTAAATGAATACTCTCTATGAAGAAAAATGTTAACACTTCAGTTTCAGGCAAAGAGACAGAAGTTTACCAATTTATTCAAGACATCAGCTTTTGGTCAGAGATTATCATACAAAACAATTTTCAGTTATAAACTGTGTTAGTATGCTTGCTTTGTATTCTTATACCAGGTGAGAGGTATGAAGAAGTAGGTACTTTTATGACATTTCAATCTGTTGTGAGCATGCCCTAGTTTCATGAATTTCCAAGGGATCTCAGGTTTAGTATCTTTACGTGTGTGCTACAGGTATTTTCCCTTTGTGTTATAACCATTTTTAAGTGCAGTTTGAGTGCACAATAATCATGTACCTCCCAAAATGTTTGAAAGTCAGTCATTTGGATTTTCCTTTATTTATTTCCTTCCCCAGTATGAGTCTTTAGTACTTTTATCCACCTACCTCCACCTGCTATTGACACTTCTCTTCTTCCTTTGGTCAACGTGATAAGCTTACGTGATATTGGCTTGTTTTTGATTGTTCATTTTTTTTCTGTCTTTGAAAATTATTTGAGTGTCTTAGGTCAGAGTGAAATGCATCATAATTTTTTCCCATTAAAATTAATGGAAATTTAGAGAAGATTATTTAACAGCTGTGCAACTAATGACAGCTAATTGCACAAACACATTAAAATTATTTCATAAGGGATAGCAGTTGGTAAATAATTATTGCTCTGAATCCTCTAAGTGCCCCACCCCAAAAACCTGGTCACCTGAGTGCTCCTCTAGAATGCCCTGCCCAGAATTTCCCCTACCTAGCAATGAAAAAGGCAGGATTAGACTCAGCAAGTGCCCTTCAGAACCCAGCCCCTTCATGGCTGGCTTGCATTCTGAATAGTCCATGCTCTAGCTATGCATGATATTTAATGTTGTGAACATTTCTCCTAATGACAATAATAATACAAAGGGTGGTTTGGGGGATAAAATTATGTAATGTGTGCAAAGAACTAGCATTGGATATCCACTGGATTGGATGAAGTCCAAAAGAAGTAACAATGCATAATTAAAATCAGAAATCTATGTCATTTATTTTTCTCAAATAATTTTACTCTAACAAATACTAAGGTAGAAAACCTCTTTTAGCATAAACACATGTGTATGTAATTAACATTTAACTTTATAATCAATGTAAGATTGCAATTTTATTGATAACATTTTCATGAAATTGGTATATGACTCAAACTTACATACTACTTACATTGGATGATTTAATTAATCAATTTTGTAAAAGGTTTAGATTCAGAGGACATGCAGGTTTGTTACATGAATATATTGCATCATGCTGAGGTTTGGGCTTCAGTTGAAATTGTCACCCAAATAATGAACATAGTACCCGATAGGTAGTTGTCCAACCCTTGCCCCCTTCCTTCCTCCCCACTTTTGTAGTCTCCAGTGTCTATTGTTCCCATCTTTATGTCTGTACCCAGTGGTTAGGTCCCACTTATAAGTGAGAACATGTGGTATTTGGTTTTCTGTTTCTGTGGTAATTTACTCAGGATAGTGGCCTGCAGCTGCATCCATGTTGCTGCAAAGGACATGATGTAATTTTTTTGTGGCTGTGTAGTATTCCATATGTATATGTACTATATTTTTTTAATTCAATCCACTGCTATTGGCACCTAAGTTGACTCCATGTCTTTGCTGTTGTGAATAGTGCTGAAGTCAACAAGTGAGTACAGATGTCTTTTTGGTAGAATGATTTATTTTCCTTTGTGTATATACTGAGTAATGGGATAGCTGGGCTGAATGATGATTCTATTTTTAATTCATTAAGAAAAGATGATTTAAGTTATATATGATGCTTCCTATATTATTTCTATAAACAAATTCTCACAAAGCATGCCTAAGCTACTGAGGAAAGCTAAACCAACGAATCCTACCTCTTTACAGTTGCCTATATTCTCAACTTCATTCACTTACTGCGTCTACTCATTTTAATAAGTATTCATTGAACAAAGAATATCTGCCAACCTCTACAGACTATGTTGGTGGCTAGGCATGCTTCTAGGCATCTCCTACGTGTAGTTCCTGACTGCAAGCTGCCTGGATCTAGGATGACTTTGGGTTGGTTGTTACTCAGGCTCTCTATGTTTCAATTTTCTCATCTGTGAAAAACAGGATTAAATATAATCTATACCTGATAGCATTGTACGGAGGACCTACTCAGTTAATACATTAAATTTTTTTAGAATAATGCTTTGGCAAAGAGAAAATATTCTATTAAAATAAGCTATTTCTTAGAAAAAGTATTGTCATTTTATAGCTCTTTGAGAAGTATTAAGTGGTTTCACTTTGGGCACTCAAGAGGATACCTGACTACCAGTGTTTGTAGTGCCCACATTTTTAATTTTCATAAAGGCCGATAAGTTGTGAATAAAAAAGGTTCAGCATATTTTAAATAATTTAGTGTTGACTAGCGTAATTTCATTGAAATAAATAGAAAACCATTATACAACTTCTTAGGATTATTATATTCTGTGAATTAAAATAAAAATAATTGAGATAGGATGGGGAGTAATTGAAGATAGAATATATACCATTCTAGATTAATTTTCTTAACGTTATTAACCGAGTTTTTATTAGAAATGGAGGAAAAAACTCCAGTCTGTGAAATATATGAAAGATCCCTATGCAAAGAGATCTCTTCTTATGGCATTAACAGGTGAAATTCTATGTGGCCTCTCAAAGAGAGAGAATCTGAGTTAGAGTGATAAACTGAATTGGAACTCTCCTTCTTACCATCCTGTACCCCCACCCCAACGGAGACTCGGTTTGTCTCCCAGGCTGGAGTGCAATGGTGCAATCTCGGCTCACTGCAACCTCCACCTCCCGGGTTCAAGGGATTCTCAGCCTCTGGAGTAACTGGGATTACAGGCGCGCGCCACCATGCCCGGCTGATTTTTTTCTTTGTATTTTTAGTAGAGATGGGGTTTCACCATGTTGGCCTGGCTGGACTCCAACTCCTGACCTTGTGATCTGCCCGCCTCGGCCTTCCAGAGTGCTGGGATTACAGGCCTGAGCCACCGCGCCCGGCCGGAATTCTCCTTCTTTAAAAAGAACCAGGCTTCTTGAGTATGAGAAAGAATAGGCTCAGAAGAATTGGACAGTGGCACAAAATAGAGGAAAAAGATTGCCAGTTGCAATGAAGAGTATGTGACAGCAGAAAGTAGAAAAACATGTGATAAGTGACATGGAGGATGCCAGAAAAATGAAAAGCATCATAGGAAGTGAAAATAACAACTTTGTAAGAACTAGAATGCGAAGAAATAACAAAGAGAGAAAGGATGGAAGAGTGATTGTAGAATCTGTGGAAACAGGAAGTACTGTAGTAAAAGACATTGGTACAAAGCACAGGGCTGAGCTTAAGGTATAAGTGAGAATTTTCAGACAGAAGAGATACACAAATCAAGGAATAAAACAAAGGAAAAAATCTAAGAAAACAAAAGATGGTAAAGCAATGCTTTATTGGAGTCAACTATTAGAAGTCTGTCCATTTCTTTTTTCCTTCTTTTTTTATTTTTTATTTTTTGAGACGGAGTCTCTCTCTGTCACCCAGGCTGGAGTGCAGTGGCGCAATCTCGGCTCACTGCAAGCTCCGCCTCCCGGGTTGACGCCATTCTCTTGCCTCAGCCTCCCGAGTAGCTTGGACTGCAAGCACACGCCACCACGCCCGGCTAATTTCTTTTGTATTTTAGTAGAGACGGGGTTTCACGTGTTGCCCAAACTGGTCTGGAACTCGTGAGCTCAAGCAATCCACCTGCCTCGGCCTCCCAAAGTGCTAGGATTACAGGCATGAGCCACCACGCCCGGCCAAGTCTGTCCATTTCTACCAAATCTTAGATTCCTTTAATATTTTAATAAATTTATTATTTGTTCTTTTAAAAGATGACATATATTAGCATTGTACACTAATTTTTTCAGCTTGAGAAGCATTCTTTCTAGGTTAATCAATTGTTTACTTGTTGAAACACTACGCTATTAAACAAGCAATTATTCCATTATTTTAAACAAATATGTTAATCGCCTCCTAAGGTCACCTTTTCAGAGTATTACTAGGAGTGATTACAAGATTAAATAATTAAAAAAAAAGCCAAGAATATGCAAATGAAATTTACATTAATTACCTTGCAATGACAAGGATGAATAGTTTTATTCATAAATCAGAAATCATTCCTGAGCTAGCAATCCACCATTGACACTTACTGTCATAGTATTTCTAAAGTGGCATTTAAAAAGATCATTGCTATCAGGTATGCATATTTTTTATGTATAGACATATATTATTAACTCAGCCTTTGAAAATACACTTACATCAAGTGATATACCTACAACACACAGTTATTGAGTTCTTTCTGTTGTCTAGATATTAGTTGAGTCTTTAAGAATACAAAGAAAATAAAACTAAGTCATTCATGCTAACAAGCTTCTGGTTTAATGAGACAGATATCTAAAGCAACTCCACTACAATATCTGTCTTTGCTATCACAGTTTGGTCAGTGTAAGACAAGTGAAGGTGAAGAGAAAGAAATAAGAAAGGCTTTTAAAGTAGGTGTTCTTTAAACAGGGCCTTAAGGTATACATATGGGAGGGCTAAATTATTCCTCATAAAAGAAGGAGCAAGTAGAGGTCATTATAGGCAGCAAACCCAGAAACATTATACATAAAACAAATGGGTCAGCCAAACACAAGAGAATTTGTAAATTTCTAAGATCTCAAAGTTCTATTTTGCTTTCATTTAGGTTTATATCATTACCCAACAGGAAAAATTAAAGGACTAAGAATATGAAGTCACCAGCCACACAGTAATATAATTAATCCTGAAGCATAAAATAACTTTTTATCTCTCTTAAATATTCACTGGTACCGTTGCATATTAAAAATGCAAAAGATGCTACATCTGACCAAGATCTATGTAAACTAAACTTAGGGAAAATAATAGATTTTATCATTATTTTAAATGAAAAGTTTTTAAATTGTTATGCTGAGTTACATTTACTCCAATGGTCAGATTGACAACACACACACACACACACACACACACACACACACACACACATATCACTTCATACACAAAATTTGTCAGCCAAAAGGTAAACTTGAACCTCTCCAAAAATAGTTTTGTTCAACACACAGCTATTGAGTATATGGTTTATGTGTGTTTCACTGGTAGGCGCTAAAGATAGGCATGAACTCAGATAAAATGCTACTTCTTCCTGTTCTACAAAGAAAACAGCCCATAGAAAGCTGTATTAGAAGATAATGCATATGTATAAGGGACATAATGATAATAATTAAGTTGGGAAAAGGGTAGCACTAGGGGATGTTTTCAGAAGCTGTGTTTGCATAGCAAACTTGTCATTTGTACTTATAATACATGCTTATTTTGGAAAAGGGAACTTTGGAGAGACTGGTGGGGGTTTATTTATGGGGCTAATGTCACCCCTTGGTGACATCATTAACTATAATCAAAACACTTGCTTAGGAAAAAAAGTCAAAGAAAAACTTTCATTGGAATTTCATTCACCAAGCCTAGGACAAATCCAATTAAAAGGATCCCCTGGTGAAATGTTGGCTAGGCAAAACACAAACGCCTGATATAATTCTACTAAAGAAGACTCCAGTTTGGACACGGAAACATAAATGTCCAGCAAAATTATTGTGAGAGACAATAATATGCAATTTATTGGGAATCTCTAGGAATAGAGAGGTTACTAGAAATAAATGAATGAAACACTGAAGACTACTTATCTTTCTTTATCTAAGAATCATGTAGGAGATGCCTCACAGTTAAAGTCCTTAAGTATAGAGATTACAAATACAATTCATTGTTTACAGTTCAAAAGTTTTATGCAAAATATGTGAGAAATATAAGCTACTCTAATAAACCAGACAGGGCCCTAGATGAGGAGTAAGATTTCAAGAAAGAATGCCAAAATGAGCTAAATGAATGTCGCAGAGACCAAGTCATGTTGAACTGTTCATCCCAAAAGCTAACAGACTATTCCAACAAACTCTAGCATACGTATCAACTGTACACTATGGAGGAACAGAGCAACTGTCTTGAAGTAAACATAAATTTTCTGTTCCCACTTTCAAGTATAGTAAAGGTTATTATGCTAATGTTTTAATGAATTTTAGCAGTTTGGTGCAGACATACTTCAGTAGCTCCATAGCCTTTGCTTAATGATAGATCACAGTCCCTACCTAGCAAACAGACTTTTGCCTTAGATAATCTGAACAATAAATTTGTGCAATTTAGAGCTCGAAAGACTAGCAGAAACTAAGAAATTGCAATATACTTGTATATCTTATCTTGTGGCCTGGAGTTCATATTGCCTTTCTCTGCAGAAGGTAATAGACTGATTAGCAATCCAGCAGAGTTCAACAGTTGTCCTGTTTAGGGGAGGGTAATTGCGTGGTTAACAGAAAATAGTTTTGTTGCTAGGAAACAAAGAATGTTATTACTACAAGTGAGGTTTTAACATATGGAAATAGTCCTCTAAGTTCTACAGTAAATTCTTATTAAATGATTGGATTTTTAAATTTGTTCTTGTTTTTCTTCTTAAAAGTAAAAGTAAATTTATCATGCGAGTTTCCCACCTGGGGCATAAATGTCATCTCTCTCTCTCTATCTCTCGTGTAACTGAGATTAATGTCCATCATTTTTCCTTTTTGTGGGAATACTTATGGCAATACATGGCATACTTTCTGAAAAAAAAAAAAAAACATTTCAGCTTAAGGTTTAGAAGTACTTTTGCTTTTAATTTTCCTTCTGAATGCTATTTGCCATTTAGCAAACACTTACCAAGCTGTATTGTGTTACACGTACTGACCTGAGCATTGTAGGGGATACTCTAGCTTCTGCTTTTAGCTTAACTTGGGAGATAAGACTTGATGTAGCAGAGATGCAGAGAAAGAGCCATGGCAGGAGGGAGAGATTACTTTCAGTTGAACAATCAGGAAAAACTTCAGGGTGGATATTGCATTTGTGTGGGGGCTTAAAGAATGAATAGTTTAAGTATTTGGAAAGAAGAGGAATAAGAAATGGGTACAATTACAGGTAGAAGGCGCAATGTAAACAATGGCCCCAAAGCAGGAGACATAGTATATGTTCTCAAATTGACAAGTTTTGATTGCTCGGCCAGCTTGTGACTCCTTCTTTGGACATACAGCCTACCTGGAATCATTCTATTAGTTGCCCAGCTGCCAATCAGAGTCTGCCTTTTAAATCTTAGAACTAAGAAACAAAGTTCCAGCAGTAGGATGGTAGAGATCCTAGAAATATCACCTGAAATCGGGACAGTGGAAGCTATATTTGATGCATTTGCTACTGAGAAGCAAAAAAAGCTTTGAGAAATTGCTTCAATCTTTGATAGGTTCCCAAGACTCATCTCCAGGTTTCATAGGATGTAATTATTTAGTTCTATTTAAAGATCTTGTGTCTTTTCAACAGACTTTCCTTTATTTTAATTAGCTTGCACAGGTTTCTGTTCCTTGTATTCAGCATCTTAACTAAAATATTAGAATGAAATGTTGAATGCAGTTTGATTAGAACCAAGAGGGCCTCAAGCAAATCAGTGGGAACCCTTTGTGAAGGTAAATGCATCTTAAATTATTGAATTCTCTGATTCCAATCAGTTTTTCTACTCTGGGAACAATAAAATAAAGTTTTTGAGCAAGACAGTGGTGAAATAATCAGAGCTATATTCTTGAAAAATTAACAACTTGAATATGCAGAGTAAATTAAGGGAAGAGGGTCAAATAGACTAGTAAACTAAATAGGAAGTCCTAGCCAACACAATCAGGCAAAAGAAAGAAATAAAACTCATCCAAATAGGAAAACAAGAACTCAAATTAATGATCTTGCTTGTCTGATGATATGATTTTTTACCTAGAAAACTCCAAAGACACCACCAAAAGGCTCCTAAGATTGATTAATGACTTCAGCAATGTTTCAGGATACAAATTCATCATACAAAAAACTAGTAGCATTTCTACACAGCAAGAATATTCAAGCTAAGGGCAAAATCAAGAATGCAATTCCATTTACAATACATACACACACACTGCCCAGGATACATATAACAAAGGAGGTAAAACACCTTTACAAGAAAAACTACACAACACTGCTGAAATCATAGATGACACAAACAAATGGAAAAATATTCCATGCTCATGGATTGAAACAATTAATATTAAAATGTCATACTGCCCAATGCAACGTACATATTCAAATATATAGCTATCACACTACCAACATAATTTTTTAAAGAATTTGAAAACATTATTCTAAAATTCATGTGAGACCAGAAAAGATCCCAAATAGCCAAAGCAATCCTAAGCAAAACGAACAAAGCTGAGGGCATCATATGATGCAACTTCAGACTTTACTGTAAGGCTGTAGTAACCAAAACAGCAGAGTACTGGCACAAAAACAGACACATAGACCAATGGAACAGAATAGAGAACCCAGAAGTAAAGTCACACACTTACAGCCACCTGATCTTCAACAGAGTTGACAAAAATAAACAATGGCTAAAGGACTCCCTGTTTAATAGATGGTGCTGGGATAGCTGGCTAGCTATATGTGAAGAATGAAACTGGGCCCCTACCTCTCACTGTATACAAAAAGTAACTCAAGGTGAATTAAAGATCTGAGTGTAAGACCTCAAACTATAAAAACCTTGGAAGAAAACTTAGGAAACGCCATTCTGGACATAGGCCTTAGCAAGGAAGTTATGAGTAAGCCCTCAAAAGCAATTGCAACAGAAAGGAAAATAGACAATTGGGACCTAATTAAACCAAAGAGCTTCTGCACAGCAAAAGAAGCTATCAACAGAGTAAACAACCTACACAGTGGGAGAAAATATTCAAAAACTGCATCCAACAAAGGTCTAATATCCAGAATCTATAAGGAACTTAAACAACTCAAATAGTAAAACAATAAGTAATTCCATTAAAAAGTGGGCAAAGGACATGAACAGACACTTTTTGAAAGACATACAAGCAGCCAACAAACATGAAAAAATGTTCAACATCAGTAATTATCAGAGATATGCAAATTAAAACCACAATGAGATTCCATCTCACTTCAGCCAGAATGGCTGTTATAAAAAAAGACAAAAAAAAAATAACAGAGGCTGGTGAGGCTGCAGAGAAAAGGGAATGTTCATATCCTGTTGATGGGAATATAAATCAGTTCAGTCACTGTGGTATGCAGTTTTGGAAATTTCTCAAGGAACTAAAAACAGAACCACCATTTGACCGAGCAATCTCATTACTGGGTATATACCTGAAGGAAAATAAATCATTCCACCAAAAAGGCACACGTGCACTCGTGTGTTTATTGCAGCACTAATTACAGTAGCACAGACATGAAATCAACATAGGTGCCCATCAATGATGGATTTGATATCGAAAGTGTGTTACACGTACACCATGCAATACTAAATAGCCATAAAAGGAATGAAATTATGTCTTTTGTAGCAGCATGGATGCAGCTGGAGGCCATTATTCTAAATGAATTAACTCAGTAACAGAAAACCAGATATCACATGTTCACACTTATAAGTGGAAGCTAAACATTGGGTTCACATGGACATAAAGATGGGAGCAATAAACACTGGGGACTACTGGAAGGGGGAGAGTGGGAGTGGGGAAAGGGCTGTAAAACTACCTATTGGGTACTATGCTCACCAACTGGGTGACTGGATTATTCATATTCCAAACCTCAGTTTCATGTAATATACCCATGTAACAAACCTGCATTAGTATTCCCTGAATCTAAAATAAAACTTGAAATTATAAAAAAATAGTTAATATTTTCATGACTTTTAAAAAAAGAGACTTGATAGGTGATGTGAATTAGAGCGATGACAGCAGGAAGAAGGCTTTTAGTGGAAGTATAATTTTCTTAGCGAAGCAACTGCTTAGATAACAAAATTAAAAGAGGAGTGAATAAAGAATACCGTAAGCAGTTATTGCTTAAATGACTGTCAGAGAAGGAGGGACTTAGAGATTTAAATTTAGTAATTAATTTAATGCAGGTAACATTTTGGACCTTAGGATGAGAAGACATCAATAAGTAATGTAGTATAGAGAGTTATGGGGATAGGGAGTTGACAACAAAATCTGAAACCTTGAGGGATGCCTACATTTTAGAAACAAAATGACAAAAATGAAAAACCAGATTAGTAAGAAGGATATTTGGAAAAATAAAAAAGTTAATAATGTAAAGTTAATGTAACATAAGTCTAGTGTTTTTTGAAGCCAGGTTAAGGAGATAAGAAAAAGGCCATAGGACACAGAAGGAGAAAATCGTTGGTGAAATTGTGTCAGTATAATTTCAAATGAAATGGGAGACAATAAAGGGAATACTATATTCCCAAGATATTTGATAGTAAAGAAAGGGAATATAGTTGCTTGAAGGAGAGTAAGTTCAAGAAAAGATATAGAAGCACGAAGATTGTCTTGCACAGTGACATGACATAGAAAATTAAGTGTTCAAAAGCGTAATGAAAATAATTTTTAAAACATAGTTATAAAGACAGAAAGGATGAAAGTAGAGCTCAAGTGGCTGAATGACTCTTGCAGAGAGAAGGTAAAGAAATGGGATTCTATATAAATACAGATATTTGAGCCAGGAAAAATTGGAAGAATAAACAATGGCTTCAGAAAAAAAGTAAAGATTATGTGGTGAAAGGAACTGGAAATGTAAGGAAAATAGAAAAGGCAATCTATTCAATATGAATAAATCATTGAGTTAGTGAGAGTTTGCAATAAGGTCAATTTTAATAGTTTCATATTATTTTATGTTAATTTATAGGGGATAAATAAAATACTTAATTGCTATTGTAGCCTAAAGATTATAGGTTCTTTAAGTATGAAGTTCTGCTTCTACCAACACAGTAGACTAGATATTCTGAAAAACCTAGGTAGACTAGATATTATGAAACACCTAGGTATAAAAAAATTGAAGCAAAGTCTTTAAATGAATTGTTGAGCTTACGCAAATTTAGAAATATAATCAAAGGAGTAAGCAAATATGGAAACCATAGTTGCTATTTGGACATTTGCTTTGGCTAGAAACCAGACTTCAGTTTTAAAGGCACTATTGTGAAATTAATACAATAACTAGGCCTCTTACAAAGTGACAAATTGGAATTGAGAATTATATAAAACAAAAGCCCCAAAAGGCTACAATGTCAATGAAGGGGGCGATAGAAAATGTAGCCTGAAAGCCAATGAATATGACAAGATAACTTGTTTATTTCAGGAAGATTCAGAATGGGAAAACAAACGAACAAACACACAAAGCTGAGATTTTGCAACCATAGACCTTCCTCACATTAATTATAATTTAAATTTTCTCAAATTTTAAGGTTCAGAAAATCCCACACAGAAAAATTGAAGAGGCCCTGGGTGTACAAAACTAGAAGAAATATGACAGATGAAAATTCAAATAATATCCCTTTAAAAAGCCTAATATAAACATATAATAAAACATAAAACACACAAGGAAGAAAGCCCCATGACTGACATTGAACAGTGTATTTATATTTCTTTCTTTCTTTTTTATTTATTTATTTATTTTGAGATAGAGTCTCGCTCTGTCACCTATGCTGGAGTGCAGTGGCATGATCTTGGCTCACTGCAACCTCTACCTCCTGGGTTCAAATGATTCTGGTGCCTCAGCCTTCCGAGTAGCTGAGACTACAGGTGCCTGCTACCACACCCAGCTAATGTTTTGTGTTTTTAGTAGAGAAGGAGTTTTACCATGCTGGCCAGGCTGGTCTCGAACTCCTGACATCAAGTGATCCACCTACCTTGGCCTCCAAAGAGCTGGGATTACAGGCATGAGCCACCGTGCCCAGTGCTGTATTTATATTTCTAAGAACTGTTAATACTGGAATTATTTAATGCATAATATAAAATAATTATTTTCACATTGTTGGAAGCAGCAAAATATGGATTTAGAAACTATAAACAAGAAATAAGAACTTGTAAAAAATTACCTGACCAACTGTAAACAACAACAACAACGATAACAAAAGATTGAGAAATGAAGGAGATCATTATCAAATTTTAGAATCAATTGATGGGTTAGGCAGAAGATTGCACTAAAAACAGCATTAGAATTAGTGGAGTTCTGCTACCATCTTGGCAGAGTAAACCTTTAAAATACTGATCATCCCAAATATAATATGAATAGACTCTGGACCAATGCAAAAAACAACTACCTGAGGGCTCCAGGAAGTGAAGAAAAGTAGGTGGATTTTGGAGGGAAGTTGAAGCTTTAAGAAAGGAACTAGTATATATGCTCCCTATTTTTGTGGATTTGGCCTGAGGGTGGACTATGTTCATAGCACAGAAAGGTAAAGCTGAAGCTCTAATAAAAAAATTATCAGTTGTTCTGGAAAATGAGAAGAGATTCCTGGAATGGAGATAACCTAGAAAGAAAACCCTGTGTTCTGTGTACAATCAATAAGTGTCTGTACCTTATCTATAAACAACACACATAGGCATCTTGGTAACAAGGTAAAAAAAAATTCTCATTTTAAGAATCGGGTTGCTATCCATTTCAGGTGAGACAAAGGTTGCAGTTTAAGCCTAATCAAATTATTTACTAAAAGTTACATAAACATTTTTCAGAGGAATATAACAAAATCAAGATTCTCCATCACAAATCCTTACAATATCCAAGATACAATTCAAAATTACTTAACATAAGAATAAAAAAGAAAATGTGACTATTCTCAAAGGAGAAGAAAAGTAAATGAGATCAGCCTTCAGATGTTCCAGATGGTGGAATTATCAGAAAAGAACTTATGTTGACTATGTTTAATATGGTAAAAAATATGCTTGCAATGAATAAAAATTAAAAAATCAACTGAGAAAAATATAACAAAAAAGTGAGTGGATACTTTAGAGGTGAAATATATGATTTTATATATATATATATTTTATTATACCTTAATTTCTAGGGTACATGTGCACGACATGCAGGTTTGTTACATATGTATACATGTGCCATGTTGGTGTGTTGCACCCATTAACTCGTCATTTACATTAGGTATATCTCCTAATGCTATCCGTCCCCCTTCCCCCCACCCCACAACAGGCCCCGGTGTGTGATGTTCCCCTTCCTGTGTCCAGGTGTTCTCATTATTCAATTCCCACCTATGAGTGAGAACATGCGGTGTTTGGTTTTTTGTCCTTGCGATAGTTTGCTGAGAATGGTGGTTTCCAGCTTCATCCATGTCCCTACAAAGGACATGAACTCATCATTCGTTATGGCTGCATAGTATTCCATGGTGTATATGTGCCACATTTTCTTAATCCAGTCTATCATTGATGGACATTTGGGTTGGTTCCAAGTCTTTGCTATTGTGAATAGTGCTGCAATAAACATATGTGTGCATGTACCAATGACTTTCTTCACAGAATTGGAAAAAAACTACTTTAAAGTTCGTATGGAACCAAAAAATAGCCTGCAGTGCGAAGTCAATCCTAAGCCAAAAGAACAAAGCTGGAGGCATCACGCTACCTGACTTCAAACTATACTACAAGGCTACAGTAACCAAAACAGCATGGTACTGGTACCAAAGCAGAGATATTGACCAATGAAACAGAACAGCCCTCAGAAATAATACCACACATCTACAACTATCTGATCTTTGACAAACCTGACAAAAACAAGAAATGGGGAAAGGATTCCCTATTTAACAAATGGTGCTGGGAAAACTGGCTAGCTATATGTAGAAAGCTGAAACTGGATCCCTTCCTTACACCTTATACAAAAATTAATTCAAGATGGATTAAAAGACTTAAATGTTAGGCCTAAAACAATATATGATTTTTGCAATTTTTAAAAAATTCACTGGATAGATTTAATGGAAGAATGGCGATGACAAAGGAGAGAATCAGTGAACCTAAAGATAAAATAATAGAAATTACTCAATCTTAAAAGGAAATACTATTTGAAATACTCTTATACTGCCAACAACCCAAATACTATCAATGCTATATTGGATAAATAATTAGTGGTATATTCATATAATTGAATGTTGCATAGAAAGGAAAATTAATGATGTAGAGCTGTTAATACCTAAAACAAAATAGATAAACCTTTCATACATAATACTGAGCTAAAGAAACAAAACATAAAATAATACATAGATTTCCATTTGTATAAAGTTCAAAAATAGGCAAAACGTTTAATTAATGTTCCTAAAAGGAAGTTTTCTGTTTTAATACTGGCTGGAATATAAACAGTTTTGTTGAGCCATCTTAAATCCCGGGAAGATATCAACATTCTGGGCCATGGTGAAGCAAAAATAGGAACATGGTAAGCAAACTACATTTTGTAGCCAAATCTTGCCCACCACTGTGTTTGACCTGCAAGCTAAGAATGATTCTCCCATTTTTAAATATTGGTAAGAAATAAAAAGACCAACATTTTGTGACTTGTGAAAACTGCAAGAAATTCAAATTAGAGTGTACAGAAATTTTGATTATCATTAATACAAAATTTGTAGATATTTATTTTCTCTCTTGTAATAAAAGTACTTGCATAATATCCTCTTTGCCTACAAAGCATAAAATGCTTAGTATCTTGACCTTTACAGAAAAAGTGTTTGCTGACCCTGATATAAAGATGCTTTGATTCTCAGTTCAGCTAATGGAACACTAACTCCCAGACAGTCATCCAGGCTCACCTATTACTTAGATATTTCTCTGAGATACCAAAAAGAAAATAAAAACAAAAAAGTAACCACTTTTATAAGCTTTTGGTTAAAGCAGTCAAGTAAATATTAGGTCCTAACATAGGTCTATCGTTAAGCTACAATCTAAAAAACAGGAACCATATGAGATATTTCAAGTAGTGAGAATTTAATAGATGGGATTGTATACTTGGGATTTGGAAGGTAGAAAGAGCAATAAAGGATCAGTGGTGTAAACCTGGGAAAATAACTACAGAAATAACTACAGAAAACTACAATAACTACCTAGAACTTTGAGTATAAAGGAAACAGTGATGTTACATTGATTCTAGGGGCTCAGACACATGGTACTCCATGTAGTGCCCAGATTTTTAACAGGAAGCTCTGTAACTGTTATTGGTACTATGGATGCTAAAAGAAAGGTGGTGGCCAGAGCCAACCTCCTGCAAGTGTAATGCTGACAGAAGTAGGAAAAAGAGTAGGAATCCCTCTTCCCACCTTTCAATCTCCTTGTAATAGTTGCTCTTTTCAGATGGTCTGAGGAATATTGTTTGAGATTCTCAATCCTTGAGTCACAGAGCAGAGTATAGAAAAGCTGTCTCTCAGTAAGTCAAAAGCCCACCAGAAAACTTTTTTTCATCGATATATTTTTAGATGATTCCAGTCACACAGATACACAGGCTATCAATTAAAACTCTCCACTTCTGACCATTTATAATAAATGAACTTCTCCTCTCCCTAAACAGACTGTAATTTTAAAATATTTGGAAATAACTACCATGACCAAGAAACTATGCTATATCTTGGGCAAGAAAGAGTCTAAAGATAAATAAGATATTGATTGAGAATGACATTTTGAATTTCTATTCATTTCATACCCTAATCCAAATAGTACAAGATTATTTACTATACAAAGCAACATGGTAACAAACATGTTATCTGAAAAAAAATTATTTTTCTTATTCTCCTAAAAAGTTACTCTGTAAACACCTTTGCAATCCATTACACTAAATTTTAAAATATGAACACTTCAAATCAAACATGCATTGATACCAGGAAATGTATCTTAAAAATAAATGTTTTCTTAGTAGTAATATAATGTCCAGAGACAGTTTTAAATGCTGAGGCCCAATCATCAGGGATTCTGGTAGTTACTTATTCTCACATTCATTACTGAAGCCTCACTACTTGTTCTTCATTGGCCTTTTCGTTCTTATCACTGAAGCTGTTTCCTTTCAGAAATTTAAAAGAAAATATAATTGTAAATTTATTCTGCATGAGATGTCATAATGTTATAAACATATTCATTTAATAGAGACTTTGTGATCTTTTATAAATTAGAACTTAAAGCCAATTAGAACCAACTAATTAAGAGTTGAGTGTGACTAAATTAAATGCACTGTTCTTAGGAATAGGAAATTCAAAGGCAAAGGTAATGAGATGGATATATAAAAATAAAATGGTATATTAATTACATTATAAAGTATTAATACATTTTTATATTGGTCCAGTAAAGAGCAAGCTTCTACTCATGTGTGGGAAGAATAAAGACTATAGATTTGTGTGATCAAAGGTGGCTGTGGCTTTGGAGCTTGCCAGCTGCACTTCACTTAGAAATTGTTATAAAATATGTACCCTGGAAAAATGCTCAGAGTTCTAATTTTATTGAAGCCATATAACAGACAAAAGAAAAAGGAAAAAAAAAACCCTAGACTGATTTACTGCTATAGATTTTCTCCTACCTGCTATATGAACATACATTTGTTAATATTTGTCCTTGAAGCATGTATATATGCTATTATTTCAGCTTTTTACATCTTAGTTAGCGTACAATGAATAAAATATTTGCCCTATATTCAATTTTATTCTATACAGTATCTCTAGCACGATAGCTAATTTTTTTCTTAACTCAAGGCTTCCATGTCTTGAGTTAAGAAAAAAATTCAAATTAGCTATCGTGCTAGAGATACTGTATAGAATAAAATTGAATATAGGGCAAAAATTGCATGGCACATGTATACATATGTAACTAACCTGCACATTGTGCACATGTACCCTAAAACTTAAAGTATAATAATAATAATAATAAAAAGATTTCCTTTTATACTATGATTTACAAGTCACTATAATTTCCAGTCTTTTTATGTTTTAAGTGTACTTTATCATGTTCTTCTTTTTGCATGCTGTTTAGACGTATGAAGAACATGAGTCTTATCCCATATATTAATAAAACCTGTCTCTTAAGCAATTTTATGTGAAAGAGTAGCTTTAACTTAGTAACCTAAAATGAGTAACCAAATGCAAAAATTAAGAGAATGTTTAAGGTGATTAGATTCTCATTATCAATGAAAGCAGTGACACTTAAACTTTATTGAAATATCTGATTATTTAAAGTATAAATGTTTTAATAAAGCACTAATAATATAAAATGTATTTGCCTTTTAGAATAATAAAGGCTATTTTTCTCAGTTGAAGTTTGTTAGTTAACTGCCTAATTTTTGTCATTGTTGCTCCCAACTTTTTAATATTTGTTGCTTTCCATACTGTGAAAACATTAACTAGATTCAAGTTTGTCTAATCGTCTTTGTGATGACAATTAGGAAAACAGTAGTTCCATAGATTAACTAAAATATACTAGGGAGAAATTCTTCTTCATCATCTTTTTTTATTTTTATTTATTTATTTTTTTGCTGGAGTCTCGCTCTGTCACCCAAGCTGGAGTGCTGTGGCATGATGTTGGCTTACTGCAACCTCCACCTCCGAGGTTCTAGTGATTCTTTTGCCTCAGCCTCCCAAGTAGCTGGGACCACAGGCATCTACCACCATGCCTGGCTAATGTTTGTTTGTTTGTTTGATGTTTGTATTTCTTTTAGTAGAGGTGGGCTTTCAACATGTTGCCCAGGCTGGTCTCAGACTCCTGACCTCAAGTGATCCGCCTGCCTCGGCCTCCAAAGTGCTGGGATTCCATTCTTCTTTATGAAGTGAATTGGTGGAAGAGCTTTGCTGTAATGACCTTTAATGTCAATCCATCTTGTAAAAGGGATAATGCTAAAATTCACCTGAGGCCTTTTATCCAGCCGTGGAATTACCATTTCTGTCTATGTCAGTTATTAATAAAACTTCTTATATGCTAGTTCCAGAATGGGGGTAATAAGAGAAGTAAGTGAAAATGTAAGGTTTTAGGAAACGCTATGGAACATCTGTGAGTGAAAAACATGTGGCCTGCTGGACTAGCTCGGAGATAAACTAAGATGCTGTTGTAGAAGGAAGGAAGAATGAGTAAGTTTCATTTATAAACATTATTTTTAATAAGTTTGCAGCTTTCTCAAATGTTCAATCTTAAATATTCCTTGCTAACTACTAAAGTATGAACCTACAGAAACCTGCAAACATCTAGTGAAGGATGTCCAGTCTTTTGGTTCCCCTGAGCCACATTGGAAGAAGAAGAATGGTCCTGGAACACACATAAAATACACTAACACTAATGATAGCTGATGAGCTAATAAAAATGGCAACAAAATCTTAAAATATTTAAGAAAATTTATAAATGTGTGTTGGGTTGCATGCGGTCCCTGGGATGCAGGTGGGACAAGCTTGATGAAGTGTATGTAGACAAGACAGGAAAGACCTTGACAAAACGTGAGAACAAGGGAGTGATGTAGAGTCCTGATGATTTGTTCCAATACAATATAGTGCCAGAAGCTGAAACAGAGGATGTTAAAGGCAAATGGAAAGGCAGGGGAGGAGGAAGAGATTTTTGATGGAAAGTCGTGTTCAAGTGGATGGACTTGAAGGTCAGTTGAAGGGTCAAAAGAGAAGATATCAGTTTGTCCGTCACCATCAAATATGCTCCAGCAAATTCTAACTGAAAGACCTCAGTTCATCTTACATATTATCAGGCATCATTTCAAGCAGCAGTAACAACAAACAATGTCTACGTTTTTCATGGCTTCAAAATCCCAGGCTGAATGGATAAAATTTTGTTTTACTGTGGTGATCCCTATTTGACACTCACTTGTTATATCATTAACTATCACTTATAATGGATCTAATTGCTTGGAGGTTTTTATTTGCTCTTATCTCTTCACTATTAAATTGTCTGTTTTTTGTTAGCGTTTGTTAAGATTACAATCCTTTTTTTTTTTTTTAAATTTCTAATGTGCTTTCCCATGACAACTTATCTACCTATTCATGTCATATCATTTCTTCTTTATGTTCTTGCCGGGAATCTACACAGCATTTGTCACAACTGAAATATCAAAATAATTAGGATTAGACCAACTTTTATGCTTGCTTCAATATACCCCCTCAAGTGTCTACAGACACTGCCAAAGTTTAAATGCATATTATCTGTAATTAGCTGAGATAATGTTGAAATTCTCAGGAGATTTATTTTAAGTAGAACTTTGTTAAGTGTATTCCTAAATTTGCCTTCCTGTTTTCCCAAGTATTATAATACTATAACTATTTACATGCAAATCCTGAATCATTAGAAAATACTTTTGTGATGTACATACACCAGTGTTGAACCTTTTCTTAGGGGAAGAACTGAGTTTACGTGAGAAAACCAACCCTGATAATAGAAATTCTTAAATGATTCTTTGGTGTGTTATTTGAAAAGTTCAACCTGATCACACCAGATACAGATCTCTCTGTTAATGAGGATTGGTATTTTTTATACTTCTCAAAATACATTTTATAATAACATAACTTTTCATCTCTTTACCCCACTCTTTTTTTCTTTTTCTGTTAGTACAAATTACCTTGTAAGATACTACATAGTTTACCCATGTCTTTGAAATCTTTTATGAGTGAGTCATCTGTTAAATACTTGAATACTTGCCATACAAATTTCATGAAAGTTTGCAGTAACTCTGAAAGATAAATTATTTATGACCCAAAGAAAAATGATGTGTTCAATTCTACATTTGTTTTTGTTAACTCACAGAGAATGACCTCCTGATATATTATAACATGATATAGTGGTACATTATGTTTTATGTGTGTCCATGAATGTGTGTGTGTGTCTGTGCACGTGTTAGCTATTATAACGTGATATAGTGGTACATCATATTTTGTGTGTGTGTCTGTCTGTGTGTGTGTGTGTGTGCGCTTTGAGGGGAGCAGAAATTATTTGAGAAAAACACTTCAGCATTGAATTCTATATAAACCATTCCCACTGGGCAGTTTTTAGAACTTCAATTTGATGTTTTATTAATTGAATTCATAGGGGTCCAAAACATTTCTGTTTCCCAAATTTATGGGGATGGAGTCTTCATTCAGCAGTGATTTCAAAGTAACTACACTACTGACTTTTTTTTATAAATGTCATTCATATTTTTCTTCCTTTTGTCAGAATCACTTTATATTTTTTTCTTTTGTATTAATTCATTTCAAATTTGGGAATACGGCTATTTACTTTTAATAGACAGTTAAATTCTTATTAGCTCAATCAATAATAGATGTTTGATCTGAGCCTTTAATCTAGACAGGAAAGAAAATCTGATTAAAACGTGTTTACTAATTTTTCCTTGTGGTGAATGCTAGTTCACATAGAGTCTTTCACACATTTTATACATATCTTAATCTCTATAGACAACGTAAGTATAGTAATTAATATATTTCATATTATTACATAATGTTTCTAAATCAAATATCCTGTAATCCAAAGAGTTTGTATTCATTTATTTATTTTCAAACTCTCTGTGGTTCTTAAATTTCCCATTCTAATATACTTGCTCTAGACTTTGGAGGGAGGTAGAAGAACAAGAGTTATAAAAATAAGAAGAATTAGAAAGTGAGTTGCGAAGGCAAAAGGTTCTGGAGAAAATCTAGAGAAAAGACATCAACAGAGGAAAGAAACACTCCAAGGGGAAAATCTGAAAGCTGTGACAATCATCAGTTACAATTACATTACTCTGATAATGAAGCTTGGCTGGCATCTGTCACTCTCCTTAAGCCACCCACTAGGAAGCTGATAGTGTTGCTGTTTCCTCAAAGAAATACTGTCTCTTTGGTTTCTTTGGATAATTCCTGAAGAAATGATATGGTGGCATATTCTGAAGAAAAGGGTAGATATTGGTGGGGCAGCAGATGGAATACACTGATCAGTAGATCATAGGGTCTCCCAAATCCCAGTTCCATGAATTACTGCTCTATAAGGAACAAATAGAATTTGGTTACGACCCTTGCACCTGCTGTTACTTTGAGTTTTGGGGAATAATGCTGTTGAAGGGATGATCATAATTTGTTATGTTGAAATAGTTTTATGAAAACATTATTACCAAGAATAATTTTGTTAAGCCTGCATTTTAAATATGTGGCTGAACAAAGTTTTATTATATTAGAAATTGTAACTGATAATTGATAAACACATTGTCATAATGAAACACACGAATAAGTAAACTGTCTTCCCATGTTTTGATGAACATGCTCTTGAGAAGTCTTCTTACTATTGTCAATTCTAATTGAAAAAACATTTTAACTTAAAAAATGTTCATGACAGCATGAAAGAATTCTCCATCTTTTTCTCACTTTACAGTCTTAGCATATTTTATTTCTACTCATTTGAAATTACTTTTTAATAGGATGCTTATATTGATGGATCTTATTTTCCTTTTTTTTTTTTTTTTTCTTTTTGGAGACAGAGTTTTGCTTTTGTCACCCAGGCTGGAGTGCAATGGCACGATCTTGGCTCACTGCAGCCTCTGCCTCCCAGGTTCAAGCGATTCTCCTGCTTCAGCCTCCCGAGTAGCTGAGACTGCGGTTGCCTGCCACCATGTCCGGCTAATTTTTTGTATTTTTAGTAGAGATAGGGTTTCACCATGTTGGCCAGGCTGGTCTTGAACTCCTGACCTCAGGTGATCCGCCCGCCTTGGCCTCCCAAAGTGCTGGGATTACAGGCCTGAGCCACTGCGCCTGGCCTGTTCCAACAATTTTTAAAGTGAATATCATTTAGAGTAGATCATCCTGTGAAAACAAGGAAACGAAAGGTCTTAACTGGAACATCTGACCCATAAACTGCACTTTCACTGCCTGCCAAAGACAATTTTACTACTAAGTCCACACTATAAACAGAGGTTTTCTAAATATCACTGTGCTCAGAAAGTCTTGCTCCTTTATTTCATTTTTAACCGCTTCATGAGTGTACATCTAATCTCCATATGTGAAGATTAAGCGTGATGAGGGTAGGGGCCATGGCAATCTCATTGTTCCATATTCCACTTCCCCCCATAGTTTCTCAATGAACCTCTAACACATGTATGAATCCAAAGTAATTTTAATCGTGCTTATATACCCTTTAATGTTCTGTGTTTTCTGTTGGTTATCAGTGTGCGTGTGCATGTGTGTGTGTTTTATGTATGTCACGAAACATACATAATCTCTAAAACTTTAAATCATCTCTGTAGCAGATAATATTTAAGATGTCAGTGTTTCCTTTCTCCACATTTCATTTACTCATTACTCTTCTCCCACTATTTATTTGCCAATAAGAGCTTTCCATTAGCTCAATTTCTAATAAGCTTGAAGTTGATACAGTTTAAGACCAATTGTTCTAATGCAAACTTCATAACAAAAAGTCCAGTAGTAAAAGTCCAATACAAGTCTACAATTTCGATATCCAAAATTGGATATCTGAACTGTGAAAACTAAACTTTTCTTGGTAGTGAAACTACGTAATCGAACTCTTTTGGCTGCAAAATTTAGCTGAAATGACATTGCTTTATTTATAGTCTTTATCCCTCTCACTCTGAATATTCCTACAATTTCCTGCCGAATTATTAATGTGTTGGACTCTGAGGTGCTACCCTAATTCTGCTAGGGTGTTGTCTGATTTGCAGTAAAGGCACTGTATAATTCTTTTGATATGTAGAACATTCCAAAATTTGAAAACTCATCTGACCCCAGGGAGTTCAAATAAAAGATTGCAAACTGAAAAAGCCTGGCAAGAAAAATTCGGCAATTTTTAAATTGAGCATCCAATTGAAGTGACATTAATACCTCAATAGAATCGAACCAAAATTATTACTTCGGTGCTTTTCTGTCCTTCCCATTTCATAATAGATAGCATCTCAGCACAGAGTGTTGGGAAATTCCTTATCTAGTGGAGAAAAAACAAATGGGAGAGAACAGATTATTGTCGCCTAGTATTTCCTTCTCTTCTCTTATCCCAGTTTTTAATATTTTATTATGGAAAGAGTGTCCATGGCAATAACATCATATCAGTTATTATATTGTTGTAATATATTGCAGTTTGTATTATAAAAATTAAAATATAAAACAGAAATATATTTAATAGGTAGTTCAATCAAATTACATTCAACAAGCATTTTCAAACATCTATGGACTTTCCCTTATCAAACTAACACAGGAACAGAAAACCAAATACCACATGTTCTCACTTATAAGTGGGAGCTAAATGATGAGAACACGGGCACATAGAGGAGAAAAACAGACACTGGGGCCTTTCAAGGGGCAGAGAGTTGGAGGAGGGAGAGGATCAGGAAAAATAACTAATGCGTACTAGGCTTAACACCTAGGTGATGAAATCGTCTGTACAACGAACCCCCATGACACGAGTTTACTTATGTAACAAACTTGCACTTGTACTCCTGAACTTAAAATAAAAGTTAAAAAAAAAAGAAAGTGCTCGTATCCATGTGCAATTTTGCATGCCGTTGCAGAAATTAGTTTCATTGACTCCATCCCATTATCAACCCCCTTTAAGGTGCCTATGAAGAACCTTACTCTTAAAATGTGTCAGAGATCATGCAAAGAATTGGTGTTATAGTACATGGCTCTGGATTTAAACAGTCCAAGTTTAAAAGAGGATACAGACAATTAGACACATTACTATCATGCTATACAATAATTCTTATAATTCACATAAGTGCAAAGTAATATTATACCACAGAAGAAGGAATAACTATTTACAAGGAAGTTTTCCTAGAGGTGAAATTTTATTGAATAATCATGGAAGGGATCTTATAGAGAGATTTCAGGGAGGAAGTCTGGGGGAGGCTAGAGAACAGTTAAACTAAATGAAATTGTGTACTCTTCTCAAACACAGTGTTCTAAATCCCATGATTGCATTTTCAGAAACAAAACAGAACAAAAATTTTGTTTCTCAGTCTGGCTCTCCAGAATCCATTCACGTATTCTGTAAATATTTGTTGACTATCATTTCTGTTCTGTGCCAGGTCCTAGAATGTGGAGCAGCGTGACACTGTGTTTGTTGTTAAGGAGATCACTGTCCCGTCTGGGAGACAGGAAAATAAAAAATAAATAACAGAATGATGTTACAGAGACTGGGCACTGTAGTGACATTTTAGCTGATGAATAGTGTCAAACCATCTCCCAAGACCCCATTGAAATAGCCCTGAAGATAGATGCACAAATCTTGGCAACAGTACTACACACTAAAGAGAACTAAGTTGGTGTCTAGAGAAATTTACAGACATCCCTGCACCATACCTTCTCTACCCTCTGACCCAGAACAACCCAAATTGCTGTCCCTAAATCTGGGATTCAAGGATGTTGTCAAGTAGAATTGCATTGGAATAGTCTGAGCTGGTCAGAATCAGGCTTATTCCTTACAACTATTGCCCTTGCCTTTTCTTCTTCTGCATTGGTTTCAATATAACTCCTATGATTCAATATGTATCAGTCAGTGTTTTTAGTAGCAAGCAAAAGAAGCAATTTATATTGTCTTAGGCAAATAATTTATTGAAAAAATGGTGTATAGAGTTCCCTAGAAGACTGAAAAACTCAGTGAGGACGTAACAATGCCCTAAATCATACTTCTAAATTGCTGCTGCTACCACTAAGTCCTGGGCATGGCAGGTTGTACCTCTTGCAACTCTCAGATGTGGCACTGTATACCATTATTAGCAAAGTGGCACCAGAACCCCCAATGTAAGTCATGTAACTACCAGAGAAGATTCTCTGTGGTCTAGTTCTGTCTTTATTATGGCACCAGCAACCTTTTCACTTTCCAGAATAGATGTATCCGATTGATGGGTCCCTAAGGCAACCTGCAGTCAGCTAAAGAGGAGACTAAGCAAGGTAGTCAGAGCCTAGTTTAGTTTGTAGATCCAGGAAACCACTTGATCTTACTAATATAGTGGATTGGTAATGCAGGTGATGAAAGAGCTAAGCCAAACAGAACAGTGAGACAGCCTCAGAGATTAACAGCAAGAGAAAGCTACTGATATTTCTGATGCTAGAGAAACAACTGGTGCAGCCAGAGCTCAAAAGAGAGGAAAATCTGGTTGTAACTAAAGCTGCAAATGGAAAATGCCTAGCTAATGTTAGGACCTGGAGGGAAAACATTGTCCCTGGAGTTAGAGTCATGGAGGAAATGCAACAGAGATGCTGTCTCAGATGGAATGAGAGACATAAAAATGCCTTGCCTCTCCACTCTTCCCAACTTCTGAACATTCATCAGTGCTTTCCATTGACCCAACCTCCCCAGAAGTCCATTGTATTTTCCTGTGATAAAGAACTGAGCAGGGCAAGAAAGGAAATGGATCTAAGATACAACAGGCAAGTAATATGAACACTGATAGAACAAGTAGCTGAAATTGTCAACTTATCAGGATTCCATGGCAGGAAATTTCCCATTTGAAAGAGAGGTTTCAGGAGGTGGGCAATGAAAAAGAATGGTGTATATTCACCACACAAACCACCAGAAACAAAAATAGGTGGTGATACAGTGGTAACATTTCCTAGGAGGAAATATCAACACCAGGAGAGCTTTGTTGACAGGGACCAAGTCAATAAGACAGAAGTCCTGGAGCAATGTGTGTTGGGATATGACTGCATCTGACTCCCCGGTTTGGTTTAAGAATTCCACAGTCAGAGTAGGTGGTTTACTTCCACTCCAGGACTCAAACTGACAGTGGAAACTGTCAAAGTGGACAGGGAGGATGCTAGGGAACCCTCATCTTTCCGTTGTTGTTTTCTACACTTCATTGCAGAATTATTAAAGCAAGAAAAACAATCATGACTCTATGGCACTAGTGAAAGGCAGTATTTTCCCAGAGGATTCAAAGGAAGAACAAACATCTGAATGTGTTTTTTTAATCAGAAAAACATTCTAACCATTGCCAAATCCAAATATCACTTCCAGTTACTGAAACTTTTTCTGCAATTAAAGCCATTGCCTACCCCTTTCTTCTTGAAACTCTACTTGGTTTCCATGAAACCGTGCTGTTTATTTCCCTTCTTTAAATCTGATCATTTTTTCCTGCTCTGATTCCTAACTCTTAGAGTTCTTTAGATTTCCTTTCTCTGCTCATTGTACTTCTTGCTTGATGTGTAATTCTTGAAAGACATAATTTAATTTACTCTCATTTTTAATACTTACAAATGTCTGACTTCAAAATCTACATCCCCATTTCTTCACCTGCTATTATAAAGGTCTTTATACATGAGAATTAAACATCACTAATTCTGCCCCTCAAAAACACACTGTCTTCCTTAAAGCTGGTTCTTCATGTGTTCCTTCATTCAGTTGATAAAAGGTGCCACTCTCCTATTAACTTTGAGCCCTCCATGTCTCTCATGTCCAAATCCAATAATTAATAAATTCTTACCCATTAAATATTATTCAGAATTAGTTTTTTCTATTTTGTCCTACTCCTATTGTCCTGGTTCTGGACTTTGCCATCTCTAACTGGGCAATTACACACAACTAGCTGGACCTCCAGTCTCTAAGCTCGTTTTACTGAAATCTATTCACACAGTTGCCAGAAATCTATCTAAAAGATGCATATGTCATACTTCTCTTCTTAAAACCCTTCAAAAGTTATTTATAACATACCAGATAAAAATCCAATCACTCAAGCTTCTCAAATACCTTAACCCACTAGTCTGTTCACTGATGCTTTCTGTTTTACGCCTCCTCTACCTTTCTTAAATTGGGTGCACTGCTCTTCCCCCAGCATGATATGTTCTCTCTTGGCAAGAATCCCCCAATACCATTTCTATAAGCTTTACCTGGCGAACTATTCAGTCTTTAAGACTGAGTTCAAGATTATAGCTTCTGGCAATCCATTCAGATCAGGTCAAATAGAATTAAATGCTTTTCTTATCTGCTCCCATTCACAGAATGCTGAGCATAAGTCTACGGCTGTAGATATGATATATTTTACATGTGTGTTCCAGACACAAGACTGTGAGCTCTTGGAGGGCAGGATGTATCTCATTCATGTTTATATCTCCCACTCTTATCAGACATCAGTGCATACTGAATTTTGAATCTAAACACCTGACTTTGTGTTCTTCTTCTGATATTGATCAGTCAAGTGGCCTTAATAGAAACAACATTTTATCTTCCTCAGTTTTCTTATTCATAAAGTGGTGTCATAATTTTTAGTTAATTGTCTCATAAGGTTGTTTTGAGGCTCACATGAGATGTTACAATTATATTTTACATACTGCATGAAATATCCATATATTGGTTGTTTTGTAAATAGTATTGGTTTGCTAATTACAAATAAGAGCTTGAGCTTAAGTACAGATTTTTAGAAAAACAGCATAGGCAGAGATTTTACTTGGTAACTAAAAGAAAAGGGAATTTTTGTTTATGTTTCTGTACTAAAGAGATGTAACAACAAAAACTTAATATAACTGATAAAATGGATATGTAAAAGCACACTTACATTAAAAATGTATATAAAGGTCCTAAAAAACTGATGACAAAACATAATTTATAACTTGGTTAGTTTTGAATCTAGAATAATTTATTTTTTCTTCTAATAATTTAACATAAAGCTTGTGAAAAAGAAACCAAATTGATGGCAGTGGCTGCCCATCTGGAGTGGCCACTGCCATGATAATGGCTGCAATGGGGGAGGTGTGGCCAGGGCTGCTTGCTCCATGGAGTTGGTGGGAGATGTGAACAGGCAGAAGCTCTGCCCTCTTCCAAGTTGGATGGGTGGGACCCCAACCCTCCAGAACACAGCTGCCCAGCAGTGGCTGCAGACCCAGGCATCTCTGCACTCTCAGGTGCCCAGGAAGTACACCTTCCCCTGCAGGCTTGGAAGTGCCTGCTCCCACTGCCCAGCCTCTCCTGGCTCTTGGCACCCACTCTGATTTTGGAGCAAAAGTGTGGCTGTGCCCAGCCACTGTCACAAACTGGGTGGGTGTGCACACACTTATGGCAGCACTGACACACCAGCCCCCCCCGCCTTGGCCCCCTCTGGATTTTGGGTGCTGACAAGCCTGAAGGGAGGCTGAGGGGAGGCTAAAAGTGGCTCAGCATGGGCCTGCAGGCACCTCTCAGCACAAACGGGGCACTGTGGAGGACAAGTTAATGGCAGCAGAGGGCAGACAGGCTCCTTGGCAGAAAAGAGTGGTTCTCCAGTAAAACCCCACCTTCAGGCCAGGGATAGCCTGAGGCCTGGGGGCCAGACTACCAGTTCCACGAACTGTGTGAGAACTTATGGGGCTTTTTCTGGGCCTGCCCCTGGCCACCCAGGGACAAATCAGGGCACACTTTCTCCTCTCTGAAGCCCATAAAAACCCTGGACTCATCCAGACTTGGGCAGATGATGGGTCAACCTGCCTTTGAAGAGGAGCTGCCAGCTGTGGTTCTCCTCTCTGCTGAGAGCTGAGCAGATGACAAGATGATCTGCTTGTGGAGAGGAGCTACCCACCCTGGGTCTCCTCTTTGCTGAGAGCTGAGCAGATGATGGGATGACCTGCTTGGCAAGAAGAGCTACTCACTGTGGGTCTCCTCTCTGCTGAGAGCTGAGCAGACTGGTATGTCCTGCCTGCAGAGAGGAGCTAGCCATGTGGCTCTCTGCTGAGAGCTGAGCAGATGTTGGGATGACCTGCCTGCAGGGAGGATCTACCCACTGTGGGTCTCCTCTCTGCTGAGAGCTCAACACTTGTCGGGACAACCTGCCTGTGTAGAGGAGCTACCGACTGTGAGTCTCCTCTCTACTGATAGCTGGACTCTCGTCAGAATGACCTGACTGTGGAGAGGAGCTACGCACTGTGGGTTTCCTCTGAGCTATTCTGTTGCTCAATAAAGCAGCTCTTTGCCTTGTTCCACCTCGACTTGCCTGCATACCTCATTCTTCCTGGATGTGGGACAAGAACTTGGGATCCACCAAATGGTAGGGTTGAAAGAGCTCACCACATTGCAGATGATGAGAAAGAGTGAAGGGAGAAGGAGAAAAGAGCCATGGCCATTTGGGGAGCCCAGGCCTAGTAGCTCCCCGAGCCAGGGTTGTGACACCCTCTTTGGGGTTCTGCAGTTCCTGGAGTTGCCAAGCTTCCGGGCACCACCATGTTCCCTGGTGCCAGCTGTGAAAGCTACTTGTGGTATGCCTAGTCCAGCAACAGCCTGGTAGGGAGCTGCCTACCCCACCACAGCTGGTGTGCCTGACTGTACACAGTGGCCGACACCCATGCTTGTTTACTCACACACCCCTCACTGCTCTGCTCCTGGCTTGCCCTTGGCAGGTATGGAATCCAGGCTGGTAGTGCGAGCCAAGCACAGACTGCCAGGCTGAGTGGGCGGAACAAGCCCGGTAGGCCAAATCAACACTAGGGCAAAGGATCCACCAGCCACAGAGGTTTCCAGCCAGAGAAGCAACACACCAGGGATCCTGTGACAAAACTATGAGAAGTGGAACAAACAGACCTAAAGGCTTTGAAAAACAATGTAATTAATCATTGTGATGGTCATAAACGAATTCAGCTATCTGTTTACATATGCAAGAAGTCACTTAGAGTATTTACAATATGTTTTCTGCCATTCACTTTCTGTTTCTACACAAACATGCATGACAATTTAGGGACAATAAATATCCATAAAATCATTATTAAGGAATTAAATAAACATACAAAAAGTTATCAATAAAAATGCAAATAAACTTTTAATGATAAAATATGTTTGTTCAATTTGCAGCTATCAGTTTTAAAAGAATAAAGTAGTATAAAGTATAATTTCAGAGGTGACTATTATGAGATCTTTGGAAAATTTTTTATTTTCCAAGCACCAGTGGATATGTTATGACTATGTAGCTTCTGAGTAAACTATTTTTTGAGGTTGTTTGTGCAAAAACAGGTTAATAAAGAAAGGAAACTTTATAATTTACCAACTCATCTGCAAAAAACACAACAGATGACAAAGCCTGAAAATTCACTTTATTTGTATTTCTTGAAGAATGTGTACTAAGGGCAGTACAGTGTTCTTAGTACGCTTTACCATTAATTGATGTTGGAAAAAGTTCCAAAGCAATTTTATTAGATCTAGGACAAGATATTTATAAATTTATCTGATATGCCACTCTGAATTCACAATTCAGCCTAAGGAAGAAAAAAGAATTCTATTCTTGCTCTCACCAACACTGTTTTTCACTGTACAATCTTCCTTTTCAATAATAATACTTTACAGTGAAATAGGCAGGAATAAAAGGAGAAAAGGAGGGTAGAAGAAACAAAAGGATATGAAGAGCTTGACCAAAGTGACAGAATAAGTGACACAAGGCATGATCTTCAACAAACCAAGTGCTACATATTTTTATGTGCCTGAATCCATAAAAATAATTGCTTTCCAAGCTGCAGCTTTAGAATTATGCTATCCATATATTGCTTATACATGGGTATAGGCAATTGTCTCGAGGGTGCTTTTTTCTTCAAATGAATAACTAAATATGCAGAAACAATCCCATTATTTTGTTTCTTACAAAACATTACATTTTCATGCAAATAAACTCATTCTCCTCATCATAGAGTACATGCTTGCCTGTTTGAATAGCTGAGATGAACAAGTCACAAAAAGCACATACATGTATTTTAAAGTAATTGCAATGTGCTTGTGAGCACACCTTGGTTTTATACTGTGGTAGTTATCATTGCCCCATAGAATAGCATGGTTTAATTGCGGATTGGTCAGGATGGATAATGTTGTTCCTGTATAATAAAATAAGAAGTTCAAATGAGCAGGGCATTAGCTATTTTCCTACAATAATGGAGTCACCAATAAACAGATAGTGTCCTAAAATCATGTTGGTAAACAACTGGACTTAGGAACAGCATTTTGTACAGTTTTTACCCCTTTTTCTTAAGATCACAGAGTACTTTTCAAATATTACCTGGTATCTACTTGTTCCCCTGCAAAATTATATTGCTTTGAATAGATTTCACATGCTGCTCTATTATTGACTTTATTCAGGAAATGGAGTTCTTGCAGTGGCACAGTCAGAGCTCTCAAGGAGCCCCTGGTTCCTTTTCAATTATATCTGTTAAATATAAGGCTCTGCCTCTTATGGGGAACAATTTTTAAATTTATCTGAGGGGCATATGGCAGCAGATAAATCATTACACGTAAAGAACTACAGAGCAACTGTGACTTAGAAATCAAATAGCCTTTTGAAAATTAGTTCAATAGAGAAGCAAAAAGGAAATCTAATCCTTTAGAGGAGGTGACTTTGTCTAAGCCTATGGATTCTTATTTAGTAAAGGAAATGAAAACAAAATGGATCCTTCCTATAAAGTCAAGAATAATCTTTCCAATTTGATTACTACTGATGATTTTCCCATGACATCTCTGAAGTCTATCAGGTAATCATTGAGGATTACAGGAACTGTGGACTGGGACCTTATCTCTGTATTACGGTGTTGTTATTTCACAAAGTACAATCAAATTATGATAAGCAAAATTATTTCATGAGAAAATCTTTTATGAGGCAACTCCTTTGGCAAATGCAAGAGTGTTTGAGGACCCACAAACCATCACACCCTGATTCCTCCCATGACAGTAGCAGCATTAACTTTGGGAACAGACAGAGGTTTGAGATTGGGGAACTCTGACAAAATTTTGCATTTTGGCCCAACATATACACTTATTCCAAAACTTAAGGATGTAGAATTGTGCAATTTCTTGTGCTTCCACTTACTACTATTTTCTTGCTCACAAGAGCTTTTGAATGCTAATGCCAAACTGGAAGAGACTAGTGAAAAGTTGGACTTCTTTTCACTGATTTGAATGCTCCACTCTCACAGATTTATCATGACAAGGTCCAAACGGTATTAGGAAATTAATATTCTTGCAGAATAAGATGAAATCAGTGTTTCTCCATGTATCTTATTGATTGTAAAATATATTATTGTATCTTAAGATTACCTTATTTAGAAAATTTAAATACATGTAGATAATTTCCATGTATGTACACTGATACTATTTCAGGGCTTTAATTTGAAGAGTTTATTATTTGAATGTTAAATTTTCATATAGCAATTGAGAAATTTGAAGTAGAGTTTTTAAATAATTTCAAACTATAATTTGTTAATGATGATATGAACAATAGAAGATTATCCTATTATCCTTCTATTATTTTAGTTTTTATACACAACTATTTGTAAAACTAAATGTGATGATTAGCCATTTAAATAGTAACTTTCTAAAAGGGAATTGGTAAGATGATAAAAAAAGGCATTATTTTATCTTCAAAGGAAATGATTGAAGGGTTTTAATTTAAGTAAGATATACTTGGAAATCTTAGTTCTGTCTCAAGATATGCCCTAAGAATACATTTATATAATGTAATTCAATATTCTATTTATTTATTTAGATAAAATATCTAATTGGATCTTAACTTGTTCAAAGACCAGACAACTTTAATTAGCTTAGAATGAAAATGAATCTTTCTAGATTTAAAGCCATGAAACATTTACATAGTGATGTTAACAAGGGATGTTTAGAGTGAATCAGAATTAGCAATCATTGCATTCTCCCATTCAATCACAGGACACTATACCAATGAATATATGGACCAAAGATGGGGTATTCCTTTCATTCATTCCTCTGTCCGATCCATTGCTCAAGTTAAAGGAAATTGATGATAAGACATAAAATTCTGGGGTTCTTAGATTTATCATGGGAGAGGTGATGGTAGACAGTTCTTAAGCAAATAAAAAAAGAATGCTCTTAAAATAATCTGCCTTTATTAGCCCTGTCCATCTTTATAGAGCCCCAGTATCATGAAAAAACTATGAATTATGCTGCAGAATACTCTCTGTATTCAAGTTCTAACACATGGTGTTCTTCTTAGTAACTCCCCTCACCACAGCCAAAATTCTCATATGTAGCTCACTGTATACTAAATTAAATCTTATGTGTATCACTACTTGTTCTTTCTACTTATTAATTAAAGTACAGTAGATCCAAGACTGACTAATCATTCTCTAAATGTTATCTAACCTGAACTCTAAAATAATACCTGTGATAGGCAAAATTCTAAAATGGCTTCCAAAATTCCCATCCCCTGATGTACACACCCTATCAAATCATCTCTCCTATAGAGTGGGCAGAACTATGAATATATGATGGGATATCATACCTATGACAGTGTACTAATCAGTAGACTCTGAGTTAATCAAAGTGAGATTTGTGTGAGTGAGACTGACTTAATTAGGCAAACCCTTTGAAAGAAGGTGATGCACTAGAGAGGCATTCTTCTGCTGACTTAGAAGAAAACAAGCAGTCCCATTGTGAATGTCTGGCAGAGAAGGTCTGGTATCTAGGACAGGAGGCTGGCATCTAGAAACTGAGAGTGTCACCTGGCTGATGGTCCAAAAGAAAGTGAGTACCTCAGTCGTACAACCTCCAGGAACTGAATTCGGTCAACAACTTTAATAAAGCTGGAAAAGAACCGCACACTTTAGAAAAGAACGCAGACTGGCTGGCACTTTATTTTCAGCCTGTGAGACCCAAAGCAGAGAATCCTATTAAGATAATATTTAACTATAGAAACTGTGAAACAGCAAATGGATGCTTTTTAAATTACCCCTAAGTTAGTGGTAATTTGCTACACGCAATGGAAAACTAATACAATACTCTGAGTGTTTGGAAAGTGAAAAAGCTTTCTTGGCTTACATGACTTTTCCCTGATACTTTATTTCAGACCTTTCCCTGATATTTCATTTCTTTAGTTACTTCAGTGACTATTTGAAAGAAATATGGACTTGAAGCAGAAGATTTGATTTTCAAGTGGTCTTTTCATTCAGTTTTAAATCTCAATTTTATATCTTAAAAGTCATGGCAACACCTTATTTTTTTGAAAAATATTTAGGGTATTAAATAGACACTAGTATGGTAGATTATTACCAGGTAAATTTATCTGCCTTGTTAGAATATCTTAATTATACTGTCAATTGAAAATTTGGTTCATGTGTTTTCCTAAACAAAATGTGTTGCAATATTCTACATTAGTTCTTCTACTGGTTCTTGCTCCTCAGAAACATTTTAAGAATGTAGATGATATATGGTTTGTCATATGTGAGCATTAATATGTTTACTGTTCTGTTTTTCATTCCAAAATTTTCAAACAATGTTTTTGATAAAAACTACTGATTTTACAGGAAGCCAACTGCTTCTACCCTTGAGATAAAAGTAGTATCTGCAATTCCAGGACATACTGGTGTTGCTTGGCATCCTTTTAGTATCACACAGATCTCTGATTGTGAACAAGCCTTTCCTTTTAAAAGCATCTACAGACGGCTGACATATCTCTAATGCATTCTGTTGAAGCCTGTAATTTATCTTGCTTGAATTCTCTAGGGAGTTAATCCAAGTCTTCTTATATATTGTTTCTGGATTGATTGTTATATCTGCATCTATGCCAAATTCTAGTTTGACTTAATAATTTTGCTTAGACAAAAGTAGTGAAATAGTCCATTTATATAGTGCTTTGAAAGTTCTTCACTAGGAATGAATGTTGTTGCTTTCTGGTTGTGTGTCTATGGGATTATGTGAGTGTATACGTGTAAAAATCATTTTGGTAATCATAAAATCTATGTAATTTGGGAAGCATACATTATTAATTTCTGGGGGTTTTAAATTGGGCGTAGAAAACAGAATCTGGAAATTAGGTTTTAAAAGTTTTTGATTGAATACTTTCAATCATGGCTTATTTTCCTATTTTTCTACTGTTATTTGTTACTAAGATATTTTACCTATAGATAAATCAACACACACATGTCTTTTCCCTCTAAAAATGTTGTGTTTTAACCTGGGCGTCAAGGGAAAGCCTGTCCTTTTTGTAATGAGTTATAAGTACTAATAAGTTGAACTGAGATGGCTCAGAATGATATTAAATCTGATATTTTTCTATGCTTCTCACAATACCAATCAAAGTTTCTGTTGGAAGCTAATATTGCTCTTATTATTTTCCTCACAAGAAATCTTTTCTTACATACAGTCCTAAGGCTGTTTGCATCTTTCCTCAAACCAAATGCATTTTAAATTTTCTCTTACATATAAATTTGTATGGTTATAGAATTACTGTAGTTTTTTGGATTTTCATCACATATTAATTATTACCCCTCAAAATATATTTCCATAAATGAAGATTTTTAATATAAAATTTATATAACACAATATTAACCATTTTAAAGTGAACAATTCGGTGGCATTAAGTACATTCACAACATCATGCAACCACCACAATTATCTGCTTCAAAATATCTTTTGAGAAGTGTCTGTTCATATCCTTTGCCCACTTGTTGATGGGGTTGTTTGGTTTTTTCTTGTAAATTTGTTTGAGTTCTTTGTAGATTCTGGATATTAGCCCTTTGTCAGATGAGTAGATTGAAAAAATTTTCTCCCATTCTGTAGGTTGTCTGTTCACTCTGATGGTAGTTTCTTTTGCTGTACAGAAGCTCCTTAGTTTAATTAGATCCCATTTGTCAATTTTGGCTTCTGTTGCCATTGCTTTCGGTGTTTTAGACATGAATTACTTGCCCATGCCTGTGTCCTGAATGGTATTGCCTAGGTTTTCTTCTAGGGTTTTTATGGTTTTAGGTCTAACATTTAAGTCTTTAATCCATCTTGAGTTAATTTTTGTATAAGGTGTAAGGAAGGCATTTATGCAGCCAAAAGACACATGAAAAAATGCTCATCATCACTGGACATCAGAGAAATGCAAATCAAAACCACAATGAGATACCATCTCACACCAGTTAGAATGGCAATCATTAAAAAGTCAGGAAACAACAGGTGCTGGAGAGGATGTGGAGAAATAGGAACACTTTTACACTGTTGGTGGGACTGTAAACTAGTTCAACTATAGTGGAAGTCAGTGTGGTGATTTCTCAAGGGTCTAGAACTAGAAATACCATTTGACCCAGCCATCCCATTACTGGGTATATACCCAAAGGATTATAAATCATGCTACTATAATGACACATGCACACGTATGTTTATTGTGGCACTATTCACAATAGCAAAGACTTGGAACCAACCCAAATGTCCAACAATGATAGACTGGATTAAGAAAATGTGGGACATATACACCATGGAATACTATGCAGCCATAAAAAATGATGAGTTCATGTCCTTTGTAGGGACATGGATGAAGCTGGAAACCATCATTCTCAGCAAACTATCACAAGGACAAAAACCAAACACCGCATGTTCTCACTCATAGGTGGGAATTGAACAATGAGAACACATGGACACAGGAAGGGGAACATCACACACTGGGGCCTGTTGTGGGGTGGGGGGTGGGGGGAGGGGTGTGGGATAGCATTAGGAGACATACCTAATGTAAATGAGGAGTTAATGGGTGCAGCACACCAACATGGCACATGTATACATACGTAACAACCCTGCACAATGTGCACATGTACCCTAAAACTTAAAGTATAATAATAAAAAAAACTTTTTTACCCCTAAATAAAATCTCATACTCATTAAGTAGTTATTTCCTATTTCACCCTCCCATCAGACCCTGGAAACCAACAGTGTGTGTTCTTTTAGTTCCAAAAATTTACCTATTGTGTTTATTTCATACAAATGGAATCACACAATATGTGACCTTTTTATCAGGCTTCCTATATCGTATGTTTTAGAGGATCATGCACAGTGTAGCATGTATCAGTGCTGAGTTCCTTTGTATAACTCTGTAATATTCCATTGTGTGCATATACACATAATATGTACACATTTCATTTTATGCATATGCAAAAGTTCTCAATGTGTTTATCCATTTGTCCATTGATGGACATTTGGCTTGTTTCTACCTTTTGGCTATTGTAAATAGTACTGCTATGAAATTTTTGTACAAGTATTTGAACACCTGTTTTCAATTCTTTTAGGTATATATCTAGGAATGGAATTGTCGTATATATATATATATAGAGAGAGAGAGAGAGAGAGTCTTATAGTAATTTTACCTCTAACCTTTTGAGGAATTATCAAATTTTCTCATAGCAGCTGCACTATTTCACATTCCCACCAACAGTGAATAGGGTTTATACATCCTCACCAACACTTGTTATCTATGTATTTATTTATAGCCATCACAGTGAGTATAAAGTCATCACTGTGGTTTTAATTTGCCTTTCCCTAATAACTAATGATGTTGAGCATTTTTTTCATGTGCTTCTTCATCATTTGGATATACATTTTTTGAGAAGTGTATTTCAAGTTCTTTAAGTTCTTTGTCCAGTTTTTTTTTTTTTTTTTTTTTTTTTTTTGCGGGGGGCAGGGGAGATTGCCTCATTGAGTTTTAGGAGTTCTTTATATATTTTGGATACAAGACCCTTATCAGATATATAATTTAAAAGTAATTTATCTCATTCTGTAGGTTGTCTTTTCACTTTCTTGGTAATATCCTTTGATGTACAAAATATCTCAATTTAAGTCCATTTTATCTGTTTTTCTGTTTGTTGCTAATGCTTTCAGTATCATACCAAAGCATCTACTCCAAATCCAAGGTAATCAAAGTGTATCCATATGTTTTAAGAGTTTTATGGTTTTACTTCTTATATTTGGGTTGGTGATCCATTTTGAATTAATTTTTTGTATATGTTGTGATGTAAGATTCCAACTTCATTTTTTTGCATGTTGATATCTACTTGTCCCAGTACCATTTGTTGAAAATATTATTCTTCCTCACTGAAGTCTTGATCTCCTCAAAGTCATCCATAAGGTTTGGAATCAACTTCTTTCAAACTTCTGTTTACTTTACTATTTTGATTTCCTCCCATGATTCACTAATGTTCTTAATGGCATCTAGAATGGCAAATCATTTCCAGAAGGTTTTCAATTTACTTCGTCCAGTTTCATCAGAGGAATCACTGTTCAAGGTAGCTATAATATAATGAAACATATTTCTTAAATAAGACAACTTGAAAGTCAAAATTTCTCCTTGATCTATAGGTTAAATAATGGAGTTGTGTTAATACACATTGATCTTCTTGTATGTCTCCATCAGAGCTCTTGAGTGACCAGGTGCATTCTCAATGAGCAGTGATATTTTGAAAAGAATCTCTTCTTCTGAGCAGTAGAGCTCAACAGTGGCCTTAAAGTATTTATTAAACCATGCTGTAAACAGATGTGCTGTCATTCAGGCTTTGTTGTTTCATTATAGAGAACAGGCAGAGTAGAATTAGCATAATTCTTAAAAGCTGTAGAAGTTTTGGTATGGTAAAAGCATTGGCTTCAGCTTGAAGTTACCAGCTGCATTAGCTCCTAACAAGAGAGTCAGCTTGCCCTTTGAAGCTTTGAAGCCAAGCACTGACTTCTCCTCTCTAGCTAGGAAAGTCCTAGATGGCATCTTCTTCCAATAGAAGGCTGCTTTTGTGTACATTGAAAAATCTATTGTTTAGTGTAGCCATTTCCATCAGTGATTTTAGCTAGATCTTCTGGATAACTTGCTGCAGCTTCTACATTAGCACTTGCTGCTTCACTTTGCACTTTTATGTTATGAAGATGGTTTCCTTCCTTAAACCTCACGAACCAACTTCTTACACCTTCTAACTTTTTCTTCTATAGCTTTCACACTACTCAGCCTTTATAAAATTGAAGAGAGTGAGGGTTTTGCTTTGGATTAGGCTTTGGCTTAAAGGAATATTGTGGCTGATTTGATCTTCTTTCCAAACCATTCAACCTTTCTTCACATCAACAATATGTCTGCTTCACTTTCTTATTGTTCTTGTATTTACTGGAATAGCATTTTCGATTTTCTTCAAGAACCCTTTGCATTTACAACTTCACTAACTGTTTGGTTCAAGTAGCCTAGCTTTCAGTCTGTCTTGGCTTTTGACATGTCTCCCTGACTAAATCTAGTCATTTCCAGCTTTTAAGTTAAAGTGAGAGACTTGACTCTTCCTTTCCCTTAGAACACATCATATCATTATTAATTGGCCTAATTTCAATACTGCTGTGTATCAGCGAATAAGGAGGCCAAAGGATATGAGAGATGGGGAAACTGCTGGTCAATGGAACAGTCAGAACAGACAGAACATTTATCGTCTAAGTTCACTGTCTTAAGTGTGCATGGTTCATGGTGTCCCAAAACAATTATGATAGTAATAATACTATCATATGATTACTGATCATATGTTCTGCTTAATCAATGATCACTGCTTAAGGATAATCAGAACAGATACAATAAATAATGAAGTTTGACTTATTTTGAGATTATCAAACAATGACACAGAAACATGAAGTGAGCACATGAAGTTTGAAAAATGACTCTGATAGACTTGCTTCATGCAGGGTTGTCACAAGTCTTCGACTGGTAAAAAATATGATATCTGCAAAGCACATTGAAGAGAATCACAATAAAATGAGGTATGCCTGCCTATTTTAGGGGAAATTAAGAAGTAAATGTATCATTCCATCCTAAATTCAAAAGATAACAGGCTATGTCATATGCCTTCAAATTGTTTTTTGAAGTAAGAATACCATTAGATTGATAAAAATCACTCCTCTTTTATTTCTATACCACTCCCCATAATCAGAGATGCCAATTTAATTTAGGTATTTTAGAAATTATATAGTATAAAGAGAGTAAAAATAAAAATTTACTTTCACTTTCCATAGACTCCCTTTGTGTTAATGAGTTTTTATATTATTTAATTTAAACAGTTATGAAGTCATTGATTATATTGTTGTTAAAGAAAAATTTGACAATAAATACTATCACAATAAGAAATTTTGATTCCAGACATGACACAATAGTTTGCATTAGACCAGGTCTTTCACCACAAAATTAATGGCAGAAGAAATATATATATATATATATGAAAAGAAATCTTATATATATATGTATATATATCTACATGCATACACACATATATATGTATGTATATGTGTGTGTGTGTATATGTATTAGTTCATTTTCACACTGCTGATGAAGACATACCTGAGACTGGGTAATTTATAAAGAAAAGAGGCTTAATGGACTCACAGCTCCTCAGTTCCATGTGGCTGGGGAGGCTTCACAATCATGACAGAAGGTGAAAGGCACATCTTACATGGTGGCAGGCAAGAAAGAATGAGAGCCAAGTGAAAGGGGAAACCCCCTATAAAATCATGAGATCTCGTGAGACTTATTCAGAGACTTATTCAGTACCATGAGAACAGTATAGGGGGAACTGCCCAATGATTCGATGATCTCTTACTGAGTCCCTCCCACAACACATGGGAAATATGGGAGCCTTAATTCAAGATGATATTTAGGTGCAGACACAGCCAAATCATATCAGTAGTATATGTATATGTGTGTATATATATGTATATGTGTGTATATATAAGAGTATATATATGAATTATACTCTTTCAAAGCATAAGAGTTGACTAAGGGAGCCAGCACTTGAGGGGTTCTCTGCCACAGTGATGAGAAATTCCCTGAGTGATTCCCATGTTAACATGTTCTTTCCCCTAAGGAATAGTATAATTCTCAGTGCAAATAATAAAGGCCAATCCAGAAGTATGTTGCTTCATGTCTGAATCATTTTTAGTAGGTGGATTTCCAGGCAGCAAAAGATGTGTAGAATTTCAGGAGCTGAGGTCTCAAAGAGGAGGAAACATACAGAAATGGGCTTAAAATGCTGTATATACTACTCCCTGGCATGTTTGTTGTTTCCCACATATGCAAGGAGACACTCTTAGAATACAAATAGGAAGCAGCAGGTAGATAGACAAAGATCTGCTCAAATATATATAATATATATATATATATATTATATATATATATATTATATATATTATATATATATATATATTATATATATATATGGAATATACAGATTGAATTTTAGGACCCTCCCAAATAAAAGACTCCTATTAAATATCCCGCGCTTTTGGACAAGACTACAGAAGGCTTTGTTCAAATAATAACTACTATGTAAGAGTAAACATTAAGAATAGTGCAAATTGGAAGTAGTGTCAACCAATAAAAGCCTAAAGCCAAGGTCAACTTGATCAAAATGACCTGCCTATTATTTATCTGTCTGATAGAAGTAAATTGAATACGACTAAAGGAAGATAATATCATCAAGATTCTCTGTAATATTGTGTAGGAAAATTAAACAATATTGTCGATTCAATAAATAATTACTAGATTTAACAGTAAAAAGACCAAAAGATACAAAATCATGAGGTGGGGGAGGAGGAAAGAAAGTAGAAAAGCTCTGTAAGGAATCAAGATATTGGAGTTATCACACAAGCACTTAATAAAACTATGATAAAATATGTTATAGAAAAGAGAACAGAGAAAAATTTTCTAGGGAACTACAATCTACTAAAGAACAAATTAAATGAAAATTTGAATAGTGAAATATATAATAAACTTAATAATATTTAAAAGATTCTTCAAAGTAGATTAGATGGGGCAGAAGAGAATAGAGAAACAAAAGTTGAGTCAGTAATAAAATATTTAGATGAAGTGAAGCAAGAAAAAAAAGATAGTAAACAAAACTGAAAGCAATATATGACACATACAGAGCATGAATATTCCACAACTATTTCGGATCCTAGAAGTGGAATAAGAAAGAAGTTGACAGAAGTAATATTTAATAAACCTTGAAAGACACTGGCAAAACATGGCAATTTATAGATGTAATACAATCTGTAAACTCTAAGCAGGGCACATCTGGATAAATCAAACATAGGCGTCCAAAATGTATCACCTGTCAAACAAAGACAAAAGTACAAATCATATAAGGCAGCAAGACAAAAAAACTGTCACATGACCTTCAAAGAATAAAAATAAAACTAATGACAGATTATTCAACATAATGACAGAAGACAATGGAATACAACTTTAAGGCACTTAAACAAAGACACTTTGTGTCTTTCACACAAAGACTAACCAAGATAATATGTAACCAGAAAATCTGACTGTATTAAATATTAATGGGAGTGTTAATCAATATAATGAGACTTGCAGGAAAAGCAGGAATGCAATAAATAATAAAGATAAACATAAAGGGTAAAAATGGCGTTTTCTCAATATAAGTATTGCCTATTTAACACAATAACCATATAATGTCTTTTCTGTTTAAAATACACGTGCAATTTAAATATATACTGACAATAACAATGCAGAATTTGTGTAAATAGAGTTAACATTTTGTAACATTTTTGCATTGTTTGAGATGTGTTAAAATTGTCAATTTAAGTTAATTATCATATGTTAAAGATTGTACTATGAAATATCTACAGCAACCACCAAAGGGATAATAAAAGATTGTAAAACTAAGAAGCTAAAATAAGCATAAAAATAATAGTAACTTAATTAAAATAATGAAAGAGAAAAGAATAGAAAATATGGGATATAGAAAATAAATGGGACAGTGAACTTAATGCCAAATATATATCCACATATACCTGTTATTATATTAAATTTTAACAGATTAAATACTTCAGTTAAAAGGCAAAGTTGATCAGAGTGCAATAAAACATTCAAACACATACATATCACAATTGAGATAATTAAATCAAGGAACTTAATGTTAGTTTAACATTTGAAGACCATTCAATAGTACTCACCTCATTCACAGAGTAAAACAGGAAAACCATATGATTTCAAAAGAGGCAGAAAAAGCAACTTATGATAAATATGTGCATTTATGACAGCATAATCTTTTATTTCTGGCCGTCTTCATAGTAAGCAAAATAAGATGTCAAATTATGTTCACAGGAATCCTAAATGTTATCCAGTACCAAACTCCTAAAAGTACAAACAGGATCAGATAAAGCAGGAAGAGGTTTGGGACAGCCAGGAAAGTAACTGAAGTCCTTTTTTCACTCTGACACAAGTATTGTTTTGCCCAGAGTATATGAAGTTTCCAAGTAATATTAATGGGCCCTCCTGAAAGCAGGGATCATTTAGATTATGAAACAAGTCTATTTTTTTAATCTCAGAGGTTTGGCCCTTATATTCTCTAGGGAACCATGAATCAAAAATTTAAAAATGATTGGATTAATTCACCATAAATTATATGAAACCTGTGAAGGCCTGTAAACATATTACAATGTGCCTATCTTGTATCATCCATCCTCCTGGGCATTGAGAGAGAAAGGAATGACAGAATAGCTTCCCTGAATAGTTTTTCCCAAGGTAGCTACCTACAAAATTCGGTAACAAGCTTGCAACATAACAATGACATACTAAAGCTTTTTCCCGAGATGTAAATGAGATAGGAAGTGTCACTATTGCTATTTCTATTAAAAGTTATACTAGATGTTCCAGTCATTGCATTATGGCAAAATATTAAGATTAGAAAAAATTAAATAAACTTGTCATTCTTTGTAGAAAACATGATTACATACCTAAATAAACCTAAAAATAGCTACAGAGAGTGTATAGATCAATAAGTAAATTTTGCAAGACATGAATACAAAATTGATATTAAAAATCCAAAAGTATTATCTATACTGCAACAAACAGAAAGTGACATTTTAAAATGTAATTTATGATATCATAAAAAATAATGTCAGGAATAAATTGGATAACAGATGCAAAATTACAAATTTTATTGAAATAAAATTTACAAGACCACGTAAGTGGAGGAATATATTCATGAATTATGTAATGAATAGTTCATGAATAGTAATACCCAATATTGTAATGATGCCAAATCGCCCACAATTGAAATATAATGCTAAACAGTTTTGATCAAAATCCCTGTAGGTTATATATAATTTGCTCATATTAAAAAGTTATTTTAAAAATTCATATACAAATTCAGGGGGTCAAGATGATTCTCTTGAAGAAGTAGTGCAAAATAAGAATGTTTATCTATTCAGATCAAATCTGCATGGTGCAAATATAAGTAAATATACCAGTAGAACTGAATGAAAAGCACAGAAGTAAATAAACCCACACTTAAAAGATCACTTGTCTTACGACAAAGTTGCCACTACAATGCAGTGAGGGAATGCTGTCTATATTGTAGTATTTCAATTAAAGCTTACAAGAAAATTCATAATATACTAGTAGATTTTTATGCATTAAATATTTATAAACGTTGAAGTCTATTAACTCACTTTTATTAATAGTATTTAATAAACTGAGTTTTTGGGTCAATTTTAACAGTCTTCAGAGAATCTATTAATCTCAAAGTTCCTATCTAACTCGAAAAGAATGCGGAGCTTAAAAAAGAGAAGATTTCTTCTTGATCAATACAATCATTTCCTTCATTCAAGAAAGTGGCTCTAAGCTGTACTGTAAACTGATCATCAGAGTGAACAGGCAACCTACACAGTGGGAGAAAATTTTTGCAATGTACTCATCTGACAAAGGGCTAATATCCAGAATATACAAAGAACTCAAACAAATTTACAAGAAATAAACAACCCCATCAAAAAGTGGGCGAAGGATATGAACAGACATTTCTCAAAAGAAGACATTTATGCAGCCAACAGACAAATGAATAAATGCTCACCATCACTGGCCATCAGAGAAATGCAAATCAAAACCACAGTGAGACACCATCTCACACCAGTTAGAATGGCGATCATTAAAAAGTCAGGAAACAACAGGTGCTGGAGAGGATGTGGAGAAATAGGAACACTTTTACACTGTTGGTGGGACTGTACACTAGTTCAACCATTGTGGCAGACAGTGTGGCAACTCTTCAAGGATCTAGAACTAGAAATACCATTTGACCCAGCCATCCCATTACTGGGTATAAACCCAAAGGATTATAAATCATGCCACTATAACGACACATGCACACATATGTTTATTGTGGCACTATTCACAATAGCAAAGACTTGGAACCAACCCAAATGTCAAACAATGATAGACTGGATTAAGAAAATGTGGCACATATACACCATGGAATACTATGCAGTCATAAAAAATGATGAGTTCATGTCCTTTGTAGGGACATGGATGAAGCTGGAAACTATCATTCTCAGCAAACTATCGCAAGGGCAAAAAACCAAACACCGCATGTTCTCACTCATAGGTGGGAATTGAATAATGAGAACATTTGGACACAGGGTGGGGAACATCACACACCAGGGCCTGTCGTGGGGTGGTGGGAGTGGGGAGGGATAGCATTAGGAGATATAACTAATGTAAATGACGAGTTAATGGGTGCAGCACACCAACATGGCACCTGTATACATATGTAACAAATCTGCATGTTGTGCACATGTATACTAGAACTTAAAGTATAATAAAACAAAGAAAAAAACAAGCAATGAGCATCACAAATGGTATTCTGGGCTAAATTATCAAAATCTCATTGGACCTTTCCATCTATTTCAATTTTAATTGAGAGGTGTTTTTTTGTTTGTTTTAATACACCTGACACTTAAGAAAAAAAAAAAAAAATCTAATATTGAGATGATCTGAACAAAAAGGAAATAACATCAACTACTAATTTCTCCACTCTCCAATACCTGAGCCCAGGATATTGCCTTATAATCTCTGTGATGCTAGGTGCCATATTAAAGATCTGGATTAACTTAAGTTCTCATGAATATCAAGTGAACATGGTTGATGTCAATACAATAGAGTAGCCCTAGTCTGTGTCTAGGCTATTGTTTTCCTTTTATTTTTCAGAGGAGCAACATGAACTATAATGTGGTCCTGTCTTCTTAACTCTATCTTATAACAAAGAGAAGGTTTATATCTTAGTGTCTTATATTTATTCCTTGGACAGTGTTAAAGAAGCAGGAGTTTAATTATTATGCAGCAATTACTTTATCATACTTTAAATTGTAAGTTAGTAACTAAAAACATTTTTCTATCCAGTTTTCTGTTACTTTTACAGAGTTATCTCTGTTTCCTAGTATGTTGGATTGTTAACCAAAACAGTTAACATTTAATTTAATATGAGAGATAATAAACAGAACTCTTAAAAATTTCTGTGGAACATCTAATTTGATAAAAGTTTATGCACATGATCAACTCACTGATAGTTCAGTTTAGGAAGTTTTAAACCAGGACATGGCTGAAGCAGTCAAAGAAAGAAAAGGTGTGTAAGTGGGGTGGGTGCAATTACAGTCATATGCAAAGACACTTATCTTACTAATCAGCAAAGGATTTATTCTATTAATTAATTAAATACATAGATGGAACATCAGTTAAAATGTAGCCTGAAACTACTGGGGACAGTGATTGTGACTGGGGACAAGGATAATAACTGGAGTTTAAAAGCCACAAGTGCCCAGCTATAGCTTTTTTTCATGCTGTGACCTTATAAAATTTAGTGATTGAAACAAAGAATAACTTCCTTCTAGAATGTATTTCTAGTCAGTTTAAATAGACAAGCCCTCATTCCATTTAGATGACAGTTACTGATGGTATACCATGCATTCTCAGAGAGATTTAAAGTATAATAATATTAATTTCTATAAATGGATAAATTCTTCAGCCTATGATAATGAAAGCTAGCCTATTAATCCGATTTATCAAGATGAACTTAGGACTTGGCATTTTAAGACACTTAAATTTTAAAATTTCTAAATGATCATTCTTTCTGTGGTGGTTGCAAGCTTTTCCTATAGAGGTCAGTAGACTTGTATGTACCACTGTACAATCAGAATTTTGTTTAATGATTTGTTTTTACAGTGCAATGAAATGGCTCTAGAATATTATCTATTAGAGTGTAATAAGAGCCCGCCTCTCCTTCATTTCCTGCTTCCACATGGAAGAATAACACTCCTAGCACACTGCAGCATTCATTCTTCTCCAGGGGAGAGAGTGAATTATCTGTTTGATGAATGCACTTTTATCTCAGTGTTTTCCTCTGACTTTCACTCTTTGCTCATTTTGTTTCAGGAGAGCATCCTTTGTCTCTGCTCTTCCAGCCTATTATTTTGCAGAAGAGAGTCTATCCTTGAAATAGGGCGGAGATTCTAACCTTTAATGGGTCCCTGCAATTTGTCAGTGTTGCCTGTGCCTGGATGGCTGATTGTATTTAAATATGGAGTTTAGTATCAGAAAGCCCATTTAGCTGTGCATCTAGTGTGTGTCCTTCTATGTAGCTTTTGTCAGTAACAATGCTAACTTTTAGAATTCCGTTTGATGCCTATGTTTATCTCAATTACTTTTTGTTGTTGTTGTTGTTTGTTTGTTTGTTTTTGAGAAAGGGTTTTGCTCTGTTACCCAGACTGGAGTGCAGTGGTGCAATCATAGCAACCTCAAACTCCTGGACTCAAGCACTCCTTCTGCCTCAGCCTCCCATGTAGGTTGGACTACAGGCTTGTGCCACCAGGACTGGCTTTTTTTTTTTTTTTTTTTTTTTTTTTGTGGAGGTGGCATCTCACTCCATTGCCCAGGCTGGTCTCACACTCCTGGCCTCAAACAATCCTCCAACCTTGGCCTCCCAAAGCACTGGTATTACAGGCATGAGCTACTATGCTCAGCTCTCAATTACTTTTGAATCTAAGGACGCCACTTGTTGGACCCCCATGCCCCATGATTATTCTTAGAATTTTCTGTCGGTTAGCAAAAGAACTCTTTGTAATGAAGGGAGCAAAAGAATAATAGAATTTACAGAAGTTTAGCTCCCTGTTATTCTGCATTTGTCAGTGTCAGAGCTTGCCCCAAATCAAGTCTTCTCTTTCGATTCAAATAGAGTTTAGAATAACCTTAATGTGGTTCTTGATTGTTTTTCTTTTCCAAATATAGTTCATTATCATTATACATGGAAGATTTTTCTGTAAAGTCATCAAGGACACTGAATTAGTGAATAATGAACAAAGAAAGAAGAAAGTCAGGGTTCGTTCCTGTGAACCTCTGGTTGCAATATTTTTCTCAACTCGTTAATACATAACCTTGTTTTGTGTGTGTTTCTGTTTAAAGATATCTTATTTAATATATATTACTGATGTATTAACAACCTCAGAGTCAACAGCACTGTAAGTCATGGCTGGATGGATCTTATCTAACATGGCTTCTCCATAAGGCACATCACAGTCTTTCATTTATAACACTAACCAGCAGTTCAGCTCTATGCTTCAGGGTCATTTTAAACAGCACAATACCAAAAAAATACCCACAAAAAATGTAAAAAATGTGGCACTAAATAGATTATAGTATGAAAGCTAAAATAAGAAGGCAGAGTGTCTCATTCATCCCTCTCCAGAAACACACAACATCAGGCAATTTAATTTTTTGGCCATTCTGTATATGTCCATTAATGACTGTGAACATGCCCCATAGATTGATTTTTTTAAAGTACATTTTAATGAGTAGATGAATTCACAAATGTGGAATCTGCAAATAACGAGGCTCAACTGTTAGAACTTTTTATGATATATTGTCTACTTTCTGAGAGTTCTTTTCTCTGCCTCTAAAATGTTATAGTAGAATAACAGACATACATTTTGAAAGTGCTAAATATATTAGCTTAATATAGAGCCAGTCAAGTGAGGCTTTTACAAAATTTTCCATTCCTAACTTTATCTCTGGAGAGATATACAACTAGAGAAGACAAAACTAACTTTCTGCATGGAAGTAAAATCTCAACATGGTGGCAATACTTCTTAAAGGATTCTGTGAAATATTTAATCTGGCAGATTTTTTATTTCAACACAGATTTGTTGAATGATGAAAATGAAAGAATTTTCATAACAGCGGTTTTCTCTAGTGACTATCCAGTTTTTACTATCTCATATGAAGTAGAAGCTAGTTATGCTGTAGTTGAATTACTTTATCATTTTCCACGAGGTAACAGTTACTTTCTATACTTGATCATAATTTCTTATATTAAACATTTCAATCAACCTTGTGTACGACAAGAGGTAAAACAAACATAACAACTCCAAACCAGTCACTCCAAAAAATCAAATAAGAGTTAGCATATTACTTATTATTTTCATTGCTGATTCAGAAAGCATTTTTACTTATGTTTGTTCACTCACCAGTACAAGTCTTCATTATTGCCAATGAATGTTTGTGTTTGTAATTCACTGGTCCTCATATTAGACTAAAATCTTACGTACTTCCTGTGGCTTATGGCACCACCTCAGCTACTTGTTTCATGTGCCCTGCAGCATTGTTTCAGGAGAGTGTCCTTTGTCTCTGCTCTTCCAGCCTATTATTTTGCAGAAGAGAGTCTATCCTTGAAATGGGGTGGAGATTCTAACCTTTAATGGGTCCCTGCAATTTGTCAGTGTTGCCTCCTCTGGGCCCCAAAGCTTTCACTATCTGGAGCTGACCAGTCATTCTTCTAAGAGTGTTTGGATGTCCTTGTTAGATGGTCCCCAGGTGGCCATGGTAGCCAGGCACATGCTCAGAGATTCTGTTACCTTTCACTTCTGGATTTGGATGAAACAACACACTACACAGCATGAGGACTGATGTCTGGAACAGGAGCTGAAAGGGCCCAATACTGCTGCATGGAAGTGGAAGGAAGTTACTTCCCAATGATGCAAATTTCAAACATGAAACAGAAGAATGACGGGCTCAGAGAGACACATTGCATTACTTCTCTCTCTCTCGTGGATGACTCTCAGGCCAAATGGATATCTCTGCCAAATGACCTGCTATGCCGTTGTTCATGGCTTATTGTAAAGCAACGGCCAGGGTGGTAGCATGTACCTGCACATGGCTTCACATCTTCCAATGCCTCACTTCCCCTTTTCCACATTCTTTCTGGCCTGGGTTTACATCATCCAAGGAAAGCATTAGTGCATTCTTTCTCGCTTCCAGCTTGGTTTTCTGGGGAATTCAAACTAACACGGTTCCTAAGTTTGTTTTTTTTTTTTAATTTTTTTTTATTATACTTTAAGTTTTAGAGTACATGTGCACATTGTGCAGGTTAGTTACATATGTATACATGTGCCATGCTGGTGCGCTGCACCCACTAACTCGTCATCTAGCATTAGGTATATCTCCTGATGCTATCCCTCCCCCCTCAAACTAACACGGTTCCTAAGTTTAACACTTCATCTTTTTCTTGCTAAGATATAGGACAAATAAGAGTTTATAATTTTGCTATTACCTATTTCTCTTAAAAATAGAAAATCAAGTTATTTTGTCAGTATAGGAGGCTTCTAATATTAATAAGGAAAAAAATCCATGGACTTGAATGTGTGGTTTATATACAACATAATACTAATTTCAATTTGTAGGCTTTCTGCTTGAGAATAGAAAGGAGGGGGTTGGCAGTTAATTTAGCTTGAAATGCACCTAGAACATTTGCAGAGTAAGGGCCTTTCATAGGAATATTAACATGCATTATATTCCATTCATGTATTATTCAGCACAGCTAAAACATAAAATCCAACTCAGGTGACAACAAGTGATAGTCACGCACACTTCCACCTTCTCTTCAGTATCATCCTGTGAAATGCTTTTCTCTGAGCTCTGCTCAAAGAAGCAAAACAGCGGGGGCCTCCACTTCACACATGCTCCCAGAGAGAAATCATGCTACACATTTTTCATTTAGAAATAAAAAATTTGGAATAAATCCATGGAAGTGAAAATCCATTAGATAATTGCTGCTAAATGTCTGGCATTTTAATTTGAGGATTTGCAGTAGCACACTGCTCTTAAAATGGCAGTACATTTGACAAAGTTCTGTCTAAATTTTTATGGATATAAGCACTTAGAATCGTCACCAGTGCTATTTTCCCTGTCATGTAAGTATTCATCAGCTCTGTGTATTGTTGTATACCATGATGACCCTTTTATAAAGTGCCTAGAGGTTCGTTATGAATTTTAAGATGAATATTTAACAGCAGTTTACAGATGTTTTATAACTAGTTTATATAAGACTGGGATAATTACTAGCAGATTTGCAGGTTCTATCTGAACAGGAATCAATTTTTGGATTGAAACATTTTCTATATTTACATATTTCTGTCCTTTTCTCCCTTGAAAACTTCAGAAGTATGTGTGACTGTATTGTAGTGTGTCATCAAACCTGGCCACTATTGCTTCTGCCATATGTTACATACTCCACTATGAACTCTCTCACTCTTCCTTAGGTATCAGTTTCTTACCACATATCATATTATTGCCCTTTCTCTCTGTCTAAGATACAAATTTTGTTTTATGAATTACTAAAAAATATCTTTTTATTTTCTCCACATTCTTTAAGAACTATTCCCAATTTGTCCTAAATGTACATACTGTCTTTTCTCATTTCCAAAGCAACTTTTTTTTTAAACTTTTTAATTATATTTGAAGTTCTGGGATACATGTGCAGAATGTGCAGGTGTGTTACATAGTTATACATGTGCCATGGTGGTTTGCTGCACCCATCAACCCGCCATCGAGGTTTTAAGCCCCGCATGCCTTAGGTATTTGTCCTAATGCTTTCCTTCCCCTTGTCCCCCACCCCCCAAACAGGCCTCGGTGTGTGATGTTCCCCTCCTTGTGTCCATGTGTTCTTCTTGTTCAACTCCCACTTATGAGTGAGAATATGTGGTGTTTGGTTTTCTGTTCCTGTGTTAGTTTGCTGAGAATGATGGTTTCCAGCTTCATCCATGTCTCTGCAAAGGACATGAACTCATTCTTTTTTATGACTGCATAGTATTCCATGGTGGATATGTGCCACATTTTCTTCATCCAGCCTGTCATTGATGGGCATTTGGGTTGGTTCCAAGTCTTTGCTATTGTAAGTAGTGCTGCAATAAGCATATGTGTGCATGTCTCTTTATAGTAGAATCATTTATAATCCTTTGGATATGTACCCATTAATGAAATTGCTGGGTCAAATAGTATTTCTAGTCCTAGATCCTTGAGGAATCACCACACTGTCTTCCACAATGGTTGAACTAATTTAAACTCCCACCAACCGTATGAAATCATTCCTATTTCTCCACATCCTCTGCAGCATCTGTTATTTCCTGACTTTTTAATGATCACCATTTTAACTGGTGTGAGATGGTATCTCAATGTGGGTTTGATTTGCATTTCTCTAATGACCGCTGATGACGAGCTTTTTTTCACATATTTGTTGGCTGCATAAATGTTTTCTTTTGATAAGTGTCTGTTCATATCCTTTGCCCACTTTTTGATGGCTTTTTTTTCTTGTAAATTTGTTTAAGTTCCTTGTAGATTCTGGATATTAGCCCTTTGTCAGATGGATAGATTGCAAAAATTTTCTCCCATTCTTTAGAAATGATGATCGTTTCTTTTGCTGTGCAGAAGCTCTTTAGTTTAATTAGATCCCTTTTGTCAATTTTGGCTTGTATTGCCATTGCTTTTGGTGTTTTTGTCACGGAGTCTTTGCCCATGCGTATACCCTGACTGGTATTGCCTAGGTTTTCTTCTAAGTATTTTATGCTTTTATGTTTTTTGTTTAAGTCTTTAATCCATCTTGAGTTAATTTTTTTATAAGGTGTAAGAAAGGGGTCCAGTTTCAGTTTTCTGCATATGACTAGCCAGTTTTTCCAGCACCATTTAATAAATAGGAAATCCTTTCCCTATTGCTTGTTTTTGTCAGGTTTGTCGAAGATCAGATGGCTGTGGATGTATGGTGTTATTTCTGAGGCCTCTGTTCTGTTCCATTGGTCTATATATCTGTTTTGGTACCAGTACCATGCTGTTTTGGTTGCTGTAGCCTTGCCGTATAGTTTGAAGTCAGGTAGCATGATGCCTCCAGGTTTGTTCTTTTTGTTTAGGATTGTCTTCTCTATACAGGCCCTTTTTCGGGTCCATATGAAACTTAAAGTAGTTTTTTCCAATTCTGTGAAGAAAGACAAAGGTAGCTTAATGGGAATAGCATTGAATCTATAAATTACTTTGGGCAGTATGGACGTTTTCTTGATATTGATTCTTCCTATCCATGAGCATGGAATATTTTTCTATTTGTTTGTGTCCTCTCTTATTTTCTTGAGCAGTGGTTTGTAGTTCTCCTTGAAAAGGTCCTTCACATCCCTTGTAAGTTGTGTTCCTAGGTATTTTATTTTCTTTGTAGCAATTGTGAATGGGAGTTTGCTCATGATTTGGCTCTCTGTCTATTATTTGTATAGAAATGCTTGTGGTTTTTGTACATTGATTTTGTATCCTGAGACTTTGCTGAAGTTTCTTATCAGCTTAAGGAGTTTTTAGGCTGAGACAATTGGGTTTTCTAAATATACAATTATGTTATCTACAAACAGAGACAATTTGACTCCCTCTCTTCCTATTTGAATACACTTTATTTCTTTCTCTTGCCTGATTGCCCTGGCCAAAACTTTCAATACTGTGTTGAATAGGAGTTGTGAGAGAGGGTCTTCTGATGGTTTCCAAGGGAATACTTCCAGCTTTTGCCCTTTCAGCATGATATTGGCTATGAGTTTGTCATAAATAGCTCTGATTATTTTGAGATACGTTCCCTCAATACCTAGTTTATTGAGTGTTTTAAGTATGAAGCAGTGTTGAATTTTACTGAAGGCCTTTTATGCATCTGTTGAGATAATCATGTTGTTTTTGTCATTGGTTCTGCTTATGTCATGGGTTATGTTTACTGATTTGCTTATGTTGAACCAGACTTGCATCCCAGGGATGAAGCTGACTTGACCATGGTGGATAAGCTTTTTGATGTGCTGCTGGATTCGTGTTGCCAGTGTTCTGTTGAGGATTTTTGCATTGATGTTCATCAGATATATTGGCCTGAAATTTTCTTTTTTTGTTGTGTTTCTGCCAGGTTTTTGTATCAGGATGATGTTGGCCTCATAAAATGAGTTAGGGAGGAGTCCCTCTTTTTCCATTGTTTGAAATAGTTTCAGAAGGAATGGTATCAGCTCCTCTTCATACCTCTGGTCGAATTCAGCTGTGACTCCATCTAGTCTTGGACTTTTTTTTGTTGGTAGGCTATTAATTACTGCCTCAATTTCAGAACTTGTTATTGGTCTACTCACAGAGTCAACTTTTTCCTGGTTTAGTTTTGGGAGGGTGTATGTGTCCAGGAATTCATCAGTTTCTTCTAGATTTTCTAGTTTATTTGCACAGAGCTGCTTATAGTATTCTCTGATGGTAGTTTGTATTTCTGCTGGATCAGTGGTGATATCCCCTTCATAATTTTTTTTATTTTATTATTATTATACTTTAAGTTTTAGGGTACATGTACACAATGTGCAGGTTAGTTATGTATGTATACATGTGCCATGCTGGTGTGCTGCACCCATTAACTCGTCATTTAGCATTAGGTATATCTCCTAATGCTATCCCTCCCCCCTCCCCCCACCCCACAACAGTCCCCAGAGTGTGATGTTCCCCTTCCTGTGTCCATGTGTTCTCATTGTTCAATTCCCACCTGTGAGTGAGAACATGGCGGTGGTTGGTGTTTTGTCCTTGCAATAGTTTGCTGAGAATGATGATTTCCAATTTCATCCATGTCCCTACAAAGGACATGAACTCATCATTTTTTATGGCTGCATAGTATTCCATGGTGTATATGTGCCACATTTTCTTAATCCAGTCTATCATTGTAGGACATTTGGGTTGGTTCTAAGTCTTTGCTATTGTGAATAGTGCCGCAATAAATATAGGTGTGCATGTGTCTATAGCAGCGTGATTTATAGTCCTTTGGGTATATACACAGTAATGGGATGGCTGGGTCAAATGGTATTTCTAATTATAGATCCTTGAGGAATCACCACACTGTCTTCCACAATGGTTGCACTAGTTTACAGTCCCACCAACAGTTTAAAAGTGTTCCTATTTCTCCACATCCTCTCCAGCACCTGCTGTTTCCTGACTTTTTAATGATTGCCATTCTAACTGGTGTGAGATGGTATCTCATTGTGTTTTTGATTTGCATTTCTCTGATGGCCAGTGATGGTGAGCATTTTTTCATGTGTTTTTTGGCTGCATAAATGTCTTCTTTTGAGAAGTGTCTGTATTTGATTCTTCTCTCTTTTCTTCTTTATTAGTCTGGCTAGTGGTCTATCTATTTTGTTAGTCTTTTCAAAAAACCAGCTCCTGGATTCATTGATTTTTTTGAAGGGTTTTTCATGTCTCTATCTCTTTCAGTTCTGCTCTGATGTCAGTTATTTCTTGTCTTCTCAATTTCTTTTAATTATGATGTTAGGGTGTCAATTTAGATCTTTCCTGCTTTCTGATGTGGGCATTTAGTGCTATAAATTTCCCTCTTAACACTGCTTTAGCTGTGTCCCAGAGATTCTGGTACATTGTGTCTTTGTTCTCATTGGTTTCATAAAACTTATTTATTTCTCCCTTAATTTGATTATCCAGTAGTCAATCAGGACCAGGTTGTTCAGTTTCCATGTAGTTGTGCAGTTTTGAGTGAGTTTCTTAATCCTCAGTTCTAATTTGATTGCACTGTGATCTGAGATACTGTTTGTTATGATTTCCATTCTTTTGCATTTGCTAAGGAGTGTTTTACTTCCAATTATGTGGTCAATTTTAGAATAAGTGCTATGTGGTGCTGAGAAGAATGCATATTCTGTTGATTTGGGATGGAGAGTTCTGCAGATGTTTATTAGGTCTTCTTGGTCCAGAGCTGAGTTCAAGTCCTGAATATCCTTGTTAATTTGTTGTCTCGTTTATCTGTCTAATATTGACAGTGAGGTGTTAAAATCTCCCACTATTATTGTGTGGGAGTCGAAGTCTCTATGTAGCTCTCTAAGAACTTGTTTTATGAATTTGGGTGCTCCTGTATTGGATGCATATATATTTAGTATAGTTAGCTCTTCTGGTTGCATTGATCCCTTTACTATTATGTAATGCCCTTCTTTGTCTCTTTTGATCTTTGTTGATTTAAAGTCTGTTTTATCAGAGACTAGGATTGCAGCTCCCGCATTTTTTTGCTTTCCATTTGCTTGATAAATCTTCCTCCATCCCTTTATTTTGAGCCTATGTGTGTCTTTGCACGTGAGATGAGTCTCCCGAATACAGCACACTAATGGGTCTTGACTTTTTATCCAATTTGCCAGTCTGTATCTTTTAATTGGGGCATTTAGCCCAGTTACATTTGAGGTTAATATTGTTATGTGTGAGTTTGATTCTGTTATCCTGATGGTAGCTGGTTATTTAGCACATTAGTTGATGCTGTTTCTTCATAGTTTAGTTGATCTTTATATGTTGGTATGTTTTTGCAGTGGATGGTACCAGTTTGCCGGTATTTAGTGCTTCCATATTTAGTGCTTTCCATATTTAGTGCTTCCTTCAGGAGCTCTTATAAGGAAGGCCTTGTGGTGACAAAATCCCTCAGCATTTGCTTGTCTTGAAAGGATTTTATTTCTCCTCACTTATGAAGCTTAGTTTGGCTGGATATGAAATTCTGGGTTGAAAATTCTTTTCTTTAAGAATGTCGAATATTGTCCCCCACTCTTTTCTGGCTTGTAGGGCGTCTGCAGAGAGATCCACTGTTTTCATGAAGTTAATCTTCAATTTCTGATATCCTTTCTTCTGCTTGATTGATTCGCTATTGATACTTGTGTATGCTGCACAAAGTTCTCATGCTGTGTTTTTCAGCTCCATCAGGTCATTTATGTCCTTCTCTAAACTGGTTATTCTAGTTAGAAGTTCCTGTAACCTTTTATCAAGGTTCTTAGCTTCCTTGCGTTGAATTAGAACATGCTCCTTTAGCTTGGGAGAGTTTGTTATTACCCACCTTCTCAAGCCTAATTCTGTCAATTTGTAAAACTCATTTTCTGTCCAGTTTTGTGCCCTTACTGGAGAGGAGTTGTGATCACTTGGAGGAGAAGAGGCATTTTGGTTGTTGGAATTTTCAGCCTCTTTGCAGGTGGATTTTTGAAGGTGGATTTTCCTCACCTTCATTTATTTATTTACCTTTGTTCTTTGATGTTGATGACCTTTGGATGGGGTATTGGTGTGGGCATCCTTTTTCTTGATGTTGACGTTATTACTTTCTGTTTGTTAGTTTTCCTTTTAAGAGTCAGGCCTCTCTTCTGCAGGTCTGCTGGAATTTGCTGGAGGTCCATTCCAGGTGCTGTTTGCCTGGGTATCACCAGTGGAGGCTGCAGAACAGCGAAGATGGCTGCCTGCTCCTTCCTCTGGAAGCTTCATCACAGAGGCACACCTGCCTGATTCCAACTGGAGCTCTCCTGTATGAGGTGTCAGATGACGCCTGTTGGGAGGTGTGTCCCAGTCAGAAGGCATGGGGGTCAGGGACCCATTTGAGGAGGCAGTCTAACCCTTAGGAGAGCTCGAGTATTGTGCTGGGAGATCTGCTGCCCTCTTCAGAGCCAGCAGGCAGGAATGTTTAAGTCTGCTGAAGCTGTGCCCTTCCCTCAGGTGCTCTGTCCCAGGGAGATGGGAGTTTTATCTATAAGCCCCTGACTTGGACTGCTGCCTTTCTTTCAGAGATGCCCTGCCCAATCAGGAGGAATCTAGAGAGGCAGTCTGGCCACAGACTCTTTGCTGCAGTGTGGTGAGTCACCCGGTTGAAACTTCCCAGCTTCCTCAATACTGGGAGGGGCAAAGAGCCTACTCAAGCCTCAGTGATGGTGGACGCCCCTCCCCAAGCTTGAGTGTCCCAGGTCAACTTCAGACTGCTGTGCTGGCCACGAGAATTTCAAGCCAGTGGTTCTCAGCTTGCTGGGCTCTGTGGGAGTGGGACTCACTGAGCGAGACCTCTTGTGTTCCTGGCTTCAGCCACCTTTCCAGGGGAGTGAACAGTGCTGTCTCACTGGGGCTCCAGGCGCTAATGGGGCATGAAAAAAAACTCCTGCAGCTAGACCAGTGTCTGCCCAAACAGCCACCCAGTTTTGTGCTTGAAACCCAGGGCCCTAGTGGTACAGGCACACAAGGGAATCTCCTGGTCTGCAGGTACCAAAGCCATGGCAAAAGCGTAGTATCTGGGCCAGATAGCACAGTCCCTCACAGCTTCCCTTGGCTAGGGGAAGGAGGTCCCCAGCCTCTTGTACTTCCCAGGTGAGGTGATGCCCCAGCCTGCTTCTGCTCACCCTCTATGGGCTGCACCCACCGTCTAACCAGTCCCACTGAGGTGAATCAGGTATCTCAGTGGGAAATGCAAAAATCACCTGCCTTCTGCATTGGTCTTGCTGGGAGCTGCAGACCAGAGCTCAAGTCTCTCTTATTTCTTAGTGCATTCCCTGTCTCATTCAAAGTTGCCACTCTCTTCATTCTAAATCTAATTAAGCAAGCAAACAAAATATTCCCCCAATTTTTGCCCTCCCTCTTATTCTTAACATTACATTCTCTACCACTTATTCACTTCAAATGCATTTTAAAAAATTAATAGTCTATGTTCTTTCTGGAAAAATCACTTTTGATAGATTTTAGAAGTTCTGTTGTATAAAAATGGGACTAATTAGAGATTTGAGTGCTTTTTAAAAAATAGAAACCCACACTTACTGTTTCATGCAATTAATACCCTTTTTCATTCTTTGAGATTTTGTTTTGAGGTCTTGTATTTGACATGTGGCTTTCTTCTTTTTTCTACACTGTGTGGCCAAAAGTAATTTATTCAGCTTTCTCAAATATTTCTATTTGTCATCTTTACAATGAAGACACTTGCTCTCTGTTGCCTAGCATAATTTGAAGGATTGAAGATGTTTTATAAAAATTCTGTAATAATGTCTGGACCTAGTATTCACTTTGATCTATCATTCCTAGACAGTACATACTAGTGGCACAATTATATAGTTCTATAGGACCCTATAAAACCTTCTGGATAAGTTAACCAGGGTGAGTTAAACCACTTATCCAGTAATCAGATAAGTAATTTCCAGGAAGAGAAATTTAGAAGTAAAGGTAAAAGTACACAAGAGAAGTAGTGTATGGCTACACATTATACCCATTTGAAATGGCTGATCATTTTTCCTTTGATTTCTTGTAGTAGACATTGAGAAGTCTTGAAAGTGTAAAATATTTTGTCCTAAAAAGTTGGGCAGTTTTACTAAAGAACAAAAGAGAAATGTTATAGTAGTGTGTGAAGCAAGGCAGAAGCAGTTTACTGAGATACCTTTCAGGGTCTCTGCTTGCCTTAATTTGTCTCTGACATGTGTTTTGGATAGCCTGGATAATAACGCTAAAAGATAGAATAATGGTTATGTTAATTACCTTTTAGAGCACATACAGCTAACACAACGGATTTGTGTGTGTGTGGTTCATATGTGTATATATATTTACATATATATAGAGAGGGAGAAAGAGAAAGTGAGCGAGAGAGAGAGAGAGAGAAATGTATCTAAAAAGCTTCAATATTAAAACACACATACAAACAAACAGAACAACGCTTTGTTTTCTGATTCATTTCCTTTAACATGTTTAATCGGTTCTTTAGTTGAGCTGCTTTATAAATAATCCACTTATATTTGGACTTCTGTGAGCAGTGATTTATTCAAAATTACTAACTGAGAGACTCATTTTAGTTAATTTGACTACTTTGTTGGCAAACTGGAAGAATGCCAGATGGCGTTTTGTTTTTTTACTACTTATTTCCAAGAGTAGAATAAATCATTTTTTACTTCCATAAATGATAATTTTAATGACACTTATGATACTTCCTGGGTCCAGGAAAACACTTCCATCTATTCTTCCGTAAACAATTCTTCAACTAGGAAAATATTAAAAATAGGTTAACAGGAGTCTCCCTCAGTGACTGAAGATATAGCTCTCTCTATGCTATGCCTCCTGCTATCTAATTCTGAAAGAACATAGGGAATAGGAGATATCTTCTCTTTCTCTCTTTCAACTAATATACCCTTCTATTACATGACCACAGCTTGCTCTGAAAATTATTTTGTACTAATCTTTTGTTACACTCATGACTATCATAATTAAATAATTGTATGATTATCTATTTAATGATTATCTTACTCATTAGATCTTGGAATTCATAAGCAGATAAACTTTACTATCTTGCTCAAAGCTCTATTACTAATGTTTAGCAAAAATGCCACATATGTGGTAGGAGCATAGAAGCAATTTATTTAATCAATTAGGCTGATGAGAAATGTGAAACTTACTGGAGTTGAAACACATGTACCATTATCTGAATATATTTTGTCAAAAGATTGCCAGGAAATAGTGCTGTGATCTTACAAATTTGAGAGTGTATCTACTTTCTGGACAGTCTATACCTGGATATTTTAAATTCCTGAGAGAGAGAAGTTTTAGGACATAGAAAAGTTTGACCAGAGATATTGGTCAAAAAGTTTTACAAGTCTTTGGTTTAAAAAAAATAAAATTGAACGATTACTCATATAAGATCTAGATAGTGCATTTTTTGCTTTCAGTCCTTAGCATGATGCTAGAAATTATCTGATATGACATGAAAGGATCACTGGGAGCAGGCGACACAGGGATTGCTGAATTTCAACTGAGTTTTTGATCATATTAATTCAAAAAGAGAAAGGGTGTTCTTATTGTGTATTGACATTGATTACAACTCCTCACTGTGAAATCTAATCAGCTTGATAAAATAGTATATTTACTAACTTTTGCCTAATTTAGCACACAAATGAACTTGTTAAAAACTGTATATACCTATTATATACATTAACCTATTTATATTTATCTATTTATATACATCTACATCTAAACCTACATCATTTTTTTTTCACATAATATTCTGCTAAACTCTTATTTATATTCTGAAACAAAATGACCTCAATTAAGGGATTCACATGTTATTAATTTATGTGTTTACTTATTTTGAGACAGGGTCTCATTCTGTCACCCAGGCTGGAGTGCAGTAGTGCTTGGTGCTATCATAGCTCACCGCAGCCTTGACCTTGGCTTAATCAATCCTACCAACTCAGTCTCCCAAGTACCTAGGACTACAGGTCAACACCAACATACCTGGCTCACTTTTTACTTTTTATTTTTGTAGAGATACAGTCTCACTATGTTGCCCAGGGTGGTCTCGAACTCCTGGCCTCAAGCAACCCTCCTGCTTCAGACTCTCAAAGTGCTGGGATTACAGGTGTGAGCCACCTCTCCTACCTCTCCTGTCCTCTCATATCATTTAGATCTCCACAGAATAGATAGACAGATACCTTTTATTGACATTATTTGTGTATAACTCAGGAAATTAGTACCAGCTTTTCCATGAGCCTCCATCAGGTACTCATAGAAATGACTGGAGATACAGTAAGAAATGAGAGGGCTCTCTCTTCCTGGTTGTCTAATGAGGAGGAGGTCAAAGGCTGCCATTAGACAACAGGTGTGAAACGCCACCCACTTCATTGAATCTTTCTCTCATAAATCAAAATCTTTATTGGAAGGAGTCAGCAAATTCTCTCACCTTCATCACTTCCGGGAGAGGAGTAGGAGCAACATCTATTTACTTCTGGCAGGAGGTAACGACACTTCTTCCCATCCCTAGGAACTAGGTAAAGGCCCACTGATCCTTAGAAAGAGTTAGACACAAAAGCTGCCTGTCTGGTCATAGGAGGGAGTACAAAATCCTTCTGGGTTCAGGACCTCATACCAGTAATAAGGAAGTGTCCGCTCTTTCTGCAGGAGGGGAAGAAAGCTCTCTTCTTTTGAATATCTGCCATAGATATGAGGAAGTTTGACTGCTTTGGGAGAGCAGGAGTCAGAATACTCATAAAGCTCTACACACAGGTTCCAATCATATAGATCCTACCTGAGGCTGATGCTGTACCAGTAGAACCAAGAGATCCCCATAGGTAACCCCATGACGACTTTAGCATGGAATAACAAGGAATAACAGTCTACTGCTTTGGGAGAGGTAAGAGCCTAAGCAGAGGTCCTCTCTGAGATGCAGATATCCAGGGACTGTGGAAATCCTAGTGTGGAGCAAAGATACTGAGAAAAACATCCATTGGCTCTCCAGGTACCATACTAAGCACAAGGTAACTGCAACCAGTCACCTGAAGAATTTGGAGACTGTTTCATCAAAGTTAAAGATAGCAACAAAAAAACCTAACTAAAGTCAACTATTCATGAGTTGAGAATTCATGAGAAGAGGCTTGCACAATTCTGGTCAAATATGCTATGGTACCTCAGTCCCTACTCTTCTGTTCTTCTGTGCGTGCTATTTCACATGCATTAAAAAATTGTGGGAACACAAAAAAAAAGGGAAAAAAATGACCCATTTTTAAAAGAAAACTAGTCAATAGAGCCAGACTGAACAGACCCAGATTTGGGAACTATGAGGCAGCATCTTTAAAATACTTATAATTAATATGCTAAAGGTTCCAGTAGAAAAAGTAGATAATACATATAAACTATGGAAATTTTATCAGAAAAAAAGAAAACCATAAAAATATTTAAATGTAAATGCCAAAAAAGAAAACACAATATTAAACAAGAAAAATTCCTCTTGTAAGTTTGTGAGCAGACTAGGGCCTGAAGAAAGAATCAGTGAACTTTAAGATAGGTCACTAGAGAGTATCCAAGACAAAACACAGAGTAATAAAAAAAAATAGTAAAAAAAAAAAAAAAAAAAGAGGTGCCATGGAGAAATCTCAGTGTTGTGTGTTCTAGCAGATGTGTAATTTAACTCCTAGAAATATAAGATACAGCAGCACACGGCAGAAAAAAATATTTGAAGAGGTAAAGGCTCAAAATTCCCCAAAATTCTTAAAAGAAAACAAACCACATATTCAATAGGCCAATAGAAATCCAATAGGAATAAAAACAAACAAAAAAAGTCACCTAGAGATACTATAGTCAAGTTTCTAAAACCAAGAATAAAGTGAAAATATTGAAGACAGCTAGAGAAAATTTTAAAATATATATATATTAGAGCAAAATGAAAGAGCCAGAAAGGATTTCCAATCAGAAACTGCAAGCCAGAACTCAATGAAATATTTTAAAATGCCAGAACTGGGGGATGATTAGCAGCCCATGTGATAAGGTCCCGCCATTGCACAAATCAACGGTTATGGATTCAGTAAGTACTTGGGCTCATAATGCTTAAGAAATACAAATTAAGCCACTCAGGATTTGGACCATTAAAGATATATTTTTAAAAATTGTTTAACACCTTATAATTATTTGAAGCTGCCATTTTCTAAGTCTAACTTGGTCTCTGAATTTTACTTTAACTTATGCATCATTTGTTTTTGTCTTTTACCTGAAGTTTAACTGGCCCCAGGTCTAACTGACTCTCCTTTTAAAATGTCCCTGAAATATGTCCCCTCCTTCTTTCTTTGCCCCTACTGGCTAAGTTTGGTCTTTCTCTTCTTGTGCACAGATTATTGTGGTGATTTCTATTTTGTACTCTGTCTTCCCCCTAAGATTAATTACTCTGCCTATTTTTTATTTCAATCTGAAACTTAAAACTTTTGAAGATTACACATGGCTTACATAAGCTCACAACTCTGTAAGCATCAAGCACAAAGCCTCTTGCATGCTGATCCCTCTTCAACTACTTCCCCTCAAGGACTCTACCTTTCTACTTGCTTTCCTCAGGACCAACAAAGTGAAGACTAACATGTCTTTATTCATTGCCCTATTTAGGATTATTTTAGCCACAGCTAATGTAAATTATGCTTAAAATTGGCTTAAACAATAGGAACACTTACTTTATTATATAAAAGTGGTCCAGAGATAGGTTTGCTTCAACATTGGTTGATTCAGCCCTCAAAGCTATCATCAAGGAACTAGCATTTTTCCATTCTCAGTTTGGTTAATTTCAGTATTAGCTTTAATTTTAGATGGGTGGCAAGATGCTGTGTAAATTTCAAACATTGTATCTAAATGTAACAATTTCTGGAGTAACAAATGTGATTATTTTTTCTTTTATATTCACTTGGAAAATGAAAAGCATTTTTAGAAAATGCACTACACAGGACTGGGTATAGTCGCTTGTGCCTGTAATCCCAGAACTTTGAAAGGCTGAAGCAAGAGGATCCCCTGAGCCCAGGAGTTCAAGATCATCCTGGTGGGGGGGGGGGGGGTGGGGGCGGGTGGTGGGAAGAATAAACTCACTCACTAAACCTTGTTTTCATTTTATTGATCAGAACTGGGTCACATTTTCATTTGATTATCCTTAGACCAATTCAGCCCACTTCTGGAGATGTGTGTGAGTTCAGATTCCCATAACACAATGTGGAAATGGGGTGAATATCTAAAAAAAATCAGAATTTTGAGGAGGAACAAATGAAAAATGGATGTAGGATTAAAAAATTGTAATATTTAATATATGTGTGAGCTTCTCTATTTCTGGAATACCCTGGGCTTATTTTAGATGACACTTTTCTACTCATTTTGCAAAATTTAGCTTAAATATCTTCTTCCTATGTTGTGTTTCCTGATTTCAATTTACTTACTTCTTCATCTTAGATCAGCCAGGATTCAGTGAAAGCCTATAATAAATTACTTATATTTAAATGACATTATTTTTATGCCTTTCCACATAGAAGCTCCCAGAAAGTACCAACTGTGTCAGTCATCTTTACTTATTCATCACTGAGCACAGTACCTAAGTTTAAAGGAAGAGGCAAAAATGTTGAATTGGGTTTTCTACAGCGTTCTCGGTACATATTATGTCAGTTTTCAGTATGAAAATCCCTTGGTTCTGCATGTAATTTTTATACTTTCTGTGTGATTGGCTTTAACATAAAAGATTATTTACTCAGCATGTAGTAAATCAGAACTTGAAAAAAATCAGAGGGCCATATGGATGTAAAATATTTCAGTCATCTGGCATAGATAATAACTTGACAGAGAAAATGTCAGACAAAATTACCCTTAAATGATAATGAGTCCCCTATGGAAATCATGTAACTATTGTATCTCTTTAAAAAATCCCATTCCTGGCTTTGATGAAATATTTATTACAAAATAAATATCTTGTGTAACATATCACTGAGAGTTGTTGATATATCATCCAAATTCAATCTGAATATAGATGATCTTTTTAGATGACAATTCAAGTAGAAATCCTTAGATTTTAAAATTTATTTTGAATAAAACTGCCCCAAAACATTCATTTTTAATTATACATATTCCACACTGACAAACTTTGACCAAGTTGGTCTCTGGGAGATGAATATTTGACTTCAAAGATCACAGTCATTTTAATAAATAAAATGTTATAGATGGTAGCATCAGTGAAAATGGCAGAATACAGAACTCAAAACTTCACCCCTTCACAACCTAACTACAAAAACCTGACAAAGATAGTTGGAATCAACTTTTAGAGAATTCTTGAAATTAATTAAAGGCTTACAGCACCGCGGGTATCATTGGGTCAAGAAAACTGGCTGGATTTTGGTAAAAACAGAGAGTTTTGTGGTGTTTTATCTAGTCCAATCCCCTGTTCCTCAGCTCCTCACGAGTCTTGAAAAATAACAGGCTATCTTTTCAGTACTGGAGGGAGCAGAGCACATTTGGAGCTCTCTCAAAGCCTCATTATGAGAAAGCATTCTTTCTTGGCCTGTCTGGTGGTTCACTGGTAAACTTCACACGAAAAGACTGCCATTAATTGACTCAAATTCACTCACTGCTCAAATTCACTCAGTGTTAAAAGCTTTTCTTTGTGGGACCTTTGTAGAATGTTTTTCCATCAAGGCTGTCTGGGACAGTGAATAAATACTATTAATAGTAGGGGCAAACAATAGACTAACCAAAACGCTTAAAAGGAAAGCCTTAGGATGAGATATCCAAAGGGGCTTTGGAAAGCTCCAACATTCTTGGGAATCTAGAAGGCCATATCCATGTATCGGACTGTACACATGCTCAGGAAATGCCTGAGAAGGTGTCAAAGTATTACTTTAGGCTGATTTGGAGATTCTTTAAAGCAGAAAGTAGTGGCTAAAATGGAGTAGCCAATTACCTGGTTGAATATAGAAAGTATATTCAAACATCCTCACAGGGTCCCCTGGCAGAGACTTGGAGATTTACCTGCTCTAGACACTTAAGGAAATAACTGTCCAATTAACTGAACACTGAGGTAGCTGGGTACAGACTTTAGCGGCTACATTTGACAAACATTGCAATTACAAGCAGCAACACAAACCAACCTTGGGATGGGGATAGAATTCTTTTCTTTCTTCTTTCTTTTTTTTTTTTTTTTTTTGAGACAGAGTCTCGCTCTGTCACCCAGGCCGGAGTGCAGTGGCGCAATCTCCGCTCACTGCAAACTCCACCTCCTGGGTTCAAGTGATCCTCCTGCCTCAGCCTCCCAAGTAGCTTGGATTATGGGTGCCCACCACCATGCCTGGCTAATTTTTGTATGTTTGATAGAAACGGTGTTTCACCCTGTTGACCAGGCTGGCCTTGAGCTCCTGACTTCAGGTGATCCACCTGCCTCAGCCTCCCGAATTGCTGGCATTACAGGCATGAGCCACTGCATCCAACCTCGAGGTAGAGTTTGATTTCTAGAGTTGCTGCGTTACTTTATTTTAAATATCCAGTTTCCAACAAAAATTATGAGATGTGCAAAGAAACCAAAAATTTTGACCCATAAATAGTGTCCAAGGATAGCCAAAACTAACTTGAGAAGGGAGAACAAAATTGGAAGACTCTGACTTGCCAATTTTAAATCTCACTACAAAACTACGGTAACCAAGACAGTGTCATCATGGAATAATGGAATTAACATATAGGTCAATGTGATATAATCGAAGGTATAAAGTTAAGCCCATCTATGATCAACTGATTTTTGATATGGATTACAAGCAGCAATGGGGCGAGAATAGTATTTTCAGCAGTTGGCATTGGGATAGCCTAATGTAAAAGAATAAATTTGAAGTGCTACTTTATACCATATACAAAAACTAATTGAAAATATTTTTTCTTAGTCTATCTGTGCTGCTATAACAAAATACTACAGTCTGGATAACTTAGAAATAATATAAATTTATTTCCTTACAGTTCTGGAGGCTGGGAAGTCCACAATCAAAGCACTAGCATATGATGTCTGGTAAGGGCCTGGTCTCTGCTTCCAAGATGGTGCCTTGAATGTTGTACCCTCCAGAGGGGAGAAATACTGTTCCTCTCATGGCAGAGAAAAGGAAGAGACAGAATTTACTCCCACAAGCCCTTTTATAGTGGCATTGACCCATTCGTGAGGGCAGATCCCTCTTGATCTATACATCACTCATTAGGCCCCCACCACCCAACACTGTAGCAGGTGTGACTTATGTTTCAACTTGAGTTTTGGAGGGCACTAAAACACTTAAACCACACCATGAATCAAAGGCGTAAGTGAAGGAGCTTAAACTATAAATATCTTAGAGAAAAACATAGCCATGGAATAAATCTTTGTGACTTTGGATTACCCAAAGTTTCTTAGATTTGGCACTAAAACCACAAAGAACTAAATAAAATATAGGTAAATTGTAATTCAACAAAGTAAAAAACTTTTGTGCATTAAAGAACACTATCAAGAAAATGAAAAGACAGTCCTCAAAATTAGAGAAAACATTTGCTAATGATGTATCCCATAAGGATCTAATAGCTGGGTTATAGAAAGGCCTCTTATATCTTAACAAAATATCAACCCAATTTAAAAAATGAGGCATGTACTTGATCATAAATTTATACAAAGAAGATATACAGATGACCGAAAAGCACGCAAAAAGATGGTCAACATCATTAGTCATTAGGGAAATAGAAATCAGAACAATGAGACACCACTTTTCATCCACTAGAATGGCTATATTTTTTAATAAAATATGAGTGTTGAAGAAAATGTGGAAAAATTGTAACCACAATTTATTGGTAGTAGAATAAACAGTGGTACATTCACTGTGGGAAATAGTTTAGAAGTTCCTCGAAGACTTATACAGTTATGGGTTGCTTAATGATGGGATACTTCAGAGAAACGCATTGTTATGCAATTTTGTAACTATGCAAACATCATAGAGCTTACTTACACAAACCTAGGAGGTGTAGCCTACTACACACCTAGGCTGTATGGTATAGACTATTCAGGGCTACACACCTGTATATCATATTATTGTACTGAATTCTGTAGGCAATTGTAACACAACTGTATGCATTTGTGTAACTAAGCATATCTAAACACAGAAAAGACAATAAAAATACAATATGAAAGATAAAAATTGCACACCTGTATAGGGCACATATCATGAACAGAGCTTGAAAAATTGGAAGTTGCTCTTAATTAGTGAGCAGTGAGTGAATGTGAAGGTCTATGACATTATTGTATGTTACTATAGACTATACACATGGTACACTTAGGCTATACTAAATTCATAAAAATATATATATTTTTTTTGATAGAGTCTCACTCTGTCACGCAGGCTGGAGTGCAGTGGTGTGATCTCGGTTCACTGCAACCTCTGCCTCCCAGGTTCAAGCAATTTTTCTGCCTCAGCCTCCAGAGTAGCTGGGATAACAGATGCATGCCACAATGTCGGCTAATTTTTTGTAGTTTTAGTAGAGACAGGGTTTCACCATGTTAGCCAGGCTGGTCTCAAACTCCTGACCTCAATTGATCCACACACCTCCAATCCTTCCCAAAGTGCTAGGATTACAGGCATGAGCCACCACGCCTGGACAAAATTTTTCTTTCTTCAGTGAGTTAACATACTATAACATTTTTGCTTTATAAATTTTTAATTTTTTAAACTTCTGATTCTTTTGTACTAACATTTAGCTTAAAAGAAACATTGTACAGCTGTGCAAAAATATTTTTTCTTTATATCCTCATTCTATTAGCTTTGTTCTATCTTAAAATTGTTTTACTTTATTTTTTACTTTTAAACTTTTTTGTTAAAAACTAAGACATGAACATACACATTAGCCTAGGTCTATACAGGGTCAGGATCATCAATGTCACTGTCTTCTACCTCCACATCTTGTTCCGCCAGAAAGTCTTCAGGGGCAATAACTTGTATGGAGCTGTCATCTCCTATTATAACAATGCCTTCTTCTGGAATTTCTCCTGAAGGACCTGCCCGAGCCTGTTTTGCAGTTAACTTTTGTTTTAATTAGAAAGAGTACACTCCAAAATGATGATATGAAGTATAGATAATACATAAACTAGTAACATACTTGTTTATTAACATCCAGTATTAATACTGTATGTACCATACATAAGTGTATGTGCTGTATATCACGTACCACATAACCATGTTTCTTTCAACAAAGGACTGCATATGCAATGGTAGTCCCATAAGATTATAATGGAACAGAGAAATTCCTATCACCTAGTATTTACTATGCTTTTTAATTATTATTTTAGAGTATAATTATTAGTTTTTTTTTGTTGTTAAAGAAAAATTACACAACAGCCTCAGACTGGTCGGACCCTTCAGGATGAATTCCGGAAGAAGACATTGCTGTCATAGGAGATGACAGCTCCAAGCGTTATTACCCCTTCATGAAGATGTTTCAGTGGGACAAGATGTGAAGGTGGAAGACAATGATATTGATGATCCTGACCCTGTGCAAGCCTAAGCTAATATGTGTGTTTGTGTCTTAGTTTTTAACAAAAAGTTTAAAAAGCAGACAAAAAAATTGTAATAGAAAAAAATGCTTACAGAAAAAGAATAAAAAGAAACAAATTTTTACAGCTGCTCAATGTGTTTGTGTTCTAAGCTAAGAGTTATTACAAAAGCGTCCAAAACTTTAAAAAAAATTAAATTGTATAAAGTGAAAACGTTTTAGTAAGCTAAGGTTTACTTGTTATTGGAGAAAGAAAAATATTTTTATAAATTTTGCATAGCCTATGTATGCAGTGTTTATAAAGTCCAAGGTAGTTACAGTAATGTCCTAGGCCTTCATATTCACTCACTCTGACTTATTGAATCACCCAGAGCAATTTCCAATCCTGTAAGCTCCATTTATGGTAATTTCCCTATTTAGATATACCATATTTTATCTTTTTAATTATATTTTTACTGTAACTTTTCTATGTTTAGATATACAAATACTTACCATTATGTTACAATTGCCCATAGTATTCAGTATAGTAGCATTCCATACAGGTAGCCTAGGAGCAATAGGCTCTACAATATAATCTATGTGTGTAGTAGACATACCTGCCAGGTTTGTTAAGTTCCCTCTGACGTTTGCAAAAAACAAAATTGCTTAAGGACACATTTCTTAGAGTGTATCCATGTTGTGAAGAAATGCAGGTCTACTTTTATACTCCTGGCACTAGGCTTGTTTGCACCGGCATCACCACAAATATGTGAGTAATACATTGTGATACAATGTAGGCAATAGGAATTTTTCAGCTCCATTGTTATGGATCCCCTGTTGTATATGAGGTCCATCATTGTCCAATATGGCATTATGTGTTGCATGATTGCACATAGAGTTATCACATGACCCAGAAATTCCACTTCTAGGTATACACCCAAATGAATTGAAAATAGATGTTCAACAAAAAGACATACACAAATGTTCACAGCAGCAGCATTCATAGCAAGCAAAAGCCACCTAAATGGCCACCAACCCAATAATGAATGAAAACATGATATATTTATACAATGGTATATTACTGAGCCATAAAAAAATTCATACATGCTAACAAAATGGATTAACCTTATAAAACATGCTAATAGGAAGAAGCCAGTTACAAAAGGCCAAATGTAGGATTATCTTTATTTGGAAAGTACAGAATAGCAAATCGGTAGAGACAGAAAGTAGATCAGTGGTTTCCCAGAGTTAATGGGAGGAGGTATACAAAGTGACTACTAACAGGTATAGGGTTTCTTTCTAGAATGAGAAAACTGTTCAAGAATTGGATGGTGGTCATGTTCCATAACTTGTAAATATACAAAAATATTTAATTCTACATTTTCAAATAGGGTATTTTATGGTATATGTATTATAGTAAAATACTTTTTAAAATGTATAAATGGTTTATTTTTAGAAGTTGTAGAAATAGCAATGTAAATGGAATATGATTTGTTTCCCCTCTTATCTGCTTGAAAATATAATCTGTGTCCTTTGTAATATCATCAAAAGTCTTGTTCTAGGTCAATTTGCTAAAAATATATATGTTCTATGATCAGTTCACTAAATGTCTAGATGACAAAAAAAAAGTAGACAAAAATCTATACCTAGATTTAACAGAGTTAACCACAGGAATTTTGCTATAAAAGAGGAATGGGATACAGACAAATTCAGACACAGAAATGTAAAAATAGAGAAAATAGTAAAATATTTTTAAGAGAAACCATTGGGAGATATACCTAATGCTAGATGATGAGTTAGTGGGTGCAGCGCACCAGCACGGCACATGTATACATATGTAACTAACCTGCACAATGTGCACATGTACCCTAAAACTTAAAGTATAATAAAAAAAAAAAAGAGAAACCTCATCCATTCACATGAAAAACATTAAATATCTGAGAAATGTTTAGAGTCTAAAATGTGAAATATATGTGAAGTTAAAGTTGAATCTAACTGGATTAAGAAATACCCAGCTAAATTTTTTTGGTGATGTAACTGTACTTGAGAAAAAAATCCATAGTAGTTCAGAGACTTGGTCTTTTTGTTACCTCTGGTGTTAGCCAAATTGGGGTGGAGTGAGGAATTTGCTTGTGTCTGTAACACCTCAGAGAGGCATGACCCAACCAGCCCAAACTGTGACTGAGATCTGAGTACTACTGAGTGAATTTCTGAAAAAAAAAAAAAAAAAAAAAAAATTCTAGAGAAATAAAGGAGATAACTTATAGTATTAAAATCTAGAAAGTGCCACACCTATTGTAACTGCTGCTACTGCATTTCTTTGTGGTTATTTTGTATATGTCTAAGGTATCTTTGTAAATGTTAAAACCAAGAATAAATCACTTAAAACCAAGAATATCTTGTAATAAAGAGAAGAATGTATGTTACCCATTATAGGAAGCATGAGAACAAATAATATAAGAGGTATGGAGCATCATTTTTAAATTAAGAATTATTTAGGCAAGTAGGCTGATTAATATTAACGTGGCAGTGGAGATCATTAATTGTCCCTTTCAAAGCTGTCATCATCTCTTTGTTTTCAGACAGCTGCATATGCCTTGTTCTCCAATTCCGTTCTGAGAGCCTTTTGAGGCACTTCAGTTCTGTTTGTTATGCCGCGGAAAGAAGTGTGGCAGCATGTATAAACTCCAGAGGTTCACAATATCAAATGGGAAGCAGCTGCTACGTAGATAAAAGTGTTTGTAGAGCCTTTTGTCTAGGAGCCAGGGGGACGTAGGGATTATGTCTTTGGCATAAGAGTAGCAATATAATGCAGGGATATATGGCATAAAGTAGGTGAAGATTCACTGCTCTCTTGCTTTAAGTGAATCGATAGCATTAGGCTAAATGTGCCTATTCTTCCTCCTAAAGGATGTAGAGCTGTTGAAAGCCTTAAGGTGCTTAAAAATATAATGTTTTATGCTGAGCAAGTCTAGAAGAAAGCACGCTGCTATAAAATATCTTCTACAGATTTTCAGGTAGAATGGTCGTGGTGTCATTACTTCTCCTTACTATTTTATTAAATAAGTAGAAATAAAACATACACAAGGGAAATTTTTTTTAATGTTATCTAACCTCCTATCTGAATGCAAAGTACGTGGCTAAAAAAGACTAAAAGGGATGATTGCTGTAATCAAAAGAATCTTTTAAATTCTTTAAGTAAGAAATAATAAGAAATAACCCCTTTTAGCTAGATTTTTGTAGGCTTTTTTTGAAGAATGGGTCTGGCGTAGTCTTTACTCCAGGGCATGATCCTCATACCCAAGGTACAGCCTTTCTTGTCTCAGTAGAATGGATGGTATGTGAACAAGATCGCTTGGCTTCCATACAGTAACACTGATGATCAGAATCTCAAGTCAGACTTACAAAAACAGAGATCTCACAGAGTGTCAAGAATTGGCAGTATTTAAAGGACACAGGTGGTGTGAGACACAGACAGAGAGCATGGAGATTTCTGGGCCCATAACAGAGCTCCTCAGGTCCATATTCATACATTAGCACGGCTCTGGCCCAGTTGTCACATGAGGTTTCTATATAGTATACGTTGAACATCACTTACATAAAAGGGAGCTCTTTTGGTCATGAAACATCTTCCATTTGTAATTGCATAGTTCTTGTGACATTTATCAAAGAGCCAGGACTCAAGATTAGATATATTCTACCTTCACCGTTATAGAGAAGAGGGTTCTCTTGCTCGTGAATACTAGTAGCATGTTTGTCAGGAGGCCTGTCACTGCTGTCACATGTTGCAGAGGTGTTTTTACAAGGGAATCTGACTGAGTGATCTTTCTTACCAGGTGTCTTCCAGTAAAGCGAGAGAAAGAATTGCAGTCCTGTTGCTTTTTCTCTGTTTTAGTATTTTTTTTGTTTATTGTTTTCATTTTGAGACAGAGTCTCTGTTGCCCAGGCTAAAGTGCAGTGGCAGGATCATGGCTCACTGCAGCCTCAAACTCCTGGGCCCAAGCAATCCTCCAGGCTTAGTCCGCTGATTAGCAGCAGATTTTAGGGATGTACCACCACCCCTGGATAATGTGTTTTTGTTTTTTTTTTTAAATTCTTTTAGAGACGGGGTCTGGCTATATTGCCCAGGCTGGTCTCAAACTCCTGGTCTCAAAAGATCTTCTTGCCTTGACCTCCCGAAGTGCTGGAATTACAGGTGTGAGCTACCGTGCCTGACAGTCCTCTTCTTCATATTTCCCTGTGTAAACTCTTGGTCAAGATCTTGCCACACATCTCTCAAGTTTATTTTTATAGTTTATTTTACATAATTTTCTGAAACATTTCGTGCAAAGGCATAATCTTAGAAACATTCCATCAAATACCGGGATTTGAACTCTCTAATGCTGAGTAAGAATTCCAACTCAATTGTTATTTTTATTCAATTTTCCAATTATCCAAAGGTTTTAGTATGTATTGATGTAAATATTTAAGTACACATGCAATTTTTCTAAGGCCTGAACCTTCTTTTAATTGTCCATGTTTCCTTCAATTAAGTTCCCCACAACAGGGATCCGGAAACAGACTCTTTGCTGGACTGAACTCTAGTCAGACTCTTAGCCCTCTAGGCCTCAACCTTAGTGTTCGGAATTGTCAAGCCTACATTGCCCAGTTGTAACGACAATCTTACTAAGTCAGTTTAGAGAGAGCTCTGCACCCTTGATAGCTAATCATCTTCAATATCTGATCAAATTCTTGAGCCACCACCCTTCATATTTGATCACTCTGGCCTGCCTTCAGTAAGAATCCTGACACATCAGATTAGCAAGAATCCCCTTTACTCCTGATGTTTCCTGTTAATATTTTTCTGTCCAGTAACCCCATGCTTCTTAGCTGTAAATCTCCACCTGTACAACTGTATTTGAAATTAAGCCAAGTATTATACCAAGGTTCTTTTCCTCTTTTGCAACAATTCCTGGGGAAAAAAGAATCCGGTCTTTATGCTTTAGCTACTGTCCGGCTTTTGTTTCCTTTGACACTCTAAATTATCCTCCTAAGATGCTTTTCATCCTGGAGTCATCATCTACAAAAGTGTATTTTTATTTGACTTTATCAACAAACTCAAAACTCCTTTGTTACACAAGATACTTTTAGCAAAAAATTAACGTTTGACACATCATACATCATTTACAATTATAGTATCATTCTCTGTTCCTTCTCAGCCAGAATGATATTCCCAATGAACCACATATCAAGTACCTGCAGGGATGACTTGAAGCCGTAGTTCAATAATTATGGATCCATTCTGTTGTTTGGACATAATAATACCTCAGATAGCACGGTGCCAGTTTTTACAGACATTGGCATCTGGATATCATTATGTAGTATTGTCCAGCTACATTCCGTAAGGACCATATAGTGTTGTTTTTTTATTTGTAGCATGTGGAAGACAGCCCTCCCTCCCCCGATCCCTGGCTTTTTAAAAATCTTGTTTGTGTTCCTAGAGTAATAGAGAACAATTAGGCTCCTATTGTCCAATGAGATTCTTCCATGATTGAGGCTTATCATGGTTTTCCCATAAATGTACCACCTTAGCCCAACTTCCGACCATTAAAGACATCAAATTTCATAATGATTAGAACATCCAGTAATCCTTTCAGAGGAGGATAAATTTTTTCCAGCAATGAGGGTAGTTCTAGTTTTTTACTAGGATAATTACTTCTTTTCTTTTCTTTTTCCTTTTTTCTTTTTTCTCTTCTCTTCTCTTCTCTTTCTTTTCTTTTTTTTGTTGACAGAATCTCACTCTGTTGCCCAGGCTGGAGTGCAGTGGCACAATCTTGGCTCACTGTAACCGACACCTCCTGGGTTCACACGATTCTTGTGCTTCAGCTTCCCGAGTAGCTGGGATTACAGGGGTCTGCAAACACACCCGGCTAATTTTTGTATTTTTAGTTGAGATGGGGTTTCACCATGTTGGCCAGGCTGGTCTCAAACTCCTGACCTCAAGTGATCTGCCCGCCTCAGCCTCCCAAATTGTTTGGATTACAGGCGTGAGTCACCGCACCTGGCCTAGGATAATTATTTCATTTTTCTACTCTTGTATACCTTAATTTTTTTCCCAGGCTGATTTCAATCCGGTGTCCTAGAAGAGAAGTTTGGGTTAGCTCCAGTGTCTATTTGGGTTAGCTGGTCTTTTAAATGCATTTTTGAAAGATAATGTTGTTGGATATGCAATTATTGTTTGATGGAATATTTTTTCTTATATTTAAAATAGTACATCCTCTTGCTTACATGGTTTCTAATGAGAAGTCCACTGTAATTCTTACCCTTGTTTCTTACAGGTTTTTATCTTTTTACTTCCCTCAATATTTTTCTTTTCTTTTTGGTTATTTGGAGTTTGAATATGATATACATAGGTATAGATTTTTTAATTTTTAATTTTTATGGATGCATAATAGTGGTACATATCTATGGGCACATGTGATATTTTAATTCATGCGTACAAAAATCAGGGTAACTCGGATATCCATCACCTCAAATATTTATTATTTCTTTGTGTTGAGAGCATTCCAAATTCACTCCTTTAGTTATTTTGAAATATACAACAAATTATTGTTACCTATTATTACCCTGTTGTGCTATTGAACACTAGATTTTATTCTTTCTATCTAACTGTATTTTGTACCCATTATTTAACCCTTCTTTTTTGAATTTTAATTTTTTATTTCAATAGGTTTTTGGGGAACAAGTGGTGTTTGGTTACATGAATAAGTTCTTTAGTGGTGGTTTCTGAGATTATGGTGCACCCATCACCTGAGCAGTGTACACTGTAACCAATGTGCAGATTTTTATCCCTCATGCCCCTCCCACCCTTTCCCCTGAGTGTCATAAGTCCATTGTATCATTCTTCTGCCTTTGCGTCCTCAAAGCTTAGCTCCCACTGAGTGAGAACATACAATGTTTGGTTTTCCATTCCTGAGTTACTTCACTTAGAATAATGGTCTCCAATTCCCTTCAGGTTGCTGTGAATGCCATTATTTCATTCTTTTTATGGCTGAGTAGCATTCCACGGTATAGGTAAACCACATTTTCTTTATCCACTCATTGACTGATGGGCATTTGGGCTGGTTACATGTTTTTGCAATTGCAAATTGTTGTGAAATAAATATGCATGTGTAAGTATTTTTTTCATAAAATGACTTCTTTTTCTTTGGGTAGATACCCAGCAGTGGGATTGCTGGGTCAGATGGTAGATCTACTTTTAGTTCTTTAAGGAATCTCCACACAGTTTTCCATAGTGGTTGTACTAGTTTACATTCCCACCAACAGTGTAAAAATATTCATTTTTCAACATATCCCTGCCAACCTCTATTTTTTTTTATTTTTTGATTATGACCATTCTCGCAGGAATGAGGTAGTATTGCATTGTGGTTTTGATTTGCATTTCCTTGATAATTAGTGATATTGAGCATTTTTTTTCCGTATGTTACCTGGCCATTTGTATGTGTTCTTTTGAGAATTGTCTATTCATGTCCTTAGCCCACTTTTTGATGGGATTATTTGTTTTGTTCTTGCTGACTTGTTTGAGTTCCTTGTAGATTCTGGGTATTAGTCCTTTGTCAAGTGTATAGATTGTGAAGATTGTCTCCCATTCTGTGGGTTGTCTGTTAACTCTGCTGATTATTTCTTTTGCTGTGCAAAAGGTTTTTAGTTTAATTAAGTTCCATCTATTTATGTGTGGGTATTTTTTTTGCATTTGCTTTTGGGTTATAGATTATGAAGTCTTTGCCTAAGCCAATGTCCAGAAGGGTTTTTCCAATGTTATCTTCTAGAATCTTTATGGTTTCAGGTCTTAGATTTAAGTCTTTGATCCATCTTGAGTTGATTTTTGTATAAGATGAGCGATGAGGATCCAGTTTCATTCTTTTACATGTGGCTTGCCAAATATCTCAGCACCATTTGTTGAATAGGGTGTCTTTTCCTCACTTTATGTTTTTGTTTGATTTGTTAAAGATCAATTGGCTGTAAGTATTTAGATTTATTTCTGGGCTATCTATTCTGATCTATTGGTCTATGTGCCTCTTTTTATACCAGTACCATGCTGCTTTGGTGACTATGGCCTTAGAGTATAGTTTGAAGTTGGGTAATGTGATGTCTCCAAATGTTTTTTTCTTAGTCTTGCTTTGGCTATGCAGACTCTTTTTTGGTTTCATGTGAATTTTAGGATTGTTTTTTCTAGTTCTCTGAAGAATGATGGTAGTATTTTGATGGGTAATCCCCATCAAAATACTAGTTTTGTAGTTTTCCTTGTAGTGATCTTTCACTTCCTTGGTTAAGTATATTCTTTATTTATTTTTTTATTTTTTTGCAGCTATTGTAAAAGGGGTTGAGTTCTTGATTAGATTCTCAGCTTGGTCACTATTGGTGGATAGCAGAGCTACTGATTTGTTTACATTAATTTTTTATCCCGAAACTTTGCTGAATTCATTTATCAGTTCTAGGAGCTTTTTGGATGAGTCTTTGGTGTTTTCTAGGTATACAATCATATCATCAGTAAACAGTGAGAGTTTGACTTCCTCTTTAATGACTTGGATGCCCCTTATTGCTTTTTCTTGTCTGATTACTCTGGTTAGGACTTCCAGTACTATGTTGAATAAAGTGGTAAAAGTGGGCTTCCTTGTCTTCTTCCAGTTCTCAGGGGGAGAATGCTTTCAACCTTCCCCATTCAGTATAATGTTGGCTGTGGGTTTGTCATAGATGGCTTTAATTACATTAAGTTATGTCCCTTTTATGCCAATTTTGCTGAGGGTTTTAATAATAAAATGTTGCTGGATTTTGTCAAATGCTTTTTCTGCATCTATTGAGATGATGATGTGATTTTTGTTTTTTTAATTCTGTTTATATGGTGTATCACATTTATTGACTTGCATATGTTAAATCATCCCTATATCCCTTAACCAACCCTTCTTTATCTCTCTTTCCTCATTACCCTTCCCAGCCTCTGGTAACCATCATTCTATTTATACTCTATCTCCCTTATATCAATTTTTTTTTAGCTCCCACATGAATATGAACATGTGATGTTTGTCATTCTGTGTCTAGCTTATTTCCTTTAACATAATGGTCTCCAGCTCCATCCACGTAGGTACAAATGACAAGATTTTATTCTTTTTTATGGCTGAATAATATTTTATTTTTATATATACTGAATTTTCTTTATTCATTCCTTCATTGTTAAACATTTAGGTTCCAATATGTTGGCCATTGTAAATAATGCTGCAATAAACATGCAAGGGCAGATGTCTCTTTGATATACTGATTTCTTGTTTTTGGATATATACCCAGCAGTAGGATTGCTGGATCCTATAGTAGTTCTATTTTTATTTTGTTGAGGAACCAAAATACTGTTTTCCATAGTGCCTGTATTACTTTACATTCCCATCAACAGTGTATGAGCATTTACCTTTCTCTACCTCCTCACCAGCCTCTATTATTATTTATCTTTTTTATAATAGTCATTTTAACTGGGGTGTGATGGTATCTCATTGTGATTTTGATTTGCATTTCTCTGATGATTAGTGATGTTGAACATTGTATACCTGTTGGCTATTTGTATGTCTTTTTTTTTTTTTTTTTTGAGAAACATCTATTTAGGTCTTTAGTCTATTTTAAAAAATTGGATTATTTGATTTTTTTGCTATTGAAGTGTTTGAGCCCCTTATATATTTTTGTTATTTACCTTTTATTAGGTTGATAGTTTGCAAATATTTTCTTCATTCTGAAGATTGTCTCTTCACTTTATTGATTATTTCCTATGCTGTGAAAAAGTTTTAGCTTGAGTATTTATCCTGCTTGACATTTTTCTTGGATCTGTGGTTTGATGTCTGCCATTAGTTTTAGGCAATTCTCACCCAGTATTACTCCAAACATCTTTTCTGCTCCATTCTCTGTTTCTTCCTCAACAATGCATATTTTGTATATTTTGAAATTACCCCACAGTTCTTGAGTATTCTGTATTTTTCATTTTTTTTCTCTTTACATTGCAGTTTGGGAAGTTTCCATTGGAATATCTTCAAGATCACTGATTCTTTGCTTATCCATGTCAACTGTACTGATGAACCCATGAAAAGCATTCTTTATTTCCTTGACAGTATTTTTATTTCTCTAACATTTTATTTTAATTCTTTCTTATAGTTTTGATTGATTGATTGATTGATTGAGATGGAGTCTCACTCTGTCAGCCAGGCTGGAGTGCAGTGGTGCAGTCTCGGCTCACTGCAACCTCTGCCTCCCGGGTTCAAGTGATTCTTCTGCATCAGCCTCCTGAGTAGCTGGGATTACAGTCGCGCACCATCATGGCAGCTAATTTTTTTATTTTTAGTAGAGATGGGGTTTTGCCATGTTGGCCAGGCTGGTCTCGAACTCCTGACCCCAGGTGATCCATATGCCTCGGCCTCTCAAAGTGCTGGGATTACAGGTGTAAGCCACTGTACCCGGCCCCTTCTTACAGTTTCTACCTTTCTGTTTACATTATTTATATACGTTCTTGGATGTTGTCTAATTTTTCCATTGTATTTCTTAACATATCACAGTTATTTTAAACTTCTTGCCTAACAATATCCACATATTTCATATCTCAGTCTAGTTTAGAGGTTTGATTTGTCTCTTAAGACTGTTCTTTCTTGCCTTTTAGCATACTTTGTAATTTTGTTTTTGTTGTTGTTGAAAGCCAGCATCATGCATCAGGTAATAGGGACTGAGGTAAATACGCTTTTTTATATAGGCAAATAATGTTTTTGTATAAATTTTTATGTTAATTTGGCTAAAAGTTGGACTGTGTTCAATGTTTCCTATATAGCTGTAAGCACCAGAGGTTAAGATCTCTCCAGTGTTTTTGTTTTTATTCTTCTATTGTTTCTGCATCTCCCCAGCAACTCCTTAAATGAAGTTTGCACCTGGCAGTTCTTTCAGTTATAATTACTTGCTGTCGTACAAGGGCTTTTCTGATGTGGTGGTAATATGAGAAAGGGAGGGAAAGAGTTCTATAATCCTATGTTTTATTCTCAGTCTCTTAGTGGTCAGTTCCTAGGTTGTGACCTTTGCAAGTGTTTCTTAACTTTTATCCCCATTCCCTCTTACCCCGCACCCTCCACCACTTACTTAGGTGAAACAGGAAGGCTAGGAGTTGGAGTGGGTAACTTCCCTTCTCCCATGTTGAATATGGCTCTAGTAATGTGTTTTCCCATGATGAGTAGGTCTTTGTTACAGAGAACACTGGGTATATTTCAAAATGATTACTTTTCCCCTACCCCTGCAAGAATGACATGAGGATTTTCATTGGCTTTTTACTGTGAGAATCTGATGAGTTTCCCAAGGAAAAGTCCCTCAAAGATTAGGGGTCTGTATGTGACTGATTCCCTGTAAACTTTCATGCTCTCTTCATCATCCACATTTATCCTCCAGCAGTTTATCATAGTTGTTACTTAAGTGTTCCTACTAGTTTATGGCTCCAGCAGTTTCTGCATATAGTAAGCTGATCTCAGCAGTGATTCTCTGTATTCACCTGTTTTTCAGATTTCATGGAGGCAGTTTTCCCTGAAACCTCAATTCTTAGAAGGACCCAATAAATGCCATTGATTTTTTTAGTCTGTTCAGATTTTTTTTCTCTTTGTAAGTACGAAAAAGATGACTTTCAGTTTGTTTACATGTTGGAGTGGAAACTGAATTTTCTATGCTGACTTATGGTTTTAAGGCTCCAGTTGCATTAGTTAGTTCACCCTAACTCAGCAAGAAGCATTATCCCAAGTCCAATTCCTAAAATGCCTACAGAATTTCTGGCATGCCAAGGCAGGTGTTAATAAAGTCATATAGATTGCTGCCATTGGACCTTTACAAGATTTGTCAGTTTGAGAAAATAGTGTGCATGCACCACAAAATATTGTATGTTTCATCAAAACATCAACCAGATAGATGTATATTTATGAAAACAGGATATTTAAGCAAACAGAAGAAGCAGTTACAAGTGGATCATAATTCCAAAACACCCTATTTCCATGAGAATGTAATAAAAAAAATCTCTATCTGAGTTGCCATAAAACTTCCAATAAATGTTGTTCGTATCTCCAGAGAGGAGTTATTAATAATATCACCTTCTTTGAGGATTGCTTGGTAACATTTACACTTTCCTTAAGTTCCATTCTTCTCTACATATGACGTATGAAAAGGAGAAGCTCAAGCTCTGATATATTGAGCAGGCTGCAGCAATCTGCTTCCTATCATCAGCAGGCTACTGTCTTGGCAACATATCATTGTAATTTATGACTTGATTAAGAACAGAAACTCTGCTCTTCAACATTCACCACCCTGTATGATTCAATGGTAATATCTCTCTAGGTCATCTGTAAAAATAATCCTAATGAAAAATATAGCTTATGTAAAATATTAGCCTAATGATTGCTATAGTTGGCTACCAGTGAGTTGAGTTAGTGAAATTATGCACTCATTAATTTTCCCCAAATATTTCAGATGATTTTTTTTTTTTGGCAAATACATTAATTAGAAAAAGTCCAGATCACTTTCTCTGAGGAAAACAGATCTGGTATTCTTCTTCTTTCCAGCTTGGCCATTAGTTGGTGCTGGATCTGAGAGATAGCTAAGAGTATTATTTTCTTGCTCTGGGACATTCTCATAGAAATAGTGTGGTACTGTTGTGTTTTAAAATTATGATCCACTTACAAGTGTTTCTTCTGTTTGCTGCAATATCCTGTTTCCATTTGATATGCACTAATTCTGCAATGGTTGGGTTGCCTGGCTTAATATAATATTTAACCATAGGGCTTTACAGTTTCAGAAAACTATAACACCTTCACTCACTATTGGGCCAATATTAAATCTGATGATCTAAATATTACATATTACTTATGGGAATAAACTGAATTCACAATTAGTCTTAATTTGGTGAAGAGAGTAAAGTTATAACGCATTGTAAGGTACTTTATGAAAATTTGCTGTCAAATTTTATGTTATTAGTATTGTATCTTGACCGTTTATATCATCTTCCTTGGGCACACTGTAACAGGAAAAGCCAAGCAAAAATTAGTGAATTTTGGAAGTAAAGTTGTGCAGTTACATTTTCCCCAGTTTCCTCATTCTCTTTACCTAATTTTAGAAATCTTAGTGGAGTCCCTACCTTACTTTCTTTTATATTCAACCTAATGACTCAGTTATTTAAACAATGAAGCCAAACCTTTAAATCTTTTCTACCACCAGATTTCATTCATAACTGGTTTTACAATTTCCCATTTTAATTTTCAGTGAAACCACTGCTCTGTGGATGAAACTGAATGTGATATGTTTGTGTAATGTTTCCTTGCCCAATTTTGTACATTGGTAGTAATAAATTATACATTGTCATCAACATTAATACATACCACTGGACAATATTCTCTGAGATTGTTTCTGTTTTGTAACCAAAGTGTAGAGTAGTGGCAATCCTTGCTAACTCCAATTTGCAGCCCACTTGAACCTGCTAGTAGAGGACCAATATAATTCACTTGCCAGTTATGCCATCCCCCTTGATCATGAGAAATTTGTTCCATAGTCATTTTTAAGTGATTTCTTCCCCATTGACACTGAGTGAAGTTGTTTGTCACGTTAGTTATATCCTCTCTTTTCCTACTGGTGCATAGCTATGCACTCATATGCTTACTTCTTTCATGAATTTAGCTAGCTCTGGGGATCTAACTATTATAGCATCTACCATAGTCAGCAGTGAAGGCATTGAGTTAGGTAAGTCCCTCTGATAACCATAAAGGTAGTTTAGGGTCACCTGCACTCATGCTATTCTTACTACTTTGGAAAGAGTTCTCCATTGCTGAATTGATGATAGAGTAGGTCTTAACTTTTTCAGGTTGGTCTGCAAAACTACTGACTTCACCCACTGCAGCAAGTTAATTGTCACACTGTCAAAAGCATCAGCTGACAGAAGTTTGTTGCCACTTGATGCTTGATGTTTAATTATTAATTCATATGATTTATCCTACTTATGAGTCTTTAGGATCTGTGATATTTCTTCAGATCATTAATTCTAAGTACTTGTGCCAATAATTGTTAACCAAGTTTCTGCTGATATTCCTTTATAAAGTAACCTAACATTTTTCAGTATACTTTTGGGATTTTGTGGTCATTGGGCTGGGGATCCTGCCACCTGCATTGTTTTCTGATTGATTAATGGTCTTAATTTACCTTGTGAGTGAAGGTAACATCTTTCCAACTGGCCACTGAAGCACGAGACAACTTTCTAGGAACAGGAAAAACTGCCTTTAATGCTATTTTGCCCACTACTGCAGCTTCAGATTTTTGAGGTCTGGCTTTTACCTGAGTAACTAGCAAAAGGCAGGGAATAGAAATTTCCACTAATTTCTCTTCTACCTAATACTCTCTGAATATCTGAAAAGCCACTTTCGTGTTTCTGTCTTAATTTCCCCAAAATTCTATTGGAAAGGTTTGTCCAAATATTTTGCCTCAAAGGATATTTTTACTTTAAACAAAGAATAGCTAGTATACCTAGGATCAAATCCTCATTTTTTTTAATCCCTTCTTTCTTTTTTTTTCCATTAATGCCTGGCCATTATGATCCTTGAGACTGAAAGAAACTTCTGTTTACTGTGCCAGTAGGAGTTAATACAAAAAGTGGACTGTTGAATCATATCCACATAGATCAGAGATTTTATCTGGTATTAAACTGTTTTAATCATTTCAAGGATACAAGTACTTGCAGAAAAGAGAAGAGAGACATCCAGAATGCTAATGCTGTTCTTCAGATTCATGGTGCATTAGGATACATTCTGGGTCAGATTTAGTCCTTGAAGTCTCTAAGTTATGCATGAAGGGTGCCACTTACACAAAAGGAAATTAATTTGGTCATTAAACATCTTCATTTTGTTCACTAGTAATTACATAACTTAAGTAACATTATTACAAGAAGTCATCTCCCATCAATCCACACACTTCGGGATTGTTTTCTCTAAGCAAGCCTAGTATATTCCAGGTACATCCTGCTAAATGCATTCTACAGATAAGGACTCTCATACTCCGCTTTTCAGGAGATAATCTTATTAGCAGGTTTGCAAGGGGATTTGACCAGGTCATCTTTCTTTGCTTTAATATCTTGTGAAAAAGAAAAAAGATCCTTTCATTCTCAAGCTGAAACCTAAACATCTCCTATCACCAAGCACCCTTCACTATTTCTGTTATGCTCTTAACTTGGTAGCAGCTTCTCTCTGACAGGCTTTGTGGAGTCTTGTGTTTAATATTTGCAGACAAGTCCTCAGCCAATAATATGTGTGCAATCCTAACATAGATGTATGCCCTTCACTTCCACCCTTAGGGATCCTCCTCTCAAGACTCTGCCCCCAAATTGCAGTCACTTCTGCAGTCCAGACTCCAATTTGTGCCTCTAAGTTCAGTGGGACTACTGTGTTCTGCTTGGCTTCTACCTCACTGTGCTTCTGTGCTGCTCTTCTCAGGGATCAGTCCTGTGGTTCCTGTTGTCCAGTGATTGAAAACTGTCATCTCACAGTTTGTCCAGTTTTATTTTTGTGTATGTGGCAGGAGAGCATGTCCAGTCTTAGTCTATGATTCCGTCAAAGGCAGAAATGGAAGTCCTCATTTTTATCTTATTTTAGAGTTCAGGAGATTTAATTTTTAATGCCCATCTGTCTGCCATAGGCTTTTCTATTCATATTTTGGTTGGGTGAATTTGATCCCTGTTAGGTTTTTCTAGAAGTTAATAGGGATGATGTTTCCTGAGTCTTTGTACATTCAAAAATCATTTATTGTTGGTTGTGTTATATGACTGACAATTTGGTTTAGTGTAATTATTTTTAGTCATAAACGTATGACTTTTCATAAAAGTATGAAAACTAATGAAAGACTCTTTAAGTACTTCATGAATTTTGCTCCATTTTCTTCCTCATTGAATATTTCAGTAGTGAGTCTTGAGGCTAGCAAGACTTCAAATACCTTACTTTTTGCCTTACTGCCCAAAAGATTATTGTTTTTAAAGTCCATATAATTTTCTATGCATACCCTGGAATGGAGTTGGTTGGGCTACATTTTTTTTTTCTGAGACATAGATTATTCTTTTTATTCTATAGATTAATCTTTTCTTTTATATCTGGGACATTTTCTTTAATTGAAACTGTGAGTTTTATCATTAATATGGTAATATCACAGTAATGATTATGAGTACATTGGCTTTTCTTTCTGCTATATCTAACTATTCTTCACATCTTTCCAAATTATTTATATGAATTTAATTATTTTCTTTTCTCTTATTTCTAACTACTGTTTATCTTACTTCAGTTTTCAGCTCTGTTAATTCTCTTTAATGCTCCTCTCGATTGAACTTTCATTGATACGGTGGTTCTACTTTTTCTTCTACTTCTTTATTGAGCTGTCAGTTCATGTATTAATCATCTATTTAATGAATACTTATTGAGGACATACTTTGTGCCAGGCACCTACTAGGCCTTGATATTACATAAACATCATTTAGGCAAATCCCTGCTCTCATGGAGCTGATATTATAATGGGGAGAGAACATCATTAAATTAAATGTTATTGGAAAAAAACAATGTAATGAGAGAGAGTGCTGTGAGGGTATTTTATGAATTAAGAAGTGTGATGGTTAATGCTGAGTGTCAACTTGATTGGATTGAAGGATACAAAGTATTGATCCTGAGTGCATCTGTGAGGGTGTTGCCAAAGGAGATTAACATTTGAGTCAGTGGGCTGGGAAAGGCAGACCCACCCTTAATCTTAGTGGGCACCATCTAATCAGCTGCCAGCATGGCCAGTATATAAAGCAGGCAGAAAAATGTGAAAAGACTAGACTGGCTTAGCCTCCCAGCCTACATCTTTCTCCCATGCTGGATGTTTCCTGCCATCAAACATCACACTCCAGCTTCTTCAGCTTTGGGACTCGTACTGGCTTCCTTGCTCCTCAGCTTGCAGACAGCCTGTTGTGGGACCTCACCTTATGATCATGTGAGTCAGTACTGCTAAATAAACTCCCCTTTACATATACATCTATCCTATTAGTTCTATCCCTCTAGAGAACCCTAATACCAAAAACATCAGAGCACCCTATTGATAAGATGATATTTGAGCATTTCATCTCCTGATTTTCATATTGCCTTCTTTTCACTGAGAACTCATATCCCTGCTTTGTCCTCTGGTTTTTGTTAGAAAATGTGATTTTGTTGAATTTAAAATATATAACTTGTGGGATAATTGGCATTATTTTTGTGTTCAGCATGGCAGCAACTTTTTTTTTTTTGAGATGGAGTTTCACTCTTGTCGCACAGGCTGGGGTACAATGGCGTAATCTCGACTCACTGTAACCTCCGATTCCCCAGTTCAAGCAATTCTCTTGCCTCAGCCTCCTGAGTAGCTGGAACTACAGGTGTGCGCCACTATACCCAGCTAATTTTTTGCACTTTTAGTAGTGATGGCGTTTCACCATGTTGGCCAGACTGGTCTTGAACTCCTGACCTCAGGTGATCCATCTGCCTCGGCCTCCCAGAAGTGCTGGGGTTACAGTCGTGACCACTGCGCCCGCATGGCAACATGTTCTGATTGGTCATTTGATATCCTGTTCCCATCCTTTTTGCATACAATCTTTCATAGAGATCCTGTGCTTATACTGGTTACTCATATTTAAATCGTGAGTATTTGATGGAGAAGGGGGTCTCAGGCTGTGTTCCAGTCTATTATGAGGGTTTTTTTGACATATTAATATTTTGTTTGAGATTTATTTTCAGCATTTATTTCTCTTTGGCCAATCGGTTTAGTGTTGGAAACAGTTTGACATTCTCTCTTCTGACCCCTTGTGGGAGAGCTTTTTCCTGCAATCTATGCTAAGTCTGTTGCTGGATCAGCCTGTCACTTTGCTTCAAAGAGCCAAGTAATTCCAGAGACTTTCCTGTCCCCAACTTATGGTTATTTCTGCTATGATAGACAGAGGGATTTTATTTTGCACTTTGGTTTGTACTCGACTTTGGAAAGGTATTATTTCCTCTTTTTTTTTTTTTTTTTTTTTTTTTGAGACAGAGTCTCGCTTTGTCGTCCAGGCTGGAGTGCAGTGGCGCGATCTCTGCTCACTGCAAGCTCTGCCTTCCGGGTTCACGCCATTCTCCTGCCTCAGCCTCCCCAGTAGCTGAGACTGCAGGCGCCCGCCACCACGCCCGGCTAATTTTTTGTATTTTTAGTAGAGACGGGGTTTCACCGTGTTAGCCAGGATGGTCTCGATCACCTGACCTCGTGATCCGCCCGCCTCGGCCTCCCAAAGTGCTGGGATTGCAGGCTTGACCCACCACCCCTGGCCTCCTAAATCTTTCTGATGTCTGCAAGTGTTAATTCTTTCTCTGCTTTTGTTTCACATTCATGTACTGTCTCCACTGCAGTTGACTCCCTTTGCATATACATTGTGCTTCAGAGTTTGATCTCCCGATTTCCTTGACACTGGGGGGTCTGCATTTTTATTTTTTTCCTTGCCTCTGGTTGAATTGTGGAAAAATAAGTGGATACTTACTTCGTCTTTATTGTGGCTTCTTCAAACAGAATGTCTGCACTAGCAGCATTCATTTTACAGAATTATTATTATTTTTTAATTCTGGACACCTGTGGTATTAAACTTTTCTCATTCAAACAAAAATTAAAAGGAAAAGCAATAAAACATCAAAACAAATCAGGTCTAAGGAACATGAGCTGTAACATCACTTGATCCATCCTGAAACAAGGGTTTCGATGAGAAGCACATGTGATGAAGGAAGAACTAGACAACTTTCAGAATTGGAGTCTGGCAAGTGAATTAATATGAACAGAAATATTGTTTTCTTAAAACAATTTAGTTGCCCACAGGAGCTTGAACAAAGAACACATATCAGAAGTCAAGCTGAATTAACAGGTTTTGTTCTGGTGGAAGTCAACAAGGTGAGACTTCATGGGACTAGTGGTCTTCTTAGAAATATATTAATCAAATATCTTATTTGAAGAATTAATTTTTATAACTAATTTAAAATAATTTTTAAAACTAGTGGTGCCAAGTGTTTGGCTTCTATCAAGTCAATAGGAATTGAAGAGAGTACTTAGATAAATAAATCTTTATTGTGAAATTATTTATTTGTTGCAAAATTAAAGGTAAAAGCCATAATTTTTACTCACAGGATTTTATTTGAAATCATACAAGATATGATAAAATTATATTGGATTTAATTATAAATGTCATACAGGATTAATTGATACATATTATTCCACAATCTTAAGTCACGTTAACTCTATAAAGTGATTTAATAGAAAAACTCAGAAAGTTCACACACAAAAAAAACAAATATTATAGATGTTGAGCACTGGCGGTAATTTTTTAAAGCAACAATTAGTAGTTAGCTTCTGGAAGAAAACGGATAACAAAGTTTTTCTAAGATTGATCATGTACTTCATATAAAATAAAATGAAAGCTGAAAGCTCATGGCAAAAACTTTTCACTAAATACGTTTTAGATCTGATTTTAGAACTTGCACTCCTGTGAGAGATTTTGCGTGTGTGTGTGTGTGATACTCTTAAACTCAGAGCTGTTTCACTAAATAATCTTCCTGTAAAACTTTTTAAATGGTGCATCACTCATCTTCTTAGATACACTCAACAAATGAGCAACTTGTATGCTTCAGGTGAGGCTTTTAAATGCTTCAAAACATTTTATAAACCTAGTAGGACTGGTAGCCAGGGAAAACAAGAGATATTTTGGTATTAGGAGAGTTGTCAGGAGAGTGATTCAATTGTTTACTGTTTCATCTTAAAGAGAAAAAGACTGGCTGCCTCAGGACTGGCTGATAAATAACAATCCCTTAAATAGAAGATCATAAAGATCAGGTTATTCTTTATTGTTCTCATAGGAGCCTTGCCTGACTACCTCAGTCCAAAGGCAAGCCATGCTTTGAAAGGGAAGGCAATGAAGGCTGCATGCAATTTGTGCTTATGAAGGTGATAACATTGTTGGAGTGTTATCTAATGCTTTAATTTTAAAACTGTATGTTTTAAAATATCTTGTTTCTCAAATAAATGTCACACTTAAAAAGCCTTAGAACCTACTATTTGCTAACGGATCTACTCAATTTTCTGCATCTCTTGCTGATCAATTTGATATGGAGTTCTGTGATATGGATCAGGGAATAATTGTTCTGCCACCAAAAATGAGTTTGGGTTGCTCAGGCAGTCATTCAAAGTACCACGAAGTGGGTGGCTTCAACAACATAAATTTATTTTATCACATTTTTGAAAACTAGAAGTTTAAGATCAAGTTGTCAGCAAAGTTGATTTTTTTCTGAGGGATCTCACTTTGGCTTGTTAGATGGCTGTCTTTACATCATCTCTCTATGTGTGTGAGCATCCTAATCTCCTCTTCTTATGAGGATATCAGCCATGTTGGATGAGGGCTTCACACATGACCACATTTTACCTTAATTATTTCTTTAAAGGACTGCAGGTTAGGACTTCAACATATGAATTTTGGGTGCCCACATTTCAGTCCGTGAAACATTCAATTTTAATTTCATTGTGCTCAATAGTTCTTAATTTCACTCCAGTTCTGTGTTTAAAATTAGGTGAGATCACTGCATCAATGTCTTCTAATGGATAGTAAATGATTTTGTCATTGATTGCTGTATTGGTCAGGGTTCTCCAGAGAAATAGAACCAATGGCGGGTGTGTGTGTGCGTGTGTGTGTTTGTGTGTGTGTGTGGTGTGTACAGAGAAGAAGAGAGAGAGATTTATTTTCAGGAATTCGCTCATGAGACTATGGAGGCTGGCAGGTCCAAAATCTGCAGAGTGAGCTGGCAGCATGGATATCCAGGAGGAGGTGATGTTGCAGTTCAAGTATGAAGGCCATCTGCTGTAGAAATGTTAGGAGAGGTCAGTCTTTTTCTTCTATTCAGGCCTTCAAATGATTGGATGAGGCTCACCTGCATCTGGAGGGCAATCTGCTCTACTCAATTTCACCGATTTAAATGTTAATCTCCTTAGAAAACACCCTTATAGAAATATCCAGAATAATATTTGACCAAGTATCTGGGCACTGTGGCCCTGCCAAGGTAACACATAAAATTAACCATCATAAATGTGACTTAGAATAGATGCTTGTATAGACTAATCCACCACACTGTGGCAAGTACTGTGCTAAGCAGGTAAGATAGCTAATTAAATGTTTCACCAACAGGAATACTAGACCCTTGAAATCATAGTATAAGCATGCTCAACTTCTTGTGATATCAATTTTCCACAAATACTTATAAGAATAAATATCACCTTAATATTAAAATAAACATGGTTATATAATAGAGTGTGCCACAATATACATAAGCATTTTATTATGCTTTTAAAGTTATGACACTGGTTGAGTCTTATAGTAATGTTTTAAACATCACAACTCAATACCACATTACAATGTTGATACATTACAACTCTTAATAGTTTTGCTTCTTTCCTATTCTCTAGCATCTTAAATCTCCAAGGGGTTGAAAATTCAAAAAAGCTTCTTGTCCATCCCACTATGTTTCCACGATGTACATCTCTACCAATACTCTCTTTCATACCATTCAAAGTTGTGTATGATATGTGTCCTGTAACATTTTTATCCTTCATTGTGCAGCCCTCCATGTGAGGGTGTGGCATAATATTTCTTCTGTTTTGATTACTTTTCAAGTAAAATACTCTTCATCGATTCTGCTATTTTATTCCTCATAGAAGAGGATAATCATAAAGTGAGAAAAAGCGGACAGAAAAGCGGAGAGGCCCCACATGTTAAGGTTTTCTTCTTCAATATTGATGGAAAACGTAAAACCTCAAAAACATTTTTGAGTTTTGAAATAATTTTTTAACTCTCCTTTCAGAAGTCCATGTGCATTTACACTCTTGTGAGTTAGGAGGACTGTAGCATAAAAGTTGAGAACCTCAGACAATTCTTCACAAGCATCAATAGATGAAATCACCACATATTCTCATTTTACATAGGAGAACACTGAGATTCCAAAAAGTTTTAAATGTATCCAAGCCTATGTCATTGAAAATATATCTGAAAGTTGAACCCAAATCTATCAGAGACTTCAGCCCATGTTTTTGTTTTGTTTGTTTTATTTTCCCAAACCACACTGCATATAAGGAGAGGCAACAGGGAATTAAGGAGAAAAAAATAAACCTTGGTCTCATCTTATTTTTTTTATTTTTCCAAAAAAATTATTGTTTCTGATTGTTTCTGTTTTTAGTTGAGTGAAAGAGTGAAAGTGTATGTGTGTCTCTCTCTCTGTGTGTGTGTGTGTGTGTGTGTGTATGTAGCAAGAGAAGCGAGATGGAGAATAAAAGAAATAGAAAATTCCACTGTGATGCCTCGGTAGTTTCACTGTAATAAATGTATGTATTGGGGATGTCAAGAAAAAGAATCAAACCATTTTCTAAACTGAGAGGCAATAAAATTATAATGAGAGTGCATAATGGAGGGAATATTTTTATAAACAAATGGGGAATAATTAAAAATAAATTTTATTAGAAACTAGAAGTATTACTTAATTTTTTGTTGCCTTGAGTGGTATTTTATAAATTCAAGCCATATAATTAATTCAATAACAATTTTTTAGTGTATTTAAAACAACAATTCAATGCTTTCTATTCTGTCACTAAATCTGTTCAGCTGAATATTCTAAATTACAGAAAGCAAGGCCTATGTGAGGTTCAGAAGACTAAGAATATTTAAGATGAAAAAAGAAAAAGATTTATCTAATGTTATAATTTATATATTATATAAGCCTTTAGTTTCCTTGGTCAGAAACATGCTTTTGTTAGCACATAAATATTAAAGAAGATTGGAAAATCAATAATGAAAAAATTTTAAAGCAGATGGACTTTAAAAATCCATCTGCTGCAAAATTCCTGTATGAGACTAAACACAAACAAAGGTTGAAAGTACTGGGTAAAATGGTTCTGTCAAGACTTTGGCACAATTATTATAAATATCTCAAAGTTGTTAGTTTAACTGAGTAGTAAATTATACGGCATCTTACGTTTGCCAAAGTTGAGTGATAGCTTTTAGTTTCCAATCAAAATATATTTTTTATGATATAAGAAAATACTTGCCAAATTACCTATTCATAATTCAAAGAGTTGGCAAAGTAACAAAGTGGTCTGGGATATTTACATGTTTCTCCATCCATTCATAAATGTATGAAATTCTTTATGTTATAGTATATTCTAAAAGCTTACTTGCTGAACAATTATAAGATGTGTTTATATATGTATGATAGAGCAAAACAGCTATCAGCAATTATTCAGGAACAGATCATAACACATAATTAATTGATATTGTTTAAGAATAATACAAATGTACTTATGTAGTCTTTTAGAGCAATGTTTACCAAGTGCTGGGCAAATGTTAGTCCAATTGCCGGTAACACTGGAATTCTCAGCCTCCCTTAAGTCTTCAATGTTCCGAGTACTCCTGACATTGATCACTGGCAGCTCCCTGTTACTAGTCATCCAGCCAACTCAGAGGCCATAGTTCATAAATAATTGCACAATTGGCCATTTTTCCTACAAAACCAAGTGAGCAACCAGGTTTACTGCTCAAAGTTCTGTGCACTGGGAGGATTTCTCTTCACAGCTGTCCTTTAGCCATGTCCCAGAAAGGGGCTGCAGTGCTATAGCTGTTCACTGCCAAGTAGTGCCTACATATCATGCAGAACCATCTGTAAAGCCGGCCCAAGTTCTCTTTCTCTGCCAACTGGTTATAGGGAAATTTCCATGAGCCCAGAGGTGTGGGCTGGGAGACAGAAGGCAGTGTGGCAAGATTGGGAGCTGTGAAATTTGGGCCACATTTTCATGTAACTTACTTGTGTCTTCAGGGCCTGCTCAGGCCCAATCATGTATATACCACTTACGTTTAATGATAGAGTGCTGCTGGTCGTGCCCAGTCTTATGGATTGGTAGGTCAGATAATACCCAGAACATGATAGGCAGCTCGAGTCACACGGTAACTTGGTGGTCCATAGCTAAATATGCTCTACTAATGCCTAGTAGTAGAACAAGAGCTGTTACTAAAAACAGGAGTAGTTTTCTGCAAAGGATGCCAGGGCTTTGCTCTCAAATCTTGAGAGCTTAATTGCATTCACCTATAGAGACCTATCAAAGGCTTCAAATAGCATTCCTATCTGCCCTTGTCACATGAAACACCATATGGCCCAAGTGACAGAGCAGCTTGCATAACAGCCTGGATCTGCTACAGAGCCCTTTTTTGTTCTGGGCACCACTTAATACTAGCAGCTTTTTGGATCACTAGATACAGTCCAGAGAAACACAACTGAATAAGAAATATTTTGTCCCGCAAATAAAAAGAGACCCCCTAGACATTTAGCCTTTTTCTTGATTGCAGGAGGGAGCAGATGTAACAACTTATCTTTCACCTCTGAGAGATATTTTTGTCATGTCCCATACCACTGAACTTCTTGAAATTGTACCATGGCCTCTGAGCTTTTGTTTCCCACCCTCTGACACAAAAAGTCTTACTGATAAGTCTAGAGTTGTTGCCATTTCTTGCTCACTAGGCCCAGTCAGCATAATACCATCAGTGTTATGGACCATGTGATATTTTGTGGAAGGGAAAGGTGATTGAGATGCCTGCAAACTAAATTATGACATAGGACTGGAGACTTGATATATCTCTGAGGCAGGACAATGAAGGTGTATTGCTACCCTTGCCAACTGAAAACAGACTGATTCTGGTGGTCCTTATTGCCAGGAATGGAGAAAAAGGTTTTGCCATTTCAATAGCTATATACCAAGTACAAGATTTGCTAATTTGCTCAAGCAATAAAGCCACATCTGTTACAGCAGCTACAATTGGAGTCATCACTTATAATAAACATATGATAACTTGCTGTCATACCCCAAGATCTGTCTGGCTTCTACACAGGCTAAATAGGAAGTTGAATGGGGTGTCAGAAATGGGTCCTGAGAATAAGCATTGTCTTAGATGACAACTGCCACAGGGAAGGCCATTATAGTTTCCTCAGGCAAGGCAGATTAATTCCACTAGTTCAGTGGAGAGGCTGATACCACTAGGTATGAGAATGCCTGCTGGTGGGGAGCCTGATTCTACTGGGGATTAGGGAGGCTTCTTCCACAGAAGGTTGAGAAGCCTCTTCCTCTAGCAAAGAAGCCTCATCAAAATTTAGGAGCTCAATGTCCCTCGATTCATCAGAGTATTCCCATACATCCCTATTCCAACTCATAGGATTCCATTCTTTCCTAATAAATGCCCATACTTGAATGGTAGACAGTCTATGAGACTAGCAGTTCAATTTGCCTTCTAATTCAGCCAGTCACAGGATAAGAGTTGACACTGGATTTTAAGCAATCTCAACCCTGCAAATATGGGTGATAAGGGTCTCTTTCAGGGCACATATAAATGCTTTCAGGGCATGTGTGTGTTGCTTAAGCTGTGAATTCAAATTTCTGAGCTCATTTTTTTCTTTCACCACTTTGACCAGTGAAGTTAGATGCAACTAGCCAATGTCAATACATTTTATAGCTTTCTATAAATATTCAAAAGTACTCAGAACTCAGTTCCTTTTTTCTTATAAGTTGCTGATTAGAAGTATTGTATCCAATGCAGATAGTTTGCGTGTCTCTATTACCAATTCATGCCATAGACTATCAGTACTCTCTTTACTACTAAAAATAAAATCATTAGCGTCTTTAATCACGTTGGAGAGCCAATTTCAGAAATTCCAGAACCAATTCAGAAAACTCATTTTTAAAATTCTGTTCCTCTAGAACAAGGGTCCCCGTGGCCTATTAGGAACTGGGCAGCACAGCAGGAGGTGAGAGGCAGGTGAGCCAGGGGAGCTTCGTCTGTATTTACAGCCACTTCCCATTGCTCACAATACTGCCTGAGCTCACCTCCTGTTAGATCAGAGGAAGCATTAGATTCTCATAGGAGGACAAACCTTATTGGGAACTGTGAATGTGAGGAACCTGTGTTGCACACTCCTTATGAGAATCTAATGCCTGATGATCTGTCACTATCTCCCATCATCCTCAGATGGAACCATTTAGTTCCAGGAAAACAAGTTCAGGGATCCCACTGATTCTACATTATGGTGAGTTGTATAATTACTTCATTCTGTAATACAATGTAATAATAATAGAAATAAAGTGCACAATAAATGTAATGTGCTTGAATCATCCTCAAACCATCCCCCTGCCCCCATCCATGGAAAAATTGTTTTCTACAAAACCAGTTCCTGGTGCCAAAAAGGTCAGGACCACTGCTTTATAATCATTCTCAGTACTAAATCAATGTTTTCCAAAGAAACAGAACCGGTATGACTATGTAATTATATGTATGTATATATGTGTGTATATATATTCCAGGCATATATAATATATATATTATAATATATATGAAAATATATTATGTAATTATAGATATATGTATGTATATGTGTGTACATATATATAGGGTGTGTGTATATACATGTATATATATTCACATACATATATACACACATATATACATATCTATGAGATATTTAATATAAGGTATTAGTTCATGCAATTATGGAGGATGAGAAAATCAATGATCTGTTACTTGCAAGCTGGTGGTGACCCAGGAAAGTCAATGGGGGTAGTTCCAGTCCATGTCCACAGCCTGAAAACCAGGAGAGCTGATTTAAGTTCCAGTCTGAGGGCGTGAAATGACAAATAATTAGCTCAAATCATCAGGCAGAAAGAGAGAGCAAATTCTCCATTATGTTGCCTTTTGTTCTATTCACGTTTTCAAAGAACTGGATGAGGCTCACCCACATTGGGTAGAATAATCTGTTTTACTCAGTTTAACAATTCAATTCCAACCTTATCCAGAAATGCCATCACAGAATAAAATCTGACCAAATGTCTGAGCACCCCATGGTCTACACAAGTTTACACATAAAATTATCAATCACACTCTCCTAACCGAATATTTTGGTTCTGGATCACTGTTTCTCCCAAGTATTTTCCTCTCATCATTCTAGCTTGCTTCAACCACCACATAGATATATTTGTAATACCCAGACTCTCATTTAATTGGTACCCCTAATTTTAGTATTTTTTTTCATCCACCCAACCTTAACCCCTATGGCCTTGAAAGTACCTAGACCCAGAGAATTAGATTTCTATGATCAGACTTCGTGCATTAAGGCAATACTTCCAAAACTTTAATGTGGATAAAAGTCACCTGTGACACTTTTTAAAAATTTAGGCTGATTTGGTAAAAGTTTGGAGTGAAGTATTAAAGTCTGCATCTCTAACAAGATACCGGTGGTACCAATGCTGCTGCTCCCTGGATCACAGCTTGCTTACTAAGGTGTTTTGATACCTCGTAGAAGCTAACATGTCAAAACAACCACAACCTTCAGTGTTTAAAAAGAAGTTATTCTTTCTTTATCACATAATAGTTTAGACGTATAAAATCTAGTTTGAAAAGATAGTTCTGTCCAGTAATTAATTCAGAGACCCAGGTTTCTCCATGGTGTCATTATGCCATTCCGTAGGGGGATGTATAGTTGTATCTCACTTGCCTGTACTATAGGCTTACCTCCCTTTATAGTGGTTCACTTTATTATGCTTTGAAGATGTTGCAATTCTAACAAATCGAAGGTGTATCTCAACCCTGCATTGAGTTAAGTCTTTTGGCATCATTTTTACAATAGCACGTACTCACTTCACACCTCTGTGTCACATTTTGGTAATTCTCAAATATGTCAAAATTTTTCATTCTTATTATATCTATTATGGTGATCTGTGATCAGTGATCTTTGGCATTACTATTGTCATTGTTCTGGGGAGCCACAAACCGTGCCCATATAAAACAGTGAACTTAACTGATAAATATTTTGTGTGTTCTGACTGCTCCAGTGACTGGCCATTCCTTGTACTTTCTTCCTCTCTTTGGGCCTACATATTGGCTGAGGCACAATAATATTGAAATTGTGCCAGTTAATAACTCTACAATGGCCTCTAAGTGTTTAAGTGAAAGGAAGAGTAGCAGTCTCTTACTTTCAGTTAAAAGCTACAAATGATGAAATTTAGTGAGGAAGGCATGTTGAAAGCCATGAAAGGCTAAAAACTGGGCCTCCTGAGCCAAACAGTTAGCCAAGTTGTAAATGCAAAGGAAAACTGCTTGAAGGAAATTAAAAGTGCTACTCCAATGAACACGTGGATGATACGAACATGAAACAGCCTTACTGCTGATATGAAGAGTGTTTGGGTGATCTGGATAGAAGATCACATTAGCCACAACATTTCCTTAAGCCAAAGCTTAATTCAGTGAAAATCCCTAATTCTCTTCAGATCTAGGAAGTTTAAAACAGGTGAAGAAGCTGCAGAAGAAGTTCATGAAATTTAAGGAAAGAAACCATCTTCATAACATAAAACTGCAGGATGGGATTTATCCCAGGGATGCAAAGATGGTTCGACATGTGCAGATTGATCAATGTAACACATCATATTAACAGAATGAAGGATAAAAACTGTATAATAATTTCAAATGATGCTAAAAAAAGCATTTAATAAAATTCAACACCCTTTCACAATAAAAACCCTAAAAATACTGGGTATAGAAGAAATATACCTCAACATAATAAAAGCTATGTATGACAGACCCATAGCTCATATCATACTGAATGGAGCTAAAATGGAATGTCTTCCTCTGAGATTTGGAACATGACAAGAATTCTCACTTTCACTGCTGTTGTTTAACATAGTACTGCAAGTCTTAACTAGAGCAATCAGACAAGAGAAAAAAATAAACAACATCCAAACTGGAAAGGAAGAATTAAAATCTTGTTTGCAGATGATATGATCTTATATTTGGAAAAATCTCTACCAAAAAAGTATTAGAACTGATAAACAAATTCTGTACATTTGTAGGATATAAAATCAACATACAAAATTTACTAGTATTTCTATATGCCAACAGTGATCTAAAAAAATTTAAAAAGTAATCCCACTTACAATAGCTACAAATAAATTTAAATATCTAGAAATTAACTTGACCAAAGAAGTGAAAAATCTCTACGAGAAAACCTATAGAACACTGATTAAAGAAATTGAAGAGGACACACACAAAAAGGAACAGTATTCCATGTGTATGAACTGGAAGAATCAATGTTGTTAAAATGTCCATACTACCCAAAGCAATCTACAGATTCAATGCAATTCCTATAAAAATACCAATGACATTCTTTAGAGAAATAGAAAAAAACATAAAACTTATATAGAACCACAAAAGACCGAGAATAGCCAAAACTATCCTTAGCCAAAAGAAGAAAACTGGAGAAATCACAGTACCTGACTTCAAATTATACTGCAGAGCTACAGTAACCAAAACAGCATGTTACTGACATAAAAACAGACACATAGACCAGTGGAACAGAATAGAGAGCCCAGAAACAAATCCGTGCACCTACAATGAACACATTTTTGACAAAGGTGCTAAGAACATACACTGAAAAAAAGACAGTCTGTTCAATAAATGGTGCTGGGAAAACTGGATATCGATATGCAGAAGAACTAGACCCCTATCGTTGCCATATAAAAAAATCATGTCAAAGTGGATTAAAGGCTTAAATCTAAGAACTCAATCCATGAAACTACTACAATAAAACATTGGGGAAACTCCAGGACATTGGTCAGGGCAAATATTTCTTGAGTAATACCCCACAAGCACAGGTAATCAAAGCATAAATAGACAAATAGGATCACATCATGTTAAAATGCTTATGCACAGCAAAGGAAACAATCAACAAAGTGAAGAGACAACCCACAAAATGGGAAAAATATTTGCAAACTTCCCGTCTGACAAGGGATTAATAGCTAGACTATATGAGGAGCCCAAATAATTCTACAGGAAAAAAATCCAGTAATCAAATAAAAAAATGGGCAAAAGATTTGAATAGGGGTTTTTCAAAAGAAGACATACAAATGGCAAGCAGGTATATGAAAAGATGTTCAACATCATTAATCATCAAGAAAATGCAAATCAAAACTGCAGTAAGATCTTATCTCACCCCAGTTAAAATGGCTTTTAGCCAAAAGACAGGCAATAACAAATACTGGTAACGATGTAGAGTAAAGGGAATTCTTACACACTGTTAGTGGGAATATGAATTAGTACAACCACTATGGAGAACAGTTTGGAAGTTCCTCAAAAAACTAAAAATTGAGCTACCATATGATCCAGCAATCCCACTCCTGGGTATATACACAAAAGAAAGAAAATCAGTATATCAAAGAGATACCTGCACTCCTATGTTTTTTGCAGCACTGTTCACAATAGCTAGGATTTGGAAGCAACCTAGGTGTCCATCGACAGATGAATGAATTAAAAAATATGGTACATATACACAATAGAATACTATTCAGCCATAAAAAGCAATGAGATCCTGTCATGCAATAGCATGAATGAAATTGGAGATTGTTATGTTAAGTGAAATAAGCCAGGCACAGAAAGACACACTTCACATTCTCACTCATTTGTAGGATTTAAAAATCAAAATAATTGAACTCATAGAGATAGAGAGTAGAACGATGGTTACCAGAGGCTGGGAAGGGTAAGGACAGTGGGGAGGTGGGGATGGTTAATGGATACAGAAAAATAGAAAGAATGAATAAAACCTAGCATTTGATAGCACAATGGGGTGACTGTAGTCAATAACAATTTAATTGTACATTTTAAGATACCAAAATAGTATAAATGGATTGTTTGTAACATAAAAGATAAATGCTTGAGGAGATGAATATCCCATTTTTCATGAAGTGATTATTACTCATTGAATGCCTGTGTCAAAATATCTCATGTACCCCATATATATATACCTATTAAGTACCCACAAAAATTAAAATTAAGAATTTTTTAAAAAGTGCAAGATGAAGCAGCAAATGCTGGTATAGAAGCTGCAAGTTATCAAGAAGATCTAGCCAAGATCATTGATAAAAGTGGCTACACTAAACAATGGAGTTTCAATGTAGACAAAAGAAGCCTTCTACTGGAATAAGACACCATCTAGGACTTTCCTAGTTAGAAAGCAGAAGTCAGTGCCTCGTTTCAAAACTTCAAAGGACAGGCTGAGGGTTATCAGAGAATAAAGCAGCTGGTGCCATTAAATTGAAACCAGCACTCACTTACCATTCCAAAAATCCTAAGAGCCTTACAAATTATGCTAATTCAAATTGGCCTATGCTCTATAAGTGGAACAACAAAGCTTGAAGAGCAACACATGTGTTTCTAGTATGGTTTAATCATTATTTTAAGCCCACTGTTGAGCTCTATTGCTCAGAAACAAACAAACAAACCAACCAACATTCTTTTCTAAATATACAGCTCACTGACAGTGACCTCATCACCCAAGAGCTCTGATGGAGATGTACAAGAAGATCAATGTTATTTTATGCCTACTAACACAACATCCATTTCGCAACCCATGGATCAAGGAATAATTTCTACTTTTGAGTTGTCTTATTTGAGAAACACATTTTATAAGGTCATACTTGCCGTAGGTAGTAATTCCTCTGATGGATCTGGAGAAAGTAAACTGCAAACCTCATGGAAAGCATTCACCATTCTAGATGACATTAAGAACATTTGTAATTCAGTGGGGAAGGTAAAAATAACAATATTGGCAAGAATTTGGAAAAAGTTAATTCCAAACCTCATGGATCACGTGATGGGATTCAAGACTTCGGTGGAGGAAGTAACTACATTATGTAGTGGATATGGCAAGATAATTAGAAGTAGAGCCTGAAGATGGGACTTGAATTTCTGTAATCTCATGATAAAAATGGAATGGATGATGAGTTCCCTCTTAGGAAAGAACAAAAAAAATTGTTTCTTTGGATGGCATCTGCTTCTGGTGAAGATGCTGTGAATACTGTTGAAATGACAACAAAGAATTTAGAATATTACATAAACTTAGTTGATAACACTGTGGCAGTGTTTGAGAGGACTGAATAATTTTGAAAGAAGTTGCACTGTGAGTGAGATGCCATCCAACAGCATGGCATGCTACAGAGAACTCTTTCACGAAAGGAAGAGTCAATCAATATGGTAAACTTTATTGCTGTCCTGTTTGTAAAAATTGGTGCAGCCACTACAGTTTCCAGCAACCACCACCCTGATCAATCAACAGCCATCCACATCAAGGCAAGACCCTATACCAGCAAAAAGATTAAGATTTGCTGAAGGCTCAGATGATCATTAACTTTTTTTTTTTTTAGCAAAAAGGGATTTTAAAGTATGTATATTTTTTAGACATAATACTATTGCATGCTTAATAGATTATACCATAGTGTAAACATAATTTTTATATGTACTAGAAAACCAAAAATTTGTTTGTCTTGCTTTATTGTAATATTTGCTTTATTGCAGTGGTCTGTGGTCAAGCCTGTAATACCTCTGACTTATGCTTGTATAGACTATGGGAATTTATTGTTTGAGAGGGACAGTGTAGGGAGTCCAGGGAAAATAGCTTTCCCTTATAGAGATGATCTAAATGCAGCAACCATCACTTCTATAGCCACATATAGCTTCAGGGACGGCTGAAAAATATAGTTTGTAGCTTGGCATTCATATACCTAGATGAAATTTGAGTGAGTCTGTGCTGCAAAAAAGAGATAATGGACTTTGGGGAAATGTGAGTAGTCTCTATCACTTCTTACGTTAATAACAATAGCAATACCTCTGAAATCTTGAGTTCAACTAGTCTACACTGTCCAGCACCTCCCTATCAATGCTCTAATAATTCTCAGATCTCACATCTATTGCCCCATCCACTTTTTCATTATCAATCTCCTCGCCTCCCCAGGAGCTTCTAAATTTTCTTCTTTGCCTTCTTTTTTCCATAGTTTGGCATTATAATCACTTTCAGAATGCTGTTAGTGTCCCTTTCTTCTCTCTTGCTGTCATAGGTATCTTAAAAACATCGAAACCAGTCTACTTAGAGTACCGTAAAAATGTTAGCATAACAGAGAACTCTTACTTGACCACCCAATTTGAAATAGCCCTCCCTCCCATGCAAGGTTGATTCTCTAATTCCAATTTTAATTGTTTTCACAATACTTACCACTACTATAAATTGTGTTATATAATATATTTGTGTATTTACTTTTTTGTCTGTTTCTTCTATTAGAACTGCATATGGGCAAATATTTTATTCTGTTCACTGCTCCTTCTTCAATATATGAAAAGGTACCTAGTATAGAATAATGCTAAGTAAATATGTTTAAATGAATGGATGAATTAATAACAATGGGAAGGAAATAAAGTAGGTGATGGTATTCAGTCAATTCAATTTTATGTTGACATATAATGTATACACATATTTACAAATATAAATATATAGGTCATTAATAACCTCAAAGAATAATAGAACTAAATAGAAACTTAAAAATTATTTTAACTACCAATGTTATAAAAGAAACAAAATTGCAGAAGTTTCTCTATGATATCTTTAAATTAATACTTCAACTCTTAATGAAAGATAAACTATCTTTAGACTATGTTTCCCCTTGTAATGGAAATAATAGATATTGTATAGAGATAATATCTCTATATAAGTATTAATATAAATTTTCTATTTTAATATTTTCACATAAATAGAAATATTTTTTGACTGGAAATCTTTAACCAAAATGACATTTAAACCAAAATGACTAACCAAAATAAAGAATCAAATAATTAAAAGATGAATCATATTGTTACTATGAGGTACCATATGGAGGGCAACTCTTAGGAGGTAAAAGTCAAAAAACAATGAACTGGCAAACCATTTGTGCTTTAGGACTGAGAAGGTTTTGGGTTCTGTCTCAGCTACCATCATCTCTCTAATTTCAGTTTATTTGTTCTAGGAAGGCAGGGATTCTATGAATAAATGAATCTACTGCTACAGGAAGAAGGGAATAATAGACATGGGGGAACTGTGGGTACTCTCCACAACAGCCCTACAACTTTTGATAGATGACTTGTGCTTAGATACCCTAAAAGACTTCTATTTAATATGTAAACCTCATTAGTACTGAGTGAGATTTCAAGAGTACTTATGCCACACTCATTTCTACAATGTCCTTTGTTCTGTTATGCGTAGCATATAACCCAATCCTTTAGCATGCCCTACTAGTTCAGCTGAAGCTGACCCCAAAATGGATTTCGGCTTCTCCCTTCAATCTAGTCGCTGTAACTCTTGCTGTTCCCTAGGAAACAATGCAAGCTTAAGAGCCTCCATGCCTTTGCCTGAATTGTTTTCTCTGCCTCAGATTCCCTTTATTTATTCCATGTCACATTTACTCTTTCCCAAATGCCATCTTCTTATTTAGAATCCCCAAGTAAAATGGTTGGCTTCATTGTGCTCACTTAGTACTTCTAAATAGACATCTGTTTTTGTATTTTTCACACCATTTTGCAATTATTTGATTACTGTATCTAATTTTCTGATGACAACATGAACTCCTTGAGGTAAAACCAGAAACTTATGTATTTTTTGTAGCAGAGCTGATTATCAAATTCTTTCAAAGACAAAGCTTTTTCGTTTTTTTTTCATTTAACAATAACAAACTAAAGAATTAAATGTAAAGATCTTTATCAACTACAGTTCTATACCTGTTTAAGATAGAACCTGGATTTGAACTAATGAATAGTGAAAATTGCTCACTCAGTTATCAACATGCCCAATTTAGCCTTTTTAATAAGAGCATAAGTCTTCTAGGAGCAGGAGGGTATCAAGGAACAAAAAAACCTGAAGAACAGGCACAGAAGCCCAAATCATAGCTACACATCTAGGATAATTTTCAGGAATGTGGTTATTTCTGCCAAGACAATCCTTTCTAGAAGATTCTATAATCAAGGAATTACCCTACGTTACAGTTGTAGTATATTTAAAATAAAAATTTTAAACTTAGTAACTTATGGAAGTTTTTGGAAGTTTGTGAAGCACAGAAAAGCAGAAACATTAAAATAATAAGTGCCATAATTCCACCTTCAGACATTCACCATGGTGTCATTCTGTTTTGTTTTTTTTACCTATAAAATTTTGCAGTTTATATTCAATTTATAAGAATGCTCATTGATTTAATAATGTTTTACTTAATTTTGTCAATCTGCTAAGCAAAGTGATATTGCAAAGCTATTTTAATGGTTTATTATAGAATTTGAATTTCCAATATATGTTTTCCTTTTAATTAGATTATTCCACATCCCTTGTTTCAAATTATCTTGGCTTTTTTTGGAAACTGTGAATAAATTGCTACAAAATGTTCTGGTAAAAAGTTTTAATATGAAACCATCTTAAATTAGGCTGTTATACAAAAGAAAAAATATTGCTTATATGCTAGATATTAATCTAAAATGGAACTTCACAAACACTAGAAGTAGATCCTAAGAAATACTTATTATTTTGCCTGCACAGCAAAATAAATAAAAAAACTCACAGAATAAGTATATGTTTTCCTAAGGAAAGCAATGTATTTTAAAAAGGCCTGGAATATTTTATTTTCCACATTTTCCCACTCTTCCAAAGTATTTGTTGGTTATAGGGACTCCCAATTACCATTGAGGCTGAAATCACCTTTTGATTAAAAAAAAATTCAAGAGTCCTTATAGGACATAAAGGTGAGTATAAATAAATGAAGTCTTATAACCTAAACATCCTAGTCATAGTTTGCTATATAGTTTCTCTGAGTATTTTCACTACAGATAAAAGAACTATGGGATTCCTATGAACTTGTTTATGAAGGAAACACGATCCCCTAATTTTCAGATAGATTTTAGATGGGATTTATACAGACATCTAGAGAAATAAGAACAAAATATAATGCCTTAAGATTGAACTCTGAGTAGTTTCTAAGGAAGAGAGTAACTGTGGAGTCCTACTTAGAGAACTAAGCTTGTATTGTTATGTCAAGTAAAAGATCAACAGCTTTGAAAAAGATAAGATTTAAATTCTTCCATGTGTTGGTATCAAGGCCATTATTGAAAGTAGAATAAATCTCAGTTTAGTATCCTGATTTTCTAGCAATTCTGGGGCTAGGTAATGGCAACATTTTAATTTCTCACATAAAAATAAATAGAAAAATGATTAGATTGGTAATGCGGTGATATGTCTTATAATATTCTTGATAATAATTTTCATATACTAAATTTTTTCTTTAGCTAGGAAAAAAGAATCCAGGATCAAAAGTTATTCATCCTTTGATTAAATGAGCAAATGTTAGAGTACCTATTATTACAAATAAAAATCAATCAACAGTGTGACTAATTGGCATATATAACTCATTTAATCTCTTCTTGAAAATATGGTCTTTCTGAATGAATGGTGCTGCTTTTGATGGGGCTGCTATATGCAGTACTCAAATCATGTAGCAATATACCATTTTCTTGGTACTGATCACATTCCGTGGAAATTTTAAATAAAATGACTAAAGATCTGTTCGTTACTTAGGGGAAAGAGATATGTATCTTTCTTGGATGGAGAACAGTCTAGGTACTGAGAAATTTTTGAAGAAACTCCAGAGCAATACACCACAAAGATTGTGATCTTCCTAGTAAAAATAGTGTCAGAAAGGGAGACGAGCATGAAGCAGGGAAGGAACATGAGTCTTTTCATCTCGCTTTGCCTGTCACCCTGTGGCACGTTAAGTATCAGGCCAAGCAAAGGGATGTAATTGAAAAGCAACGGGCCAGCAAATGTGAATGTTCTGCACATTAAATGTTGAGAGACCATGCAGAATGAATTGAGGAGAATGTCAACAAGCAGTGTCACTGGAGGGAATTTGGCAGTTTCTAGCTTTCCTTATATCACTTCCCTTTTATGTTCATTTTTCATGGAGGGATATAAATCTGTGAAAATGCAATGTAAATATTGTTTTGTAATCTGTGTGTAATTTTAGAGTGCAAAAACTGTAAAGGGTTAATTTCTGTTCTTTAGTCACTTGCCGGAATCGTGTCTTAAGGTTGAGTGGTGATTTCTGCCTGACAACCCAGGTTTTTTAAAGAATTTTTTTTTCCTGATACAGTCCCTATGATACATAATATATGTATGCATATTATTTTTATATCCTTTTCTGTTGATAATTTCCAGTTGAATTTTTTTTTAATTTTCAAAGGCAAGACAACAATAAAATATATGATCTTACAAGGAAGCCATGAAGCTCACTGGAATATAAAAAAGGAATAAAAGCAAACATTAAAAAAATTATATCAAACTAAACCTCATAGTGAAATAAACTATGCAGAATTGTAATATTCATGTTTCTTCAAATTGCTTTGCATAAAACAATCTGCTAAAGATGCCTCGTTTTGCTTCATTTTTGGCATGAAGGCTCCCATCAATCATAGTTATAAAAAAAAATTAGTTTGTAGTACAGTGAAGACCTCCCTGAATTTGTTTGAATAGTTTTGAGATTCTTATACTGCTGATTAAGAGAAGTACATACTATTTTATCAGTTTTCCTCCTTTCCTCTCTATTAAAATCTACTTTGAGAATAGTTAAATTATATGCCTTGCCATTTAATTTCCTCCATTTCAATATGTTACAGACTCATCATTTTTATTTCATATGTAGTGTTTATAAAACAATAAAACCATATTCTTAAAAAAACTACCAGTAAATTGATTATAGAATGAATGTAACTTAACATAATAAAGGCCACATATGACACACACACAGCTAATATCATACTGGATGGGGAAAAATTGAAATTCTTTTTACTAAGATCTGAAAAAAGAGAAAGATGCCCACTTTTACCATTTCTATTCAACCTTGTACTGGAAGTCCTAGTCAGAGTAATTAGGCAAGAGAAAGAATTAAAAGGAATACAAATTAGGAAGATTTTAAATTATCCTTATCTGCAGCTAGCATGATCTTATATTTAGAAAAACCAACAGACTGCACCAAAAAATAAAAGTATTGATAAATGAAGTCAGCAAAGTTGCAGGATATAAAATCAACATACAAAAATTAGTAGTGTTTCTATATGCTAGCAGTTATCAATCTGAAAAAATTCAAGAAAGCTGTCCCACTTACTATAGCTACAAAAAATACTTAGTCAATTTAACGAAAAAAGTGTAAGATTTCTACAAAGAAAAATATAAAACACCAATGAAATAAATTGAAGAGGACACAAAAAAGTGGAAATATAACCAATGATCATAGACGGAAAAAATTAATATTGTTAAAATATCTGTAATACCCAAAGCAATCTACAGATTCAATGCAATCACTACCAAAATACAGATGATATTCTTCATAGAAATAATAAAAACAATCCTAAAATTCACATGGAACCACAAAAGACCCAAAATAGATAAAGCAAAAAGAACAAAGCTGGAGGCATCACACTAACTTATTTCAAATTATACTACAAAGCTGTAGCAACCAAAGCAGCATGACACTGGCGTATAAATAGACAAATAGACCAATGAAACAGAATGTAAAACCTAGGAAGAAATCTATGCACTTACATTCAACTCATTTTTGGCAAAGGCACCAAGAAAATACATTAGAGAAAAAGAGCAAACTCTTAATAAATGATTCTGGGAAAACTGGATATCCATATGCAGAAGAATGAAACTAGATTCTCATTTTTCACTATATATAAAAATCAACTCAAAATGGATGAGACTTAAATGTAAAGAAAACATTGGGGAAATGCTCCAGGGCAATAGTCTGGGCAAAGATTTTTGGGAGTAAGACCTCAAAAGCAGAGGCAACAAAACAAAATTAGAGAAATGGGATTGCATCAAGCTAAAAAGCTTCTTCACAATAAAGGAAACAGTCAACAAAGTGAAGAGACAACTCAGAGAATGGGAGAAAATATTTGCAAACTATCCATCCAACAAGGGATTAATAACAAGAATACATAAAAACTCAAACTGATTAGCCAAAAACAAATAATCTAATTTAAAAATGGGCAAAAGACTTGAATAGACATTTCTCAAAAATGATATCCAAATGGCCAACAGGATATTAGCCTGTGGCATGTATAAGTGGTGTGTATGTGTGTGTGTGCATGTTGTGCATATGCACACACACATATATATCATAAAAGGAAGACCTTTTGCTAGCGTTTTGTAATAAATAAATAAATAAATAATAAAAAAGCTGAATATCACTAATCATCAGGAAAATGCAAATCAAAATCACCATGAAGTATCATCGCACCCCAGTTAGAATGACTGTTATTGAAAAGACAAAAAATAACAAGTGCTTGTAAGGATATGAAGAAAGGGGAATGAGTGGACACCGTTGGTGGTAAAGTAGTGCAGCCATTATGGAAAACAGTGTGGAGGTTCCTTACAAAACTAAAAACCAGAACTACCACATAATCCAGAAATGTCACACATATCCCCCGCAAAAAGGAAATCAGTATATCAAAGTGATATCTGCACTGTCATGTTTATTGTAGTACTATTCACAGTAGCAAAGATATGGAATCAACCTAATTGTTCACCAATGAATGAATGAATAAAGAAAATGTGGTATATATACACAGTGGAATATTATTCACCCATAAAAAGGGATGAAATATTGTCTTTGCAGCAACGTGGATGAAACTGGAGGTCACTAAGTGAAATAAACCAGGAACAGACAGACAAATGTCACATGTTCTCACTCACATGTAGGAGCTAAAAAAGTGGATCTTAGGAAGATAGAGAGTGGAATGGTGGTTATCAGAGTCTGAGAAGGGAAGAGTGGAGAGGGGATAAAGAGAAGTTGGTTAGGAGGGACAGAAATATAGTTAGATGAAAGGAATGAGTTCTGGTATTTGATAGTACAGTGGGATAGTTATAGTTAATAATTGCTTTTATATCTCAAAATAACTGGAAAATAAGAATTGTAATGTTTTCAACACAAAGAAAAGACATATGTTTGAGGCAATGGATATCCCAACCACCCTAGTCTGATTATTTCACACTGTCTATAAGTATCAAAATATCACCTGTACTCCCAAAATATGTACCACTAATATATGTATCAATAAAAATGTATAAATAAAAACATTTAAAATGCAAATATAGTCACCCAAGTGAATGTCATATTTATGAATGTTTTATATATGTGTATGTATACATTTGTGTGTCTATATTAACATATGTGTGTGTGTGTGTGTGTATATATTTTTTTTCTTCTCTTGGGTCTACACATGTTGGAACTGCTTTCAAAATAAGATGAGGAAAAAGTTATTCCTATATTTTTATAGCTAGAGAAGTTTTTTTTTTTTCTAAAAATCAGCCTTGTTTCCCAACGTGGACTTTAAGTGATTTTTCATTGTTAAAGAAATAAAATTTACTTTTAAATTATAAAATAGTGTCTTTTAAATAGTCCAAGAAATGTGCTATAGGTGGGGCAATGACAAGATTGTTTTAGACTAAGAAATAGGACGTCAAGATTTGTTCTTTGTTCTGCACTACCCCTCTTTGTGACCTTGAGTAAGGCGTTTCACTTCTTCAGTTTTCTGATCTATAAAAACAAAAGAAAATTGTATTAAATTAATATATTTTCTAACTTTTAAATTCTAAGGTCCTAGGATTCCAGCTATTTCTTAAAAATTAATATTTGTATAATTTCATAATCAGATTTTATTTGTAGTATAAAATGTCTTTGATTTTCACATTGTCCCCAGAATATGAAAATCAAAGACATTATGATTTTACAGTGCAATAAGATTAATAATTAAAATTAATTCTCACATCTGTTTGTACCAAATGTGATGTATCATTTGTTTATGTGGATGTCTAAAAATTTTCTAGCATAAAAGGAACATCCAGTAGTTATGTTAATTAGTGTGAACATAGTGATACATTGTCTTAAAATATGATATTCTCTTCTTTTTCTAGTTAATGCCACATTGTAGGTGTAAAAATGTAGTATTAAATCAATGTTTCCCTTTGCTACAATATCTCACTTGGCTTGGTCTATAGTAATCATATAGAATGTCTTATAGTCTGTCACACACTCACCTTACAGATCCTGTCCTCTCTAAGAAGATTCATCAACTCCACAGAGTGGGGTCTACTTATACCATGAAAACGCAGCAGTGTTATTATGAAACACTTACACAGCCCAGTGGGTGTAATGTGAGAAAATATTCTAAATGATATCCGCTCTCATCACTCCACCACTTATGAGAGATTTCAGTGCAAATGCAGCTACATCCAAAAGCCTTTTATTTTAGTAATTTACATTTTGGTGGCTTAGATTTATAAATTCTTTATAACCAGGAATACTTGTGCAATAATGCAACTCTCTACATTTCTTTAAAAAAATGACTTCTAAATGAAAATTACTTCTGGCTGCCACTCACTATTTAAAACTTATGCATACAGGAGCAAACTATGACCACTGAATATAGCAGTAAAATTACCTAAATGGCAAAATGTAGATATTGATTTCCCATACATGAATATTTTTTAAAAATGTTAATATTATTTTAATGGATACATTATAATTATGTATATTTTTGGAAAACAATACAATATTTTGATATATATAATATGGAATGATTAAATAAAGCTCATTAACGTACCCACCATCTCACTTATGCATCATTTTTTTGTGTGTGGTGAAACACTTGAAATTCACTTAGCAATTTTGAAATACACAATAGTTCTTAACTGTGGTCAACATAGTGTGTAACAGATCTCAAAAAATTATTCCTCTTTTGTAAATGCACCATTGTTTTATGAGTTCAAATATTTTTGGTTCCGATATATGAGATCATGCCCTATTTGTCTTCCTGTGCCTAAAGAATGTTGAATATACAATCTCAGAGAGTCCAGCTTGGTAATACATCCTGTCCTCATTTTTAGAATGGATAAATCAATCATTTAATTTTAAAAAATATGGCACAATAAAAAATAAGCTAGACTATGTAAAATATCCCATAATTATAAGGAACTGAGATCAGTCTATTAACTCTTAAATGCTAGCTATTGGTGAGACATTTGCTTTTACGAGTGGTAAAAAATTTGTAATATATGGAAATGATATTAAAGATTAATAATATTCATTACATGTGAAGATTACTTAATGAAATCTTCTGAGTCTATGAGAAACTATCAGAAAAGCACTTAATATAATTTGCTACATTCTGTAGGTACTTATTCTATTTCATTGTTTGCTGAATATCACAAGGAAACAGGTCTTCTAGAATGATGGTCTTCACAGTGATGCAAGCAGGGAGTAAGCAAGATGATCCATAGAACCCAGGAACAAAATAATAAAACTTTTTGCAAGTATTAGTCACATTTTTTAACATTTCTACTTTCAGAAATGTTTGTGTATAATGTACATGAGAGAAACACATTCTATTATTTACAAATAAAGTAGAGTAGCCAAAACGAAAATTTTACTAATGGAGTGCACAATCAACCAATTTGGAGACTGCTGTTGTAGTGAATGAGAGATTAATGACATCCCATTTATAAAAGCTAGCAACTGAGAAAGAGGCTGTCAATAAGAAGTTCATATATTTGTTTTCCCATGTCTGCTATAAAACACATTTACCTGAAATGTCATACTCTGGAAAGAGTGCCAATGTTAAACATACATAAATGCCTACCTTGTACTAAGTAGCTGTATTGATTTGAGAGGCTGCATCAAAGCAATTGCCTGTGTGTAATTATTGTCTTTCTTCCAAAATGTCTAACCTAGCACAATGTGAAGTTTAAATACTCAGTGTGTGCTTTTTATTAAATATGTTCAATATCGTTGTGCCTTTCTTTCTGTGTTTGATCTATAAACAAATGAATAGAAAATGAGCATAATAAATCATTGGTGGCAGGTTCAAGAGCGCCCTGCTGTTTCTTTTGGCTGAATGCTAACCGAATATTGTTTAAAGCATAAAAGAAGTAGAAGAAGAAGGGGAAGAAATTGTGCACTGAAGGAACATTACAGCCATAAACTGTTTGTAACCTCTGTAGTTCTTTTATAAATTTTAATGAAATGCCATTGCTATGTTTGTCACAATGAGATCAGTGTAGTTAATTAAATTGCCACCAGTTTATATTTCTCCTTTAGGTGTTTACTTGTATGATGCATGAGTTATTATTTTCCAAATACACATCTGTGAAAGGGCTCTGTTTGTCTTGCTTCCTTTTGATAGGTAATTTATTTGTTTTTACTTCTGTATGTTAATATCTCTAGTGTAATTTTATTGGATCCATTAAAATATATGTATTTCTAATCTATTACTAAAATGCAATTTTCCTACTTTCAAAGTAGTGCACATTTCAATTTCAGAGTCATGGCTGAAAAGAATTGCACCCAAATCTCGGTTCTTTGTTATTTTGAAACTGTGTTACGCTTTTTTAAAAAAACTGCTTCCCAATACATGTCCTGAGATTCTTAAAGTTACATATTCACTGCTAGCCCACACTTACATTCCTTTGGGGAAAGACTCGGATGAACTGTGTTGTCTAAAACCGTAAGAGAAGACTGGAAAGGGTTCACATATCCGTACATTTTCTAGGAATGAGATAAAGGAAAAATTAACATTTTAAACCTAATCCTAAAAGAAAAAGATTATCCCACAAATAAAACTCAAGGAAACTCAAACTATCAAATTCACTAAATACATGAGGGAATAAGCCATAATGATTAAGACTAAGACTAATAATAGCTTGAGAATCAATTTCACAAAAATTATAGATGGAAGACAAATCAGATACCAAATAAGAAATAAATATATTTATCATTTAAATAATATAAATATAAGAGGCAGAGAATACCAATGGGTCCAAATAGATTAGAACAGAAATTAAACAGTACTTCTGGTAATTAAAAATGCAATAATTAAATTTAAATTCAACAGGTAGATTAAACAGTGATGAGACATGGACAAAAAGATAATTATTGAATTTTAATATGTCTACTTACAAAATAATTATCAAAAATAGAGTGACTAAGATATATGTTAGGAGAAATAGATTAAAAGATCCCCCAAATACCATAATGATATCTTATAAGAGTCTATTCAGCGTTCTAGGAAGAAAGTATAAAAAACAGAGCAAGGCAACATTAGAAAAGAAAATGACCAAACGTTTTCCAGAATTTCTAAAAAGATACCAATGTTCAGACTTAAGAAGCTCAACAAATCACAAGTTGGAAAAATGAAGCCATACTCCATACTTCATAATGAGATAAAAATTACCAATGATGAAGATTTCATTTTTATCAGTAGCCAGAAAGAAAATAGATTACGGATAAGATAAGATAGATGATTTTGACTTCTCCACAGTGGTGGAAGGCAGAGACAATGAAAAGATATTTATTCTTGAAGTTTTAAGAAAGGGTAACTGTCACAAGATAAGATCATCTGAGTAAAACAATTCCGTCTCTGAAGAATAAGAGCAAAACATATACATTATTAGGAAATTAACAAAATTGCAAACGTTTATTATCAGCATAACTTCATTAAAAAATGTAAAAATGTATTAATGCAAAAAGAAAAAATAATATTAGGAGGATGTCTGAGATAAAGGAATTATGAACAAGGAAAATGTGGTAGACATATTGGAAAATCTAAATCGACACTTCATAATACAAAAAAGTAATGTCTGAGGAAATTTAAAAATCAATATAGTCATAAAATACTGGCCAAATGAATAAATATATTATTTTGGGGGAAGACTGAATTAATGTTTTCTGACATCCTGCCATTATTTTAGGATACGGACAAATATATTAATTAAATGTAAATACATTAAATACTCATTTGAAAATTTCTGGGAAAACACTAAAGAAGCATGAGTGTATACTTCTAAGTTAGAAGGGAAATTGAGTGAGATGATTAAAGAAATTTCACCTAGTATAAAAAAGAAATTAAAAAAGGCAAAAAGAAAACCAGAAAAAGCAGGATACATAAAACATAAAACAAAATTATTAAAGGAAAACTAAATATATTAGTTAATCACAATCAACATAAATGAAATAAATACTCAGAGGAAAACAGAGATTATCATTTTGAATTTCTAAAGTATCCATTATGTGATACTTAGAAGAAGCGTATCTAAAACAAATGAAAGCACAAAATGCATTGGTGTACTAAAATTAGTATGAGACATGATAGACTTGAAGACAAAAACCATTAGTAGCAGTAAGTGGACCACTGCATATTTATAAAAGATTAAATTGACCAAGAAAATATAATAATATGAATCTGTAAGCATAGAATTATATACAGTAAAAATACATGGAGCAAGGGTTTTAAAATCAGGAGAAATTGACAAATCCATCATCCTGGTAATAAATTTAACAAACTCACCTAAGCTATATGGTAGCATGAATCAGCAAAATAATAATGATGTAAGTATTTATGAGACTTAAAAAAAAACAAAATTAATGCACTTGAATGAAGGGACATATACTGAAGTACCCAACAACTGGATCATGGAAAATTATTCATAAATACAGTGAACATCTATAAAAAGGTACACATATCACAAAGTAGAGCAAGTCTAAAAGTTTTCAGAGTTGGGATCGTAACACTATGCTACTGACTAATAACAGAAGGTTAACCTAAAATCTCCACTATCTGGAAACTAAAAATGCACAATTTTAAATAACTCATACGTCAAACAATAAAGTAAATTGAAAAAATAGAAAATGCTTTAAAGGAAAATATAAAACATATAAAAATTTGTGGGATGAAGCTATAGATAATGATGTGCAGGCTTTTGGGTGGACGTGTTTCCAACTCAGTTGGCTAAATACGAAGGAGATTTCTGGACCATGTGGTAAGACTCTGGTCAGCTTTGTAAGACACTGCCAAACTGTTTTCCAAAGACGTTGTACCATTTCATATTCCCCCCAAAGTAACGAGAGTCTTCTTGGCTCCATATTCTCACCAGCATTTGATATTGTCAATATTGCCTTGTTTTGTTTTAGCCATTCTAATAGATGTATACTACTATCTCATTGTTTTAATTTGCAATTATCTAGTGTTATATGATGTTGAGCTTTTTTTTTTTCATATGCTCTTTGCCATCTGTATATCTTATTTGGTGATACATTTATTAAGATACTTTGGGCCAGGAGCGGGGGCTCATGCCTGTAATCCCAGCACTTTGGGAGGACAAGGCGGGCGGATCATGAGGCCAGATTGAGACCATCCTGGCTAACATGGTGAAACCCCGTCTCTACTAAAAATACAAAAAATTAGCCAGGTGTGGTGGCACGCCTTGTAGTCCCAGCTACTCAGGAGGCTAAGGCAGGAAAATCGCTTGAACCTGGGAGGTGGAGGTTGCAGGGAGCCGAGATCGTGCCACTGCACTCCAGCCTGGCGACGGAGCGAGACTCTGTCTTAAAAAAAAAAAAAAAAAAAAAAGATATTTTGCCAATTTTTACATTGGGTTGTTGGTTTTATTACTAATATATTTTAATAGTTCTTTTTCTATTTTAGATGTAAGCCCTTTGTCAGTTATGTGTTTTGCAAATATTCTCTCTCAGTCTGGGGCTGACCTTTCCTTTTGACATATCTCTCTGATTTTCAGTTCTGCTTTTAGCCATGAGAAAGCTCTGTGTTAAGGGCTTATGTAATTACCTTGTGTACAACCAGATAATCAAAGAATATATCCTTATTTAAGGGCAATGATTAGTTATATCTGTGACCTTAGCTATATCTGCAAATTCCCTTTGACATGTAATATAGCATATTCATGTATCTGATACCATTGGGTAAAAATCATGGGAGTCAAAATTCTGACTTCCACAAGGCTTGGTGAGAAAATATGTGGAAAAACCTAAGATACTGTCTGACATATAGAAGGTATTCAATAAATACCAATTCCCCCTAATGCAGCACCCCTTTATATAATTAGATTATTCCCATTAGAGGTTGTAAGAGTGTTTATTTTTGTTTATCACATAAGAACACACAAGTGTGTGTGTGTGTGTGTGTGTATGTGTGTGTGTGTCCTAAAACTCTACCTCCAAGTTAATTTTTCAAATTTCCTTATCTTACATGCTGAAGGAGAGTTTGCAGATTTAAATATAACATTCAATTCAGAGGATTTCAGGGATTAGAAAGTAGAGTCTCAATAAATGTAATCCAGCATATAAACAGCACCAAAGACAAAAACCACATGATTATCTCAATAGATGCAGAAAAGGCCTTTGACAAAATTCAACAACCCTTCATGCTAAAAACTCTCAATAAATTAGGTGTTGATGGGACGTATCTCAAAATAATAACAGCTATCTATGACAAACCCACAGCCAATATCATACTGAATGGGCAAAAACTGGAAGCATTCCCTTTGAAAACTGGCACAAGACAGGGATGCCCTCTCTCACCACTCCTGTTCAACATAGTGTTGGAAGTTCTGGCCAGGGCAATTAGGCAGGAGAAGGAAATAAAGGGTATTCAATTAGGAAAAGAGGAAGTCAAATTGTCCCTGTTTGCAGATGACATGATTGTATATCTAGAAAACCCCATCGTCTCAGCCCAAAATCTCCTTAAGCTAATAAGCAACTTCAGCAAAGTCTCAGGATACAAAATCAATGTACAAAAATCACAAGCATTCTTATACACCAATAACAGACAAAGAGCCAAATCATGAGTGAACTCCCATTCACAATTGCTTCAAAGAGAATAAAATTCCTAGGAATCCAACTTACAAGGCACGTGAAGGACCTCTTCAAGGAGAACTACAAACCACTGCTCAAGGAAATAAAGGAGGATACAAACAAATGGAAGAACATTCCATGCTCATGGGTAGGAAGAATCAATATCATGAAAATGGCCATACTGCCCAAGGTAATTTATAGATTCAATGCCATCCCCATCAAGCTGCCAATGACTTTCTTCACAGAATTGGAAAAAACTACTTTAAAGTTCATATGGAACCAAAAAAGAGCCCGCATCACCAAGTCAATCCTAAGCCAAAAGAACAAAGCTGGAGGCATCGCACTACCTGACTTCAAACTGTACTACAAGGCTACAGTAACCAAAACAGCATGGTACTGGTACCAAAACAGAGATATAGATCAATGGAACAGAACAGAGCCCTCAGAAATAATGCCACATATCTACAACTATCTGATCTTTGACAAACCTGAGAAAAAGAAGCAATGGGGAAAGGATTCCCTATTTAATAAATGGTGCTGGGAAAACTGGCTAGCCATATGTAGAAAGCTGAAACTGGATCCCTTCCTTACACTTTATACAAAAATTAAATTCAAGATGGATTAAAGACTTACATGTTAGACCTAAAACCATAAAAACCCTAGAAGAAAACCTAGGCATTACCATTCAGGACATAGGCATGGGCAAGGACTTCATGTCTAAAACACCAAAAGCAATGGCATCAAAAACCAAAATTGACAAATGGGATCTAATTAAACTAAAGAGCTTCTGCACAGCAAAAGAAACTACCATCAGAATGAATAGGCAACCCACAAAATGGGAGAAAATTTTCGCAACCTACTCATCTGACAAAGGGCTAATATACAGAATCTACAATGAACTCAAACAAATTTACAAGAAAAAAACAAACAACCCCATCAAAAAGTAGGCAAAGGACATGAACAGACACTTCTCAGAAGAAGACATTTATGCAGCCAAAAAACACATGAAAAAATGTTCACCGTCACTGGCCATCAGAGAAATGCAAATCAAAACCACAATGAGATACCATCTCACACCAGTTAGAATGGTGATCATTAAAAAGTCAGGAAACAACAGGTGCTGGAGAGGATGTGGAGAAATAGGAACACTTTTACACTGTTGGTGGGACTGTAAACTAGTTCAACCCTTGTGGAGGTCAGTGTGGTGATTCCTCAAGGATCTAGAACTAGAAATATCATTTGACCCAGCCATCCCATTACTGGGTATATACCCAAAGGACTATAAATCATGCTGCTATAAAGACACATGCACACGTATGTTTATTGTGGCACTATTCACAATAGCAAAGACTTGGAACCAACCCAAATGTCCAACAATGATAGACTGGATTAAGAAAATGTGGGACATATACACCATGGAATACTATGCAGCCATAAAAAATGATGAGTTCATGTCCTTTGTAGGGACATGGATGAAATTGGAAATCATCATTCTCAGTAAACTATCGCAAGAACAAAAAACCAAACACCGCATATTCTCACTCATAGGTGGGAATTGAACAATGAGAACACATGGACACAGGAAGGGGAACATCACACTCTGGGGACTGTTGTGGGGTGGGGGGAGCAGGGAGGCATAGCTTTAGGAGATACACCTAATGCTAAATGACGAGTTAATGGGTGCAGCACACCAGCATGTCACATGTATACATATGTAACTAACCTGCACATTGTGCACATGTACCCTAAAACTTAAAGTATAATAATAATAAAATTAAAAAAAAAGTAGAGTCTCATAATCTCTACCTAGAATACGGTAGGTGCCTTCCATAGTCATTCATTTAAGAGCAAAATATTTCATAGTTCTCATTTTAATTTTCCCTTATTATTATTGATCCATTTTAGCTGAAGAAAATTATTTATAAAATATTTTCAAAGAATAAAAAAGTAACCTCTTAGAAAATAATAAAAATTAAATTGTTCATAAATGCAGTCTGGTCAGCATGTTGGAAATTTTTTTCCCTCTTGGCAGTGTAATTGCAAGACTGTCTTTATATTTAAGTCAGATATATTGATTTGACAATTATGACACTGGAACTATTTTTCCTGTAATGGTTGTTAAAGATTTTTATGGACAATATTGTAACTGTAAGGGTAATTTGTATTTGAAATTTGAACAACCAAATTATGGCCCACCCTATCATCTGTCTTGGTGAATGAATTATCTGTATATGAAAAGAATATGTATTCTCCAATTGCACGGTATATAAAATATTAATTAGGCCAATTTGCTTAATATTATCAAAATCTCCTATATTTTTATGGATTATTTATTTTTTATCAAATATTGCACTAGAATATTAAGGTCTTTAAGTGTGATTGTGCATTTGTCTACTATGCTTTTACTTGTGTGAATTTTTTCTTCAAGTATTTTGAAACTGTATTCCTAAGTATATATTTGTTTATGATTGCTCTATTTTTTTTATGAGTTTGCCCTATTAATACTATGGAATACCTCTCTTTATCTGTAGTAACATTTTTTATCTTTAAGTTGATTTTGTCTGCTATTAGTAGTCACATAAAACTTATTACACTTACTGTTTGCTTGCAATATTTTAAACTTTTATGCTTTCAACTTGAATACCTTTCTATAGTTCAAATGTGTTTCTTGCAGTCAACATTTAGTTAGGTCTTGTATATTTATCCATTCTATCAATCTCTGCCTTTTAATTGGAGTTTTGGTTCATTTATAACTATATAGTTATTAATATGTTTGTGATTAAATCTATCATATTGCTATGTATTTTTATTTTTAAATGTGTTCTATGGTCCCTTGATTTTTTTCCTTGTTTGCATTCTTTTGAGTAAATTGCACATATTTTAGCGTTTAGTATTCCATCTTTATCTCTTTACTTTTAATCTACTCCTCTTGTGGCAATTATTGTAGTTGTTACTTTAGAGGTTACATTACTTTTTTTAAGTTATCATAGTCAATACAGTAAGTTCTCACTTATATCCTCAATAGGTCCTTGGAAACAATAACTTTAGGTGAAATAATGTATAACAATATCATTTTTTTCCTCAGCACTATAACAAAATGGTGTTAAAGGAAATTATGTTATTCTGGCATTTGCTGTATGTCATTTCACTCAAAGTCAGTTTCCAAAGATCTATTGATGACATTAAGTGAGAACTTACTGTATAAGTACATACTATATTATGTGCTTATTAAAATAATAAGTACTTATCAGAGTACTTAATCATTTTATAATGATAATTATAAAATAATCATTCTAGCTTTCTTCCCCCTTCTACTTTTGTGCTCTTGTGATTGTGTGTTTTTCTTCTATTAAAGTTATATGGTCTAAAATTAATATTTAATATTTTTAAGTTAAATATATATGTTTATGTGTATACACACATACACATACATATATATGTGTGAATGGTAAAACTGCATATATATTTAATATATATTATATAATCATGTTAAATTATATGTATATAAGTTTACCTTTGTATATAATTTTATCATTCATACAGATCCATATTATATATTATATATCATATATTATTCTATACATATATATATATAAAATTTGATCATTCATACAGATCCAAAACTCCATTTGCAGCATTTCTTGCATTGCAGGGCTGCTAGATTCTAACTTTTTCAGCTTTGTCTTTTTGCAAATGTCTTTATTTAACATTTGTTTTTAAATCATATGTTCAATATGTACAAAATTTTAGACTGACTTCTTTTCTTTGAGCACTTTAAACATGCCATTTCATTTTCTCCTGTACCCCACTTTTCTGACTAAAACCCAGCTTTAATTCCTATTGTACTTAATGTGTCTGTGCTGTAGCTGCTGTTAAACTTTTTTCTCTTTTTTTTTTCTATTTAGCCAGTTTATCATGATGTTGCTAGGTGTGGTTTGTTTTCTTGCTATTTATCTCCTATGCCATTTGTTGAAATTTTTTTTTTTTTTGAGACAGAGTCTTGCTCTGTCACCTAGGCTGGAGTGCAGTAGCATGATCTCGGCTCACTGCAACCTCTGTCTCCTGGGTCAAGTGATTCTCATGCCTTAGCCTCCCTAGTATCTGGGATTGCAGGCATATGCCACCATACCTGCCTGATTTGTTGTATTTTTATTAGATGCCGGGTCTCGCTGTGTTTCCCAGACTGGTCTTGAACTCCTGACCTCAAGTGATCTGCCTGCCTTGGCCTCCCAAAGTGTTTGAGATTATAGGCATGAGCCACTGTGCTCAGCCTGTTCATTGAAATTTTGATTGTTTTCTTTTCAAATAATTATTTTGCCCAAGTTCCCTCTCTCTTTCTCTGGAGCCCTCATTGCCCACTTGTTAGTCTATTAAATATTGTTCCACATATCTCAGCTACTTGGTTTTATCTATTAATATTGGGATTTGGTTAATTTCTATTCATCCTCCTTCAAGTTAACAGGGTTTTTTTTTTTCCTTTCAGTATGCTGAAAGACAGTGGTGATAATTTCTGACATATTTTTCATTGTAAAATTTACAATATTTGTTTCAATTTTCATCTATGTAAACATATTTTCTATCTCTTTTATTAAATCCTTTAGTATATTGATCATAGTGATTTTAAATGCCTTACTTGATCAATTTAACTTCTGGGCCATGTCTGCATTTTTTTCTTTTGCATAATGTTCATATTTTGTTGCATTTTTACATGTGTTATAATTTTTTATCATTTTTGGTTATACAGACATGGTCTGTGAAAGAACAGGAGAGAGAATAGAAAATATTATTTACCACTAAATATTTACCTATTCTTCTGTTAGAGAGTTAATTTAGAAAGTTGAGTAAATCCAATCTGAGGTTGATTTGGGTCTAGGCTTTATTGCAGCTTTACTTGCATTATTTTACCATTGCTCTAAATAATTTTATTAGTGTGATAGATTTTTCTCTGCAGCGGGGCTTGAGGTCTGCGTATGCGTGAGAGTCAGGGTATCTTTATATAGCTGATCTTCTAGCTCTGCAAACCATGGAAGGGTTCTGTCTGCTTTAAAGATTGTCAACTTTTTGGTCAGTCAATTTGCTTCCTAGTTTTCTGCTTTCAGATGATGTCTATTCTCCTGCTACTCTGCTACCAGCCTTTGGAAAACACCTGTTGTATACTTGGAGATGTCCTTGAAACTCCAGAGAAATTTTTCTGTCATCCTTTCCTCAGTCTTTGGAAGTCCTCTAGTGTGGAGATAGTAAGTGCCTGGAGGTCACAGAGAGATTTCTTAGCACTCTTAACTTGTCCCCAGAGTTGGCATCTAATGCTTTGAGCTTGATCATGATGCAGAATTTCCTACAGTAATTTTTATCAGTTCTCCTGCCTTGGATACAATCTTTAGCAGAATGCTAACTTGCACTTGGGGAGGGCTCCATCTACTTTTGTGAAACTCTCACAGCCCTTCTAGTTGATTTCCTGTATTCAATATATTGCCCTAATGCACATCTTGGGTTCAGATTCATTCTGAGTTTGCGGTTCATTGGGATTCAAATCCGTCATAACAGACCACATCATATACTACTCAAACTCATAATGATCATAACAACTATAAAGATTAAAGAAAACACTAGTTTGAACTAGTCAGTATAAGAACATCTAGAATGATTCTATTAAGTTCATAATTCCATGATCTCTGGAGGATGTCTGTCCAGAGCTGATCTACTGTGAGCAAGTTTTGCTTGCTTCTTGGCTATGCTTTATCTACTATTCAATATAGTGTGTTTGCAGACCAAGATGGATAAAAATATAGTCCAATTAAAGATATTCCCTTATTAAAAAAGTAGCCAATGGATGAAAATAGATAACCCAGAGTAAAAGTCAAATACAGCCAAATGATCTTTGACAAGCATTCAAAAACATAAAGTGGGGAAATGACACCCTATTAAGTAAATGGTCCGGGGATAACTGGCAAGCCACAAATAGAAGAACGAAACTTATCTTTCACCTTATACAAAAATGAACTCAAGATGGATCAAAGACTTAAATCTAAGACCTGAAACCATAAATATTCTAGAAGATAACATTGGAAAAACCCTTGTAGACATTGGCTTAGGCAAACACTTTATGACTGTGAACCCAAAAACAAATGCAACATAAACAAAAATTAATAAATGGGACCTAATTAAAAAGCTTCTGCACAGCAAAAGAAATAATCAGCAGAGTAAACAGACAGCTCACAGAGTAGGAGAGAATCTTCACAAACTATGCATCCAACAAAAGACTAGTATCCAGAATCCAGGAACTGAAGCAAATCAGCAAGAAAAAAACCAATGATCAAATCAAAAAGTGGGCAAAGGACATGAACAGACAATTCTCCAAAGAAGGTATACAAAGAGCCAAGAAACATATGGAAATATACTCAACATCACTAATTATCAGAGAAATGTAAATTAAAACCACAATGTGATACCACTTTACTCCTGCAAGAATGGCCATAATTAAAATATCAAAAAATAATAGATGTTGGCATGGATGTAGTGAAAAGGAAAACACTTCTACGCTGCTGGTAGCAATGTAAACTAGTACAACTGCTATGGAAAACAGTGTGGAGATTCCTTAAAGGACTAAAAGTAGATCTACAGATTCATTCCAGCAATCCCACTACTGGGTGTGTGCCCAAAGGAAAGTAAGTCATTGTGTGAAAAAGACACATGCATGCACATGTTTATAGCAAAACTATTGCAAAAATATGGAACAAACCTAAATGCTCATCAACAAATGAGTGGATAGAGAAAATATGGTATATATATATAATATATATATATATATATAAAATATATATATATATATAAAATATATATATATATTATATATATATATATACACACACACACACACACACACACACACACACACATATACATACATACACACCATGAAATACTACTCGGCCATAAAACGGAACAAAATAATGGCCTTTGGTCAACTTGGATGGAGTTGGAGATCATTATTCTAAGTGAAGTAGCTTGGGAACGGGAAACAAAATATCATGTGTTCTCACTTATAAGTGGAAGAAAAGCCATGAGAATCAAAGGCATAAGAATGATATAATGGACTTTGGGGACTTGAGGGAAAGAGTTGGGGGTGAGGGATAAGAAAATACGTATTGGGTACAGTGTACACTGCTCTGGCTATGGGTGCACCAAAATCTGAGAAATCACTAAAGAACTTATTCATGTCACCAAAAACCACCTGTTCCTCAAAAACTACTGAAATAAAATTTTTAAAAAATAGCCACAAATTACTTTTCCATATTGATATTTTCATAGTATTCCTATAAAACTGAGGAAAAGTTTAGCAGAACTAAATGTTTAGAACACTTCACTGTTCACAACGGTTATGTTACCAAGCATGGTTGCTTATCAGAATGACCTGCTGAGGTTTTCAAAAAGCACAAATATTATGTCTAAACTATGCCACTTTCCAGGTTCTATGGTTTACATAAAAATTCCATGAAGTGAAGCATAGAAATTATCATTTAAAAATATCTTAATTCTGACCATACGTGTGTTTTGGGAACCACTGCACTAGAGTTATTATTACAGATTTTTTCTTAAGTCATGAGAAAGGATTTTTAAAAGAGCAATTCTTTATACAAAAGATAAGTTTATCAATCCTCAGCTGTTTAGCCCAACAAATATCTTATGTATAAATAGACCCCAATAGTGTTGAAAATATTGAATTTCATTCTAAATGGTTTGTCATGTGTGTCTTTCATTTCTATTACTCTCTTTATATTTTAATCCCCAGAAATGATGTGAAATATTTTACAGCATTATCTTTTTCTCTGCACAATATTCCTATAAACAGGGTGGCACACTATTTTACATTTATTTTTAACTGGTATGCACCACTAAAGATGGCAAGGTCTCAACACTGATATTTTTTTTTTCTTTCAACTGGGAAGAAAGTTCAAGGACTAAACACTTACTCCCAAATATGAAAAATAAATGTTAAATTATATAAAATCATCAGGAAAGCAGAATCCAGGAATGCATTAAAAGCATCATGTTTTTTTGTCTTAGTAATAAAAGCCTGAACAGAGGACCAATTTAAGAACAAGATGAACTTTGAAATATTCTGTTATATCTTCCTCTCTTTAATAGAAACTAGAGACAGAGATAACCATGTCAACCAACGACAAAATACGGGAAACTTAATTTAATCCAAGCCACATTCGATAGTGGATGTATTTAGGGACAATCTTTAGTTTGAGTTACAATGGTTGCTAATCTAGTACAAGAAAAGTAATACTACGAGGACAGGATATTGAGTGTGGTCAATTTTATCTTCCAAATATCTATGAGCACCAAACATCAGACAGATGGTTGATTAACAAGTGTTTATAGTGTTTATCACATCTGACGAAAAGCTCTTAAGAAGAGTGGATGGAAATAATATTATAATCACCTAATACAAATGTATAAATTACTAATTTATCATGGACCTTATATGTGAGAAATCATATATAACGAAGATTGCATTAGCCATGAGAATAGTGGATAGTGGATGTCAGGAATTGACAGACTATTTAAATTATACATTACATACCTATATAATTTCAGAGTTTGTTAAGTGTTTCACCTAAATTATCCGAGTTGATCCTTAAAGAAAGCTACAATATGCCCCTGTAGCAGGTTGGAAAATAGTCAACAAAGATATCAAGTCTTAATCCCTGAAACTTGTAAGTGTTACCACATTTTGTAAAAAGACTACTTGCAGATGTGATTAAATTAAGCATCTTATGAAGAGGTGATTACCTCAGATAATTTTAGATGGCAATAAACACCGTAACAAATATCTTTATAGAATAGAGGCAGAGGGAGATTTTACACAGCCAGAAGAGGAGGAGGAAATGTGATATTGGAGACAGAGATTAGAGTAATGCAACCACAAATCAAATAATGTCTTACAGCCCACTAGAAGTTGGAAGAGACAAAAAACAGATTCTCCCCTAAAGCCTCAAAAGGATTTGTGAAAGTTCTCACAACCTGATTTCAGACTTCTGGCTCCCAGAACTGTGAGGCAGTAAATTTCTGTTATTTTAAGCCACCCGGTTTTTGGTAATTTGTTACTGAAGACACTGGCTACAGCCCCTTTTTGCACATACATTCTTGAAATAATCTGCAACAAAGAAAACTATGCCATTTTTAATTAGGCATGCAAAAATGCAAGAAATACATGGATATTTGTCTTGAACAACACCCATTCATTTTTAAACTGCCTCTGCTTCTGTAAAATATTTTTTGTGAGTATACATTCTGTTGGCCACTGGATTATGTGACCAACAGAGGTTAAAACTAAATTCATTCAACTTGCCACATATAGCTTTTAATTAAGAATACTATCAGCAGGACTCCACATGTTAAAATGAAGTCAGTCGGTGGTATTGACCTCAAACATGCCTGCTCACGTCCTAGATCCAAGCAGCTAAACAAACCCATAAATGATTGCAGTCTATTTTAGAGAGCCAGAAGTCTTCTTCCTTAAGGTTCTAAATAGGCATTTCCATTTATCCTGAGTCATTCATCCATATAAAGTAGGATATATTAGCAATTGCACAGGCTCCACATTGACCAATAAGGAGGAAATCTACAGCAATTCCAGTATCCCTAACATCCCTAGTCAGTGAGTTGAGGCCAAGATGAATTCCTCCCAGTTCTGTGATAATTTTATTTCTTACTTCAGCTACATTCTAACAAATACTATACTACTTTTTCTAATTTGCTGACTCATATTGTGGGAATAACAGCCAAAAGCATCAAATACATAAGGAGTTAGTTATGCCTCTAAAACACTACCTTGGAAAACTAAAGGCAGCCTCATTTTGGAGAAAATTCATTAGACTTATAGTTTACTGGTGGTGTTTCCTTAGAGATTTGAAGGGCTCATCACCACTTCCAAGACTCAAATCACAATGTTTTTGTAAGTGAATCAAGTTAATCTCTAGCTTTTACACAAGGACTATACATATATGCATATGCATATGTTGTCTCAGGAGAGAAAAGATATATTTCAGTTGTTGAGGTCCTGCTCATGGAACCTCCAACAGTCAGCATTGGGCACAAGTTGACACTTTCTCTAATGTGTCTTCCAGGGCCACTTTTAGGGCTTAGGATGGAGTTTAGTCCCTGATTTTGGAAAGACTCTGAAGGCAGACAGTTTAATCTGTCTTGTATGTTTATGTCAACATTGGGTACTATTCATTTGCCTCATGCAATGACTGAGAACATGGATGGTGGACTTACAGAGGTGTTGACAAGACTTTTCTTTGGGAGGTACAAAAGTTGGAATCATTCCCTGTTGCTTGAGATAGACTTTTAATGTCATTAGAAGAAAAGGTAGATAAATTGTGATTCGAGTTGTTTGGTTAGCATAACTGACCCAGCAGCCTGTTTAAAGTAGATGCAACAGTTTGTTTTGTCCTTACCAAGATATTTTTCTTGGTGTGGAAGGAGCCAGGGCAGCTCTAACTATTATTAATGTGCCTTCCCCGTCTACACCTCAAAGGCCGGACGGTTTGCCTTCTCAATGGCCAGAGTGGTTGCTTTCCTACCGATACCCCAAAATTGTTTCTAATTCCATGAAGTGGAACTTCACAGTTGCAACCATCTTCTGCACACACCCATTGCTTTTATATAGTAGAGTTAGATTTGAGGGGCAAAGATATTGTTTGAAAACTCACAGAGGGCCAAAGTGTCCCTCTCTTTGACTTTGAGAGCAGTGTGCTTAACCAACGGGTCATTATACTTATGACTTGCTACTATACGAATTCAACAGGACAATCAAGGTGGCTGCCCTAAAATTAATTTTTGATTATCTAGGCTCCATTTTGCTAGGTTATTACTCAGACAGGATATGAATCAGGCCAACCTGGGGTTCTTGTTAGGAGGAGGAAAGAACAATGTTTCCCAGGAATGTCAGATAATTTTTTGAATTTTTGATAGTCACAAGTAAATATCAAAGGTCTGTTGTAGTCAATCTGCTAAGAAAGTCAATCTTCTAGGACTAGACAGGGGCAGGCCCATGGAATGTGGCCTTTCACTTAGTGACAATGGAATCAGCTTTTGTTCCCATTGATCCACTGGCTTTACTTCAGACAATAGAGTAACGGCCATATTTTCTCATAAAAACATAGCTGCCACCTTTTCACGTGAGGTCAAGATGCTGCTGAAGCTAAGCCAGCTATGATACTGAATATACCATTTTCACTGAGCAGGGGAAGATTATTGGGCCCTTCCTTCCTTGGTAATCATTCATTCTGAGTTGACCAACACCAAATTAGGAACATCAGGGTCAACATTATTAATAAGGCCTCTATGGGTCATACATTCAGTGGTGACAAGAGCCCAGTATCAATTGTAATAGGGTCCTTACTTTTTTGTATAAATTTCAGGGGTATAAGTACAGTTTTGTTACATGAATATATTACATAGTGTTGAAGTTTGGGCTTTTAGTGTAACAATTACCTAAATGATATATATTGTAGACATTAACTAATTTCTAATCTCTCACCCCCCTTCCACGCTCCCACTCATCTAAATCTCCATTGTCTATTATTCCACTTTCTATACCCATTGGGTACACACTTTTTAGCTTCCATATATAAGGGACAACATATTGTATTGGACTTACTGTGTCTAAGTTATTTCAGTTAAGATAATGGCCTTCAGTGCCATCCCCATTGCTGCAAAACACGTGTTTTCATTCTTCCTTATGACTGAATAGTTCTCAATTGTATATATATGCCACATTTTCTTTATCCAGTCATCCATTGATGAACACTTAGTTTGATTCCATATCTTTGCTATTGTGAATATACTGTAAAAAACATGAATGCAGGTCTCTTTTTGATACAATTATTTCTTTTCCTTTGGGTAGATACCCAAGAATGGGAATATTGGATGGAATGAAAGTTCTATTTTTATTTCTTTGAGAAATCTCCATACTGTTTTCCATAGAGGTTGTACTAATTTACATTCCCACCAACAGTGTATAAAACCCTTCCCTTTCTCTGCATCCTCATCAACATCTGTTATTTTTGAGACTTTAACAATAGCCATTTTGACAAGTGTAAAATGATATCTCATGTGATATCAATTTGCATTTCTCTGATGATTAGTGATGTTGAGCATTTTTTCATATGCTCCTTGCTCATTTGTATGTCACGTTTTGAAAAATGTCTGTTTATGTCCTTTGCCCAATTTTTAATGGGGTTATTTTTCCTTTGAGTTGTTTATGTTCTTTGTAGATTCTGGATATTAGTCTCTTTTCGGATGCAAAGTTTTCAAAGATCGTGTAACTATTAGCTATGTCAGGAAGGCAATGGGTACAAAACTCAAAGTGTTCCTCCAGGTAGATTCTTTACCAGAGCCTCCAACTGACAAAATCGACAGTCTCAAAGATTTGTAACTCAAAGGCGTCATTAAGTATGGGAAATGTGTTTAGTGTGACAGAGAAATTTACTTTTTAATTTAATTTAACGAATTTAATTTATGTAGACCTGTGCTACTAGTCACATACAGCCATTTAACTAAATTTAAATGGCTGTATTTAAATTTAAATTTAACTAAATTTAAATTTAGTTAAATGGCTGTATGTGACTAGTGGCACAGGTCTACATAAATGTCATCTCTTTGAATTACATATAAACCAATAAGAAAAAGAAAGAAAGAAAAAAAAGAAGAAAGGAAAGGAAGGAAGAGAGAAAAAGAAAGAAAGAGAAAAGAAAAACCACACATGGGTTCTATAAAGAATATTCTAGGAGAACAAAGGGAATATCTTATGGTATTCAGGATTTTAATAAATTGTAGGCCTGTGAAATATCTTTACTTTATAGATCAGAAAAATATTTAAAAAAAATGAAAACCTTGTCATCTATAAAAGGATACAGGTGACAGTGGACAGAAGCCAAACTATGAATTAAATACTTTTCTGATTATAAAAGGGCAACAACTAGAACAAGATTTACAATCAAAGATAAAATAATTTAAAATAATTTCTCCTGAGGCTTAAAAATTATACCTATGTAGAAAAAGAGAGCTTATTAAACGTTAGTTGAGTTAATGAAAAGAGACACCAGGAAAAGTTATCTTAAACTGTCCATAATAGGTTAATGAAAATAATTCTATACTTACCCAAATTTCCTCAAAAAAACAAAAATCAAGCTGTTTTTGGTTTTCTATTTGCAGTAGATTATTCCTGATCTGACAGTGTCTATAGAGGTTTGAGAGATAATTGTTAGTGTTTTTCAAATTTTATAATAATCTACATGGTTTTGATATTTGAAAGAAAAGAGAAAAACATTCTGAAAATGCTCAAGGGCTCAGAAACCTTCCTAAACATGCATATGTTTGGACAAAATGGTTAAAAAATAACTCAATCAACTAACAGTTTAATTAAAATAGAAACACAAGAATATAAAATTAGTGTATCTGAATACATGGTAAGCATTAAAAATAATAATAAAAATTACATCTAAAAGTGCTTTAATATGTTACAAATCTGAGAGATAATGTCAACTTTACTATTATGAGAATATGTTAAATGTAAATGACTTCAAGATAAGCGGGATATTAAGATATATATTACACTTACAAAAACCCATGTATGCAAGAGTGGGTGGAAAATAAAAATATAGCAAATACTTTTTTTATTTGTCATCCTAAGTTGTTATATAGAATAATAAATGTTAAAAACCTTTTAAAAAAACTTTTAAGAGGAAGTATTTGTAAAATAATAACTAGTAAACATTAACATAACATTAAAAGCATTGAATATATAGCAAAAGTTTTAAATTTTTGAAAAAGTAAAAGAAGAAAGTATGAAAATTAGAAAAGGTTTTGCTCAAAGTAAATACAAGTAAACATATATATTATGGTAATAAACACAAATATTTATTTTTCCTCTGTCATAAAATAATCTTAGAAATCTTTGCTGCTTATGTGAGTGAAGACTGAAACTTTCTTAGAAATTTAAAAATGAGAAGAATTATATAGTTTTATCGAATAAATTCAAATCAAATGAAAATAATAACATGGTTAATTTTACATAAAGTAGTAAACACATTAAAAAGCACTAAATGAGAAAGAAGGTAATTTTGTATTCATAAGAAGTGCAAAGTATTAAAAATATATTTGTAAAGCATTATGGTTTAGATTCTTTAAAAAATAAAGAAATATTTAAAAATGCAAGAAAATGTTGGAAGCATAACTGTGTGTTAATTTAATAAGGCTTTATTCACTTTCTTATAATAAGTAGACAAAGTAGATGTCAGAAGATTTAATAATATAATCAATAAAGTTGCAAAAATTTTTTTTTATCATACTGAAAGATAATATTTATGCAATAAGCAGGAGAAAATAAAGGGATTATTATCAGAAAGCAATAATCAATGTAATTAGATCATATTATTAAAAAGCAAAAGTCAAATAATGAAAATTATATTTTTTTGTAGAGAATATCCATTTATACATAGAATATCAAACAATCTGTAGAATGATTCTAAATTTGAATTTACAAATTGACAAGCCAAAAGATAAATCCATGAGTCGGCCTACATCAAAGCAAGAAATCCCACTGAGAATAGTACCAGCAAAATTCTTCAAAACAACTAGGACATGTGTGGGTACATATGAGAAAGAGAGGAGAGAGAAAGTGACAAAAAGAGAAGGAGGGAGAGAGAGAATTATGAGTTTAGCAAGATATCTAGATATAAGATTCATACACAAATCAGCTGCATTTCACAAAGGCATGAGTGGTTAGAATATGCCATTAAAATATTATTTGTAATATAAATAATAAAAAGATACCTGGGGAAAAATCCATTGTAAGATGGAAAATATAAACATACATAAAATTGTATTTAAATAAGAGTTTAATAAACAACATACATATTCACATATATAATAAAAGATACAATTCTCACAAAATTCAATTATATCTTTAGCTTAATTTAAAAAATAAAAACTCAAGAGGTAAAAAAACTAATAGATTTTAAAATATATTCTATACTATATACAGCAGTAAAGACAGATAATAATTCTTTAGGCAGCACAGAAGATCCAACCAGATATCAGGAGTTACACAGCCAGAATAATTAAGGCAGGTTGGCATTGTCTCATAGATAAACAAACAAGGAAACAAGCAAAAAGCAATGAGAAAATTTAAAACCTAAACATTAATCTACAAACACATGAAAATATTATTTATGATAGATAGCATTTTATATTTATAGGGGAAAAGGGTAAATTTTACATAAATAGTTCTGAGGCAATTTGTTACTTACCTGAGAAGAAATGTAAGTAAACAGATACATAATTCACCAAATTTACAAATTTAAGTTGGATTAAGGAATTATATGTGTGTATGTGAATTGGGAAATATAAATATGTAGTGTATGTGATTGAAGTTAAGTTGTTATCAGCTGTTATAACCCTAGGATGTATAATATAAGCCTCATAATCACCACAAAGAGAATATCATAGGAGAGACACAAAAGCAAAAAAGAAAAGAATAAAAGAATAACTAAAAATTTAAGAAATCAACAAACACAATTAAAAACAGCAAAAAATAAAAGAGAAAAACAAAGGAACTACAAGACAGAGAACAACAAAATGGCAATAGTAAGCACTTCCCTATCAATAATTAAACATAAGTGGACTTAACTCTCCAATGCAAACACATAAAGTGGTTAAATTGATAAAAATATAAGACCTGCCTAGATTTTGTCCTCATATTCCATGCGAATGGTAAACAAAAGAGAGCAGGGGTGACTGTGTTTAAATCAAACAAAATGAATCTTACATTGAAAACTGTCAAAAGAGACAGAAGGGCATTATATAATAATTAAGTGGGTCTATTCAACAGGAACTTGCAACAGTTTTATATATATATGCAAAAGCAGTTGTGGCTCTATACACTAACAATGAATATCTGAAGTGGAAACTAAGAAAAAACAATGTCATTTAGAATAGCATCTAAAAGAATGAAATGCTTAGAAATAAACCTAAGAATAAAATACTTAAGAAGGAGGTAAAAGATTTGTGTACTGAAAAATCATAGAACATTGATTAAATAAATTACAGAAGAATAAATGGAAAGACATTCTGCAATCATGGATTAGAGGATTTAATATTATTAAAATGTCCATACTGCCCAAAGTGATCCATAGATATAAAGTTATCTTTATCCTAACCTGAATGGCATTTTTTTACAGAGATAGAACAATCCTAAAACACGTACGTAACTAAAGAGAAACTGCTAACAGTTAAAGCAATCTTGAAAAGAAAGAACAAAGGTGGAGACACTACAGTCCCTAACTTCAAACTATATTACAAAGCTGGAGGGAGAAGATGGAGCAAGATGGCTGAAGAGAAACCTCCACCTAGCATCTCTCCCTGGGAACACCAACTCGATCAAGTATCTACACACACACACACCTTCATAAGAACCAAAAATCAGATAAGCAATCACAGTACCTGGTTTCAACTTCATATCACTGAAAAAGATACCAAAGAGGGTAGGAATTGGATTATATTGAATTCAGTCTTGAATTGCTGAATTCCCACATTCCTTAGCAGTGGCAGCATGGCATGGAGGTAGAATCTGTGATTTTGGGAAACGGAGAGCATAATGATTGTGAGATATTGCATTGGAACTTAGTGCTGCCCAGTCACATCAAAAACAATGCTGGACAGAACTCAATCAGTGCCCATGGAGGGAGCATTTAGACTAGCCTTAGTCAGAGGGGAATCATTGGAATCTGCATTCCATCAAACCTCAGCACCATGGGTTAAAGGGCTCTGGTATTCTAAATAAACTTGAAAGGCAGTTTAATTCACAAGAACTGCAATGCCTGGTCAATTTCTGGTGCTGTTTTGGGTTCAAAGCCAGTAGACATGGGGGGCACCCAACCTAGTGAGACACCAGCCAGGGTGACCAAGGAGGTGCTTGTGCCACATGTCCCCTAACCCCAGGCAACACAGCATGCAACTCCAATTGGGACTCCTTTCTTCTGCTTGAGGAGAGGAGAAGGAAGAGCAAAGAAATTTTGTCTTTTAACTTGGATACCAGCTCAGCCACATGAGGACAGAGTACTGGGCAGAGTCCTGAGGCACCCATTCCAGGCTCTCATTCTTGGATGACGTTTCTAGAGACACCCTGGGCCAGAAGGGTACCTGTTGCCTTGAAAGGAAGGACCTCGTACTGAAAGAATTCATCGCTTGCTGATTAAGGAGCCCTCAGGCCCAGAATAATCAGCAGTGGTAACCAGACAGTACTCTCTGTGGGCCTTGTGTAAAACACAGAGAGACTTCACTTGCTTGGGAGAAAGAAAGGAAGAGAACCAGAGTGTTTGCATAGTAAATCAAAGAATTCTTCGGATCTCATAAAGACCACCAAGTTGCTACTTCTCTGAGTCTGCAAGATCAATGATGTTACTGGGCTTTGGGTGGCCCCTAAGGGAAATACAGCTACAGTGACCAAAAATAAGATCACAACACTCAAGTAACTTCAAATACCTGGAAAGCCTTCTCAAGAAGAACTGGCAGAAACAAGCCCAGACTGTGCCCAGACTGTGACGACTACAATAAACACCTAAATCTTCAATGCCCAGACACTGATGAACATCCACAAGCATCAGACCATCCAGGAAAACATAACCTCACCAAACAAACTAAATAAGGTACTAGTAGCAAACCCTGGAGAGATAGCGATATGTGACCTTTCAGATAGAGAATTCAAAATAGCTTTTTTTTGAAAGGCAACAAAATTCAAGATAACACAGAGAAAGAATTCATAATACCTTTGGATAAATTTAACAAAGAGATGGAAATAATTTAAAAGAATCAGGTAGACATTCTGGAGTTGAAAAATGCCCATGACATACTGATGAATTCATCAGAGTATCTTAATAGCAGAATTGATCAATCAAAAGAAAGAATTAGTGAGTTTGAAGACAGGCTATTTAAAAATACATAATCACAGGAGACAAATAAAAAAATGAAGAATGCCTATAAGATCTAGAAAACAGCCTCAAAAGGGCAAAGAAAAGAGTTACTGACTTTGAAGAAGAGATAGAAATATGGGGGAAGAAAGTTCATTCAAAGGGATAATAAAAGAGAACTTCCCAAACCTAGAGAAAGATGTAAATATTCAAATACAAAAAGGTTGCAGAAAACAAAGAAGATTTAACATGAATAAGATTACATCAAGACATTAAATGTGCAAACCCCCAAGGGTCAAGAATAAAGAAACGATCCTAAAAGCAACGAGAAAAGAAACAAATAAAATACAATGGAGCTCCAATATGTCTGCCAGCAAACATCTCAGTGGAAATCTTATATGCCAAGCGAGAATGGCATGATGAATTTAATGTGCTTAAAAAACCAAAACAGTTTTATCCTAGAATAGTACATCTAGAAAAAATAAAAGACATTCCAAAACAAGCAAAAGTTGAGGTTTTTTTTTTTTTTTTTTATCAATACCAGTTATGTCCTTCAAGGAATGCTAATGGGAGTATTTTAACATGAAAAAAAGGATGTTAAAGAGCCATATGAAATTATCTTAAGGGAAAAAACTCACTGGTAATAGTAAATACAAAGAAAAACATACAATATTATAATACTGTAGTTGTGATGTATAAACTACTCATGTCTTAAAAACTAAAAGATGAACTGATCAAAAATAGCAATTACAACAACTCTTCAAGACATAGACAGTACAATATGATATCAATATAAAAAACAAAAAGTTAAAAAGTGGAGAGATAAAGTGTAGAATTTTTATTAGCTTTCTTTTTACTTTTTTTATGTAATTTTAAGTTGTCATCAGTTTAAAATAATGGATTACAAGATATTATTTGCAAGCCTAATGGTAACCTCAAATAACAGATACAAAAAAATAAAAGGCAATAAATTAAAAATTACCACCAGAGAAAATCACCTTTTAAAAAACAAATAACAAAATGGCATGGGTAAGTCTTTATCAATAATACTGAATGCAAATGGATTAAACTCAAATCAAAAGACATAGAGGGCTGAAAGGATTTAAAAAAAGACCCAATGATTTGTTGCCTAGAAGAAATACCCTTCATCTATAAACATGCACGTAGACTAAAAATAAAGAGATGGAAAAAGATATTTCATGCAAATGGAAACCAATAAAGACTAGGAGTAGCTATACTTATATCAGACAAAATATAATTCAAGACAAACTATGAGAAGATACAAAGACAGTCATTATATAAGGATAAAGTGGTCAATTCAGCAAGAGGATATTACGATTTTAAATATATATGCACCCAACACTGGAGCAGATATATAAAGCAAATATTATTAGAGCTAAAAAGACAGACTCTAACACAGTAATAGTGCGTGACATCAACACCCCACTTTGAGCATTGGATAGATCATCCAGACAGTAAATTAACAAAGAAACAGTAGACTTAACCTGCACTATAAATGGACTTAATAGATATATACAGAACATTTCATTTAATGGCTATAGAATATGCAGTCTTCTCCTTAGGACACGGGCTATTCTCAAGGGTAGACCATAGGATATATCACAAAACAAGTCTTAAAAAATTCAAAAAACTTGAAATTATATCAAGTATCTTATTCTGTGACCACAATGAAAACTAGAAATCATTAAGAAGAGAAACTTTGGAAACTATTCAAACACATGCACATTCAACAATATGCTCCTGAATGGGTCAATAAAGTAAATAAGAAGGAAATTAAAGTATTTCTTGAAACAAATGTTAATGGAAACACAACCTACCAACACCTTTAAGACACACCAAAAGCAGTACTATGAGGAAAGTTTATAGGTATAAGAGCCTACATCAACAAAGTAGAAAAACTTCAAATAAACAACCTAACAATGCCTCTTAAAGGACAAAAACAACAAGAGTAAACAAAATGTAAAATTCACAGGAAAAAAGAAATTATAAATTCAGAGGAGAAATAAATAGAAATGAAAAACAATGAAAAAGAAAACAATGCAGAAATGAATGAAATAGAAGTGAAGAAAACAATGCAGAAGATTAATGAACTAAAAGGATATTTTTGGGAAACATAAATAAAATTTACAAATCTTTAGTTAGACTAACTAATAAAAAAGAGAGAAGGCCCAAATAAATACATTGAGAGATCATAAAGGAGGTATTAGGATTGGTACTGCAGAAATTCAAAGGATCATTAGAGGCTACTGAGAAACTATATGCCAATAAATTGGGAAATCTAGAAGAACTGTATGAATTGCTAGATACATACCACCTACAAAGATTGAACCATGAAAAAATCCAAAACCTGAACAGAGAAATATAACAAGTAACAAGATCGGAGCTGTAATAAAAAGTATCTCAGCAAAGAAAAGCCTGGGACCCGACAGCTTCACTGCTGAATTCTACCAAATATTTAAAGAAAACTAATACCAATTCTACTCAAAGTATTCTGAAAAATAGAATAGAAAGGAATACTTCCAAACCTATTCTACAAGGCCAGTGTTACCCTGATACAAAACCAGATAAGGACACATGAAGAAAAAAAAAAGAAAACTACAGGCCAATATCACTGATGAACATTGATGCAAAAATCTTCAACAAAATACTAGCAAATTGAAGTCAACAACATATTAAAAAGTTCATTCAACATGACCAAGTGGGATTTACTCGAAGGATACAAGAAAGTTTCATCACAGGCAAATCAATCAATGTGATACATCATATTAACAGAATGAAAGACAAAAACCATATAATTATTTGAATTGATGCTGAAAAGCATTTGTTAAAATTCAACATTCTGTTACAATAACCACTCTAAAAAATGGGTATAGAAAGACCATACCTCACCACAATAAATGCCATGTATCACAGGCCCATCATACTGAATGGGAAAAAACTGAAAGCCTGTACTTATGATCTGGAACATAACAAAGATGCCCACTTTCACCACTGTTATTCAACATAGTACTGGAAGACAAGAAAAAAAATAAAGGGCATCACAATTAGGAAAGAGAAAGTCAAATTATCTTTGTTTGCAGACAACATGATCTTATATTTTAAAAAAACCTAGAGACTGCACCAAAAAATTATAAGATTTGATAAAGGAAGCCAGTAAATTTGCAGGATACAAAGTCAGCCTTCTAAAATCAGGAGCATTTCTATATGCCAACAGTGAACAATCAGAAAAAGAAATCAAGAAAGTGATTCCATTTTATAATAGCTGCAAATAAAATAAAATACCTAGGAACTAACTTATGCAAAGATATGAAAGATCTCTACAAGGAAAACTATAAAACATAGAAAAGGACAAAAAATTGAAAGATATTTCATGATCATAAATTGGAAGAATAAATTTTGTAAAAATATCTACACTAAAGATTCAATGCAATCTCTATTAAAATGCCAATGGTATTCTTCATAAAATATAGTAAAACACAATTCTAAAATCTGTACGGAATCACAAAAGACTCAGAATACCCAAAACCATTTTAAACTAAAAAAACAAAAAAAAACAAACAAAAAAACAAACTGGGGGAATCACATTATACTACAGATTATACTACAGAGATATAGTAACCAAAATAGCATGATGCTGGCATAAAACCAGACCCATAGATCAGTGGAACAGAAGAGAAAACGCAGAAACAAATCCATACACCTACAGTGAACTCATTTTTTTATAAAGTTGCCATGAACATACAGTGGTGAAAAGACAGTCTCTTCAATAAATGGTGCTGGGAAAACTGGATGTGCATATGCAGAAGAATGAAACTAGATTCTTATCTCTTGCTTGTAAAGATGAAATCATAAAGAATTAAAGACTTAAATTTAAGACCTCAAACCATGAAACGATTACAAGAAAACGTAGGAGAAACTCTTCAGGACATTGGTCTGGGTAAAGATTTCTTGAGTAATATCCCACAAACACAGTCAATGAAAGTAAAAATGGAAAAATAGGATTACATCAAGTTAAAAAGCTTCTGTATAATGAAATAAACAATCAAAAAAGTAAAGAGACAGCCCACAGAATGGAAGAAAATATTTGCAAACTATCTGTCTGGCAAGGGATTAATAACTAGAATCTATAATGAGCTCAAATCAATAAGAGAAAATCTAATAATGTGATTAAAATTAGGCAAAGATTTGAATAGGCATTTCTGAAAAGATGTACAAATGACAAACAGGTATATGGAAATGTGCTCAACATCATTGATCATCAGAGAAACGCAAATCAAAACTACAATGAGATAGCATTTCACTCCAATTGAAATGACTTTTATCCAAAAGACAGGCAATAGTAAATGCTGGCGAGGATGTTATATAAAAGGAATCCTTGTACCCTGTTGGTGGGAATGCAAATCAGTACAAACAATATGGAGAACAGTTTGGAGGTTCATCAAAAAACTAAAAATACTGCTGCCATATGCTCCAGCATCCCACTGCTAGGTAGATACACAAAAGAAAGGAAGTCAGTATATTGAAGATACATCTGCACTGCTGAGCTTGTTGCAGTACTGTTCACAATAGCCAAGATTGAAAGCAACCTAAATATCCATCGATAGTTAAATGGATAAAGAAAATGTAGTACATATACACAGTGAAGTACTATTCAGCAATAATAAAAAAAAATTAGATCCTGTCATTTGCAACAACATGGAGGGAACTAGAGGTCATTATGTTAATTGAAATAAGCCAAGCACAGAAATAGAAACTTCACACATTCTCACTTATTTGTGGGAACTAAAAATTAAAACTATTGAACTCATGAAGATAGAGAGAAGGATGGTTACCAGAGGCTGGGAAGGTAGTGAGGGAGGTGGGAGAAAAGTAAGAATGATTAATGAGTACATTAATATACTTACATAGAATGAATAAGATCTAGCTCAACAGTGTGACTACAGTCAACAATATTTTATTGTACATTTTAAAATAACTAAGAGTTGTAATTAGATTGTTTATAACACAAAAAAGGATAAATACTTGAGGTGATGGATACCCCATTTACCCTGATGTGATTATTACACATTATAGGCTTGTACCAAAATATCTCTCATACCCCATAAATATATATACCTATTATGTACCCACAAAATATTAAAAATAAAAAAATTAAATATACTAAAAAGCCAAAGTGATTAAAAGGGTATGGAACTGACATAAAGACAGTCATAGTGACCAGTGGAAGAAAATAGGGACCCAAGAAGTAAACTCATACGTATACAGTCAAGTGATCTTTGGTGAAACTGCCAAGAATGCACAATGAGGAAAGGATATTCTTTTCAACAAATGGTATTGGGAAACTGAATGTCCCCATGCAAAAAAAGAAAATGAAATTGGACCCTTAACTTACACCATACAAAAAAAATCAACTCAAAATGGACTAAGGACTTAAAAGTAAGACCTGAATCCATAAAACTCTTTGAGAAAAAGGTAGGGGAAGTGCTTCTTGACATTTGTCTTGGCAATGATTTCTTGGGCATAACACCAGAAGCATAAAAAAAAAAGCAAATCCAGACAAGTAAAACTATGTCAAACTAAGAAGCTTCTGTGCAGCAAAGAAAAGAGTCAAGAGAGTGAAAAGGCAACCTACAGAATGGGAAAAATATTTTAAGTTCATATATCTGGTAAGGGGTTATATCTAAAATACATAAAGAACTGTGACACTCAATAGCAAATATGTGTGTCAAAAGATAAGTGATGGTAAGGATGTGAAAAAATGGAAACCCTTGTACATGGTGGGAATATAAAATGGTGTTGTTACTGTGTAAAACAGTTTGGTGGTTTCTCAAAAAATTAAAAACAAAACTATATGATTTGACAATTCTATATCCAAAGGAAATGGAGTCAGTATCTTGAAGAGATATCTGTGCTCCCACATTCATTGCAACATTATTCACAATAGCCAAAATATGAAAACAAAAAAATGTCCAATGGCAAATGAACAAATAAAGAAATATAGTGTATGCATACAATGGAATATTATTCTGCTTTAAAAAGAAGAAAATGCTGCCATTTGCAATAGTGTTGATGAACCTGGAGAATATTATACTAGTGATATGCTATCCACAGAAAGTCAAATACTGCATGATCCCATTTATATGAGGCATCTAAAACTGTCAAACTCATAGACACACAGGTTAGAATGGTTAGAAAGGGCTAAAAGGGAGGGGTGGAGCCAAGACGGCCTAATAGGAACAGCTCCAGTCTACAGCTCCCAGCGTGAGCGACGCAGAAGACGGGTGATTTCTGCATTTCCATCTGAGGTACCGGGTTCATCTCACTAGGGAATGCCAGACAGTGGGTGCAGGACAGTGGGTGCAGCACACCGTGTGCAAGCTGAAGCAGGGCGAGGCATTGCCTCACTCAGGAAGTGCAAGGGGTCAGGGAGTTCCCTTTCCTAGTCAAAGAAAGGGGTGACAGATGGCACCTGGAAAATCAGGTCACTCCCACCCTAATACTGAGCTTTTCCAACAGGCTTAAAAAATGGCACATCAGGAGATTATATCCCGCACCTGGCTCGGAGGGTCCTATGCCCACAGAGCGTCGCTGATTGCTAGCACAGCAGTCTGAGATCAAACCGCAAGGTGGCAGCAAGGCTGGGGGAGGGGCACCTGCCATTGCTCAGCCTTGATTAGGTAAACAGAGCAGCCTGGAAGCTCCAACTGGGTGGAGCCCACCACAGCTCAAGGAGGCCTGCCTGCCTCTGTAGGCTCCACCTCTGGGGGCAGAGCACAGACAAAAATACAGCAGTAAACTCTGCAGACTTAAATGTCCCTGTCTGACAGCTTTGAAGAGAGTAGTGGTTCTCCCAGCACACAGCTGGAGATCTGAGAACGGGCAAACTGCCTCCTCAAGTGGGTACCTGACCCCTGAGCAGCCTAACTGGGAGGCATCCCCCAGTAGGGGCAGACTGACACCTCACACGGCTGGGTACTCCTCTGAGACAAAACTTCCAGAGGAAAGATCAGGCAGCAGCATTTGCGGTTCACCAAAATCCACTGTTCTACAGCCATTGCTGTTCTGCAGCCACTGCTGCTGATACCCAGGCAAACAGGGTCTGGAGTGGACCTCTAGCAAATTCCAACAGACCTGCAGCTGAGGGTCCCGTCTGTTAGAAGGAAAACTAACAAACAGAAAGGACATCCACACCAAAAACCCATCTGTATGTCACCATCATCAAAGACCAGAAGTAGATAAAACCACAAAGATGGGGAAAAAACAGAGAAGAAAAACTGGAAACTCTAAAAAGCAGAGCACCTCTCCTCCTCCAAAGGAACACAGTTCCTCACCAGCAATGGAACAAAGCTGGGTGGAGAATTACTTTGACGAGTTGAGAGAAGAAGGCTTCAGACGATCAAACTACTCCGAGCTACAGGAAGAAATTCAAACCAAAGGCAAAGAAGTTAAAAACTTTGAAAAAAAAATTGACGAATGGCTAACTAGAATAACCAATGTGGAGAAGTCCTTAAAGGAGCTGATGGAGCTGAAAGCCAAGGCTCGAGAACTACGTGAAGAATGCAGAAGCCTCAGGAGCTGTTGTGATCAACTGGAAGAAAGGGTATCAGTGATGGAAGACGAAATGAATGAAATGAAGCGAGAAGGGAAGTTTACGGAAAAAAGAATAAAAAGAAACGAACAAAGCCTCCAAGAAATATGCGACTATGTGAAAAGACCAAATCTACGTCTGATTGGTGTACCTGAAAGTGATGGGGAGAATGGAACCAAGTTGGAAAACACTCTGCAGGATATTATCCAGGAGAACTTCCCCAATCTAGCAAGGCAGGCCAACATTCAGATTCAGGAAATAGAGAGAACACCACAAAGATGCTCCTCGAGAAGAGCAACTCCAAGACACATAATTGTCAGATTCACCAAAGTTGAAATGAAGGAAAAAATGTTAAGGGCAGCCAGAGAGAAAGGTCAGGTTACCTATAAAGGGAAGCGCATCAGACTAACAGTGGATCTCTCAGCAGAAACTCTACAAGCCAGAAGAGAGTGGGGGCCAATATTCAACGTTCTTAAAGAAACGAATTTTCAACCCAGAATTTCATATCCAGCCATACTAAGCTTCATAAGTGAAGGAGAAATAAAATACTTTACAGACAAGCAAATGCTGAGAGATTTTGTCACCACCAGGCCTGCCCTAAAAGAGCTCCTGAAGGAAGCATTAAACATGGAAAGGAACAACCAGTACCAGCCACTGCAAAAACATGACAAATTGTAAAGACCATCCAGACTAGGAAGAAACTGCATCAACTAATGAGCAAAATAACCAGCTAACATCATAAGGACGGGATCAAATTCATACATAACAATATTAACTTTAAATGGGCTAAATGCTCCAATTATAAGACACAGACTGGCAAATTGGATAAAGAGTCAAGACCCATCAGTGTGCTGTATTCAGGAAACCCATCTCACATGCAGAGACACACATAGGCTCAAAATAAAGGGATGGAGGAAGATCTACCAAGCAAATGGAAAACAATAAAAGGCAGGGGTTGCAATCCTAGTCTCTGATAAAACAGACTTTAAACCAACAAAGATCAAAAGAGACAAAGAAGGCCATTACATAATGGTAAAGGGATCAATTCAACAAGAAGAGCTAACTATCCTAAATATATATGCACCCAATACAGGAGCACCCAGATTCATAAAGCAAGTCCTGAGTGACCTACAAAGAGACTTAGACTCCCACACAATAATAGTGGGAGATTTTAACACACCACTGTCAACATTAGACAGATCAACAAGAGAGAAAGTTAACAAGGATACCCAGGAATTGAACTCAGCTCTGAACCAAGCAGACCTAATAGACATCTACAGAACTCTTCACCCCAAATCAACAGAATATACATTCTTTTCAGCACCACACCACACCTATTCCAAAATTGACCACATAGTTGGAAGTAGAACACTCTTCAGCAAATGTAAAACAACAGAAATTATAACAAACTGTCTCTCAGACCACAGTGCAATCAAACTAGAACTTAGGATTAAGAAACTCACTCAAAACCACTCCACTACATGGAAACTGAACAACCTGCTCCTGAATGACTACTGCGTACATAACGAAATGAAGGCAGAAATAAAAATGTTATCTGAAACCAATGAGAACAAAGAAAGAACATAGCAGAATCTCTGGGACACATTCAAAGCAGCGTGTAGAGGGAAATTTATAGCACTAAATGCCCACAAGAGAAAGCAGGAAAGATCCAAAACTGACACCCTAACATCACAATTAAAAGAACTAGAAAAGCAAGAGCAAACACATTCAAAAGCTAGCAGAAGGCAAGAAATAACTAAAATCAGAGCAGAACTGAAGGAACTAGAGACACAAAAGTCCCTTCAAAAATTAATGAATCCAAGAGCTGGTTTTTTGAAAAGATCAACAAAACTGATAGACCACTAGCAAGACTAATAAAGAATAAAAGAGAGAAGAATCAAATAGGTGCAATATAATATGATAAAGGGGATATCATCACTGATCCCACAGAAATACACACTACCATCAGAGAATACTACAAACACTTCTACGCAAATAAACTAGAAAATCTAGAAGAAATGGATAAATTCCTCAACACATACACCCTCCCAAGACTAAACCAGGAAGTAGTTGAATCTCTGAATAAACCAATAACAGGCTCTGAAATTGTGGCAATAATCAATAGCTTACCAACCAAAAAGAGTCCAGGACCAGATGGATTCACAGCCGAATTCTACCAGAGGTACAAGGAGGAACTGGTAACATTCTTTCTGAAACTATTCCAATCAGTAGGAAAAGAGGGAATCCTCCCTAACTCTTTTTATGAGGCCAGCATCATCCTGATACCAAAGCCTGGCAGAGACACAACAAAAAAGAGAATTTTAAACCAATATCCTTGATGAACATTGATGAAAAAATCCTCAATAAAATACTGGCAAACCGAATCCAGCAGCACATCAAAAAGCTTATCCACCATGAGCAAGCGGGCTTCATCCCTGGGATGCAAGGGTGGTTTGTTCAATATACGCATATCAATAAACGTAATCCAGCCTATAAACAGAACCAAAGACAAAAACCACAAGATTATCTCAACAGATGCAGAAAAGGCCTTTGACAAAATTCAACAACCCTTCATGCTAAAAACTCTCAATAAATTAGGTATTGATGAGACGTATCTCAAAATAATAACAGCTATCTATGATGAACCCACAGCCAATATCATACTGAATGGGCAAAGCTGGAAGCATTCCCTTTGAAAACTGGCACAAGACAGGGATGCCCTCTCTCACCACTCCTATTCAATGTAGTGTTGGAAGTTCTGGCCAGGGCAATTAGGCAGGAGAAGGAAATAAAGGATATTCAATTAGGAAAAGAGGAAGTCAAATTGTCCCTGTTTGCAGATGACATGATTGTATATCTAGAAAACCCCATTGTCTCAGCCCAAAATCTCCTTAAGCTGATAAGCAACTTCAGCAAAGTCTCAGGATACAAAATCAATGTACAAAAATCACAAGCATTCTTATACACCAATAACAGACAAACAGAGAGCCAAATCATGAGTGAACTCCCATTCACAATTGATTCAAAGAGAATAAAATACCTAGGAATCCACCTTACAAGGCACGTGAAGGACCTCTTCAAGGAGAACTACAAACCACTGCTCAATGAAATAAAAGAGGATACAAACAAATGGAAGAACATTCCATGCTCATGGGTAGGAAGAATCAATATGGTGAAAATGGCCATACCACCCAAGGTAATTTATAGATTCAATGCCATCCCCATCAAGCTACCAATGACTTTCTTCACAGAATTGGAAAAAACTACTTTAAAGTTCATATGGAACCACAAAAGAGCCTGCATCGCCAAGTCAATCCTAAGCCAAAAGAACAAAGCTGGAGGCATCACGCTACCTGACTTCAAATTATACTACAAGGCTACAGTAACCAAAACAGCATGGTACTGGTACCAAAACAGAGATATAGATCAATGGAACAGAACAGAGCCCTCAGAAATAATGCCACATATCTACAACCATCTGATCTTTGACAAACCTGACGAAAACAAGCAATGGGGAAAGGATTCCCTGTTTAATAAATGGTGCTGGGAAAACTGGCTAGCCATATGTACAAAGCTGAAACTGGATCCCTTCCTTACACGTTATACAAAAATTAATTCAAGATGTATTGAAGACTTATATGTTAGACCTAAAACCATAAAAACCCTAGAAGAAAACCTAGGCAATACCCTTTAGGACATAGGCATGGGCAAGGACTTCATGTCTAAAACACCAAAAGCAATGGCAACAAAAACCAAAATTGACAAATGGGATCTAATTAAACTAAAGAGCTTCTGCACAGTGAAGGAAACTACCACCAGAGTGAATGGGCAACCTACCAAATGGGAGAAAATTTTCGCAACCTACTCATCTGACAAAGGGCTAATATCCAGAATCTACAATGAAATCAAGCAAATTTACAAGAAAAAAAACAAACAACCCCATCACAAAGTGGGCGAAGGACATGAACAGACACTTCTCAAAAGCAGACATTTATGCAGCCAAAAAACACATGAAAAAATGCGCATCATCACTGGCCATCAGAGAAATGCAAATCAAAACCACAATGAGATACCATCTCACACCAGTTAGAATGGTGATCATTAAAAAGTCAAGAAACAACAGGTGCTGGAGAGGATGTGGAAAACTAGGAACACTTTTACACTGTTGGTGGGACTGTAAACTAGTTCAACCGTTGTGGAAGACAGTGTGGCGATTCCTCAGGGATCTAGAACTAGAAATACCATTAGACCAAGCCATCCCATTACTGAGTATATACCCAAAGGACTATAAATCATGCTGCTATAAAGACACATGCACACGTATGTTTATTGTGGCACTATTCACAATAGCAAAGACTTGGAACCAACCCAAATGTCCAACAATGATAGACTGGATTAGGAAAATGTGGCACATATACACCATGGAATACTATGCAGCCATAAAAAATGATGAGTTCATGTCCTTTGTAGGTACATGGATGAAACTGGAAACTATCATTCTCAGCAAACTATCACAAGGACAAAAAACCAAACACCGCATGTTCTCACTCATAGGTGGGAATTGAACAATGAGAACACATGGACACAGAAAGGGGAACATCACACTCTGGGGACTGTTGTGGGGTCGGGGGAGTGGAGAGAGATAGCATTAGGAGATATACCTAATGCTAAATGAGGAGTTAATGGGTGCAGCACACCAACATGGCACATGTATACATATATAACACACCTACACATTGTGCACATGTACCCTAAAACTTAAAGTATAATAATAATAAAATTTAAAAAAAAAGAAAGGGCTAAAGGGGAGGCAGAAATGGGGAATTGTTCAATGGGTGTAAAGTTTTAGTTATGTAAGATGAATACATTCTAGAGATCTGTAGTATATTGTATTGCCAGTATTTTAACATTACTGTATTGTACACTTAAAAATGTGTTAAGCAAGTAGATTTCAAATATTCTTACACACACACACACACACACACACACACACACACATACGCACACACACATACGCAATTAAACAACCAAAAGAAAAAAGATGCATGAGAAAACTTTTGGAAGTGAGGGATGTATATTGCCTTTATTGCGGTGATGGTTTCATGGTTGTATGCATATGTTCAAAACCACTAAATTGAATACATTAAATATATGCAGTTTTATTTTACAACAACTACACATTAAATAAAGCTTTTTTTTTAACTCAACTGTAAAAATTTCAGTTAGATATGGACAAAAGATAAAAGAGACATTTCAGTGAAGAAACATTCCAAATGGCAAATAAAAGAAGGAAAGATTCTCAATGTCATTAACCACTAGGGAAATGTAAATTAAAACCACAATGAGAGATCCCTATCTATGTATTAAGATGACTGAAATTTAAAAAAAAATAGTAACAATACCAAATACTCGTGAAGATGTGGAGAAAATGGATTACTCATACCTTGTTTGTGGAAATGTAAAACTGTATAGACACTTCAGGTAGCATTTTGGCAGCTTCTTTAAAAACTAAACATTCAACTACTATATAACTGAGCAGCTGTAAGCCTGGGTATTTATATCAGGGATATGAACACGTATGCTTCCACAAAAACGTGTAGAGAAATATTTACTGCAATTTCACTTATAATAGCCAAAATGTGGAAACATTAATGTGTGAATAGACTTTGGTTCGCTCGTATCATAAAATATCACTGGGTAATAAAAAGTAATGACCTATGGTTGTACAAACAAGTCTAGATGAATCTCTAGAGAACTAAGCTAAGTGTGAAAAGGCAATCTCAAAAAATTACACATTGTTTGATTTTATTTATATAACATTCTTGAAATGACAAAATCATAGAGCTGGATAACATAGTAGTCATTGCCAGGGATTAAGGGTGTTGGAAAAGGAGGTAGATATGGCTATAAAAGGGAGGGATTCTTGTATAGCTGAAAGTGCTTTGTATTTAAACTATAAAAATGTTAGTATACGGGCTGTATATAAAAACTGCATTACAGTTTTTCAAGTTGTTGCCATTGGGGGAAATTGGTTGAAGGATACAAATGTTCTCTTTGCTTCATTTCTTCAACTGTGTTTTAAAATAAAGCTAACTCAACATATAAAGCTTAATTTCAAAAAAATTTTAAGAACAACTACTCATCAAAATATACCATAAAGAAAGTTACGAAACAAAACTCCCTCTGGGAAAGATACTTGCAATGGTAATAACTGACAAAGTATTGTCCCCAAAATATATAAAATATTTCTACTAATCAATCAGTAAAAGGCAAATGACAATAGAAAATTGACATAGGCACAAATAGTCAAGTCACTAAGGAAACATGGAAGTCTAATAAAATGAATAGATGTCTGGGCTTATTAATAGTAATGATGCTATTTAATAATAAAAAGTTTGACTTTACCTTACCAGATTGTCAAAACAGTGTTTTTCATTGTTAAGCGTTGGTGAGGATGTAAAGAAAGAAAGATGCACACTGTAGGTAGGAGTACAGTTTGCTAGCAACACTAAGGAAAACAAATTTGTATTACCTGATAAATTTAAATATGCACACACTCTACCAGTCCAAAATTCCACTCCATAGATAAATACTCTAGAGATACTCTTGCACATAATGTCAGGAAATGTAGACATGTTTATAGCATCATTGTAAGTAAAAAGAAAATTAAAAACCAAAAAACATCAAACAACTTATATCCATTGACAGTAAAACTAAGAGTAAATTGCTGTACATTCTTACAGTTGAGTGCTACATGACACTGAAAATGATTGAACTATACACGGCCTGGATGGATCTCAAAAAAATAATGTTGATTGAAATAAAAGTACCAGAAGAATACATACTAAATGATTTCATTTTTACAAATAAGGCTAAACTAAATGATACATTGTTTAGGAGCACATACAGATACAGTAAAATTACAAAGGGAAGCCAGATAATAACTTACACAAAATTCAGAAAGGAGAGGACAATCATGAGGAAAAAAAATTGGCATTTTAAATACTTATTTTAGTTTCACCATTAGTTCTTAAACTGTCTCAACTATTAAAGTTTTTGAATATTTGTAAAATTATAAATTATAATCAGCATGTTTGAATGGGTGCAAACTAATTATTATAACTTGACATTTCTTGTGTCTTTTAATACTTTTGCTGTTAGTTTTATTTAGATTTCTCAACAAGTCATTTTTCTGTAGCCATGTGTGCATTTCTATTAATCAGAAGTTCATCCTCTTTTAACAATCTGTCATTTCTTTTTTGACTACAACAGATGAAATGTGTTCTGACTGAATCACAGTAGTGGAATGCTCTCTGCGTGAAAATCTAACATATTTTCTGTGGGGCTGTAATTCTTTATCTAAAAAACTACTTTATGATATGTGGAGTGGCGAAGTACAATAAATGCCAAAATTATCTTGGACGATTTGAAACATTGATATACTCTTTCAGAACTGTGATTTCTTTTAATTTATGCCAAATCATATCATTAAATCAAAATTTCAAGGACCAATGCATTAACTAGAATTTGGAAGAGTATTGTGCACAGGATATAAAATATCTAAGCATAGCAAAAGAAGGGGTGTTTTGGGGGTGTGTTTGTGTGTGGCTTTGTGTGTATATCTGTTAATTTTGTTTTGCTTGCTTATTTGTTTGTGGTTTTCTTGTCCATTGGTGTGCAGGGTTCTCATTAAATATATTGCTTGGTTTATTTGGTTTATTTCTTGAATCACTCTAAAATGTTTCTTTTTGTGAATAATGTCAACAGTGAAGTAGGAGATTTGAAATATGTTTACTTACTTGTTTTTAATCAGGAAATTGCATATGGTCACTCTGATCCTTCTAAAGTCTTCAAAACCTCTCTCAATGGTAGCTGCAAATCAGTATAAATAGTAAATCTGGATTCCATTATTACCTCCTCCAGCTTATAAGAAATTAGCCCAAGCTCATGTAGTGTTAATAAATAGTAGTGATAGGGAGGAGTGGGAGCCTTTTATTTAATGTGCTTTTTCCCTCTAAGAATAGAAAGAACATGCGGATTGGAGATAAGAATTTTCATTTGCTCTTTTAGTTACACATTTTAAATTCTTTGTGTTGAGATTTGTTAAACATTGTAAAAATCCTGAGAGAAACTCCAACTCTTTCTATTTTTATATAATAGGTTGCATGTTCACTAAAATTACGTTCCTCAAAAAAAGTTTAACTTTATTAAAGTATGCCCATTAATTTCTTGCATTATTTCTGACTTAAATCTAAACTATACTCATCCTTCAAAGTAAAAGTTTTAACAATGATTATCCTCCTGCCAGCCTCTTAATTGTAACATTTCTAAACACTTGTCTGTTCTCTTCAAGTATTGTTGATTTGCATAACTTCAAGTAGTAGTTTTTAACCTTCTTCTTATCTATCCAAGTATTTGATTACTAAGATTTTTCTAACCATCTGGAAGTGACTGTTCTCTCTCTCTGAGCCTCCACATCAACTTTGGAAAGATAAGGAGATGCTCAGACTTCTGCACAATTTGATTTGGCCCTTACTCCTGCTCCTCTACCCCAATATTCACAGTTTTACCAGAACTATAATCTTGCAGTCATCAAAACTAACACGATTCTTTCTTTACTCGTCTTTCTATCAGTTATCTCAAGAAGCCAAGGATTCCCAGGTCATCTTCATCTCCCACAATCCCATTTCTAGATGGTTTCAAGTTCAAGGAGGAATCTCCCACCCCCATCACCCCACTCTCTATGATCCCTCCCTGGGTTGTTTTTCCCTCTATCATGTATCACTCTCTGGCATACAATTATTTGTCTCCCAGCTGGACCCCTCCTGGAATGTAAGTTCCCTTAATCCAGAGATCTTTTTTTCCACTTCTCTCTCACCTAAGACAATTCCAAAAAATTAGATAAACTAAATAAATATGTGTTAGATGAAGGCATAGATGAATGAATGTATGAAATGGAAAGAAATACTGTGCTTCTTTGGCACAGATTTGGAATTAGAATTTCTTTTATTTTAGCCTATTATTTTATCATGAGAAGACAATTTTCATTTTGTTATCTTTGTTAAGATGTTTAATGCTATTAGTTTGCTGCATGATTATGAGACTACTTACAGCTTGGATTGGATGAGTTTTGTGTAATTGTCTTTTACCAGTTGGAATTTTCTTTAGACAATTCTAATAACTATAAAAGGATTGGTGGAACAGAAACCCACCATTCCTACTGAATTAGCTCTTTTCAATTGCCTTTCTCCTGAAGCATATTGTCTGTGTACTTCCCCAGCTTTGAACACCCATGAAGTTAATCTTACAATTAAAGTTGTTTTCAAGTACTTTGGTGGGCTGAGTGTAAAGGCTTGCTCACCCTTGTTATATATTACATAGCTATTATTATCATCTTTATTTTACTAATGGGGGAATTGGAGTTTGGGGCATATATTCTAGGCAACTTCATCTGGAAATAATGAGCATGGGTAAAAGAGGAATCTATATGCATAGAAAGTGACAAGATTCACTTTGAATTCGTAGTGCTCTATTCCAAAAGGGACTGTTGAACTCCTCTTACATTAAACACAAAAATGAACTTTAACAAGAATTAAGAAAAACAATAGTCCGTTCTACAATTTGTATATTGTGAGTGCTTTATAAGTGGATGATGATGATGATGATGATGAAATGACATAACTAAGGCTGTGGAATGAAGTAACTCAAATGTGCATATGGGTTTATATCTGGGTATGATGTATAATTATGCATTTTATTTATCTATCATCTGTCATCCATATATCTATCATCTATATAGTTATATATAGTTATTTATTATACTGATTCAGACTACTCTCTATAAAGCTTAGACTGAAGGACTCAGGATAGAAACTTATTGTAACAGAGGCAATGTAAATGGTTTAATACTTGTGTAATATGTGTCAATTTGACAGAAACAAGGGTTCTTTCTTTGAAAATACCAATATACAGGACCATATTTCCAGGCATTTATTTCTCTCTATTCAGTATGTGCAGTGGCAGTGTTAGGTTGTATGCTGCAGAAACTATTAAAATAATCCCAGTGCCAAATGTTTTATTATTAGTAACCTCACAGGTGTTCTGTGGCTTACTTATGAAAGGAAAAGTCAAGAGACGATTTTGAATGTAAGACTTACTCAGTGTGAAAATTATAGGCCACCTAACATATTTGGATTTATAGCTCAAAAGGAAAAGAAGAATAACCCAGAATGTTGCCATTCTAGTAATCAATAGAAATTTGCCTAAATTTGACTCAGATTTTGTCATGCCGTGTTGAAACTGAGTAATAAGTCAGATAATTAGGGAGCTTCATTAATTTTCTTTAAGACTCAGGTATCATTTTGCTGTTTTGAAATCATAATCTGATCCTTAAATCTTATTTTAGATGAGAAAGACTTTGCTTACTTATTAGCCAAAAAAGCTGAGAAATAATTAAGATAAATATCCCTCAGTATTCTCATGCCATTATTATCCCACTTAATTTTCTCCATTAGACAAACTCTAAGGATAAGACATTCCACAATAAATCTCAGAAAATATGTATACTATACAAATAGCCAGTGAAATTTTGTTTAATCAACTCATTCTAGACAAAAGAGAAGTGGATGATTTGAGCAGTTTGGTCTAACAGTGACAGATTAAGTTAGAGAATGAGATAGATCTAGACTCAAGTTTTAGCATTCACACTTATTACTTCGGTGGAGTTTGGGCTGGTTATATTTTCTCACCTTTAAATATTTTTCCCAGAAATGGGGCTAAATATATCTAATATTTAGGATTTTTTAACGACAATGAATATATCCTAATTATAATCCTCAAAAATCAGGGAGATTGTTATTAGATGTATGTATTATTATAAATTAGATTTTGATTTACTGTACGTATCAGTCTTATTTATTGCTAATACACAGTTTTAAATGGTTTATGAATTTTTCTATGTTGGGTCCCATACATTCTCTACATTTCAATGACAACAGATGGTATTTATTAGAGACTACATGAACAAAGCCAGTCTCATTTGGTAATTAATAGATGGACCCCAAATCAACTAACCGTCTTCAAATGATTGAATTTAAATAGATAATTATGACCAAACTGCTATGTTTAAATGAGCCTTAACTGTGCTATTATCTTCATTTTCAACTTATATATACTGGACATTTTGTGACAAATTTAACTTTCACTAATAGCTATCCAAATGTAGCTCAATAAATCAATCTGTTTGTGCTAAACAGATGTTATGATAAATGATTTACATACTTTATCTCATTAATTCTCACAAAAAACCTTTTGAAATAGACATAGAAAGATAAGATCTTGACATATGTATCTTCATGCTTTGCTTATTTACAGAATTTCTAGCCTCTTCCAGCCTTGTCTCCAGAGGGGTTGTTATCTCAGAATGCAATGAAAAAGAAACTATTGGTGCTCATGTTTTTAAAAAATTCTAATTGGGCTCCTAAGAACCAAAAAGTAGTCCACAAATGAAGTTGGTAAAGAGAAATGAAAATAAAATTCCATACAGAACATGACGACAACCCTCATTTTCCCATCCCCTCCCTCAACCTATAGAAAATGAGGGTTGAAATACTAGAATAGTTAAGAGAAATAAGTATGAATAACCCTGGAAGTTCATTTTCTTTATCTTTTAGAATCTTAGTAAAAATCCACCTCAGCAGGTTTGAGTTAGCTCAGTGGAAGCACTGGCAGATTCTAGTTGCTTGTTTCAGAGGCTCCACCTTTCAAATGAGGACAGTTCCTCAACCAAGAAAATTCCGTTATTACATAGTCTTCCAGGTGTTCCCTTAACTTGTGCTTAGCTTATCAATATGTAGAACATTAATATAGTCCTGCACCAGGATGCTTTTTCATGGTATGACTATTACAGATGAATCTCACCGAGGCATACTTCTCTTTTTGAAAACAAAAATGAGAGTAATGGTTAGTACGTGGCTACTTTTCTACTTGTACACTTTTATCTAATACACTCTATTTTCTATTAATTCCACATAGCTATAAACATTTGTCTGTGTGCTTTTTGCTCAACAGAGATGGAAAGAAAAACAGCATAACTTTGGAGAAGATAGTATTGGGAAAATGATCTAAATAATTGGGGTGTTATTAAGCGGAATAGAGGGAATCACTTACAAGAGGTGTCAGGGAGTTCTTGGAAACCAATCAACTGTCTAAATAGCAGCCCTTGCTCTTTGAACCTGATTGAGCTGTCCTCATTCTCAGGCTGGGACATTCTAGAGTCACCAGTATATCATGTGGGCCTATGTGTTAGTACTTTGCTGAGCTCAAGTCTGAATTGTTCAGTGTTCACATATACTCTATGCCTAAATTGAACTCCTTGATCCTCAGAGAGTAGTAATGATATGTGGAATGGAAAAGATTCCAACATAGTTGCTTTGGTGGTGACACACAGTATGGAAATCTATCCCCCACTGCTTATTACTTAACTAGTACAACTAATCCTTTTAATCAAAAAAAAAAAAAAAAAAAAAGAAGAAGAAGAAATAGAAGGTTGGGAAGCTAAAATAACTTGGCTATGGACTTGTCCATAGGATTCGTCAGATATGAGATTTAAACTTACCTCTCTGGAGTTTGAAGAAATAATTAAAAGAAAAATGCGTTAAAAAAATCGCAATGCACATAGACTGAATGTTTCCTAAAGAAAATTTTAAACCTAAAGCTTCATCATTTAGGGAAGTAACCCACTTTTTACCTTTGGTGTTTTTCCATCATATCATGGATTATAATAGACAATAGTACAAAATTGTCTTTTACAATATATATTTAACAGAGGTCTACTTATCTATGAGCTTCCTAGATAGTCTGATGGATCACTAGGCTTATGCAATACATCATTAGATGTAGTTAGACAGCAAGAAGTTGTGCTTACATATAACATTCCAAGGTAGCATGATTTCACACAAAAAAAGTTGTTCAAGATTCTGTTGTCAGTAAAGTGTAGGGAAAAGGTCATAAAAAGAACTTCATTATATATGAAGAGACTATGATTGATAATATAAAATTAAGCAACAATGTATTAGTTACTAAACTTTTTTTTTTTTTTTTTTTCTTTTTGAGACAGAGTTTTACTCTGCTGCCCAGGCTGGAGTGCAGTGGTGCAATGTCGGCTCACTGCAACCTTCCCATTTAGGATTCAAGCGATTCTCCTGCCTTAGCCTCCCGAGTACCTGAGATTACAGGCATGCTCCACCAGGCTCAGATACTTGGCCTCCCAAAGTGCTAGGATTACAGGTGCAAGCCACCGCACCTGGCCTATTACCATTTTTAAATAAAGATTGGCAAAGCTTATGAGTATCATTGACTGCTAACTGGCAGGTCTAAAGTGGAAACCAGAGGTGAGGGGATAAAGAGAAATGGAGGTTTTGTTTGTTGTTGTTAAAGAGAAAGAAATGGAGAGAATTCACAGCAGAGAATGAGAAAAAGAAGGCGAAAACTGACAATGTACAGGTACTTTCACTGTGGATGCTTATAGGTACATACGTCTCTGAGAGCTAAAACTATGTATCTAACCTTATACCTCTACTCTACAAGGGTTGGGGAGAAAAAGTTTTTCAAGATTGTTCTTTCCATTGTATCTGAACACAGGAAAAATCTGGCAGTAGGGTTACTGTGTGTATCTAAGAAAAAGTATGTAAGAAAGCCCAGGCAACTGTTTAATTTAAGGCTTCATGTACATATCACCAAAACAATTAATCATTTTGGCAATTGAGAATGAAAAACATCAAATCAATTATAGGGTGCTGTGGTGACTGAACAAGTACTTTTTAACTCTATAAAATATATTCTCTATAAAATCTGGGACATTCTCTAACAGATACAGTACATAGTTTCAACTAGCTATAATACAGTGGCATAGGAATCAAAAGCTAGAAGCTAGAACATCACCCATAGCATTGTTGATTCCTCTTCTTGCAATTTGGGGTTCTGTTGGTTTAAAGATCAGTTTTAAAATAGGGACCTTGACTCAGTTCAAGAGAAGAATGCTTTCATACGTACACAAAAATGTTTTCCCTGAATTGGAAATTGAGAAAGCCAACAGCCATTTTGGACTTCTCCTACCATTGAGTCAATAGGCAAGGAAGAAATTCTACTAGATGTTTTGACAGAATCAGATAACCAAGAGGAAATTCAATGACTGCTCTAGAATGAAGGCAGATGTCTGGGATTAAGTCGGTCTTCTGGGATTCTCTTTAGTTTGTCTATATTCAAATGTAAAAATTAATGAAAGCAAATGGAATCCTACTAAAGTCAAGACCACTCAGTATTTAGCTCCTCTTGTTAGAAAAGCTTGAGTCAGCCCACCAACTAAAGAAAGCTAAACAACCATGGTGCCAGTGGAGGGCAACAGGAACACAGAATAAATAAGGAAAAACAAGAATGTAAAAAGAAAACCTATAGATTTGTGACCAATTACAAAAACAGGATTTTCTGTTTCTGTAACAGGTCTGCATATTTTCTTCAATGATCATTAAAAATATATGTATATATAATATATATGATGTAATAAAATAAATCTGTAATATTAACAAATCTTAACCAAAGTTCAGTTAGACAAGGGAGGTAGTTCAATACATCTATTGTAAATCATGACTACAGTTAATACCAATATATTGTAATATTTGACAATTGCCAAGAAAATAGATTTTAAAAGTTCTTACCACACACAAAAAATGTTAAATATGTGAGGGAAAGCATATGTTAAATAGTTTGATATAGCCATTCCATACTGTGCATGTGTGTGTATATATATATATATATATATATATATATATATATATATATATTTATTTATATATAATTTTGACATATATTAAATATATATTTGATATATATTTTTGATTACATATACATATATATTTTATATATATTAATATTTTTTCCCTTCTTTGTTTCTCTGTTATTTAGTATAAGAATTGTTATTAGTAGTTAATTTTACAATTTGGCTTTATGTTACAGAATAAAAAGATAGGACAGTTAATGAATATGAAAAATAATTTATTTCCTAGAGACAGTTATGATGAGACTTTGTATTTCTTCATTTTGGGGCAACAGTGAGAGTGACTTTGCATTAAATGTAGTTGTGTCTTGTTAGGCAGAGATAAGAATTTGTTTTTCTTGTGTGGAAGTTCTAACGTGTGTGGGAGAATGCATATGAATGCTGGGTAGCCGAAAGGGTGACTGTGCCAATTATTTACCTATTGTCTCAACTACAAATATACTCTTCCGTCTTCTGTTTCGTGGTAGTGGGGCTGGCAGTCTACAAATTTCACTTCCCCAACTCTTTGGCCAGCTGATAGTTTGTACAGTTATGCCAATAGGACATATTAGAGGGATGCTGGAAGGTGAGATGAAGGAAGAGAGTATTTTCTACCTGTTTTCCAGGCACCATCAGTATCACTTTAGCAGCAGCCATGGACCCAGCCACCAGCTTCCATCAGTATCTCAGCATCAGTGTCATCAGGGCTCCTCAGAGGCAGCGGCAGTAATTGAGCAGGCTCATCTGTGGTCTAAGTACCAGGTTTCAGGGCACCAAGCTTCTAGTTTATGGTAAATTTTCCTCTTCCTATTTTTTCCCTCAGTCCTGGTACATAGCTGCTACCTACAATTAAAATTTTCTGTATAGTAAACACAAAAATAACATTTTTTTTTCTCTTTAAGATCTCTGATGTTGATGGTAATAATTCTGATTTCAAATCCCCACTGGTTAAAATGCTTAACTTCCTGATGGATATGGAACAACAAAGACCCTCTCTCTCTCTCTGTATGTGTGCCTGTGTGTGTGTGTGTGTGTGTGTGTGTATGTGCATGTGTGTATCTTCACACATACTCTCCCCTAAATGCATGATTGTACTCAAATGAAAACTTGCAGAGGGCTTGGTCGTAGACAAGTATCCACGTATCTTGTGAAGTAAAGTGACTGGCACATTGGGGAGACAGTGTAAATATGAACTAACCAATATAGACCCGTCATCACCTTTTATTGATCACCCATTATTTATCCAAAGATTATTTTCTGACATAAATTGGAGCTACAGTCCTTACCTTAACAGAGCTTATTGTTTTACTTTTTATATTCATCTGGGCATGTTTGTAAAAGGAACAGGTGTAAGAATGTTATTTTAATAAAATTAATTGTTATAATTCCATAAAATAAGTTATGTGAAAAATAAAAAATTGGTTTTAGTACTATGTGTATTCATGTTCCATTTTGTTACAAGAAATATTTAATGCTTTTCCATAGCTATAATATCTATGTCAATGGATGTCAGAAACATGACTTTAGAATTCCATAGAAGCTATTAGAATAGTAGGGCTTCAGATGTGGTATTTATTCCTGCTATGGGATGTACTAATTACTGAAGAATTATTTTCCATATATAGGATTTAAAATATTATTATAATCTTAAAAATACTTTTTGTCACGTTACTAATACAAGATTCAAGACCAAGTATATTTCCCTCAAGAGTAATATTGAGGGAATATTCTCCAAACAATAATTTATATCTATTTTATTCTATCTCTGAAAGGTAAAATAATATCTGTGATAAACTTTAAATTATTGTATTGGAAGGAAGAGGTAGGCAGTAAAATAGCTAAACATCTATGGGTATACTTATCTTCCCAGAGAAAGACTGATAGGAGCTTGGGAAGGGTAAGGGTCTTGAAATCAGTTGACTTGGCTGATCACTTATCTTGGAAAAGTAATATTTCCAAATAATTAATTAAATAACATTAAATAATCACTAATAAAATACAAGCCATATTTTACATCATTATGAAGATCAAATGAGATGACTTATTTGAAAGTACTTTATAAATGGCCACGTATTCCCAACTTTTTGTTAGTTTTGTTTCCATTTCAAAAATGTATCTTTATTTTATATATTTAAGGTATAGAATATGATGTTTTGATAAATATATATATATATACATATAGACGTGCTTACTACAGTCAAGAAAACTAACCTATATACTTCCATAGTTGCTGTTTTTTGTATGTGTGGTAAGACCATCTAAAATCTACTCTCTTAGAAAAATTTCAGTATAAAATATAGTATTATTAATGATACTCCTCATGCTACATATTAGATTGCTATACTTATTCATCCTACATAACTGCAAGTCTGTACTCTTTGACCTCCTTCTCATTTCCTACCAACTCTATGCCCCTGGCAACCACCATTCTACTCTATTTCTACATATTCAACATTCTTTTAGATTCCACAGATAAGATCGTGCAGTATTTTACTTTCTCTATCTGGCTTATTTCACTTAGTTTAATGACTTCCAGGTTCAACCATGTTACTGCCTTACTATTGAAAGTGATATACAGATTCAATGCAATCCTTATGAAAATTACAATGGCATTTTTTACAGAAATAGAAAAAAATTCTAAAATTCCTATAGAACCACAAAAGCTCTTGAATAGCTAATCTTGAGAAAGAAAAATTGTAATTGAAAGCATTACGATTTCTGATTTCAAAATAAATTACAAAGTTATAGTCATCAGCAGAGTATGACACTGGCATAAAAATAGACACATAGGCCAATGGAATAGAATAGTAAGCCCAGAAATAAACTCAAGCATATACAATCAACAGATCTTTGGCAAGGTTATCAAGAAGACATAGTAGGGAATAAATAATCTCTTCAATAAATGCTGTTGGGAAAACTAAATATCCATAAGCAAAATAATGAAACTGGACTGTTACCTTACATCATACACAAAAATCAACTCAAAATGAATTATGACATAGACATAAGAACTGAACCTGCAAAACTTCTAAAGGAAAACATAAGGAAAAAGTCCTTGATATTGGCCTTAGCAATGGTTGTTTGATATCATGTCAAAAGACAACACACAGAAAAATTAATAAGTGGAACTGTATCAAACTGAATAGCTTCTGCACAGCAAAAGAAACAAACAACAAAACAACAAACAACAAAATGATGAGGCAGCTTCCTGAGTGAGAGAAAATCTTTGCAAAAAACTCTGATAAGTGGTTAATATCCAAAATATATAAGAAACTCCAACAACTCAACAGCAAAAAACAAAAAAACAAAAACCCCTACAAAAAACAAATATCCCAATTAAGTGGTCAAAAGACACGAATAGACACTTTTTCAAAGAAGACTTAAAAATGACCAACAAATATATGAAAAACTACTCAATATCATTAATTATCAGAGAAATGCAAATCAAAACTAGAATGAGATATTACCTCACACCCGTTAGAATGGCTGTTATAAAAAAGACAAGAGATAACAAGTGTTGTTGAGAGTGTGGAGAAAAGAGAAGCTTGAACATCGTTGGTGGGAATATAAACTGATATGCCCACTATGGAGAACAGTATGGAGGCTTCTCAAAAAATTAAAAATCAGAACTATTGTATGACCCAGCAACCCTTCTTCTGGGTTTATGCCCAAAGGAAATAAAATCAGCACCTCATAGAAATGTCTGTGGTCCCATATTCATTGCAGCATTATTCACAGTAATATAGAATCAACCTGTGTTCACTAGTGGATGAATGGATAAAGAAATTACATTATATATACATAAACAATGGAATATTACTAGGTTTTTTTTTTCTAAAAAAAAAAGGAGATCCTGCCATTCGCGACAACATGCAAGGACACTATGCTAAGTGAAATAAGCCCAACCCAGAAAAAAAAAAAAAAAACAAACTTCTTAACTCATTTTATTTATTATTATCAAACCTCAAACCATTTCTTTAACAGTTTTTTACCTTTATTATTTCCCTGTTTTCCTTATCTTCTCCCAATCACCTTAACCTTCGTATTATAAGTTGAACTAGGTATTTTCCATTTGCCTATTTCTCTACTCTGCCCTCCTTCACCCTGCTCTGTGCCAGAGAGGCTAATGCTTGTAGATTGAATCAGTGATAATCCTTGCCTGCTGGCTTCAGGTTAGGTTCTTCTGGAGGAGGCCCAGGCAGCATATAGAATAATGGGACTTTTCCTCTCTTCCTGAGAGATCACTGAGTTAATTGTGTCCCTTTACCAAATGCCAATGTTCCTGGGGCAACCCTCTCTCTGCTGCTTTCCCGAATTCCAGTATTGGCAGCATCCCCTCACTCTTCAAGACTTATGGGTAGCAATCCACCCCTATTTTTGCAAGCTATGGGTTCCAAACCCTTGGATGGTATTCCTAAACTATGCCTATATCTTTGTAAAGAGTGCCTTTATTAAGCTTTCTGTTATGTAGTCTGAATGTGCCATATGCTTTCTGCTTTTTTGTCAGGGCCCTCCCTGATTAATGTATTCTTTTTTTAAATCTGTATCTTAAATCTTTTTTTTTCTCCTCCGTCTCTGATTGAAACACATATTAGTCATCACCTCTACTGCTGAAGAATCTTCCTTGATGACTTTCTTGTCTGTGTTCCTGTACTCCTGAAGTCCCTCTACAACATTGCTGCCACAGTGGCAATTCACATGTTGTTAATGGGTTGTTTGACTTTCCTTTGGGTCAGAAAATACCACTGGTTAAGAGAACTTAGAATTTAAAAAATTAAGGTTCAGGCTCAGATCTGCTAATAAATGAAGTGGCTTTGGGCCAGTATCTTTTTTTCTAGGTTCTGGTTTTCTGATACAGTTTAATACCTATTTTACAGCTCATTTTATGGGAAAAATGGGGAATGCATACATACAACATAGTGTAGTGCCTGCATCTTGTAAGTGCTTAATAAATGTTACCTATTTTTATTTTTTATAAAATCCCTTTATGTGTCCCTACCATTTACAGAATAAAAGACAAACTCCTTTGTTTGACACATAAGGCCCTCTGTACTTTGACCCTAACTATTTAGCTTCATACCTCACTGCTATCTTACACACAGCATGAAGTTCAGCCGTGTTGAACTACTAGCAAATTCCTAACATCCTCTTTAACTGGCACATCCCTCTAACCTCTGTGCATATCATTCACTTTCTTATAATGCCCTTAACAGTTCCAAGCCATGCACACTTCACTTTACCGGTATTACTCTCAGTCTCCAAACATCAGTCCAAATACTACCTCTAATAGAAAACTCTCCTTGATTTCCCAAGGTAGATGAAAAACCTTGCCTGTCCACCTTGCAGACTCCTGAGTTAGTATTTATGCCCATATTATGATTCCCCGGTAGTCGCTAGACAGTGAGCTGTGTTGCAAAGAAAGACAGTGATATTTCAACTTTGATTTATAAGCATTGTGGATAGGGCTGGGCACCTAGTAGATGTTTGATAAACATTTGTTTAATGAATGAATTCTGCTCCAAACATAATTTTGTACTGTTCATAATTTAAGTCATCTTCAGATGATTTGGAAGTAATATTTAACTTAAAATTCAGAGCCTCTTATCTTGCTTTGCATCTGTTATGCAGTTTCACAGCATAGCTAATGTGTTACCACATTGTATCACAGTATCACCAGTACGATGCCCGCATCAACTCTGTTTGTGTTAATACCTGGGAGCTCATTTAGAAGCTGAATCTGCCAAGAAAACTGACATGCGTTCAGTGCCTTAATTTATCATAACCTCTAAAACTACACATTGAGAAAATTCTTGCTGACTAAATATTAACATCACGTAGTGTCAGAGTAATTAAAGTGAAAAACATGACAACAAAAATATGCATATAGCAAGAAGCTAGAAAATATCTTCTGTAGGAGAGATTAAATCATTGAGTTTACCTTCTTCAAGCAGCTATCATCATGGAAAGGAAGATGAGAATTATAATAAATCATTTTTAATATGTATTAAATCTCATACTCCTAAACTATAATATGCACTTCAGGATAATTTACTTTCTTTGGGAAGCTGCAATAATTCTTTCAATTTATCACTGAGTGCAATAAAGCAATAATTAAGTGGCAACTTATTTAACATACCCAAATTATCTGATATTTTATTAGTTGTAACATTTTTAGAAGCAAACTCTAATTCTTAGTAAACTTGTCATTGTTGCCTCAAATGATATAAACACCATAATTATTTTAAAATGTATGTTTTAATCTATAGATATCTCTTTGAATTTAAGGTTATTTAGTGGAAATATTTAAAATTGGTTGTGTTTAGCTTTAAAACAGGGCTTATGAATGAAATACTTTTTAATATTTTTCTATAGATGAGGAAATTTAGTGTTGTTTCAATAGCTGCTTTTGTTATTTTAATGCATTTTAATGTTTTAATTGTGCTTGTACTCTTAAGAAAGTATCGTAGGGGATATTCTTAGAAAAAAACAAGCAGTATATAAAATTGTAGAAACATATCTAGTAACATGTTTTTCTTACAGAAATTTTCCACTAATGTGCTTTTATTAGGAATTTAGTTTAAAGAACAATGGTAATATCTTTGGTTTAATACCATATAATTATTTCAGTAGAGGGATACAAAATCCAATGAGTAGCGAAGGTAGGGAGCGGGGGTAGTCTAAGTGGGTGGTAACAGAGGCAAGGATAGAGCTGCAAAGTGAATGGGGTCCATGTATGAGCAGATGAGGTTGCTGTTCTTCCCCAGAGGAGACAACCAGGGACTCAAGCAGATTATGAAAGGAGACGAGGGAAGCATTGCCTCAGGATGTTCATCTTCTCACATTGTTATGTCAAATTATCACCTGGGTCTTTTATAACTCTTTTACCTTCTAGCGTACTCTGAGCTCTCCTGCTAGCTTCAGTGGTTTTTCTGTGTGTACACTTCAGTTTGTTAATTTATTTAACACAAATAAACTGAGAACACATAACATGTCGGACATTAAGCCAGATTCTAGAGGTACATATGCAGAAAAGAAGCATTCTCGTCACTCAGGGCAATTATAGTTCAAAGGGGAACAAGTGCCTAACTAGATAATGACAGTGTAATGTTAACATTGCCATAATCGAAAATGATTGATTAAAACAGAAGTTAACACGTAGTGAACACATACTATGTGCTTGCTATTATACTAATTAAATACATTGTTTCTTGTTTCATCTTCACAGGATGAGACATTTACACTATTTTTATCTCTACTACAGAGCTAAAAACAAATATCTAGTATTAGAAAAAAAATGAAACTGAGCTCATCGGGTGATTGAAACAATATGATATTTATCAAAGTATAGTTGCACTAAACTGCATCCAAATTATCAGAGTTCTTAAAATGTGGATTCCTGGGCTCCAACAGCCAATCTACTGAATTCACGTTTCTGAGGAAGGGTCTAGTGAATTTGTCTCTTCTTATACAAATTTTTTTCCTTTAACGAGAGCAATTTTCAAAGCTATAGTAGAAATTTTACTAGGCAATTTAAACTCTCTCTCTCTAGCGATGTATGTGTGTACATGTGTATATGTGTGCATATAAAGATTGAAAACTTCTGAAATAGGTGATTATATGTATTATTTAATATGTAATAGGGGGTTTCTTAAAAATGTCTTTTCTATGCTTCTAAAATACAATTTAAAACTAAATATAATAGAATCCAGATATAAATGAAATTCAGTCAGAACCACCAGATTGATTCTATTATTAAATAATCCACACTGCATTGTATCTTGTCCCAGTTATTAAGTTATTATCTCAGATTTAGATGTAGCATTTTCACCCTTCCCTGGTAACCACCTTTTGAAGATACTCTTGATTCTTATATTCCATTTTCAATTAAAATTTCTATCTTTCATTAAATATATTTTTATGGAAGGATACATGAAAAATCCAGTTGAATTCTCTATCAAACTGTCATGTCTTTTCATGTATATAAATATATATGCAAAGGTTTATGCATCAGTTCCTGTTTTCTCTCAACACTTTAAGGCACATTAAGGCGTATGAAATAAAATAGATGAAATAAGCAAAAATTGGTAACAAAAATGAGGTCAATAAAATATTATACAGCGTGTTAAGACAGAACTAGGAGTGAGGTTCCTTCGGTCAAGAATAATAAAACAAAATTAAAAATAGATTGTATATATAGAGATAGATAGATATACACAACATATATATGAGGCTAAAGAGGAAAATCAATGTCAATAAAAAAAGAATATCTCTAGTTACCCTTCAAGTATTTATGATAATATTCAGGCTGATTTATTTCAATTATCTGATGCACACTTGTTTCTTCCCTTATTACAGGATTATTTGATAGACTTAATGATTCTGTAAAATACTGTATTTGTACAAATACAAGACTTTTTTAAAATGAAAAATTCTCCATTGTCCAATGTTTTCTGGCTGAGTTTTTAGAGATATAGATGGTTGGGACGTGGGTATGTGTATATATATGCATGCGTATGTGTGTGTATACACACACATATGAATGTTTTTCCCTTCTTCCTACCATGTGCCAAGAAAGTTTCAGCACTTTGAACTCACTGACTGTGGGTCATCACTGCATCCAGACTACAGCTAGATGAACTTTCAGATTACTAAAAAAATATAAAAGACACAATGGGTTAATAAAGACAAAGAAAAATAACTATAAGCTGTTTATGTGAAACATATTTAAGGCAAAGTGCTATAGACTGAGGTTGAAAACAAGTTAACAAAGAGTTTCCAGAAACATTCATATAGAAAGAAAGTGGGAGTTGATGTATTACTACCAGAGAAGGTAGTTTTCAAAGTTAGTAGAACTAAACAGAATTCCAGAAAGCACTAGATTATGATACAAGATAGCAATATATATATATACATCGAAATTCTGCAAGCCACACACAATTTAGCAGGAAAATAACAGGACAAAACCTATTAGAAATGCAAGGACTTGATGAAACTACAATTATCCTAGGAGACTTCAATATATTTCTTTCACATTTGGACGTGACTGCTAGAGACAAACATAAGTGAGAAGATAAAGAAGTTGCATAATACAATGAATAAAATTGATTATCTGGATACATTTGGAGCCTTTTTTACCAACAGAAAGTAGGACTATTTTATGATGTCTATGTGACTATTGAATATTAATAGTTAAATATTTATTAACTATATGGCAACCTAAATCTCTTTAAAGTAGATGGTTTCCAAGATACATATGTCTATCATAATACAGGAAAATAAATATTAATAATAAATATTGTAACCAAATGCAGGTCTGGCTACTCACCACTTACAGAGTCCAGTGACAACAGTGAGGTGTAGTAGAAAGAAAGTGACTTTATTAACCAACACTAGTAATCGAGAAACGGCCAGATTCTCTTCCAAAGCAACCACTTCACACTTTAGGCTGGGGAGGAGAGCTTAAAAAGGGGAACTTGCAATGGGAGGCAGGCAGGCAGGCTGCTGAGTACAAGGTGGGAGTGTCTTGTTCTGGTGGTTATCTCGAGCCATGGTCCACCTGGAGTGTAGGATGCTGTCATCTGAACAATGGCTGGGTTGTTGACTAACTGCCTTGAGGTAATCTCTGGACTTCTGTAGCTGGCTCTCTGTGCTTGGTCTGTTTCAAGATTAGTTCCTGGAAGTTCTAAGTAAGCACATAATTACATAGAAGCACACAGTTAGACAAATGTTCATAGTGTCAGGGAGTGTATGTTGAGAAAGGGAGGGAAATGGTGTTTCAAAGAAAGTACATTTCAAAGCTTTATTTTAAGACTAGGGAAAAAAAGAAAAAGGTTTCTGCTCTAAGCTTCAAGGTTACATCTTGAGACTAGGGAAAAAAGAAAAAAAGTTTTAAATTGTATTTTCAGGCTAGACTGTTCAGTTACACAAGAGTGTATCAGGAAACCTACATAACCCATTATATCACCAGATTGAAAGATGTAAATAACATATGATTATATCAATAAATGATGAAAATGAACCTGGTAAAATTCAGAAAACATTTAAAAAATAAATATACATATATCATGCCATTTCAATTAGGATACAAATTAGATTTTGAAATAAAATGGGGCAAATTATATGCAAATTTTATAAAATTATAAATTGCCAAAAATAACTAAGAAAGCTTCTCAAATAAACAATAGAGAAGAGAGATATAACAACAGAAAATACCACAAAAAACTGTAAAGCCACTGTAATGAAACCAAGAGAGTATTGGCTTAGGATTAGAGATACAGAAAGGAAAATTCAGAAATATATCCCAGAACATACAAATGTACTAATGACATTTGTACTATGACAAATGTACTAATGACAAGGCAAGCATTTCAACTGAGTGAGAAAATAAGGGATTATTTCATAAAGAGTGTTAGAACAACTAGAAATCTTGAAAAATACTGGTATCAGAGAATTAAAAAGTCCTATACAATATAAAATAAACAGACATGAGCAATTTTGCAAGAACATATAGAAAATTTGATATACAATATAGAGATAAGATAATTCTGGGTTGAGAACTGAAAATTTAAAATGTATATGGGAAAAGAAAAACACATTTGATGACATGTTCTTTAGGAAGTCATAATAGCACTTACGACGTGTCAATGATTTGTTTTTAAAAAGTGCTTTACTTATGAATTCTTATAACAATTGTCATAAGGTAGTTATTATCATCTTTGTTTTATAGACAAGGATATTAATACATAGTTCACCCTATAGCTAGGAACTTCTAACTAGGAACTTCTGTGAAGCAAAAAATAAAAATAAAAACAAAAAAATATTAGCAAAGTCAGTAGGCTAATCACAGATTTGTGGGACATTGCTCACACCACAAAAAAACAGAGGGTTATTATATGTGTAATACAAAAAGCTTGTACACGTTGTTAAACTTTTAAAAAGGTGGGGAAAACAAGTAGCACTATAGACATAAAGAACATAAATATGCACTATACAGAATAACAAATCCAAGTGGTCAACTAATGTAAACAGAAATGCTTGAATCTGTAAGTAATAGGGGATTTGCCAGTTAACAGTGAAATATCAATTATACCTACCCAAATGTTCAATGTTAATAAGACTTTTTCTCCAGAGTTGAGTTTTCCAAAAGTCAGACCTTGTATTTGTTTACCATTAATAAATTCATACAGAGAGTTGTACGTGTGCAGAATACTCAATAGAAAACTATTGTGTAAATACATCTGGTGTATGTTTACATAGATTTGAAAACACTACCTGAAAAAAGTCAATGTAGGTAGTAATTCCACAACTATTTGTAGCAGCTTTCTTACTCTGCCAGGTGCTACCCCAGCCACTTTACACTCACTTTGTCATTTCATCTTCTCCACAGCCTTTTCAGGTAGGTACTGTTATAGCTCCCATTTTTTCTACGGTAAAACTGAAGTAGAGAGATGTTAGTGAAGTCATCCAGTGTCACACAGCTCATAAGTAGAGGACTTAGGATTTGAACGTTGTTCCCTCTGACTTCTAGATGCCAAGTTATACTTCATGATGTGATGTAAACTGCCTAAAAGTAAGTATTCTTTTTTAAACACCGTACTCCTATATAATCTATTTTTTCCGGTTATTAGTAAAGTTTTTATCATATGTGGGATGTCAAAAAATAATTGTTTACTTTAGTAAAAAGAATAATCACTGTCTTTAAAATTGTCATTTCTGCAGTGTTGATGAATATTATTTCTAAAAAGAGATTTCCCAATGATACCTATTATTTGACTGTCTGGAAAAAAATATTCCTTCCAAACAGAATTCAGAAAATCAATAATAAAACAAGGTTTTATGTCTTTAGGTAGAATTTAAGATTATATCAAGAAGATAAAGAGTATAAAGTGACTGTAGCAGTTTCTACACTTAGTAAAACCAGAGTATAGTTTTCAAAGTGACTATCATTGACAAAATTTTGAGAATACTTTGATAACTCAGAAAAAACTCTTTTAATTATAGTTTAAAAACATTTAGTTTGCTAGAATAAAGTATCTTGGATGATCACAGCAATTTTGGAAAGCCTGAATTTCCAAAATACTCAAAATATAACATTTCTTAATTTGGGCTAAATCATGTGGTTGAACAAAAGTTTCCTTAGGCTAATTTAAAAAAAAAAAAAAAAAAGCCACCAAAGAGAATGAAGAGTGGTGACGACAAGGGCAAACAGATGAAGGCTGCACTGGAAGCAGCCTGTTCAAATGAAGAACGCCAGAGTGGCAAAATAGTCACCAAGCAATTATTTAAGAGGGACATGTTTATTAGTTGTTTTTAAAATGCAGTTCCAATAATAATTTCAAGCTGTCTCCAATAAAGCTTAAACTCAATAAAAATACATTATAATTTTCAAAATGCTATGTTTTAAATAAATGCAAAGTCACAAAGAGGAGCCCCAGGCTAAGCGTAAAAGTTACAGCTGTAGAAATTAATTTACATGAAAGAGCCATCTTGCTTCCTTTAGAAATAACTTGCTAGGGGAAAACACAGCACAGCCCGAATATTCATAAAGAAACTCAAGAATTCAGGCAGGAGGCACTGACAGCTGCAATCATTTATTTTTCAAACTCCTGGACATGTTATAGCATGCCTGCTAGATATGAGGTAGGATAGTAAAAGCAAAACAAAAGTTGATGAAAGAAATAGCCAGAAGGCCTTTAACACCTTTTCAGAAACTGACTGTTCAGATGTTCTTAAATTTTAAATCAAAATCATCTCAATGGAAATTAATTTTATGCCATTAAATTCTCTGAATAAATATTTCCTGTGGGGTAGCCACATCACCCAATAAAACCCTTACAAAGAGAATTTTAAAGTTTTAATTAATTATTAAACAGAAAGAATGAATTTCATGATATATTTGGAAACACGCTGTAAAGTGTGACTACCTTAGGCCCAGTCTTTTAATTCTATTTAAAAGTTATTAACTGAGATCTTACTATTTTTTTAGGGCTCTAGTTGAATGTCTAATTAGAGTAAACTGTAGTCCACACCTCAAATTGTTTGATTCTGTCTTCATTCTTTTACTTCAGTGAAACATGACATTCACTCAAAAGAATTGGCTCTTCTGCCAAGAACTTGACAACTCTTTCTAGAAGAGCTTCCTTTAAGGGCAGGCAGGTTAACCTAGGAAGCCATGTTGAATGGCTCCTTAGGTCCAAAGAGTCCCACATTTACATTTCAGGAATATTTCTGATGAGTATCTTTTAAAAATTTATATCACTTCTTATACTCACATGATAGATGTCATTTAATTTTTTATTAATTTTTCATATCTCTCTTA